>NC_000015.10:98789054-99427481 GCF_000001405.40 Homo sapiens | reverse complement strand
GGTCTGGGTGCAGAGACCCCCAAATAGCCTAGGCAGACAGGTGTGGGGCCACCCTCAGTGCAAGGCGAGGGCTTGTGGGGTCCTTCCAGAGGTTGCTGAAGGTGATGAGCTGCCATGAAAGATGGTAACGTCTTTCCCGTAGGCACAAGAGGAGAAAACAGTGCGTGGTGCATAGAGACCTTTGCAGTGCAGAAGGGGTTATTATTATTACAAGCCAGATGTGCCCCACTTGTTACTGAATCATCGGGTTGACTCTAAGTTTTAAAATCCAATTTCCAGGCCCTCTTCACCTGCCAGCTGGGCAACAGCAGTTACTCTCATTGGAGACCCTTTCCCTTCGCCACTTCCCAGGCTACTCCAGACTGAATGCATTCAGGGAGTCACCTCCCAGGTCAAAACCTGCTGTGATACCATCACCCTGCAGCACAGACCACAGTCCCAAGCCTCCCATTCTTGACTCTAACACCAGCCCAGCCTGACCTGCTGCAGGGTGTGGCCTGTGACCACATCTGTGCTCCGTCCACGCTGCTTCGTCCAGCCTCCCACGCCGATCCCCAGAGTAGCTCCCCGGGATGCTCTCTCCTCATCACTGCATCTGCCGCCCGCCCAGGCCCTCTGACTTTACCCTCCCGCAGGCCCCTCCCGTCTGAGGTGCTCTGGAATGCCTGTGGTGTGATTGTGCATGAACTTTTACGTGCCTGCGTCCATGCTCGAGAGCGGTCTTGCCTGAACCACCTTGTCTCAATAATCAGCATGAAACTCCTCAAAAGAAACAGAGAGGCCCCTCAGAACATCACGGAAAAGACGATGGCTCCAAAACAGCTAGATTCTAATCCCAGCTCTGCTGCGGGGCGCGGCCTCGGGCACACCTGTGCTCCGTGCATGTGACGTGACTCTCAAAAGCATCCATTTCCTCATCTGGAAAACGGGACAGTTCCTGGACTCTGCGCACCTGGAAGTGACCATGAGGGTCAAATGTTTCTCAAACTGCAAATGCTTTTCAGATGCTGGCGCCGTGACCAAAGACCTGGCTCTTACATCTGCTCTGTTTTCATGGGACACAGCCCTGGGTATACAGTAGGTGCTTAATGCAGGTGACCGTGAGGAAGGGCTGTGGCCCGTGGAGGGCAGGCAGGTGGGATTCAGCTGAGGTCCTCAAAGGCTGCACTATGGGAAAGGCTGAGCGGCAGGAAAGGGACAGACAGGCCCTCCTCCTGGGGCCCAGGGCTGGGAACCAGAGCCCCTCCTTTGGCCACTCTGAGGTGGAAGAACAAGGAGCACATAGGAGGAGTGGCCCAGGCTCTCCACCTGAGGACATTCGGAGGACCTAGAAGCACTGGCAGAGCCTGAACGTGGCACCGTAGCCTCCTGCTGGCTGGAGATGTGTCTGGGCGGTGTGTCTTGGCATGGAATCCACAGCCAGCTAGCCTGAGGCGGGGATGGGGCCAGGACCCCCGGCTGTACAGACGGAGAGCCAGAGGCGGTTGCAGGTTCCCAACCGACAGCGGAGCTGATGAGTGGCGGGGCTTTCATTTGTTGACAGGAGATGCATGTCTGAGGCCAGAGCCAACTTCTTCCAGGGAGCGGCTTCCTTCCTCCTCAAAGGACACAGGGGACACAGATGTCCAGGAGGCTGTTTAGAGAGGGCCCGAGTGGTGAGCTGTGCAGGGGTCCTCACGCCCCGGCCCCGTCTTGGATATGGGGCTGGAGACTTAGGAAGTGAGTGCTGGGTCCTGGGGTTCCCTCATCCGCCTTCAGGAAGATGTGAAGGGGCTTCCTGCGGCCTTTGGCAGCATTCATCCCAAACCCCAAAGCCTCCTTCCCCTGGCTCCGTGGCAGGAGCAGTTGCATTCTCCTGTCTGAGAGGGGCCACCTCCTTCCCACCTTGCCCTCTAAGTTGGCTCAGGCTGCGCAGGGCTCAGGCTGAGGTCCAGACCCTCATGCCAGCTTGGTGCTTGGCCAGAGCTGCAAAATTGGAGCTGGGCTGCCAGGGGGAGGGCACCGCTGAGGCCTTCTAGGCCCAGACGGGCTGAGAGAGCCCCCGCCCCCCACCCCAGCCTCACCCTCCACCCGAGGCCCCTGTCATGGGTGTGGGTGACTCAGAGGAAGTTCTGGTTTCTGTCAGATTTTGAGGCTGAGGCAACCTGATCCTGAAACAATGACAAGCCTCAGAACGGTCCTTCCCACTCCCTCAGAGGAGCGTTTCAGGCCTGGCCAATAACACAGCAGAACGGAAAATGACTTTGGGAAGGAAAGGTCAGGCGGCTAGGCCTCCCATGGAAGGCAGCAGGCGGTTGCTCAGGTCAGAGGGCCAAGTGGCGCGGTCTGTGGGCACCGGCAGCTGGCAGTGACCCTGCAGATCAACCTGGGCCCGGGCTGCAGACACCAAGCAGGGGCACCTGCCTGGCCTGGCTGCCTCATGTGGCCCCCACAGCCTTTGTCAGGACACCTCAGGACAGTGGCCTGGCCTCTAGGCCAGTGGGCCAGCTCGGGGTGCTAAAGCCTAATTTGCCTGGAGCCCCGGGCCACTCATAGATTCAGGAGGAAGAGGTGGGGTAGAGGTGGCAGAGGGAGAGCAGAGCCTGGCACACAGCATTTGGCACCATAACTGAGGCAGCTGCTTTCCTTAAGGAGCTGCCACTGACAGGATCAGCACTTACAGAGCCCCTGCTGTATGCCAGGAAGTACATTTATTATTGCTTCTTGTCACATTGGCCCTGCCAGGTATGTACCCCAAACATTAGCCTCATTTCACAGATAAGAAAATTGAGGCTTCCGTGATTAAGCAGAGGCTGTGATGTCCCATCCAGAGCCCCAGCCACCCAGCTCTCCTGCAGGACAGGAGATACCTACTAGCCTGCTTCTCGATTATTCTTTTCTTCCCTGCCACCTTGGGAATATCCCTCCCACTTGCAAGCACAGGTCGGCTATGCCAGGGGAGTCTGTGCCCCAGGGCCCCTTCATCCATGGGGATGGGAGTCTGTAGAAATGCTCACCTCCGCCCTCTCCAGTGGGGACATTGGAGGCCTGTGTCCCACAGTCTCCCTGAGGGCCCAGTGGGTTGAGCCCATTGCCCGCAGTGGAAACCCCTCATTCATGGACCTGTCTCCCTCCCCTGCCTCCCCCTCCACCTCCACCCCTGCCCTGCCCTTCCTCGGATCACTTCATGCACCCAAGTCCTCATTGCAGTCTGCTTGAGGGGGATCCCACATGTAGCCATGCCCCTTCCAGGCAGAGAGAAGCAGCACAGGCCCCTGGCTGAGTGTGCCACGGCGGGTGCAGCAGGAGTGCAAACGCAGAGTTCAACTCGGCATCCAGCTGGAACCCATGTTAACTTGCGTTTGACCAGCGTAAGAGAGACAAGAAGATGAGTAGAACTGTAGCAGTCAAAATGCTTCAGCTGCAGGTAATAGGAAGTCCAGCTCAAACCGGTTTAAGCGGAGGCCAGGGGCTGCAGGGTGGGCATCTCCCATGGCACCTGCTCTGGTCCCTCAGTCCCCCTGAGTGGTGCACACTTCCCTCCACAAGGTGTGTTGCCGGGTGGCCACGGCTGTCCTGGGCTCGCATTTGCTCATGACAGTGTCTGGAGAGCTCCGCCTTTGAGGGCTCTTCCTGGGGCCTCTAACGAGAGAGGACTGGGGGGACCACGACAAAAAATATCTGGGTTCTTGAGACAGCAGAAAAGGTGGTGGAAGCTGGGTGAGTAGCCAGACAGTATCTACTAGAATTTTTTTTTCTCCAATTTAAGTTTCTCCCTGGTGAGTTCTTAACCCGCCGCTGACTGGCCAATGCTAGCAGACGGACACAGGGAACAAACAAGTGGCATATTAATCTTCATGGAAAAGCCTAGAAACGGGCAGTCCTTTCACAGCAGTTCTGTGTCTACAGTGAACACATGGGCTGTGTTTAACTGTGTAAACACAATAAAGTTGTGTTATGGAAGTGAACTTGTTCCTGACTGGCAGATGGATTTAAATGTAAGAGTGGTCCATGGGCCCCTCCACGGAGCTGATGCTGCCCCAGCATCCTTCCTATGGCCCTTCAGCCTCTGGCTATTGGTCTTCCTGTATCCATGCACGGCTGAGCTGGAGGCCAACACAGGAGCAGCCATTCCAGGCAGGTCTGGGCAGGGGTCCCTGGCGTGTAGCTCTGGAGGGAGTGGGGCTGTGTAAGCTCAGCGTCTTGTCTCCCTCACTGAAAATACAGGACACAATGGAACAGAATAGAGAGCCCAGAAATAAGGCTGAACACCTACAACCATCTGATCTTCAACAAAGCTGACAAAAACAAGCAATGGGGAAAGGACTTCCTTTCAATAAATGGTGCTGGGATAGCTGGCTAGCCATATGCAGAAAATTGAAACTGGACCCCTACCTTACACCATATACAAAAATCAACTCTAGATGAAGTAAAGACTTAAAGGGAAAATCTAAAACTATAAACACCCTGGAAGACACCTTAGTAAATACCATTCTGGACATAGAACTTGGAAATATTTCATGATAAAGATGCCAAAGCAATTGCAACAAAAACAAAAATTGACAAATGGAATCTAATAAAACTAAAGCACTTCTGCACAGCAAATCAACAGAATAAACAGACAACCTAAGAGTAGGAGAAGATATTTGCAAACTATGCATCTGACAAAGATCTAATATCCAGCATCTATAAGGAACTTAAACAAATGTACAAGCAAAAAACAACCCCATTCAGAAGTGGGCAAAAGACATAAACAGACACTTCTCAAAAGAAGACATACATGCGGCCAAAAAGCATATGAAAAAATGCTGAATATCACTAAGCATTAGAGAAATGCAAATCAAAACCACAATGAGATACCATTGCACACCAATCAAAATGCCTATTTTTTTTTTTTTTTTTTTTGAGACTGAGTTTCGCTCTTTTGCCTGGACTGGAGTGCAGCAGCGCAATCTCCACTCACTGCAACCTCTGCCTTCCAGTTTCAAGGGATTCTCCTGCCTCAGCCTCCCAAGTAGCTGGGATTACAGGCGCCCACCACCACGCCTGGCTAATTTTTGTATTTTTAGTAGAGACGGGGTTTCACCACGTTGGCCAGCCTGCTCTTGAACTCCTGGCCTCGTGATCCACCTCAGCCTCCCAAAGTGCTGGGATTACAGGTGTAAGCCACTGTGCCCAGCCTGCAGAATGACTATTATTTAAAAGACAAAAAAAAAAAAACAAACCCTGGTGAGGTTGTGGAGAATAGGAAACACTTATACACTGTTCATGGGAGTATAAATTATCTCAGCCATTGTGGAAAGCAGTGTGGTGATTCCTCAAAGAACAGAACTACCATTCAACCCAGCAATCCTATTTCTGGGTATATACCCCAAAGAATATAAATTGTTCTATCATAAAGACACATGAACACATACGTTAATTGCAGCACTATTCACAATAGCAAAGATATGGAACCAACCTAAATGCCCATCAACAGTAGACTGGATAAAGAAAATGTGTTACATATACACCAGGGAATACTATGCAGCCATAAAAAAGAATGAGATCATGTCCTTTGTGGGAATGTGGATGGAACTGGAGCCCATTATCCTTAGCAGAGTAATGCAGGAGACCCAAATACCACATGTATGTTCTCACTTATAAATGGGAGCTAAATGATAACACATGGACACACCAAGAGGGGAACAACACACACTGGGGCCTCCTTGAGAGTGGAGAGTGGGAGGAGGGAAAGGAGCAGAAAAACTACCTGTCTGAACTGTGCTTATCACCTGAGTGACAAAGCAGTCTTTACAGCAACCTCCCGTGACACACAGTTTATCTATATAACAAATCTACATATGTACCCTTGAACCTAAAATAAAAGTTCAAAAAAAAAAAAAAGAAAATGGAAAACACAGGACACTGTCCCTCTCCCTCCCCCAGTCAACCCAAGCTGAGATTTTTCAAGGCCTCTACACCTCTTTTAAATAATTCCCAGATGATTGAATTCCCAGATTGAAGCAAATGCTCCCAAACAGTGGAGCAACTCGGCCCTGGGGTCTTAAGCCCCCACCTTCCCCAAGAAACGAGACTGGCCTCCTCCTTTTTGCAGGGCAGTGTGGAGCAGTGGAGGAGCAGAGGCAGTGGGCTCCACTCGCAGCTGTGTGGCCTTGAGCAATGGCATCTGCCATTGCTGAGGCTTGAGTAGGTAAACAAAGCTGCCGGGAAGCTCAAACTGGGTGGAGCCCACCGCAGCTCAAAGAGGCCTGCCGACCTCTGTAGACTCCACCTCTGGGGGCAGGGCATAGCTGAACAAAAGGCAGCAGAAACTTCTGCAGACTTAAACATCCCTGTCTGACAGCTTTGAAGAGATTAGTGGTTCTCCCAGCAATCCCCAATTCAACAAGAAGAGCTAACTATCCTAAATATATATGCACCCAATACAGGAGCACCCAAATTCATACCCTTAGAGACCTACAAAGAGACTTAGACTCCCACACAATAATAACGGGAGACTTTAACACCCTACTGTCAACATTAGATAGATCAACAAGACAGAAAGTTAACCAGCATATTGAACTCAGCTCTGCACCAAGCGGACCTAATAGACATCTACAGAACTCTCCACCCCAAATCAACAGAATATACATTCTTCTCAGCACCACATCACACTTATTCCTAAATTGACCACATAGTTGGAAGTAAAGCATTCCTCAGCAAATGTAAAAGAAGAGAAATTATAACAAACTGTCTCTCAGACCACAGTGCAATCAAACTAGGACTCAAGATTAAGAAACTCACTTAAAACTGCTCAACTACATGGAAACTGAAAAATATGCTCCTGAATGACTACTGGGTACATAACGAAATGAAGGCAGAAATAAAGATGTTCTTTGAAACCAATGGGAACCAAGACACAACATACCAGAATCTCTGGGACACATTTAAAGCAGTGTGTAGAGGGAAATGTATAGCATTAAATGCCCACAAGAGAAAGCAGGAAAGATCTAAAATTGACACCATAACATCACAATTAAAAGAACTAGAGAAGCAAGAGCAAACACATTCAAAAGCTAGCAGAAGGCAAGAAATAACTAAGATCAGATCAGAACTGAAGGAGATAGAGACACAAAAAACCCTTCAAAAAATCAATGAATCCAGGAGCTGGTTTTTTGAAAGGATCAACAAAATTGATAGACCACTAGCAAGACTAATAAAGAAGAAAAGAGAGAAGAATCAAATGGACGCAATAAAAAATGATAAAGGGGATATCACCACCGATCCCACAGAAATACAAACTACCATCAGAGAATACTACAAACACCTCTACGCAAATAAACTAGGAAATCTAGAAGAAATGGATAAATTCCTGGACTCATACGCCCTCCCAAGACTAAACCAGAAAGAAGTTGAATCCCTGAATAGACCAATAACAGGCTCTGAAATTGAGGCAATAATTAATAGCCTACCAACCAAAAAGAGTCCAGGACCAGACGGATTCACAGCAGAATTCTACCAGAGGTACAAGGAGGAGCTGGTACCATTCCTTCTGAAACTATTCCAATCAATAGAAAAAGGGAATCCTCCCTAACTCATTTTATGAGGCCAGCATCATCCTGATACCAAAGCCTGACAGAGACACAACAAAAAAAGAGAATTTTAGACCAATATCCCTGAAGAACATTGAGGCAAAAATCCTCAATAAAATACTGGCAAATCGAATCCAGCAGCACATCAAAAAGCTTACCCATCAAAAAGCTTATCCACCACAATCAAGTTGGCTTCATCCCTGGGAGGCAAGGCTGGTTCAACATATGCAAATCAATAAATGTAATCCATCATATAAACAGAACCAAAGACAAAAACCACATGATTATCTCAATAGATGCAGAAAAGGCCTTCAACAAAAGTCAACAGCCCTTCATGCTAAAAACTCTCAATAAACTAGGTATTGATGGGATGTATCTCAAAATAATAAGAGCTATTTATGACAAACCCACAGCCAATATCATACTGAATAGGCAAAAACTGGAAGCATTCCCTTTGAAAACTGGCACAAGACAGGGATGCCCTCTCTCACCACTCTTATTCAACATAGTGTTGGAAGTTCTGGCCAGGGCAATCAGGCAGGAGAAAGAAATAAAGGGTATTGAACTAGGAAAAGAGGAAGTCAAATTGTCCCTGTTTGCAGATGACATGATTGTATATTTAGAAAACCCCATCGTCTTAGCCCAAAATCTCCTTAAGCTGATAAGCGACTTCAGCAAAGTCTCAGGATACAAAATCAATGTGCAAAAATCACAAGCATTCCTATACACCAAAAACAGACAAACAGCCAAATCATGAGTGAACTCCCATTCACAATTGCTTCAAAGAGAATAAAACACCTAGGAATCCAATTTACAAGGGATGTGAAGGACTTCTTCAAGGAGAACTATAAACCATGGCTCAACGAAATCAAAGAGGACACAAACAAATGGAAGAGCATTCCATGCTCATGGATAGGAAGAATCAATATCATGAAAATGGCCATACTGCCCAAGGTAATTTATAGATTCAATGCCATTCCCATCAAGCTACCAATGACTTTCTTCACAGAATTGGAAAAAACTACTTTAAAGTTCATATGGAACCAAAAAAGGGCCTGCATTGCCAAGACAATCCTAAGCCAAAAGAACAAAGCTGGAGGCATCATGCTACCTGACTTCAAACTATACTACAAGGCTACAGTAACCAAAACAGTATGGTACTGGTACCAAAACAGAGCTATAGACCAATGGAACAGAACAGAGCCCTCAGAAATAATACCACACATCTACAGCCATCTGATCTTTGACAAACCTGACAAAAACAAGAAATGGGGAAAGGATTCCCTATTTAATAAATGGTGCTGGGAAAACTGGCTAGCCATATGTAGAAAGCTGGAACTGGATCCCTTCCTTACATCTTATACAAAAATTAATTCAAGATGGATTAAAGACTCAAATGTTAGACCTAAAACCATAAAAACCCTAGAAGAAAACCTAGACAATACCATTCAGGACATAGGCATGGGCAAGGACTTCATGACTAAAACACCAAAAGCAACGGCAACAAAAGCCAAAATTGACAAATGGGATCTAATTAAACTAAAGAGCTTCTGCCCAGCAAAAGAAACTACCATCAGAGTGAACAGGCAACCTACAGAGTGGGAGAAAATTTTTACAATCTACCCATCTGACAACGGGCTAATATTCAGAATCTACAAAGAACTTAAACAAATTTACAAGAAAAAATCAAACAACCCCATCAAAAAGTGGGTGAAGTATATGAACAGACACTTCTCAAAAGAAGACATTTATGCAGCCAATAGACACATGAAAAAATGCTCATCATCACTGGCCATCGCAAAAACGTAAATCAAAATCACAATGAGATACCATCTCACACCAGTTAGAATGGCGATCATTAAAAAGTCAGGAAACAACAGGTACTGGAGAGGATGTGGAGAAATAGGAACACTTTTACACTGTTGGTGGGACTGTAAACTAGTTCAACCATTGTGGAAGTCAGTGTGGCAATTCCTCAAGGATCTAGAACTAGAAATACCATTTGACCCAGCCATCCCATTACTGGGTATATACCCAAAGGATTATAAATCAAGCTGCTATAAAGACACATGCACACGTATGTTTATTGCAGCACTATTCACAATAGCAAAGACTTGGAACCAACCCAAATGTCCATCAATGATAGACTGGATTAAGAAAACGTGGCATATATACACCATGGAATACTTTGCAGCCATAAAAAAGGATGAGTTCATGTCCTTTGTAGGGACATGGATGAAGCTGGAAACCATCATTCTCAGCAACGTATCACAAGGACAGAAAACCAAACACCACATGTTCTCACTCATAGGTGGGAATGGGAATTGAACAATGAGAACACTTGGACACAGAGTGGGGAACATCACACACCGGGGCCTGTCATGGGGTGGGGGGAGGGGTAGCATTAGGAGATATACCTAATGTAAATGGCGAGTTAATGGGTGCAGCACACCAACATGGCACATGTATACATATGTAACAAACCTGCACACTGTGCACATGTACCCTAGAACTTAAAGTATAATAATAATAATAAAAGATTATATAATCAATGCACAGGACTCAACAGTAATAGCTCAAAACATAACTGACCTAGATTCTTTCAAATAGCAAGATCAGATTAATAATACTATAGCTGCATTTTATATTTTTCTCTTAAAATTCTTTGCCTGCTCAATTAAAGAAAGAATACATACCCAAAGAAAGCAAGATACAATGACTGTGTTTTATATACAATTTTAAATCCCTATCATTTATTTAAAATCTAGACATAGCTTTGATCTACGGAATTAAACTGCATACCATCAAAGAGGGTGTAATTCTTCAGCCAATAAATCCAGGCCCACCCCAGAGATGGTGAGAGGGGGACTGTCTCGCCTGCCTCTCAGGGCTGGGCAGGGATGGGGGATGCAATCTGAGTGTACATGGGACCTCATGCACACAGCATGTCTCCAGTCGCAGAGACCCCTGCCTGAAGGATCACTCAGGGTCCAGCTAGAAGTAGAAACCACCCCAGCTCTTCGAACAGAGAGACTGTACCATCAAGAATTGCTAACCCTTGTGCATTGCAAGGGCAAAAAGTGAAAACTGAGCTAGAACAATAGAGCAGCAACTGCCAGGGGAGGGCTGGGAGCAAAGAGGCCGGGACAGAATGATTAAACTCCCAGGACTGAAGGATCTCTGGAAGCAGTACCCAGGTCCGCGAGGAGTGGGCACAGGCTGGCCGCAGCTGGTCTGCCCCAGTGAGGCGAAGGAACAGAGAAGCAGGCTCTGCAGCGTCCTTCTGCATTTCGTCCTGAATGGGCGTGGCATCCTCCAGCTCCACAGACTTTGCTGGGCCTCGTCCCCTCTGCAATCCCGTAGGGCAGGCAGCCTCTCCAATGGCCTTCGTGATTCCTGTCACCTAGGGACTGGCTTCAACTAAGTAGAATCTGGCAAAGGTAATGGGCTGTCCCTTCCAAGATTATTTGGCTACAAAACGCCTGTGCCCCCCACCTTGCCCGCCTTCTCTTGTTCCCTCCCCTTCAGAGCCCTTGCTCTGGGAAAAGCCAGCTGCCTTGTACTGAGCAGCCCTGTGATCCAGGTCTGCCACCAGCAGCTGGAGAAGGCCTGGAGCCCCAGCAAGGGACGCCAGAGAGAGCCTGGAAGCAGCCTCTCCGGCCCCAGTGGAGCCCTCAGAGCCTCCTGCCATGACTGGGGCCTTGTTAGGAAACCTCAGAATTTCCAGAATCCTCTTCTGACCGCCATTCCAGGCCTGCTTTCTCTGACATGGCAGCCCTCACACCCACCCTGTTAGAGGGTGAAGGCAATTGACGCATACAGGTGCTCCTCGAGTTACATGGGGGTTGCATCCAGGTAAACCCATTCCAAGTTGAAAATATCGTAAGTTGAAAATGCATTTGACACACCTAAGCTACCGAACATCCTAGCTTAGCCTAGTGGACCTTAAACATGCTCAGAACACTCAGGTTAGCCTACAATTGGGCAAAATCATGCCACACGAAGCCCATTTTATCATAAAATGTTGAATACCTCACATGATATATTGAATACTGTACATTCATCAAAACTGCCAATATTTCAAACCATCATAAAGTCAAAAAATCATAAATTGAGGCACCAGGAGCCAGGGACCATCTGTAATTCCTCAGGTGGACAAAGATTATAAGACTATGTATTTCCTATAGCTGGTTGCAGAGAAGAATGCTCCACCCCAAGTGGGTGACAGTGCAGGCGCGGCAGGCCCGGGCTGCCGTGGGGTTCTGTGGTGTCCTCCACAGGGCACTGGCAACCTGTGTCACCCTTGCTGTGGCTCCGTCCTGCAGCCTAGGCTCGCCCACACTGTGATCTCCTGAGTTCTGAAGCTCCCATTCAGCCCTTGCCTGGGCAGTGGGCGTGCGGCCCTCAAAGGCTGGGACACTTCACACTCACAGTGATGTTTCCTGGCAAGCCAACCAGCCAGATTCTCAGCAGATCCCTGGGGCCTCGCCTGGAAGCAGTGGAGATCCTTCAGGCTGCTTCTCAGCCTGCAGGGACTGAATGAGAAGCACCACTGGTTTCAGGGAAGCTGCTACCCACCGAGGTGGAGCCTGGGCTGCAGGGAATTGTTAGGGTGTCCTCTGGGGGTCAGCCCTGATGGAAGGGGACAGAATGGGACAGGCAGGATGGCCCGAGGGAGAAGCTGGTCTCAGGAGCCCCGGAGCTGGGGTGGCCCTGCAGGCTGCACCAAGCTGCGGTGAGGGGACCAAGGTTTACGCCCCCAAGCTGATCCGTCCCTGGCTGGGGGCTGCCTTGGGTGAGGTGGCTACTCTGTTCTACCAAGGCAGTTCCCCAGAGGGCTGACAGCTCTGTGACCTTGAAGTCCTAGGCCTTTCCAGCTTCTCCTTCCCTGGGGCCATGAGCTCATGACTCAGCCCTGGAGGTGGAGGCTGCAAGGAAACCTGGAGGAGGTGGGAATGAGGAGACTGCACGTGGCCCGCGGACTCCCACGGCCAGCCTGTGCCTGTGGGAGATGAGTTCAAGCAGCAGGGCCGGGAACTGACTCACCCTGCGGTGCCCACCGATGAGTGGTGCCCATCGTCCCCGCTCAGGGAAGCTGCCATAGCATCTCATGCCTTTGCCTCCTAATTTCCTACCACCTCCTGCGCTTCAGGAATGGCTGCCTATGAGGCTCAGCCCCACATGGTGCCTGGAGATCCTCGTTTTAAGGCCCACTCTCTTGTTCCAGGTCCACACTGGCTACCACTAGGTCCTTTCTGACAGGAGCCAACAGCTCCTGGTACTGACAGGAGCCCTCCTACTGCCCCATCAGTGACCACTGCCACAATAATGCTATGGGACGGACTGCCCTGAAACTCAGTGACTTGAAGCAATGAGCAATTATTTAGCCCACGAGTCTGCAGCCAGTGATGCAGGCTGGACTCGCCCGGGCCATGGTCCTGGCTGCTGGCTGGTCTAGGGTGGCCTCGGCTGGGGCAGCTGGCGACACCAGTCCTGTTCCAAGTGTGCTGTCCACCGGCAGGCGAGTCGAGGCACGTTCTCACACTGTGGCAGAGCCGAGCGAGCAAGCCCCGTTTGCCAGCACTTTTCAGACCTCTGCTTGTATCCCACTTGCTGACATCACTTGGCCAAAGCAAGTTACATGACTGACGCTGGGTCAAAAAAAAAGAAGGCCCTGCAAGGGGACTCGTGATGGACGTAGATTCAGGGAGGGTGCGGTTGACAGCCCCCAGCCCTATATGCTGCCTGACAGGAAAAGGAAGCCAACAAAGCAACCCCAAAGTCACAATCCCAAAGCTAGTTCTGATGTGAGGACAGATGCTCGGGCCCCTGGAGACTCTTCTGGGCTGGACTAACGTGGCCACAACCGGGAGAGCAGGGACTTCATTTGATTCACACTGCTGCCACCATCTCTAACAGTGCAACTCCTGCACAGAGAATGGGCAAAAAAAATAATTAATCAATGAATGAAATCTAAAATGTGAACCAGGGGGTGTTTCTGACAATGTTTGTATGTCTTATAGGGTTGTAGAAGGACATAACCATGTTTTCAGTGTTTCTATGCAACAAACTTCATTTTATTTCATTTGCATTTTTGTCTTAAACTCTACCACCGCAAACAATTTTATATAATTACCACTAGCTGTATCACCCCCCCACCCCTCCTGCCGCCAAAAAAAGTGGCCATGGCTGGGTGTGGTGGCTCACGCCTGTAATCCTGGCACTTTGGGAGGCCAAGGTAAGTGGATCACCTGAGGTCAGGAGTTCTAGACCAGCCCAGCCGAACATGGTGAAACCCCGTCTCTACTAAACAATACAAAAATTAGCTGGGCATGGTGGTGGGCACCTGTAATTCCAGCTACTTGGGAGGCTGAGGCAGGAGAATTGCTTGAACCTGGGAGGCAGAGGTTGCAGTGAGCTGAGATTGAGCCATTGAACTCCACCCTGGGCAACAAGAGCGAGACTCCATCTCAAAAAAAAAAAAAGAAAAAAAGGCCGGGCGCGGTGGCTCACGCCTGTAATCCCAGCACTTTGGGAGGCTGAGGCTGGCAGATCACGAGGTCAGGAGATCGAGACCATCCTGGCTAACACAGTGAAACCCCATCTCTACTAAAAAAAATACAGAAAAAAACTAGCCTGGTGTGGTGGCGGGCGCCTGTAGTCCCAGCTACTCGGGAGGCTGAGGCAGGAGAATGGCGTGAACCCGGGAGGCGGAGCTTGCAGTGAGCAGAGATGGCGCCACTGCACTCCAGCCTGGGCGACAGAGCGAGACTCCATCTCAAAACAAACAAACAAACAAACAAACTGTGTCCATGATTTCATCACCATGTGGCCTCTGGAGTCCAGAGCAAGAAAAATGCCGAGGGTACTCGTTAGTCCTCAGTGGAAGTGACTTATTGGGAACTTGGCATGGGCTGGCTGAGGCCCTGCTCTGAGCTGGCGTAGTGCTGAAGCCTGTCCCCAATCATAGCCACATGGACAGGCCTGGACCCCATGACCAGGGAGGGGAGAGGGGCATAGGGAGGCCAGCAGGAGAGGGACCACCAGCCTTCCCCGGGGTTCTTCCCCAAGCTGGACTCCTGGTGGGTGCCAGGCAGTGCGGTTGGAGGAACACACCAGACGGTGTCTGCCATGCAGTCCCCTCCAGTGCCGAGTCCTTGTGACTTCTCTCAGCCTGAGGTCCTGCCTGCCTTCAGCAGCCTGATGCAGCCCTGCCATGCCCCGCCGTGCCTCTGTGGCTCTCCTCGTCTTAGCACTCTTCTCCTCCCCTTCTTGGTGCTGGAGCAAAATGAGGCTCCAGGCAAGGCATCTCCTAAGGGCACTCATTCAGAACAAGAAACCAACGCAAGTACTCAGGGCATGGAAGCCCTCCGTGATTAGCAATGGCATATAGGATCTGTATACATGTGCTGGGCATGAACACACGCTGGAAGGAAGATTCATTGCTTTTGTTTCTATGGATTCATTTACTTTCAGCTCTAGGCCTCCTTATGCTGGGCTGGAGGGAGCTTGACCTCAGCCATCGTTAGGCTTCTTCCTTGGGAAGAGCAGAGGTCACAGGCTTTCTCTATGAGGCCAAGGTGCTGGAGGCCCTGCTCACTGGTCTGTCCTGGGTGTGGTGAGACACTAGACCTCAGCCTGCCCTGCCCTTGGGATCCGCCCAGCGTGCGGGTGTGGGAATCTTGATATGTTTAGGAGTTCTAGAATCCATCTACCTCCCAGTGCTGCTGGAGGGCACTGACTAAGAGCTTCAGACTCCATTCCCCAGGAAAAAAAAGAAAAAAAAAATTATAAGAAAAAAAAGGGCCGGGCGCAGTGGCTCACACCTGTTATCCCAGCACTTTGGGAGGCCGAGGCGGGTGGATCACAAGGTCAAGAGATCGATACCATCCTGGCCAACATAGTGAAACCCCGTCTCTATTAAAAATACAAAAATTAGCTGGGCGTGGTGGCGGGCACCTGTAGTCCCAGCTACTTGGGAGGCTGAGGCAGAAGAATCGCTTGAACCCGGGAAGCAGAGGTTGCAGTGAGCCGAGATCACGCCACTGCACTCTAGCCTGGCGACAGAGTGAGACTCTGTCTCAAAAAAAGAAAAAGAAAAAAAGAAAGCCAGAAACTAACTCAACTGACTCTCCTACCAAGAATGAAAATAATAATGCTAATACTAATCGCTAATGAGAATACTGCTACTAATGATTGCTAATGAGAATTATACTACTACTAATAACTGCTGTTAGACTGTGTGCTTGCTTTTGTTTAGCATTGTCCTAAGTTTCTTATGAATAATTAGCTCATCTGATCCTAACAGCAACGCTAGGACGGCGAAACTACTCCCATTTTACAGATGAGGAAACTGAAGCACAGACGCCTTCGGTCAGAAAACAAGCAGCAGAGCTGGGTACCCCAGTGCTCTGAACCTCTGAGCCCTCCGGCCTCTCTAAGGAGAAGCACAGCCATTGGGATTGTGGAGCGGTGAATCCAGGCTCTCTCTTTGTAATGAGGGAGCTGATCTCACCAGAGAGTGGCATCCTGGCCTTGGAGGTATGCCTGTGGTTTTGCTGTCTTCTTCTCTGGTCTCAAAGCCCATTGCCTGTACTCCTTCGACTTAGGGTCTTTGGGGGGTCACTTGGAAAGAGATCCAGGACAGGCAGAGCCAAGGCTGCAGGTGCCTTTGACATGCCTGTTAATCCAGGCAACTCACCCTGTGACATCAATGTGCAATACTGATCCTCGAGGTACACTGGACTAGTCTCAGAGTAGGTGTGTTTGCCAGAAAGGGAGTCTGCAGGGAGGTTTCCTTGAAGAGACCCTCAGCCCTTTCTCACCTAAGCTCAAAGAAAACCACCTACACTAAGATGCCAAACCACAGGGAAGTTTGTTCTCACATAAATTCCATGCCGAGGCTCAGGGTGGGCTTCACGACTGGCTCCATCCAGGGGCTGTGGCCCCATTTCTCAGTGATTCTCTGTCTCCCCGAATTAACTGTGTCAGCTTCATCCTCAGTCTGGCTTCCTTCATGGTGGCAAAATGGTGGCAGCTGTCCCAGGCCTCAAACCCGCCCAGATGTCCAGAGACAAGGGAGGTGTTTCTTTCCTTGGCTCACTCTGAAGAGCAAGGAACCATTTTCACATCTCGCTGTCTCAAACTAGGTCACACGCCCACCTCCAAGCCACTGGAGCTACAACTCTGGGGCCCAGGGTAATGCCTGTGCTGACTGGCTCAAGCCTGGATTCCTCCACCAATCACAGTGCCCAAGACAGTGGGATGCTGCTTGGCCAGTCAGGCTCAGCCCTGGCCCAGGGATGCTTGGGGCAGGCCTGGGGAGAGGGGAGGGAGCTGGTGGACAACAGCAGAGGAACCCAAGCTCTAAAACGAGAGGACATTAGTCAAACACCAGAAAATCAAACTCTATGGGCCTTTGCCTTAGGGCTGGGCAGCTAGGCTGGCTGGTGGCTGTGTCCTAAAATGGATCCTTCCTTTAGGATGCATCCCGGCTGGCCTGCACTTGGCACCTTACCTGATGCAGAGTGGTGATGGCTGGAGATGGAACCCCTTTGTTGTGGGCCACCTCCCCAAGGTTGACTAGGTCTTCAGAGACCCTTGGGAAACCATAGCTTTGGTTTATTTTATTTGTTTTTTTTATTTATTTAATTTTTTTTTTTGAGACAGAGTCTCATTCTGTCACCCATCCTGGAGTCCAGTGGTGCGATCTCAGCTCCCTGCAACCTCCGCCTCCCAGGTTCAAGCAATTCTCTTGCCTCAGCCTCCCAAATAGCTAGGATTACAGGCATGTGCCACCGCACCAGGCTAATTTTTGTATTTTCTTTCTAGTAGAGATGGGGTTTCACCATATTGGCCAGGCTGGTCTCAAACTCCTGCCCTCAAGTGATCCACCCGCCTCAGCCTCCCAAAGTGCTGGAATTATAGGTGTGAGCAGTGACTGCACCAGGCCACTCTGTCAATTTTATATTTATGAAGCCATCTGAGGGTAGGTTTGACTCACATCTCAGACAAACAGCCCCAGGTGAAGAAAGGGATGTGTTATGGGCAGTGGAGGCTGACATCCAGCCCACCTCTGTTCCTGATGGGCACAGCAGCCTCTCACACAGCACCAGGCAGGCACCGAGGTCCCCTGCCCATAACCTACAGCTTGCAGTGGGGGCATTTACCATGGAGCTGTTCTAGAAGGGCTCCCATTAAGTGGGGCCCCGCTCACCAGGTGGCTGCTGGGGTGGCATCCAGGGTGCCCATCAGGCCCATGTTCTGGGTGATGCCTTTTTTTTTTTTTTAACACACAGTCTCACTCGTGTCACCCAGGCTGGGGTGCAGTGGCGCGATTTCAGCTCACTGCAACCTCCGCCTCCTGGGTTCAAGCAATTCTCCTGCCTCAGCCTCCTGAGTAGCTGGGATTACAGACGCCCGCCACCATGCCTGGCTAATTTTTTTGTATTTTTAGTAAAGACGGGGTTTCACCATGTTGGCCAAGCTGGTCTTGAACTCCTGACCTTGGGTGATTCGCCAGCCTCGGCCCCTCAAAGTGCTGGGATTAGAGGCGTCAGCCACCGTGCCCGGCCCTGGGTGATGCTTTTGATGAGCACAGATTTAAGATGCGTTTAAACAGGAAGGCAGCAGCTTCCCTCTGGCAGCTGGGGACACGGGAGGAGCAGGAAGAGCAGCAATCTCCAGCCCAGCCCTGGCTCTGGAGCTCCCTCTACCCCTTGCCAGTATTAGGTGCTAGGTGCTTTTCAGGGTGCCACGGCCGTCACCATGACCCAGATCAGGAAACAGTGCTGTGTATGTGTCACTGGCACCAAAAACTTTTCTGCAGCCCTAAACCAGCATACGGAATATGCTCTCAGCTTCAAATCAGGCAAATGTGCCTTGTTTTTTTATATCTTTAAGTGACATTATCATTAAAGTGATCGTGTTGTGCTCTGGAAGGAAAGGCACTCCTTGGCCAGACACTGCCTCAGAGTCAGCAAATGCTGGCCATTTCTGGGGAGGACAGGCGGCAGCCAGGAGCTCAGGGGAACCATGCACAAAACTTATCCACAGGGCCTCATCTCAGCAATGCCAAGTTAGTGAAAGCACAGTTGAAGAACAATATTATCCGTGCAATGCCCACAAAACCATACTATATAAGATGCGCAACATTTACGAGTGCAAACATATAGCAAATAAACAGAGAGACCCCAGACTACCATCAGCAAGAGTGGCTGCAGCTGGTGAAGGGCCTGGAGCCTGGGTGGGCACAATATTAGCTCCACCATTAATACTGTTTATTCTTTCCACCACCTCCCTGGGGCAGCTGGGAGTGGAAGCCTGGCTGCACAGCGAGATGTGGTTTGATGTCTGACCTTGTTTTGGGTTTAAAGGCATCCAAGTAACTTGTCTCAGCACTTAGAAGTGCATCAGAGCCAAATGTCTCCAAAACTGGGCTCTGAGCCATAAGGAGAAAAAAGGAGGCCGCAGGCTTGGCAGGAGTGTGATGCGAGCGGAGGCTGGAATCAGCCCCTCGGGAATGCTATCTCTCTGGGGACAGGAGGAGGGCTTTCCTACAGCACCCCTCTCCCTCCAACCAACTCAGCTCCAGGGAATGAAGATAAATACTGAGCCACGCCCAAGAGAGGGAGGGAGTGGGCAGGAGGGAGTGGGCAGAGTTTGGGGGATGGCAGGGAATGGGGAGAAGCTTTCCTTTTGAGGCCTTGTCATATACCAGGCACATTTCATTATTCCTTAAAAAAATCCGAGGAGAATCTCTTCGTCGTTTCCCTTTATAAGATCAGGAAATGAGGCTTAGAGAGGATGAGGGGCATGGCAGGGCTGGGGGCAAACACATGCCATCTAGCTGCAAAGCTGTGTCCCCTCCAGGGCAAAGGTGGCTCTGGACTTCAGGGGCAGCAGAATGTGGTGGTGCCAGTGACTAGGACTTGGGGACCATCACCTCCAGAGTCAGCCTCATCAGCCTACAGGAAGTCTCAGCGCTGCCACAGCAGCTTCTGTGGTTCTCTGGCTGCAGGGCTAGGTCCTCAAAGCCCAGCCCTTCTGAATCTGAGTCCAGGGCTCGAGAGGTCTGCAAATGGGAAGCAGGGTCCGGGGAGCACCCCATGGAGGCAGACACGTGCCCATGCCGCAGGCCCAGCACACCTGCCTTAGGTGGGATTTATGACAACCCAGAGACCCTCCAGCCTGACCTGAGGCTGTGTGCAAAGATACACGTGCTTTGATTATCAAGAAAAATGGGACAGTAAAGTAGCTGTTACTTAATACATGCAGGTTCCCCAGGCAGATAAAACCTTTCAGGCACGTGAGGCCCAGGGCAGGTGTTGGGGAGCAGCCCTCAAAAGGTCTTGGTGGAGCCCCTAGGCAGAATCCACCAGCTCCTCTGTCTGAGCCCTACCTGCCCGAAGGCTGGAAGCAGCAGCTTTCAGCTCATCACCCTCAGCCCTTGTGTTGCCCAAGGTCCCAGCACAGCAAAGAGGCAATGGCAACCAATTTGGGCAGGGTATCAGTGTCAGATGGACTTCCATTCATGTCTGTTGATTGGTAAGGACCCAGGCCAGGACCACGCAGACAGCGTGCCTGGCTGGGACGGGAGGGAAGAGCAAGCTCGGTCCGTGCCGTGCCCACCCAGCCCTGCTGCACCTGGCTTTGCAGGCTTCTTTGTCGCTCTGGTCCCGACTGTCCACCTGGATGAACCGAGAGCTTCCTCAGAGGAATGTGCAGCACCATGATGGGCACGAGGTGGGGACGGGCCTGATTTCAGGCTACGGGTGGACTCTGAGAGGCTGAGAAGGGGGACTTGAGTTTATGGGCACACACAGCTCTCTAGCTTGGGTTTGGGTAAGAATCGGGACCAGTTTTTTAGAGAATCTGCTCTTCTCCTCTTTCTCATCTGAAAAACTCTCACCAAGTCTATTTTTGATCTTCAGCTGGAAGAAATCTTTATTTTTAAGATGCTAACCCTGGCACATCCTAGCTCCAGAGCAGCAGCTGGCAGGGAGCACAGAAAGCCTGACGGGGCTACGTGGGTGCACCTGGAAGACTGGCCACTGCTTTTAGAGCAAGGACCAGAATTCTTGCCACAAACTTTTGGCTCTGGAAAGGCCAACTGAATGGCTCAGAACCGGGAAAGGTTTTTGTTTGGTTGAAGCGTTTTTAGGGATGAGAATTATTATTATTATTATTATTATTATTATTATTATTATTATTATTATTATTGAGACTGAGTTTCACTCTTGTTGCCCAGGCTGGAGTGCAATGGCGCGATCTCGGCTCACCACAACCTCCGCCTCCCAGGTTCAAGCAATTCTCCCCGCCTCGGCCTCCCAAGTAGCTGGGACTGGTAGCATGTGCCATCATGCCCGGCTAATTTTGTATTTTTAGTAGAGATGGGGTTTCTCCATGTTGGTCAGGCTGGTTTCGAACTCCTGACCTCAGGTCATCTGCCCGCCTTGGCCTCCCAAAGTGCTGGGATTACTGGCTTGAGCTACCATGCCTGGCTCGAGAATTATTTTTATGAGCAAGAAGACACGTTGTTGTCACCATTTCACACCTGCAAGAGCCGCCTAGTTCGGGAGGTGCGTGGTCCTTATCCTGACAAAGTCATATCTCTGCTTTCTCATTTTCCAGTTGTGAACACAGGTGTCCTGTGTGCCCTGACCACGCCATGTTCAGTTACTTAACCACAGCTCGCCCAGGGCGCCTTGGCTGGAAATGGTGATATTTGCCAAAGAGTAAAGCCCCGGGGACATCGTCCCCCTTCCCTGTAAGGAAGGCACACTGTGGAATGGTAAGAGGGTGGAGAGCCCAAAGCCCACACCCACACCTTTCATTTCACTTGACTTACCGTCTCATTCATTCACTTCATTCGTTCATTTTACAGGAGCCTTGTCTGATCTTCGAATCACCCAGAAGTGTGGTCTCCTTGTCCCCAAGGCTGTTTCCTGGAAGAGCCTCTTTCTGTTCCCCATCACCGTGGAACTATAAGGGTCCCTGGAGCAGTGGCAGCTGGGGCTTCCCTCTGCCATGCCATCCAGATGCAGCACTCCTGTCTAAGAAAGTAGAAATCGGGGACCTGAGAGACCATCACGGAGCCTGCCTCTTCCTCCGCAGTGAGACTTCTTCCGTCCTGCAGCAGAGAGAAGTCTTGAGGGGACATTCCAGGGGCCCCCCATCAAGCCTGCAAGGGGGGAGCTCCAGGGAGAATGGCTGGGCCCACTGCCCGCTCCAGTCGCCACATCACAAAATCCTTGACTGGACCCAGTAGTGGGTTTGGACAGGGTGGCATTTATCCTTGTTGGATTATAAGTGTTGCCTCTTCCCTCCCTCCATTCTCCTTTCCTACTAATGTCTTCGTACTCCAGTGGCTACACATGAATACATTATGAACTTCTCAAAGGCAGGGACTGTGTTTGATCTGTAGGAATTGACATAGATCCTTTGCTTGACCAAACTTTAGTCAGATTCCTGGGCCTTCTCCTAGGCTCATCTTTGCATTTCCTTGTAAAATCCAGTTTTAACAAGAACCCTGCTGAGTCCGTTGAGCAAGAACCCCCTACCATTTGTACCTGATCACCCTCGATATCTGATCCAGCTCTTCCCTCTCCACCATCCCCCGGGTGGGGTCTGCTCCCTCTGGCCTGTCTTCTGCAAGAATCCTGTGAGGTCCATTTGCTCCGGATTCCCCAAATCCCCCTTTCTCCTGATGTTTCCTCTCAGGAATTTTCCATCCACTGCCCCTACCCTGATCTTTGGCTGTCAGTTCCCCCTTGCCCGAACCGTATTCAGAGCCGACCCAATCTCCCCTCCCCACTGTATAAGCCCGTCGCAGCAGTCCCTGTAGCTATCCTGATGGTCCTGAATAGTCTTCCTTACCGCACTTTAACGACTACCTCGGAATAATTTTTCTTTAACAGTATCTCTGCGGGGCCCCAAAGTGGTATCTAGTATAAGACCTTAGGTACATGTTAAATATTTCTAGAATGATGAGACCTGAACTCCCCTCCTGCATGCACTTGTCATAGATTGCATGGAAAGTACTGCAGTGGGAGAAAGGGGACTGTTTTATGTAAGGAAGGAAGTGACCTACATCGTTAGAGAACTACAAATAAAACATTTTCTAAGAGTGAGAGAGGGAGAGCTCGCTGCTGACCGGCGGGAGTGAGGGGGTCCAAAGGCATCTGACCCCTAGGGCCAAGAATACGCAAAGGGCGGCACGTTCACAGGCTCAGGCTGGACTCCGTGCCGCCGCTGGCCCCGGTAGGGAGCAGGCCTTACCGGAGGATGTGGACCCTTACAAAGTCAGCATCAGCAAGAGACAGGAGGTGGGCCCCCCAGCCTCCTACATCCCACAGAGAGCAGAGCAGTGGCGTGGGGAGCTGGCCAACAGATGTCCCACGGGAGGCTCCCCGCCTCTGTCACTCTCCCTGTTTGTAGGGCCCACATGAGAAAGTGGCCCCATCACAGCGGGAATACCCACACTGCAGGGTGCCAGGAAATCTGGCTGCTGGTGCCAGCTGTTTCTGGGAGTTGTCTGGGAATGCCAGTTGTCTGGCAACTGGAGACCCTAGCCCAGGAAAGCTGCAAAGAAACCACTTGTCCCAGATGAGGCCGAGCTCAGAGGCAGCCCCTCTGGCTGGAAGATGGGGGTCCAGGTCCCCACTAGCTCATGGTCCGAGCCACATGGTGATCCCGGTGTTTGTAGAGTGCCCTGCTCCTTCTTCATAGACAGCAAAGGAATCGGTTGCTGGCAGCTAGATAGGAGGGGCAATTTTGAATTTAAGAAAATAAGAGGATCAGAAGCCATTCTGTATAAGAGATTCATGAAAACAAAGAGTAGAGGAACAGGTTAATACAAGAATGGAGTAGCAGGAGGGATCACAGCAGACCAGACTGATCTGGACAGAAGTGGATGAGGTGTTCTAAAGGCCTGTGGGACACCAGGATTTGTTGTAAGACGCTGTCCTGCATCCTCTCCCACCCACCTCTGTTGGCAGTGCCCTGGAGTCACGTGACAACCGAAAGCGCCCCCCACAAAGGTCTGAATGCTCCCTGGGTGGCAGTGCCCGTGCTGTGAGCCACTGACCCAGAGCCCTCGGGGGTTTGCCGATGGATGGTAGGGGCTGAGGTGGGCGGTTCGAGAAATACTCGTGGGCCAGGGTTGGCCAACTGTGGAAACCTTCTGGACTGGGAAGTTAGTCAGGGGGAAGAGTCAGTGCAGTGTGAGTCATGTTGGGGGCAGGTGGTGGCTCCCTGGCGACAAAGGCATGGGTGTGGAGGTTAGGGCTGGGGAGAAAGGAGAGCTGGTAGCCTTTTCCTTTTGTTTTGTGTCATTTACGTACCATAAAATGCACACGTTAGTGTAGAATTCAGTGGCTATTAGTGCGTTCACAGAGTTGTAAAACATCACTGCAATCTCGTTTTAAGTGACTGGTTGAGCTTCTGTGAGGCTGAGGATGCAGACCAGGCCTCCGGGCTGGTGAGGACTGGACTTCCTGGTGAGTAGGCCCAGGAGCCCCTTTCCTGGCAGCTTCCATTTTCCTTCCGGGTGCTCGCTGTCTTTGTAACCATCTCTTTGGGTATGTTTTGCTTATTGTCTTCTTTCCCTGAAGGCAGGGCCCAGCTCTGTGCAGTTCACCCACGAGTCCCAGAGCCCAGCACAGCGCCTGCCCTTTGAAGGGGTGTCCTGCGAATACATGAATGAATGATACAGTTTTAGCCTCAACTCTTTTACAACGAGGCTGTGAGACCCTCGCTACATCTTCTAAATTTCCTTTGGTATCACTTTTCTCTTGTAATAAATGTGGGCAAAAGTATCTGCCCCCACCCAGGACTGCACAGGAGAGATAGTAATTCTTTTTATTTGTTTATTTTTTTGTGACAGGGTCTGGCCCTGTTGCCCAGGCTGGAGTGCAGTGGCGCGATCTCGGCTCACTGCAACCTCCTCTTCCCAGGTTCAAGCGACTCTCCTGCCTCAGCCTCCTGAGTAGCTGGGATTACAGGCATGCACCACCATGCCTGGCTAATTTTTGTATTTTTTGGTAGAGACGGGGTTTCGCCATATTGGCCAGGCTGGGAGAGACAGCGATTCTTTGCTGTGTCGCTATACAGCTCTGGTTGGTGGTTAGGCCATTGGAAAGCCTTCGTTTTCTCTGAATTGGGATTGTTTGTCATTGTAGACTGTTCCTCTGCAGACTGGCAAGCCCGTTTGTGCCCTGCTCCGCACTGGGGGCCTGGCAGAGAAGAGGGGCTGGAGCCCAGTGGGGTTTACCAGCATCTTCACCAAGCGCTGTGCCCAGGAATGAGGTGCTGTTCCTGGCCGCACGTCTGGGGGACGCTGCCTTCGAATCCACTCACAGGTAGGCCGGCCCTGCCTGCAGGCCTCTTTCCACCCAGCCAGCAAACACCTCACCGTCTTCATGTGTCCTGTGGCTTTTCAGCAGGCTGGATTTTCTCCTCACAGCGTCTGGAAAACAGAGTCAAGTTTCTCCCTCCCCTCCCTCGCTACTCTCTCCTCCCTCTGCAGGCTCCGGATCAGGCTGCCAATCTGTAAATG
Source organism: Homo sapiens (assembly GCF_000001405.40). Classification (NCBI taxonomy): domain Eukaryota; kingdom Metazoa; phylum Chordata; class Mammalia; order Primates; family Hominidae; genus Homo; species Homo sapiens. Next base: position 99,402,371 of record NC_000015.10, on the reverse strand, counting down.
ATGTTTTAGGTTTTTCTTTGTTGTTGTTTTGGTGCTGTGAAGCCTGCCTTGTTAACACCAGGTGCTGAAAGATTAAAACTTATCAATCACCATCATCAAGGTGAGGAGGGGTAGGATGGTTTCAACTAGTCCCAAATTTCCTGGAGGAATTTGGCCTCTTGTCAATTTCCCTCTCCCGAGGCTGACATTGCCAGCAGAGCAAAGTCCTCTCCAGCTGCCCACTCTCAGGCTTTACTAAGTTAAAAATCTCTTAGCTTGGGCTCTGTGCTAAGCACAAGAAAGGGACCAACATTTCTTGACTGATAATATATTAGTTGTTTCTTGCTATTTGACTGTGAGACTCTAAGAATAGTATATTTTTCTGGAAGCAGAGTTTTAACAACCTAGAAAGCTTAATTAAGCTTTCCTGCTGCATTGTTTAAATTGAATTAGTAGCAGAAGAGTATTTTTAGAAGTGAAATGATAATTTCATGTAACAGATAACATGTCTGAATATTCTTAAACCTCTATATAGGCCAAAACATAGCGACAGAATTGACTTCACAAGTCTAAAAGTATGAACGGTTTGCTTTTACACACGTCATCACTATCATATCTATTTATTCAATTTATACCTTGAATTCCTTTTTCCTAAGTACAAAGTGAGCCGGGGTTGGGAGGAGAACTTTTAAAAGCACTTTACAAATGTGACGGGCCTGGAGTGATTTTTCAGTTCCTGGTTTTGCCGGTCTGGGTGGGCTCACTTCCTAGCTTTCAGTCTTGTTTGGATTTTGTTTCTTTTATTCAGAGGAACCAGGATATCACTTAGTGGTGACTGCTTTGTGTATTACTTTGGATAGTAAAAGTACCTGATATGGTTTGGCTGTGTCCACACCAAAATCTCATCTTGAATTGTAACTCCCACAATTCCCACATGTCATGGGAGGAACCCAGTGGGAGGTGATTGAATCATGGAGGCAGGTCTTTCCCATGCTACTCTTGTGATAATGACTACATCTCACGAGATCTGATTATATAAGGGGGAGTTGCCGGGCACAAGTTCTCTTCTCTTGTCTGCTGCCATGTGAGACATACCTTTCACCTTCCGCCATGATTGTGAGGCCTCTCCAGCCACGTGGAACTGTAAGTCCAATAAACCTCTTTCTTTTGTAAATTGCCCAGTCTCAGGTATGTCTTGATCAGCAGCATGAAAATGGATTAATACAGTACCATTAAAAAGGTTTGTTATGAGGAAGCTGCAGGTTAAAATAGAAAGCAGCCGTTTAATTCATGCTTTGAAGTGTGCATCTCCTCAGAAACTCGGGTGACCAAAGTGAGGTCCCGGATGGCATATTTTCAAATGAATGCTCGAGCTGTGATGGACCTTTAAGACTCTAGTGAAAAATGTGACATGAAAGTGGTCCAAATGAAACTCTCAGATTTTCCTGGGTCTTTCTATATAAGTAGAATAAAGACTGTTTTATACTGGTAATGTGGAAAATGTAGTTTGCAAATTATGGCCACCACAACTCCTGATGAAGATGACTAAAATATTAATATAAAAATAATGGGAACTGGCCAGGCACGGTGGCTCATGCCTGTAATCCCATTACTTTGGGAGGCCGAGGCAGGCAGATCATCTGAGGTCAGGAGTTTGAGACCAGCCTGGTCAACATGGTAAAACGCCGTGTCTACTAAAAAAATACAAAAAATTAGCCAGGCGTGGTGGTGTGCACCTGTAATCCCAGCTACTCGGGAGGCTGAGGCAGGAGAATCACTTGAACCCAGGAGGTGAAGGTTGCAGCGAGCCGAGATTGAGCCACTGCACTCCAGCCTGGGCAACAGAGCTAGACTCCGTCTCTAAATTAAATTAAATTAAATAAAATAATGGAAACCATCTAATAGAAGTAGAGGAAGTGATCTCAAGTAGGAATCATCTATATTTGCTTGCTACAGGTTTGGCAAAGGGGCTGAGAGGGCTTCTTGGAGAAACCTGAGGGTGAGTTGGGGTGAGGCATGATGAATTCTATTTGAGGAATTTTCCATGTCCTCTGAGATAGGTTTGCCAATTCAGATACATCAATGAGATCACGCAAAGATATGGGACTGGGCAAGACTGTCCCAAAGGAAAGTGGCGTGCGAAGACAACTCCTTGAGGTGGCCACAGGCACAGGCAAAAATCAAGTTATTTCTTGCTTTCTTTTGATATTTGTGACATCAGATGATTCTGCTCTTTAATCTCACTTTTTCATGTTTACCTTTAGCAGGAGTTTCAGTATTTCTCCATGTCTCCTCCTCTGCCAAACACTGAAAATTCAGGAACCTTTTGTAAACAATCACGCACCATTTCTTCTAAATTTGTATAGTACCTCCTTCAATTAGGGCTTTTCTGGTGACCTGCAAAACCTCTGGGCTTCCCTTCATCTTCAGCTGCTCACTTAGCTCAGCTTCCTACAAGGTAAACAGAGGTGGGCTCACTTTCATTTCAGGTTTCCTAAATACTGAGCCTAAGTCTTTCTTCAGAAGAGCTATCCCCCACACCCATGGAGACATGGTCCAGGCTACTCCTACACTCAGCCTATTAGTAATCTCAGAGGCTGCTGCGGGTCAGTGCCAGGCACCAGCAAGTTGTAGGAATGTGACTGATGTTACCAATTCATAACATTTCTTTTTTCTTTTTTTTTGAGATGGAGTTTTGCTCTTGTTGCCCAGGCTGGAGTGCAATGACGCGATCTCAGCTCACTGCAACCTCCACCTCCTGGGTTCAAGCGATTCTTCTGCCTCAGCCTCCCAAGTAGCTGGGATTACAGGCATGCACCACCATACTTGACTAATTTTTGTATTTTTAGTAGAGATGAGGTTTCACTATATTGTTCAGGCTGGTCTCGAACTCTGACCTCAAGTGATCCACCCGCCTCAGCCTCCTAAAGTGCTGGGATTATAGGTGTGAGACACCATAACATTTCTTTCCTTAAATTTGGATTTTCTTTCAGAGCAAACATAGGCACTGGTAAAATTATGCTTATTTGTAAGTAATGCCTTGTTCCTAAAGCAGTGGTATTTCATCATCTCCCCCAACCCCCACCACTCTCTTCTTTTCTCTTTTCTCCAGTCTCTTTACTCTTCACACTTCCTAAGTCTGCAGAGTTTCTTGGCCACAAAAACTCCCCAAAGGGTGCGGCTCGCTCTTCTGCAGCTGACACAAGGACCCCTGCTGCCACACTCGTCTTCCCGATGCCATTTTCTCGGTGTTCACACAGCTCTTTCTGTGAGCTGTTCATTTTAACTAAAGCTGCATCCCACAGCTTATTTTTGTAGTGACCCCAGATCAACAGGCCAACTATTAATACTCTGGCCATGAATCTGATGTAAAGCAATGCTGTGAATTTAATATCAAGCAAAAGCTTAATTGATGAAACTCCAGCTTGTTTTGTTGTTGCTGCTTTTACATAATACGTCAAATGGAGATGGTTCAGGGAAACCTAATGAAGACCGCGTGGCCATGGCCCACCAGACAGTCACACAAATAAAACACGTTTGGAATGAAATCCTATTCCAAGCCTCATCATACATGAATCTTACATTAAATGAAGAGATAACATTCTCTGGGCCAGGCACGGTGGCTCACACCTGTAATCCCAGCAAATTGGGAGGCTGAGGCGGGCAGATAACCTGAGATCAGGAGTTCGAGACCAGCCTGGCCAACATGGCGAAACCCCATCTCTACTGAAAAACATACAAAAAATTAGCTGGGTGTGGTGGCGTGCACCTGTAATCCCAGCTACTCGGGAGGCTGAGGCAGGAGAATCGCTTGAACCGGAGGCAGAGGTTGCAGTCAGCTGACATCGTGCCATTGCACTGCAGCCTGGGCGACAAAGTGAGACTCAAAAAAAAAAAAAAAAAGATAACGTTTTCCAAGATTGCCCTGGTTGAAAAGAACTGAACTGATCATGTGTGTTTATAAAAGTAGTAGCAATTTAGTACTTGCTTGTAAAAGAATTAATCTTCCATCTGCTTGCTCAAATAAAGTCACAGAGGAAGAAACTGGAAGAAATTGATATTTTCAAATACAATAGAAAGAAAAAGACTTAGGTTTAAAAATATATTAAATATACATATACATATAAATTATATTAAATGATATTGTTAGACATGTAATACTTTTTTGTTTTTTTGAGATGAAGTCTCACTCTGTCACCCAGGCTGGAGTGCAATGGCACGATCTTGGCTCACTGCAACCTCCACCTCCCCGGTTCAAGCAATTCTCCTGCCGCAGCTTCTTGAGTAGCTGGAACTACAGGCACCTGCCACCACACCCAGCTAATTTTTGTATTTTTAGTAGAGAAGAGGTTTCGCCATGTTGGCCAGGCTGGTCTCGAACTCCTGACCTCATGTGATCTGCCCACCTCGGCAAAGGTGCTGGGATTATAGGCATGGGCCACTGCATCTGGCCAGTAGACATGTAATACTATGCAGTGATTATGTACATCTATGTCTGTTGATATAGATTTTCATAATAAGTGAAGAAAGCAGGTTATAAAACTGCATAGAAAGATGCCATTTAAGTCAGACCACATATGTATGTGTAGGATTCATACAAAAGAATGAAAAGATAGGCAAATATTCATCAAAAGAGAGGGGATTAATTAAATTTCAAGCTTTTACGTCATGCGTTTCTTTAGCCTGCAGTATTACTTTTGTAATTAGAAAAAGGCTATTTCAATATGATTTAGAAACTATAAAAAATACTACATGGATAGAGAATTCCTGGAAGGAGACTGGGATTAAAGTACACTTCTGTACTTAAAAAAAAAAGATCAGGTCTTCCCTTTTAGGGTAGTCAATCCTGTAATTCCAGCACTTTGGGAGGACGAGGCCAGGCGTTCAAGACCAGCCTGGCCAACATGGCGAAACCCTGTCTCTACTAAAAATACAAAAATTAGCTGGGTGTGGTGGCATGTACCTGTATTCTCGGCTACTCGGGAGGCTGAGGCAGGAGAATCACTTGAACCCGGGAGGAGGAGGTTGCAGTGAGCCAAGATCGCGCCTCTGCACTCCAGCCTGGGAGACAGAGAGAGACTCGATCTCAAAATAAAAAGAAATAAAGAAAAGAAAAGAGAAGAAAAAAGATTATATGCACAGGATTCAACAGTAATAGCTCAAAACATAACTGACCTAGATTCTTTCAAATAGCAAGATCAGATTAATAATATTATAGCTGCATTTTATATTTTTCTCTTAAAATTCTTTGCCTGCTCAATTAAAGAATACATACCCAAAGAAAGCAAGATATAATGACGTTTTTTATATACAATTTTAAATCCCTATCATTTATTTAAAATCTAGACGTAGCTTTGATCTATTGAATTAAACTGCGTACCATCAAAGAGGGTGTAATTCTTCAGTCAATAAATCTAACGGTGCAGGTCAGTGCCAGGCACCAGCAAGTTGTAGGAGGACCTTTGGTAGATAATTCCTTCCTGTACATTTTTGTTCTAAAGAATGGTACCAACACAGCATTGGAAACTGAGGAAAAAAGCAAATATGGCATCCAAATGCTTTACAGAGGAGTACTTCCTAGTACTTTACAGAATTTTCCGTTTGATTTTATGTTCAAACACATTAATTTCATGGTGTCTTACTTTCAGCAGGTTTCAGTCCTTGAGGAGCGCTCACTAGGATGGTAATTGTTTGATCGATAGATTAAGTGAGTTGGAAGACTCTCCAAGTGAAAATTTAAAATTACTGCAGTTTTGGCCTGATGATGTTAACCAGCAAGAACAGAATCTGAAACCAGATGAGCTGTTAGTACTGCTTTCATCTGTTTTACAGCCACAGCGACAGCAGTTCCCTGGCTTCTGGAAGGAGTGTCGGTCTATCCAAAAAATGTACTAACAGATATGTAAAGTAAGTTGCATCACTAGCTTTGATTTTTTTAAATGGAGATATTATATACCATACACTGAATTTTACCTCAATTCAATGGTTTTCGGTACATTCACAAGGTTGTGCAACTATCACTGCTATCTAATTCCAGACCATTTTCATTGCCCCAAAAGAAACTCCATACCCATTAGCAGTTAGTACCCATTTTCTTCTCCCCTCAACTCCTGGCCACCATCTACTTTCTGTCCCTAGGGATTTCTTATTCTGGACATTGCATACTAATGGAATCATACATGTGATCTTTTGTGGCTGGCTCCTTTCATTTCATTTTCATGTCATGTTTTCAAGGTTCATCCATGTTGTGGCATGTGTCACTAACCCATTCCTCTTTATGGCTAAATAATATTCCATCATATGGATATACTAGATTTGATTCATCCATTCATCCATTGATGGGCACTTTTTGGCCATTATGAACATTCATGCACTAGTTTTTGTGTGGATGTGTGCCTAGAAGTGGAATTACTGGTCATGTGGTAACTCTGTTTAACCTTCTGAGGCACTGCCAGACTGAGCCAGCCTGCATAGTTCACACATTCCCACCAGTATGTATGAAAGTTTCAATTTATCCATTCTTGTCAAGGCTTATTATTCTCCACCTATTTGTTTATAGCCATCTTAGTGTGTGTGGAATGGTATCTCATGGTTTTGATTTGCATTTTCCTAATGACTAATGATATTGAGATCTTTCCATGTGCTTTTGGACATTTGCATATCTTCTTTGGAAAAATGTTTATTCAAATCCTTTGACCATTTTTTCTTTGAATTTTTTTTCTTTTTGAATTGTAAGAATTCTTTATATATTCGAAATACTAGACCCTTATCAGATATATAATTTGGACAATTTTTCCCATTCTGTGAGTTGTCTTTTCACTTTCTTGATAGTGTCCTTTAGGCACACATTTTTAATTTTAATGAAATACAATTTGTCTATTTTTTCTTTGGTTGCTTGTGCTTTTAGTGTTATATCAAATAATCAAATGTTTAGTCCAATGTCATAAAGGTTTACATCCACATTTTCTTCTAAGAGTTTATTTTCATTCTTACTTTTAGGTCTGTCATCCATTTGCAGCAAATTTTGCCTACGGTATGAAATAGGAGTTCAATTTGACATTGAATATTGATATCTTAGCAATATTATCTCCCAATCTGTGAACACGAAATTTCTTTATATTTATTCAAATTATCTTTGGTTTTTAATGATGTTAAATCCAAGTATTCTTTGTGATGCTGTTGTAAATGGAATTTTTTGTGTTGTTCATTGCTAATGTATAAAAACCAATGATGTTTGTATATTAATCTTGTATCCTGCAACCTCATTGAACTAGTTTATTAGCTCTAGTAATATGTTGGTGTGAATCCCTTAATATTTTCTACATACAAGATCATGTCATCTGCAAATTGTTTTACTTCTTCCTTTCCAATTTGGATGCTTTTTATTTCATCTTGCCTACTGCTTTGGCTACAACCTCCAGTACAAGATTGAATAGAAGTGATGAGACAGAACATCCTTGTCTTATTTGTGATCTCTGGGGGGGAAGGCTTACAGTATTTTGCATCAACATATCAGCTACGGGTTTTTCATAGATGTCCTTTCTCAGGATGAAAAAGTCCATGTTTGGCTTTTTGAATGTTTTCATCTAAGAGTTTTGGATTTTGCCAAATGTTAAATGCTTCTTCTGTATGCATTGAGATGATCTTGTTGTTTTTGTCCTTTATTCTAATAATATGGTGTACTACATTGATTTCTGTATGTTGAAGTTTGTATTCCTAAGATAAATCTCACTTGCTTATGGTGTACATTCCTTTCTATATGTTGCTGGATTTACTTTCATTAGTATTTTGTTGAGGATTTTTGCCTCTATATTGAGGGCTATTGGCCTGTAGTTGTTTTCTTTGCCTGATTTCTAATGTGGGTGATACTGAATTGGGAAGGGTATCCTCCTTCTCTGTTTTTTGGTGTTTGTGAATAATTGGTGGTATTCTGTAAATGTTTGACAGAATTCACCAGTGAAGACATCTGCTCCTGGACTTTTTCCCGTGGGAAGTTTGTTTTTAAGAGATGGGAGTCTCACTCTCACCCAGGCTGGAGTGCAGTGGTGTGACAATAGCTCACTACAGCCTTGAACTTGTGGGCTTAAGGGATACTTCCACCTCAGCCTCCCAAGTAGCTGGGACTGCAGGTGTGCACCACCACACCTATTTTTTTTTAATTTATTTTTTTTTAGAGACAAGGTCTCACTATGTTGCCCAGGCTGGTCTTAAACTTCTGGCCTAAAGCCATCCTCCTGCTTCAGCCTCCCAAGTAGCTGGCATTACATGTGTGAGCCACCATGCCTGGCTGTGGGAAGTTTTTTGATTACTCATTAATTTAATCTCTTGTTTGGATCTATTTAAAGTTTTTATTTCTTCTTCAGTTTTGATATGTCTTTCTAGAAATTTGTCCATGTCATCTAAGTTCCCTAATTTGTTGTCATATGAACTCTTATTTTTATTTCCATAAGATTGGTAGTAGTCTTTCATTCCTGACTTTGGTAATCTATCTTCTCTATTTTTTTTTCTAGGCTGCCTAAGGGTGTGTCAACTTTATTGACTTTTTCTAAGAACCAGCTTTCGGTTTGATTTTCTCTGTTTTTCTTTCTAGGCTGCCTAAGGGTTTGTCAACTTTATTGACTTTTTCTAAGAACCAGCTTTTGGTTTGATTTTCTCTGTTTTTCTTTCTATCCTCTATTTCATTTATTTTGATTCTAATCCATATTATTTCTTTGTTCTGCTTGCTTTAGGTTTAGTTTGCTATTATTTTCTAGTTTCTGAAGGTTTAGAGCTAGGTTATTGATTTGAAGCTTTTAACAGAGACATTTATAGCTATACATGGTCCTTTAAGTGATGGTTTAGCTGCATCTCATAAGTTCTGGTATGTTCTGTTATTTTCATTACTCTCTTAAGGGACTTTGTAATTTCCCTTGTGATTCTTTTCTTTGACCCATTGGTTAAAAGGAATGTACTGTTTAATTTCCACATTTTTTTAGGTTTCCCAAATTTTCTTCCAATTTTAAATTTCATCCCATTGTGGTCAGAGAACGTGTTTTGTATAATTTCAACGATTAAAATTATGCCTTCTTGATGGATTGTCCCTTTTATTATGTAATGTCTTTGTCTCTACTAACAATTTTTATCTTAAAGTCTGTTTTGTCTGATGTTATATCCACTCAAGCTTTTTCCTTACAGTTTACATGTGTTTTTTTCATCCTTTTACTTTCAGCCTACTTGTGTCATTGAATCTAAAGTGTTTCTTAGTGGGCAGCATATAGTTGGACCATGATTTTTATCCATTCTACCATCTTTGCCTTTTGAGTGTTTAATCCATTTATGCTTAATGCCAATTACTGATAAGGCAGGGTTTAGTCTGCCATTTTGCTAATTTTTTTCTTTTTTTTTTTTTTTAATAGAGACAAGGCCTCACTATGTTGTCCATGCTGGCCTTGAACTCCCCAGGCTCAAGCAATCCTCCTGCTTCAGCCTCCCAAAGTGCTGGGATTATAGGCATGAGCCACTGTGACCAGATTTTTTGCTTTCTATGTCTTTTGTCTTTTTTGTTCCTTTATTCCTCTGTTACTTCCATATCTTCTTTTGTTAGCAGCTATTTTCTAGTGTACCATTTTCTTTGTTGTAGCTTTTACTATATATTCTCTAGCTATGTTCTTAGTGTTTTTCCTGAGGATTATTAACATTTCAATTTATAACAACCTAGTTTGGAATAATGCTAACTTCAACAGTATAGAAAAATTTTCTTCCTAAGTCTCTTCCCTCCTCCTTCCTTTGTAATGTTGTCATACAAATTGTTTTTTCACCTTATGCCCAGATTTTTAATTATTGTTTTATGCAGTTGCCTCAAATCAGATAGGAGGAAAGTTACCAAAAATGCATTTGTACTGCCTTTTATATTTACCAATATAACTACCTTTACCAGTGCTATTTCTTCATGTGCATTTGAGTTACTATTATCTTTTCGTTTCAGCCTTTAAGTTCTCTGTTTTTCTTGTAGAGCAGCCTTGCTAATAAATTCTGTTTTTGTTTATCTGGGCATGTCCTAATCATTTCTGAAGGATAGTTTTGCTGGAAATAGAATGCTTATTTGATAGTCATTCACTTTCAGCACTTGGAATACATCATCCCACTGTTTTCTACACTCCATAGTTTCTGATGAAGATCCCTAGTACACGAGTCACTTCTCTCTTTGCTTCCAAGATGCTTTGGTACACAGTGTGATTTTGTATCCAGGCACGGATCTCTTGAGTTTATACTACTTAAGGTTCATTGAGCTTCTTGGGTATGTAAATCAATGCTTTTCATCAAATTTCAGTCTTTGGCCATTATTTTTTTTTAAAATATTCTACCTCTTTCTCTCCTCTCGTCTGGGACTCCAATTATGCATATATTGGTATGCATGATGGTGTGCCACAGCTCTCTGAGGCTCTATTCATTTTTCTTTATTCTTTTTTCTGTTTCTCAGACTAGATAGAGTTCCTCTCATGAATTTTTCATTTCAGTTATTGTATTTTCAACTTCATGATTTATATTTGGTTCTTTTAAAAATAATTTTTCATTTTCTATTTAGTGAGACATTTTCATACTTTTAGTTCTTTACACATTATTTTTCTTTAGTTCTCTGAACCTATTTAAAATAGCCAATTTAAAGTCTTCATCTAAAAATCCAATGTCTAGACTTCCTCAGGTGTCTATTTTTTATTCCTCCCATGTATGGAACATACTTTCTTCTTTATGTGTCTCATAATTTTTCTGTGGAAAACTGGACATTTCAAAGAACAATGTGGCAACTCTGGAAATCATACCTAGCTTTTTATTTCCTTGCTAAGGGTTTGATGTACTTGCTGGGTTTTTGGCTTGTTTAGTGACTATTCTGAACTAATTCAGTAAAGTCTATATTCTTTATAGTGCGTGGATACTGAAGTCTCTGCTAGGGTTGTTTAGTGGTCAGCTAATGATTGGACAGAAATTTCCCTAAATGCCACTAAGGGAGTTTTCTTACTGTGCTACATCTCCAAGTCTGTGCTAAGGGCTCTGGGTGCATGTTGGAGCACCCCTTCAACACTGAGCCAGGAAGACGACAGGAAGGAAGCTGCCTTTGGCCTCACTTTCTGCTTGTGTGTCAGGGTCAACCGATGGTGACAGCTCAAGATGTTCTTAAGTCTTTCCTGAGCAGGAGTATAACCCTTGGCATATGCAAAGCTCTACACATACACATGACCATCTGAATTCCCAAGAATACCAGAGCTTTTCAAGGTCCCTATGGACATCTCATTCCCAAGCTTTTCCTTTTACGTTTTTGGTTAGCCTATTGTCTGCTCCAAAGCTTAGCCACCACTTGAGGCAACCACAAAATTAACCAATTGCCTCTGAGTCTCTCTTGACTAATGTCCCTGGGAAAAAGGCTTTTCACACCTGGCAAGCTCCAATCCGGTAAAATAAAGACAGTCTTGCAAATGAGGTCTTCCAGGGACCTGCCTGCCAGGTCAAATAATGACAATTCTCTGGGAATGAGGCTTTGAAGGAGTTCTAACCCCATTCTGCCCCCTCTAGTGGCTTCCAGGCTGCTACTTTTCACCTTCATTGTATACTGTTGGTTTTCAAGGATACAACAGAGACGGAAGGGGGAGATAGGAATAGGGCAAGTTAAAACACCACAAAACTCGTTGTTCGTATCGAGATTCAGCCATTTCTCTTGAATAAATACTCCACCATTGACATTCTGAGCATTCACATGGTTCAAGCTCAATTATTCTATAAACTGCAGTAACTGAGAGAGGCAACCAAATTGGATAAAGTATGAGTTTTTAGCCACACTCCAAATGAATGTTGCCATAATTTTTCAGAGGCCTGGATTTCATTATGTATCTATTTTAAAAATCTTGGATCATTTAGACTCAAAAATCACAATAAGAAACAAAACCTGATATTCTTTAACACAGGTAGCAAAGATAATCCACACTTGAGTGGAAAAAAGTCTGGCTAACCCTTGAAAGTCTCTTAATTACATACAGAAATAATCTCCGAATGCTACACCTTCTGCCCATCCACCACACTCGCTGCCAGTACCTTCTGTCTCCAAAGTACAAGGGGACCACACATACAGTCATACTTCAAAGGCTGTGAAGCAAGCTCTTTTCCTGACCGAGAGAATGTCAGTCACTTGGCTATGATCAATTCCTTTCCTAGAGACACCGGCATCACTTTCAGATCTATTAGCTGATGACACAAGGAGGTAGCTCCTCACTGTAGGCACAGTGAAACTTGAATGATTTTTTTTTGAGACGGAGTCTCGCTCTGTTGCCCAGGCTGGAGTGTAATGGCGTGATCTCAGCTCAATGCAACCTCTTCCTGCCGGGTTCAAGCAATTCTCCTGCCTCAGCCTCCCGAGTAGCTGGGACTGCAGGTGCGCGCCACCACGCCTGGCTAATTTTTTGTATTTTTAGTAGAGATGGGGTTTCACCATGCTGGCCAGGCTGGTCTCAAACTCCTGACCTCAGATGATCTGCCCTCCTCGGCCTCCCAAAGTGCTGGGATTATAGGCATGAGCCACTGCCGAGACTTGATTTTTAGATAGACATAGAGCTAGTTTCAAAAATACAAACTTTATAAAAACCCCCTTTGTTTGAAGAAAAGGCAAGATATTCACTGAGTTTCTGGGAAATGTAGGAGAACCTCAATAGAAGCAAGCAGGAGTGAATGAAAACCACAAAAATGAAGGCATAATAAAACAGGCAGGGTAATGTAAGGATCCATTTAAAGAAGAGTCTTAAAGAGAGTGTGTTTATGAGTCTGTGAAATGAATTTACATCTCAAATTTTATCAGGTTGCAACATTAGTGTTGGTCCAGTTAGAAATCCATGTTCATAAATCATCTTAATAAAAATGTTTTTATTTATGCTGAGGCAATGTATTGTGTTTAAGTACTTTATAGCAAAGATTAGAATTTCTGATTTTTCATTCAGGAAAGGGAAAAACCTTTACTACTACTAATTTTAAAAATTGGCTTTGAAAGTCCCCACAGACTACAAAATAGTTACATATTTTAGAGAAAATTATATGCAGAGCCTCATAAGCCAACTGGTATTGAAGCCTTTTTTTCCCCCTAGACTGTAAAGATTTTAATTCGTAATGCTCAACGTAAAACAGAAGTGAGAGGTACATTACACTAGTCGGACAAGCTGGAATGTGAAAGGTCTTAGTGAGGCACGGTGACCAAAAGATGTTTAATGTACACCTCACTTTTCCAGAAGAGAAGGGTCAGGTAACAAAGAAGTTCATCACTCTTATCCGTTAGCCAGAGTGGATCCTCCACCCAAGCCAGGGTTCTTTTGAATAGGGATCATTTAATTATTATGTATTTTAAGAATGTGCTCAAAACATGTATTAACTGAAGATGCAGCATTTCATCCACACAATGTTATGTAATTAAGGTTTTTGGTATGATAACAATTGGACATACTGAAGAACACTGATAGGGTAATCCACTAAAATCGGCCCCCTTTGCACTACTTCATAGGAAGGCCTATGCTCATGAGGCTATCCTGGACTTTAAAACTTATCGCTAACCACACAAGAGTTCACTGAAGTAAACTTACCTGAACAGAGATGATACTTTCCAAGTAGCTCACTTTTTTTGCATTACTATTATTGTGTGAATACTTTTCTACCTAGTGTAACTGTTGCTCAAGAAAACAACATATATAATAACTTCAGATTTGCTTTTCTGCAAAGCTTTGGACACAATTCAAATATATAGCATGTAGGCAAATTTTCTCCAGTTGGTAAGACTCCTTTATAGTATCAAAAGATTAAGAATGACATCGATAAATCCAGCATAAAATTTCCATAATGAACAGCACCAGGGAAACCACTTAAGTTCCACTTCTCATCAATTAAGTTCAGGTGCTGTACCCAAGGATTAAGGTTGAGACTGCCCAAAGGTTGTCTGCCCAGCCCACTGCTGTTGTTTAACACACCGTAGTTCATAATAGGTAGAGAAAGAATGCCTGGATTGTAAGCATTTTTGTAAAATTTCAAACAAGGTAAAACTAATGTATCACCTTATCACAATGAGAATCCTGAATACCAAGTTAGCACATTTCATAGCTCCATTCCATGACATATGATTGTAGAGGATGAAATAGAAAAATGTAGCAAGACATTTACTGTCACTTAAATCATAGGTAGCAGTCACTTAGGCCTGAAGCACAATTGTGAAGTTTCATGCCACATTTTCACCAGCTAACTTATATACATGTAGAGGTTATGTTAAACTTCAATTATTCCAAAGGATGAAAGTGTTACATTTTGATACAGATCTTCAGTTCCTATTTTACTATAAGCCTTTGAAATGTTAAGGCTGAATAGACCAAGATATGAAAAGGGACAAGAGGAAGTAAGAACAGTGCAGATACAGTGGGAACACACGGTAACTTTCTGCCTTCTCCATTCTACGTGGACGGTGTGCTTTCCGGGCAGCAGGTGTTGTGACTGTAAAAAGATCACACATTTGTCAGTAACTATGTAGGATTTTTGGCACTGTTAAGAGCGTAGCATTATAAAGTCAGGGCAGCTAATAAAAATTCCCTCAACCAAATTTTTGATAAGTCTGAAATTAAAAAAAAATAATTTTTCTACCAAGCAAATTCTTGGTTCTCCATTCAGCCCTGCCTTTTAGAAAACTTACATCATTAAAAAACATTTTAAAAAAAGAATCACTTCACAGCAAGCAGATGAACATCTGGCAGCAAAGCAACATTAAAATGCCATCCTTTGAAAGGAAGAGCAAATACGTGACTTCTTCATGAAGAGTTCTTTCTGGCAGGGTGGAGGCTCACAGACTTTCTGTTTATGGACTTTTGCAGAAGTCGAAGGCTGAATTTGGACCTGCTTTTCCTGTATTTTCTCAGTTGCATCTGGGCAGTAAGCTAAGTATACAAGAAACGAGGGCCAACATGAAGACAGTGTGGTGCACCAGGTGACGAAGTAAATGTGCACGGGCTGTACTTTGAATCATCCTGTTAAAAACCAGTAGTGGGCCGGGCGCGGTGGCTCACGCCTGTAATCCCAGCACTTTGGGAGGCCGAGGCGTGCGGATCACGAGGTCAGGAGATCGAGACCATCCCGGCTAACACGGTGAAACCCCGTCTCTACTAAAAATACAAAAAATTAGCCGGGCGTGGTGGCGGGCGCCTGTGGTCCCAGCTACTTGGGAGGCTGAGGCAGGAGAATGGCGTGAACCCGGGAGGCGGAGCTTGCAGTGAGCCGAGATCCCGCCACTGCACTCCAGCCTGGGCGACAGAGCGAGACTCCGTCTCAACAACAACAAAAAAAAACCAGTAGTGGAAGTAGCTGAAGCCTTTCACATGTGACAAAAATATTTCAAAGTCAGTATAAACTGAATCATAAACCCATCAAAAAAGAACACGGAGGTCTTATTTCAATGTGTGTTTTCTCCCCCTTTCTCATTGTATGGAAACTTTATATTGAGAAAGAAAAAAATCAGATCTTGTAAAGCTTCAAATATTCCTCAAATTCTTCTCATATAAAAAAAATCTTATCAGGAAATTTAAAAACTTCAAAAATCATTTTTCTGCAAACACTTTTAAAAAACAGGAAGTGTATTTCATTACAATCTACATTTTTGTTTTTAAAATCCCTCACAAAAGTCTGTTGCTACACTGTAGAACGTATAAACAAGGCTGGAACTTTCCAGAGGGTGTGTGCTCTGGGACCCTCACTGAGCCTCCATGGGAGCCTCACTTTGCTGCCAACTCAGGCGCCCCACCCTGCTACTCAAGACCATTGAGGCCACGGGGTTTGCTGAAACTCCTCAAAAACTGACAAGTTTCCACTGGAGACACTGTGGAGAACATGGTCTCAGGGAAATAACTCTCTGGGGAAAGCAAGGGAGGGGAGAGGAGAGGAAGCATCACTGAAGGTATGTGTGTTCAAAAGGGAATCTGGCTAGATGATCAAGTCACTGTTCTCCAAGGACCGGAAACTTGCTTTAAATTAGATTTGGGGAGGCCCATCAATCTAAATGGTTTCTGTAAAAGACACACTCACATAAAAAGGAAAAACACAGAAGACAAATGGGTCCTTAATTTGGGGGAGGATATATTCCAACTTGGGGGAAGGGTGAAGGCATTTTAGCTCTGAAGCTCAATCATGACATTTCTAGAGAGTTCTGCAGTGCCCCCGCATTGGACAGGACAGGATGGAAGAGTGTGCTGGACTGGCTGGATTCCCCAGTGTCAAGCTGGCAGCGCTCCTGAGGTTCTTGAGTGTTTATCAACTCAGCAGGTCAAAAGTCTGCAGACACTGGGTGGAGCAGCAGTAAGCCACAAAACTAACAGTTGTCTTCCTGGAAGGGGAAAAAGGGAGAGAAGAACGCTGTGAGTTCAAGATTAAAGTCTCTGATTCTTTCTGCTGGAAACTTTTTTCTTTGTTAAAATGGAGGATTAGCCATGGTCAACAAACTGCATAATAGAAATTTAAATTTCCTTTTCAAACTGAGCACTGGAATCAGGTGAAGTATGTACATGTGAATGTTCATTTTATTTATTTATTTTTTGAATGTTCATTTTAATAGCAGCGTTCAGAAGATATATTATCCCTAAAGTAGAAACTAAGAAAAAAAAAAAAAACAAATGCCTTTTCCACATTACGTTTCGAACTCTGCTTTCTAGAACCAACAACGCAATCACAGAATTGAAGTCCATTATAAAAATCATGTAACAGAAAATGTCTCCAATTTAGCCAGAACACATATATACCACAGAGCTTAAACAACATAATTTTAAGGAATTTATCCTACAAATGTACGCATACACATAGGTTGCTCGTAGAGGTCATTTCAGAATCTGAATAATACAGTTCAAAGGTCTTCCCACATATCAGAGGTTTGGGCACCTTTGTGCGTGAGTCATGAGCCCCAGGGGGCCTCTGACCCACTCTGGACAGCTCCAGCTATTAGATGCCTTGTTTTCCTGCCAGAAGTGCTATCCTCTGGTAGAGGGAGAAGACTCTCTTGTTGTTTCCACAAGACCCCCTGTGCTGATTGTTTTCTATTTCCTCACCCCCAACACAGTCCGCCTTTCCCTGTGGCCCAGGAAGGGGACCTCTGTAGACTTTACCAGCAAAGTTGCCTCAACTCTAGCTTCTGGTTAGGCCAGCGAGAGGCACCAGCAGGAGGCACCAGCAGGGGGCTGAAGGGCAGGAAGAAGGAAGGTTGAGTATTTCCACCCCACTCCCTCTCTACCTCTGGGACTGGAGCTCCTATCAGGCAGGCCCCCTTTGCTACCTCTGGTTCTCGCCAGGCTCCAGAGAGAGCTCCCTTTGCCCTTCAGGCCCAAGGATTAAGCATGGTAAGGGCTTCCTACTGCTGTGAGTCCCTGCGTGCCTCAGTATCCTTCTGGGTGCTCTCCACCCTGCCCAAACTTCAGCCAATTGTCCTTCTTCATTAATTTCTCTTCAAAGTCTCAGCCAAATGTGCATTTTGTTTTCCAGCCCTGATGAATACAGTATGTGTTATGAGAAGTGGCCCAACGAAGCAGCTCATCCAAGTGAGATTCTGAAGTTGGGCTGGCGAGTACACGAATGGCTTTCTTACTAGAGAGAAGTGGGACCC
Source organism: Homo sapiens (assembly GCF_000001405.40). Classification (NCBI taxonomy): domain Eukaryota; kingdom Metazoa; phylum Chordata; class Mammalia; order Primates; family Hominidae; genus Homo; species Homo sapiens. The sequence continues at coordinate 99,384,763 of NC_000015.10, read as the reverse complement.
TGCTAATCTGTAGCATGTGGTGGCATCATGGTTACTCAAATATCACTGGAACAGAAGGTAACAGGAGGGAAAGGCATTGGGAAAGCAAGTGGCTGTGGCACTTGACTGCTATGGCATCACGGTGATTCCAAGTTTGTGGGGTGAGATGGCTTCTTTTGACTGTGCTGAAGAGATTCTGAAACGAAAACAATAAGCTTAGTGCCTTGAGATCTCAACTCAAGGCATGGACAGAGAATCAGAAAGTTTTTATGGTGGCCTTAAGTGAATCCTTATTTTATGAAGCTGCAAGGGACATGGCTGAGGCTAAATGTAGAGGTTTCAGGATCACATGCCAGATAAAGATATATTTATGCTAAGTCTCTTATGCTAAGGTAAAAGGTGCTGTTGAGAAAGAGTGGGAACTTGAGACTTGATATGGGAGCCTCTAGACAGGCACAAATCTAAGAGCCTTGACTCCCTAGCATCTCTAAACATTTCTTCATATCAGAAACAGACCTTTCCACCTTCTACGAAAACTAGCATTCCCTTGGGTAAAAATGTTTCAATGGCTTCCCCTGGGGTGGTTACCTAAAAACTTTTCAGGACCCACCACCATCAATACTCATCGCCTCTAGGGCCAAAAAGGGTAAAATCCTAGCATGATCCAGAGATCATTGAAAGGTCTACTCCTGGAGGAAATCACATACACGCTGATGGAGTTGCAGGATCTTGTCAAATTATATTAGCAGGAACCTGGAGGGCACGCATGGAAACGGATTCTAAGTACATTGGCCAGCAAGAATGAATGTAAGATTGGATCAGGCCAACAGGGGTACTTCACCTATACCTCAGAATATGATACATTAAGCACCTGGGAATGGTTAACAGAAGCCTTGACTCATTGCAGGCCAACAGCTAATGAGACAGCTATGCTAGACTCCCCTTGCAGATTCTAGAGGGAGGATAAATGGGAATGCAGAGAGGACCCAGGGTGGCGGACCCTGCTCAGCCACCTCCTGAAAATCTCCAGGAGGGCCAAGAAGTCTTTTTCTTCCCTAAGCCTAAATGTATTTGCAAGGGGGAATACAAACTGGAAGTAGCAAGCACCCTTGATGCCTTCATAGATATACGATTATCAGAGGTGAGAGAGAAAAATCCTGCAAGAGTTCATATGCCTACTACATCAGTGCAGTTTCAAATGGAAAAGAAGAGTTGTATCCAGAACTGCCCACTACAGAGAAACAGACACACACTTGGTGGATCCCTCTGGATTTTGGGGGAAAATATATTTAGGTGGAACTTCTGGTTCTGCCAAGATGGGGTAGGCCCCATTCTTCCCAGGTCTTCCCCCCTCCACCTGAAACACTCTGGACAAAATACAACAAATAAGCACAGGCAAGCTTTGAAAGGGAGAACCAAGGCAGACAGCCTAGGGACAGTGGGACTTGAGGAACAACGCAGTGCTGGCACGTTCCCTGGGTACCTTATTGCCCTCTATATCTTAAATAGGATGCTGTAGAAGCCTCCAATCCAGAATCAGTAACAGGCACAGATGCAATTGGCTCCAAGTAAAGCCCATGCCCCCAAGCCAAAGGCCAGAGACAGGAAAATCTACAGAGACAGAAAGTAGATAAGCCTAGGGCTAGGTATGATGGGGACAGAGGGACAGGGGCAAGAGCTAAATGTTCAGGGTTTCCGTATGGGTGAGAAAATGTTCTGAAATGGATTAGGGTGAGGGTTGCGCATATCGCTGAATGTACTAAGAAACACTGAGTTGTATACTTTAAATGGGTGAAATTGTATGATACGTGAATTATCTCAATAAAGCTGTTAAGAAATAAGAGAGATGAAAGGAGAAATAGATAAATCCAAAAATAGAATTGGGGACTTCAATACCTTACTCTCAGCAACTGATATACTAGATAGAAAATTAGTATAAGTATAGAAAAACTGAATAACACAACAAATTAAAAATCTGACATATACAGAACACTATCCAACAGCAGCAGAATCTACGTTGTTTTTTTCAAATGCCCATGGACCATATACCAAGTCACAGCTGAGATTTGCCCACCTGGACAGAGCTGCTAGAGCCATAAACAGGTAGGAACACTTAAATGAGAATGTTTACAAAATCTGGGCATAAAACCACACCTTAAAAAATTTAAAAGATATCAGACAAATTATGTTCTCAAACTACAATGGAATTAAACTAGAAATCAATAAAAGATAGCTGGAAAATTCCTAAATATTTTGAAATTAAACAACTTAATTCTAAATATCTAGGTGAAAGAAGAAATCTGAAGAGAAATAAAACAAATTTTCGGCGGTTCCAAGATGGCCGAATAGGAACAGCTCCAGTCTACAGCTCCCAGTGTGAGAGATGCAGAAGATGGGTGATTTCTGCATTTCCAACTGAGCAAACGGCACACCAGAAGATTATATCCCATGCCTGGCTGGGAGGGTCCCATGCCCACGGAGCCTCGCTCATTGCTAGCACAGCAGTCTGAGATCCATCTGCAAGGTGGCAGTGAGGCTGGGGGAGGGGCACCCACCATTGCTGAGGCTTGAGTAGGTAAACGAAGCAGCCAGGAAGCTCGAACTGGGTGGAGCCCACCGCAGCTCAAGGAGGCCTGCCTACCTCTGTAGACTCCACCTCTCGGGGCAGGGCATAGCCAAACAAAAGGCAGCAGAAACCTCTGCAGACTTAAATGTCCCTGTCTGACAGCTTTGAAGTGAGTAGTGGATCTCCCAGCACGGAGTTTGAGATCTGAGAACGGACAGACTGCCCCCTCAAGTGGGTCCCTGACCCCTGAGTAGCCTAACTGGGAGGCACCCTCCAGTAGGGGCAGACTGACACCTCACACAGCTGGGTACCCCTCTGAGATGAAGCTTCCAGAGGAACAATCAGGCAGCAACATTTGCTGTTCAGCAATATTTGCTGTTCTGCAGCCTCTGCTGCTGATACCCAGGCAAACAGGGTCTGCAGTGGACCTCCAGCAAACTCCAACAGACTGGCAGCTAAGGGTCCTGACTGTTAGAAGAAAACTAACAAACAGAAAGGACATCCACACCAAAACCCCATCTGTAAGTCACCATCATCAAAGACCAAAGGTAGATAAAACCACAAAGATGGGGAAAAAACAGAGCAGAAAAGCTGAAAACTCTAAAAATCAGAGCACCTCTCCCCCTCCAAAGGAACACAGCTCCTCGCCAGCAACGGAACAAAGCTGGATGGAGAATGACTTTGACGAGTTGAGAGAAGAAGGCTTCAGAAGATCAAACTTCTCCAAGCTAAAGGAGGAAGTTCGAACCCATCGCAAAGAAGCTAAAAACCCTGAAAAAAGATTAGACGAATGGCTAACTAGAATAACCAATATAGAGAAGTCCTTAAATGACCTGATGGAGCTGAAAAACATGGCGCGAGAACTACATGACAAATGCACAAGCTTCAGTAGCCGATTTGATCAACTGGAAGAAAGGGTATCAGTGATTGAAGATCAAATGAATGAAATGAAGTGAGAAGAGAAGTTAAGAGAAAAAAGAGTAAAAAGAAACAAACAAAGCCTCCAAGAAATATGGGACTATGTGAAAAGACCAAATCTACGTCTGATTGGTATACTTGAAAGTGATGGGGAGAATGGAACCAAGCTGAAAAACACTCTGCAGGATATTATCCAGGAGAAATTCCCCAACCAAGCAAGGCAGGCCAACATTCAAATTCAGGAAATACAGAGAACACCACAAAGATACTCCTCGAGAAGAGCAACTCCAAGATACATAATTATCAGATTCACCAAAGTTGAAATGAAGGGAAAAATGTTAAGGGCAGCCAGATAGAAAGGTCGGGTTACCCACAAAGGAAAGCCCATCAGACGAACAGCGGATCTCAGCAGAAACTCTACAAGCCAGAAGAGAGTGGGGACCAACAGTCAACATTCTTAAAGAAAAGAATTTTCAATCTAGAATTTCATATCCAGCCAAATTAAGCTTCATAAGTGAAGGAGAAATAAAATCCTTTACAGACAAGCAAATGCTGAGAGATTTTGTCACCACCAGGCCTGCCCTACAAGAGCTCCTGAAGGAAGCACTAAACATGGACAGGAACAACTGGTACCAGCCACTGCAGAAACATGGCAAATTGTAAAGACCATAGATGCTAGGAAGAAACTGCATCAACTAACAAGCAAAATAACCAGTTAACATCATAATGACAGGATCAAATTCACACATAACAATATTAACCTTAAATGTAAATGGGCTAAATGCTCCAATTAAAAGACAGACTGGCAAATTGGATAGAGTCAAGACCCATCAGTGTGCTTTATTCAGGAGACCCATCTCATGTGCAGAGACACACACAGGCTCAAAATAAAGGGATGGAGGAAGATCTACCAAGCAAATGGAAAACAAAAAAAGGCAAGGGTTGCAATCCTAGTCTCTGACAAAACAGACTTTAAACCAACAAAGATCAAAAGAGACAAAGAAGGCCATTACATAATGGTAAAGGGATCAATTCAACAAGAAGAGCTAACTATCCTAAATATATATGCACCCACAACAGGAGCACCCAGATTCATAAAGCAAGTACTTACAGACCTAGAAAGAGTCTTAGACTCCCACACAATAATAAGGGGAGACTTTAACACCCCACTGTCAACATTAGACAGATCAACGAGACAGAAAGTTAACAAGGATATCCAGGAATTGAACTCAGCTCTGCACCAAGTGGATCTAATAGACATCTACAGAACTCTCCACCCCAAATCAACTATACATTCTTCTCAGCACCACATCACACTTATTCAAAAATTGACCACATAGTTGGAAGTAAAGCATTCCTCAGCAAATGTAAAAGAACAGAAATTACAACAAACTGTTTCTCAGACCACAGTGCAATCAAACTAGAACTTAGGATTAAGAAACTCACTCAAAACTCCTCAACTACATGGAAACTGAACAACCTGCTCCTGAATGACTACTGGGTACATAACGAAATGAAGGCAGAAATAAAGATGTTCTTTGAAACCAATGGGAACAAAGACACAACATACCAGAATCTCTGGGACACATTTAAAGCAGTGTGTAGAGGGAAATTTATAGCACTAAATGCCCACAAGAGAAAACAGGAAAGATCTAAAATTGACACCCTAACATCACAATTAAAAGAATTAGAGAAGCAAGAGCAAACACATTCAAAAGCTAGCAGAAGCCAAGAAATAACTAAGATCAGAGCAGAACTGAAGGAGATAGAGACAGAAAAAACCCTTCAAAAAATCAATCAATCCAGGAGCTGGTTTTTTGAAAAGATCAACAAAATTGATAGACTGCTAGCAAGACTAATAAAGAAGAAAAGGGAGAAGAATCAAACAGATGCAATAAAAAATGATAAAGGGGATATCACCAGCGATCCCACAGAAATACAAACTACCATCAGAGAATACTATAATTAACACCTCTACGCAAATAAACTAGAAAATCTAGAAGAAATGGATAAATTCCTGGACACATACACCCTCCCAAGACTAAACCAGGAAGAAGTTGAATCCCAGAGTACACCAATAACAGGCTCTGAAATTGAGGCAATAATTAATAGCCTACCAACCAAAAAAAGTCCAGGACCAGACAAATTCACAGCTGAATTCTACCAGAGGTACAAGGAGGAGCTAGTACCACTCGTTCTGAAACTATTCCAATCAACAGAAAAAGGGAATCCTCCCTAACTCATTTTATGAGGCCAGCATCATCCTGATACCAAAGCCTGGCGAGACACAACAAAAAAAGAGAATTTTAGACCAATATCCCTGAAGAACATTGAGGCAAAAATCCTCAATAAAATACTGGGAAACCGAATCCAGCAGCACATCAAGAAGCTTATCCACCATGATCAAGTGGGCTTCATCCCTGGGATGCAAGGCTGGTTCAACATATGCAAATCAATAAATGTAATCCATCATATAAACAGAACCAAAGACAAAAATCACATGATTATCTCAATAGATGCAGAAAAGGCCTTCAACAAAAGTCAACAGCCCTTCATGCTAAAAACTCTAAATAAATTAGGTATTGATGGGATGTATCTCAAAATAATAAGAGCTATTTATGACAAACCCACAGCCAATATCATACTGAATGGGCAAAAACTGGAAGCATTCCCTTTGAAAACTGGCACAAGACAGGGATGCCCTCTCTCACCACTCCTATTCAACACAGTGTTGGAAGTTCTGGCCAGGGCAATCAGGCAGGAGAAATAAATAAAGGGTACTGAATTAGGAAAAGAGGAAGTCAAACTGTCCCTGTTTGCAGATGACATGATTGTATATTTAGAAAACCCCATCGTCTCAGCCCAAAATCTCCTTAAGCTGATAAGCAACTTCAGCAAAGTCTCAGGATACAAAATCAATGTGCAAAAATCACAAGCATTCTTATACACCAATAGCAGACAGAAAGCCAAATCATGAGTGAACTCCCATTCACAATTGCTTCAAAGAGAATAAAATACCTAGGAATCCAACTTACAAGGGATGTGAAGAACCTCTTCAAGGAGAACTACAAACCACTGCTCAACGAAATAAAAGAGGACACAAACAAATGGAAGAATATTCCATGCTCATGGATAGGAAGAATCAATATCATGAAAATGGCCATACTGCCCAAGGTAATTTATAGATTCAATGCCATTCCCATCAAGCTACCAATGACTTTCTTCACAGAATTGGAAAAAACTACTTTAAAGTTCATATGGAACCAAAAAAGGGCCTGCATTGCCAAGACAATCCTAAGCCAAAAGAACAAAGCTGGAGGCATCATGCTACCTGACTTCAAACTATAATACAAGGATATAGTAACCAAAACAGCATGGTACTGGTACCAAAACAGAGCTATAGACCAATGGAACAGAACAGAGCCCTCAGAAATAATGCCACACATCTACAACCATCTGATCTTTGACAAACCTGACAAAAACAAGAAATGGGGAAAGGATTCCCTATTTAATAAATGGTGCTGGGAAAACTGGCTAGCCATATGTAGAAAGCTGAAACTGGATCCCTTCCTTACACCTTATACAAAAATTAATTCAAGATGGATTAAAGACTTAAACATTAGACCTAAAACCATAAAAACCCTAGAAGAAAACCTAGGCAATACCATTCAGGACATAGGCATGGGCAAGGACTTCATGTCTAAAACACCAAAAGCAATGGCAACAAAAGCCAAAATTGACAAATGGGATCTATTTAAACTAAAGAGCTTCTGCACAGCAAAAGAAACTACCATCAGAGTGAACAGGCAACCTATAGAATGGGAGAAAATTTTTGCAATCTACTCATCTGGCAAAGGGCTAACATCCAGAATCTACAAAGAACTCAAACAAATTTACAAGGAAAAAACAGACCCATCAAAAAGTGGGCAAAGGATATGAACAGACACTTCTCAAAAGAAGACATTTATGCAGCCAAAAAACACATGAAAAAATGCTCATCATCACTGGCCATCAGAGAAATGCAAGTCACAACCACAATGAGATACCATCTCACACCAGTTAGAATGGCGATCATTAAAAAGTCAGGAAACAACAGGTGCTGGAGAGGATGTGGAGAAATAGGAATACTTTTTACACTGTTGGTGGGACTGTAAACTAGTTCAACCATTGTGGAAGTCAGTGTGGCAATTCCTCAAGGATCTAGAACTAGAAATACCATTTGACCCAGCAATCCCATTACTGGGTATATACCCAAAGGATTATAAATCAAGCTGCTATAAAGACAAATGCACACGTATGTTTATTGCGGCACTATTCACAATAGCAAAGACTTGGAACCAACCCAAATGTCCATCAATGATAGACTGGATTAAGAAAATGTGGCACATATACACCATGGAATACTCTGCAGCCATAAAAAAGGATGAGTTCATGTCCTTTGTAGGGCCATGGATGAAGCTGGAAACCATCATTCTCAGCAAATTATCACAAGGACAGAAAACCAAACACCACATGTCCTCACTCATAGGTGGGAATTGAACAATGAGAACACATGGACACAGGAAGGGGAACATCACACACCAGGGCCTGTTGTGGGGTGGGGGGAAGTGGGAGGGATAGCATTAGGAGTACATTAGGTATATACCTAATGTAAATAATGAGTTAATGAGTGCAGCACACCAACATGGCACATGTATACATATGTAACAAACCTGCACGTTGTGCACATGTACCCTAGAACTTACAGTATAAAAAATTTTTTTTCAACTAAATGAAAATAAAATACTAGTCATCAAAAAGTAATAGGATGCAGCCAAAGCAGTACTTAAAGGAAAACTTACAGTACTAAACACACATACTAGAAAAGAAAGGTCTAAAATCAATAACTCATATTTCTACCAGGAAACTACAGAATGAAGAACAATTTAAGTTTAAAGCAAGGAAAAATCATAGAGTATGTTCTTTGACTATAATAGAATCAAACTAGAAACCAATAACAAAAAGACAAGAGGAAAATCTTCAAACACATAGAAATTAAACACCACAGTTCTTTGACCCATGGATCAAATGACCACACTTCCATAGGTCAAAAAGGAAATCTCAAAGGAACTTAAAACATACACAAACTGAAAGAAGATGAAAATACGATTCAAAAATCAAAGATTTTGGTACATAGCTAGAGACAGTAGTGCTGAGGGAAATTTATAGTACTAAATGCTTACATTACAAAGAAGCCTAGATTATTGATTTGAGACTTTTCCTCTTTTCTAGTGTAAGTACTTAGTGCTATAAATGTCCTCTTTTAGCTTTTAAAAACCTAAAAAAAGGACAAAATAAGCCCAAAGCAAGCAGAAGAATAGTAAATAATAAAGAGGAGAAACCAATGAAATCAATCACTAGGATTATGAATAACAATAAAACTGATAAATCTTGACCAAGACTGACAAAAAGAGAGAACACACGAATTAATATTAAAAATGAAGGAGGTGATATCACCACAGATCCTACAGCCATTAAAAAGATGTATAGGAATACCAGGGACAACTTTATACTAATAAATCTGACAACTTCAAAGAAACAGACCAGTGTCTAGAAAACTACAAACTACCAAAACTCAACTGAGATGAAATAGACAACCTGAATAGTCCTACAACCATTAAATAAATTGAATTTATAATTTAAAAAAGAATACAAACTTCCCTGCCCAGATAGTTTCACTGGAGAATTCTAACAAAGAGTAAAAAGATAAATTTTTGAAAAGTTTTACACAATTTCTTCAGGAAAAAGCAGAAGAAGAAGAACACTTCCTAACTCATTTAATAAGGCCATTATTATCCTGAATCCAGAACCAGACAAGGATAATACAAAAACAGAAAATTACAGACCAGTATCTTTCATGAACAAAGATTTTAAAATCTTCAACAAAGTATTAACAAATTAAAGAAATGTACAAAAAGAATTACACATCATGATCAAGTGGGAGTTATTCCAGGAGTGTGAGGCTAGTTCAATATTTGATAATCAGTATCACCCACCATATCAACAGGCAAAAGAAAAACCATATGATCATATCAATGGACTCAGAAGCAGCATTTAACAAAATAGAACACTTTTCCTTGATTAAAACTCTCAGCAAACTACATAGAGAGGAAATCTTCCTTAATTTAATAAAGAGAACATACCAAAAACCCCTGCTTATCAGTAGGGTTAACACATTATACTTAACAGATTAAAATTATATTACACTTAACACATTATATGTATTATTATAGTTAACACATTATACTTAACAGTGAAACACTGAGTGTTTTCCCTTTAAGACTGGGAACAAGGCAGCTGGGTGCGGTGGCTCATGCCTGTAATCCCAGCACTTTGGGAGGCTGAGGTGAGCAGATCACGAGGTCAGGAGATCGAGATCATCTTGACTAATACAGTAAAACCCTGTCTCTACTAAAAAAAAAAAAATTTAGCCAGGCGTGGTGGTGGGCGCCTGTAGTCCCAGCTACTTGGGAGGCTGAGGCAGGAGAATGGTGTGAACCCAGGAGGCAGAGTGAGCCGAGATCATGCCACTGCACTCCAGCCTGGGCGACAGAGTAAGACTCCATCTCAAAAAAAAAAAAGAGATTGGAACAAGGCAAGGATGTCTATTTTCACAACCTTAGTCAGCATAGTACTCAAAGTCCTAACCACTGCTATAAGGCAAGAAAAAGAAATAAAGGCATACAGATTGGAAGGGAAGAAATAAAACTATTCCTTAGCAGACAGCATGACATGATTTTCTATGCAGAAAATCCCAAGGCATCTACAAAAAATACTCCTAGAACTAATATGCCAGTTCAGCAAGGCTGTAAGATATACAGTCGAAATATGAAAATCAGTAACATTCCCAGATGCTAACAATGAACACATGGAAATTGAAATTTTAAAACACAGTATCATTTACAAGCACACAAAAAAGTGAAATATTTTGATATAAACTTAGGAAAACGTTTAATGATTTATATGCTGAAAATTATTTAAGATGCTGACGAAAGAAGTAAAAGACCTAAATAAATGGAGAGACGCATCATGTTCATACATTAGAAAACTCAACATAGCATATATGTCAACCGTTTCCAAATTAATCTATAAAGTTAAAGCAATTCTTATGAAAATCTCAACAAGGCTTTTTGGAGACAAAGATAAATTTATTCTAAAAATCAGTGGAAAAGTGTAGGGCCTAGAATAGCTAAAAAAATCCTGAAAGGGAAAAGCAAAGTAGAAGTATCACTCAACCTGATATTAAGGCCTACCATAATCTAAACTATAGTAATTAAGACAGTTTGCTATTGACTAAGAGATAGACACAGATCAAGTGAATGGAACAGAGAATTATAATACAATTATATTAACAGAGATTTATATAGGCTTCATGACCTTGGGGGTAGGTAAAGATTTCTTAGAACACAAAAAGCATTACTATAAAATTGAAATGGATTAATTTAACTTTATCAAAACAGAAGACTTGTTTTCAAATGACATCTTTAGGAAAGCGAAAAGGCAAGCATCACTTTTGAATTTTTTTCTTAACTCAGGAAATTCTGTAAATTTTGAGTTATTAGATACTTTTGCATTACCTCTAATTTTAAAAAATTAAAGTTGGCTGGGTAACGGTTAATGGGTACAAAAAGTAATCAGAAAGAATGAATAAGACCTAGTATTTGATAGCACAACAGGGTGACTACAGTCAGTAATTGTGCATTTTAAAGTAACTAAAATTGTATAATTGCATTGTTAGTAATACAAAGAATAAATGCTTGAGGGAATGTGATTTTCATGATGTGATTATTATGCATTGCATGCCTGTATCAAACATCTCAAGTACCCCATAAATATATATATCTACTATGTACCCACAAAAATTAGAAATGAAAAAAATTTTAAAAATAATTTTTTTTAAAAAATGAAGTTGGTTAGAACCCTAGTTCCAATAATTTTTATGCTACACCAGGATGTATACATTTGAATAAATCACAATTGAAAAGAACCACAGACATAAAAAGTGCATTTTGGGGGATTCGCTGATGAAACTTAACACAAGGAGCAAAAGATAATTATGTTAAATGCAAATCATTCATACAAGGGATACATTTCATACCACAGCCATTTAGTTTTTAAAAATAAAGCTCCTCATATGGTTTAGCTGCGTCCCCACCCAAATATCATCTTGAATTGTAATTCCCATAATCCCCATGTGTCGTGGGAAGGACCCGGTGGGAGGTGATTAAATCATGGGGGGGTGGTTACCCCCATGCTCCTGTTTGCGTGATAGTGAGTGAGTTCTCATGAGATCTGATGGTTTTATAAGGGTCGTTTCCCTCTTTGCTCAGCAGTTCTCTCTCCTGCTGCCATGTGAAGGACATGTTTGCTTCCCCTCGAGCCATGATTGTTAAGTTTCCTGAGGCCTCCTCAGCCATGTGGAACTGTGAGTCAATTAAACCTCTTTCCTTTATGAATTACCCAGTCTTGGGTATTTCTGCACAGCAGCATAAGAACGGACTAAAACAGCTCCCAAGCAAAAGCATTCAATTCCATGAAGATACGGGATTTACACTCATTAAAGGATAATGTCCTTTGGATCATCATTAACTACTTATGAAGCTCACGGGGGTGGAGTAACCTGGAGGTTTCATATTTGTGCAACAAATAAATCCCAAGGCTGTGTACTTATTTGCTTTTGGGAGACTCATCTAATAACATATTGTATCTGCTTGTTGTATTAATAATCTGAGTTATTACAAGTACACCAACCAATCTGCTGCCTTAAGAATGGATTCATGTTGGTTAAGTCCTTTAAAATCCAGAACTGTGGCACCAGAGACATCAGAGGTCTGGGGAAACACTTTGAGCTAAGCAATAAGCTCTACAGTTAAGAAAAAGATGCTGATAAATTCTACAAAGAACATCAGACATGACATTTGTTGCTTTAGAATCTTTGAGCATATTTACAGGCAAGGCAGAAGAAAGAGCATTTCAGCTTGGTTTTAAAATACAGAAATACCACTATTCCTTAAAAGAACGAATCACAATGCTGTTGGCACATATTGGAGCCCACAAAAATCATAAGAAATGTGCGATTTTTTCTGCAAATATGTTTCCTGATTAAAAACACAAAGCATATATTTGACTCGTACAGGAAGTCAAGCCAAAAGAAAAAATAGTATTTATAAGACAAAGTTAAAATCCTGAGCTTGTGTACATATTAACTTACTCAAGAATCATCTAATAACATATTGTATCTGCTTGTTGCATTTATGTTAGTAGTGACTGTCTCTCATGGGAAGATTCTGTGTGCAGAAACAGAAACAGAAATGTCAAGCAGACTTCTTTCTTGATTGTGTCATTGCCCTAGACATTAGGAATGAGATATGTATGAGAAAAGAATTAGGTGGTGGGGTCAAAGCAGAATTTTCAGTACCTACTGCAGAGCACAGCCCATGACAGATGGTCAACAAATAATTTTTGAATGTTGTAAGGAGGAAGAAACAGCTAAGAACAATTTACTTAAATTTTTGAAGACTATTTCACTTGTGGGAAATTTCATAAGTCACCTTAAGAGGGTGCCAACGAATAGGCTTCTGCCAAAAGGAAAAACAAAATCCCCAAAATGAGTATGCAAATAATGTTGGTGTGACTGATATTACTTGGCTTCAAAGAAGCAATAGCCACAAAAAGCAAGGGTAAGGAAATATGAAACATTTCATAAGTGAGGAAACCAGATAAGAATTATATAAAAGAGCTTATTTTAAAAATAAACTACTAGTGAGTGGGAGAAGGGAGTATTAGTTGTTTTGAAAGACAAAAGGAAACTGTAAGACCAAGTCAGTTTTGCAGGCCCTCTAACAAACAGGTCTTTACCTCAAGGCACAACAATCACTCAGACATGTGGCACTCTCATAGAATCACTCCGGCCCAGAAGACCAAGAATTCCTGAAAGAACCAAGCTATGTAAATCTGAGCTTGAAAGTGGCCTGATTGAAGCCCATGGAGCCCTCACCTACCACAGCACCCGGCTGGCAGTAGATGTTCGAAGTGTGTTTGCTAACCAACTGGATAAATTAATAAACAAGAGGATGAGTCTTTTGAGTTACTTGGAAGTAACCTGAAAATTTTTTTTACAAGAAGCCATTGGCATACTAATGTTTTGTTTTTGTTTTTGAGAGAGTCTTGCTCTGTCACCCACCCTGGAGTGCAGTGGCGCGATCTCAGCTCACTGCAACCTCTGTCTCCCAGGTTCAAGCAATTCTGCCTCAGCCTCCCAGTAGCTGGGATTACAGGCACTTGGCATACTAATGTTTTAATAATTAAAAATATTTTTAATTTCTAAAGCAAATACCAGTTTGTTACAAAAATTTAACACTACTCAAAGGAAACCACTGTTACTTTGGTGTATGAGTCCTTCCCAAGACTTTTTCTATATATACACAATTGTTTCAATATGTGTGTATGTGCATGTATTTACTATATATGTGCACATAGATATACACATATATTCACACCTATAATTGCTTGACAAAGACTGGATCACACTATGCAATCTTTTATGTAACTTGCTTAATAACATTTGTAATTGAACAAAAAAATTTGCCATAACAATCTTTCCTTTTCTTTTTTAATATGTATACAGTTTTAGGCAAAGGGCTTTTTCAATGCCTCTAGAAATAATTTTTTTTCAAATATTGTTTTGTAGATTTGTAAAATTATATCCCAAGTATATGGAGTTGAAAATGAAAGTTCTCCTTCCACCTGACTACCTCATAACTCCACATTCCCCCCTTCCCAAGATACTCATAGTAAAGAGTTGGAGCTCCATCCTTCTGGACTTTTTAGTGCAAACACCCAAACCATACACACACACACGTGTGCATGTGTGTATATGTACATACGTACACATACACATATATTTCGAAAGTACCTTGTTCATAATGTTAGAGAATATTTAATTTTGTATTTATGAGTTTATGAGTTGAAAGTATATTTAAACTCATTATTTACAAGTTTATTTATTTCGAGATTTCTCTATGCTAATATGCTGGTCCACTTAGTAGCTAATTGAACAGCACAGTGGCTAAAACACAGATTTGGAGCCAGACTATTGGGGTTCAAATCCCAGCTCTGCTATGACACCTTGGCCCAGTTTGCAATCTTCCTGTACCTGTTTGCCCTGTAAAAGGGATATCACAGGTTGGACCATACGCATATGACTTGTATGATTCAACTTAATGATAGTACCTATCTTACAGTACTAAGAAAAGTAAAATAGCTCAACTTCCAAACTAGATCTCTTTATCCCCAGGACTACTGGTTCTTCCATTGCACGCCATGGCTTATTACACAAAAGCAGAGATAACACAGCAATAAAGCCTGAATGCACTCTGTACTACCCGTTATGGCTAAAGCTTAACCCAGCAATATGGGAAGAACCATTGGGTTACCGGCCTACCTACAGTTCCTGTCTCAAAATACCCTGGTGATTAAAGTAAGACCTTTTAGTTAATTTTATGTGTCAACTTGGTTAGGTTATGGAGCCCATTTGTTTGGTCAAATACTAGCCTAGCTGTTGCTGTAAAGGCATTTTTTAAAGATATGATTAATATTTAAATCAGTACACTCTGAGTTGAGCAGATTACCCTCCATAGTGTGGGTGGGCCTCATCCAATTAGTTGAAGGCCTTAAGAGCAACAAAGTAGAAGGTATTCTCCCTAAGACTGCAATAAAGAATCCCTGCCTAAGTTTCCAGCCTGGTGCCCCGCAGAATTCAGACTCAACACTGCAACTTCAACTCTAACCTCAACGTCCAGGCCGCCAGTCTGCCCCAGTTCTGAACGCGCCAGCCTTTGCAATTGTGTGAGCCAATTTCTTAAAATCAGTCATTCTCTCTCTTTCAATGTGAGAAATTTTGCTATCAGGAAGTGGGATGCTGCTGTGACAAATACCTAAAAATGTGGAAGTGGCTTTGACATGAAGTAATGAATAGAGGCTGGAAGAATTTTGAGGTGAGTGATAGAAAAGAGATTATTGGGAGAAATAAAGAAGAATCTAGTGAGGGCTCACAAAAGAAAGGCAGGAGCTATAAAGTTTCTAATGTCTTAGAAAATACATTGTCAGGAACAGAATGTTGCTAGAAATAAAAATGTTAAAGATGCTTCTGGTGAGGTCTCAGACTGCAAATGAGGAATGTATTATTGGAAACTGGAAGAAAGGTGATCCTTGTTATAAAGTAGCAAAGGACTTGAGTGAATTGTGTTCTGTTGGATGGAAAGCAGAATTTGTAAGTGATAACTTGGATATTTGGCTGAGGAGATTTCTAAGCAAAGTGTTGAAGGCACAGCTTGGTTTCTTCTTGCTGCTTATAGATGTGAGTAAAATACAAGAGGAGAGAGATGAATTGAGCACATTATTATTAAGCATAAGGAACCAGAACTTGAAGATTTGGAGAATTCTCAGCCTATTCATATTGTAAAACATGAAAGAGAACACCAACAGTGTGGCTGGACAATGGTTTGCAAACAGATTAGGTATGTGACTTCTGGATCATCAACTATTTCAGCAAAAATACTGCTAGCTTGTACTGAACAGGACAGAAATGGGATGAGATGAAGAAATGCTGTCAGACTTCTGGGATTTTAGGCAGGATGGCCAAAAGAACTACCTAGATGCAAACATATGTTATACTTAAAGAGAAGAAAAAGCCCAAGGGTAGGGCAACCTTCTCAATTCCAGGGGCAGGGCAACCTCTTTGGTTCATCCAGGACTAAGGGGGTGTGATTGCCACCCCACTGGGCCCAGAGAACAGAGTGTGGAGCCAAAGAGGATTATTCTTAAGCCTTAAAATCTAATGGAATTTCACCTTCTAGATTTTAGACTTGAGACCTGTGACCCCTTTTTTTCCTTCTAGCATTCTCACTTGTGGAATAGGAATGTCTATCCTATTCCTGTCCCAACATTACATGCTAGAAGCAGATAAATTGTTATCTGGTTTCATAGGTTCATAGCTGGAGAGTTTTGCCCCAGGATGAATTATGTCCTGACCCATACCTGATTTAGATATTTAAGATGAGATTTTGAACTTAAGGGTTGATGCTGAAATAGATTTAGGACTTTCTGGGCATGGGATGGGGTGAATTCATTCTGCATGTGAGGACATGAGTTTTGGGGGATGTGGTATTGTGAAATATATATTTAGTCTTAGACCCTGTTTCCTGACATATGGCTCCTAAAACTCTGAAATCTCCTAAGTGATTAGAGTATCATTCATATGCTAATGAGACAACTGGTGGCTTGGGAATCCCTGGGTAGCTTCAGGATGTGTGCTGGTCACCAGAAAGACCAAGACACAATTAGAGGGTTGGGACTTTTAGCCCCATCCTTGACCTTTGGGGAGGGGAGGGGGGCTGAAAGTTGTGCCAATCACCAATCATCAATGGTTTAATTAATCATGTCTATGTAATGAAGCCTCCATAAAAGCCCAAAGGACTGGGTTTGGAGAGCTCTGGGATAGCTGGAAGATGGCATGCCCAGAGAAGGCATGAAAATTCCATATTTATTCCCACAAGCCTTGCTTTATACGTCTCTTCTATCTGGCTGTTCACCTGTATCTTTTATAATAAACCAGTGAACTCAAGTGCTATGGTTTGAATGTCCCCTCCAAAGTTTATGTTGACATTTAATTGCCAATATGACAATATTAGAAGGTAAGGCCTTTAAGAGGTGATTAGGTCATGAGAGCTCTGCCCTCATGAGTGCCATTATCACAGGAGTGGGTTAGTTATCGTGGGAGGGGGTTCCTGATGAAAAGGACAAGTTTGGTCTGATTTTCTTTGTCTCTTGTGCCTGCTGCCCTTCTGACATGTTATGATGCAGCAAGATGGCCCTCACCAGACGTGGCCACTCGATCTTGGACTTCCCAGGCTCCAAAAGCATGAGCCAAATAAACCTCTTTTCTTTATAAATTACCCAATCTCAATTACTCTGTCATAGCAGAATAAAACAGATAAAACAGTTACGTGTTTCCATGAGCTCTGTGAGCCACTCTAACAAATTAACTGAACATGAGAAGGAGGTATTGGGAACCCTGATTTTATAGCTGGTTGGTCAGAAGTACAGGTGACAATCTACAACTTGCAACTAGCATCTTAAGTGGAGGCAGTCTTGTGGGACTGAGCCCTTAACCTGTGGGATCTAATGCTATCTCCAGTAAGATAGTGTCTAGAAACTGATGGCCTTACAGGACACCCAGCTAGTGTCTACTGGAGAACTGACTGACTGGTTGCTGGTGGGGAGAACTTCCCACAAATTTTGGTGACAAGAAGTGAAACATTCAGTGTTATATTCAGTATTGAGTGACTATGTAAGAGCAGGAGAAAACATTTTTTTTTATCTCAGTGGGGCCAGAACGCAGACTGTTATGGGTTGAATTGTATAGCCCCCAAAATTCCTGTGCTTTAGTCCTAACCTCTAGTACCTCATAATGTGACTATTATGGACTGGACTGTTTCCTTCCTAAATTCATATGTTGAAGCCCAAACCCCCAGTGTGAGGGCATTTGGAGAGGAGGTCTTTGGGAGATAATTGGTTTAAATGAGGTCATGAGGTGGAATCCTCATGATAGGATTTGTGCCCTTATAAGAAGAGACATTCTCTGCCATGTAAGGAGACGATGAGAAGTTGGTTGCCTGCAAGCTAGGAAGAGAGCCCTCACCAGAACGCAACCATGCTGACCCCTTGATTTCAGACTTCTTTCCTCCAGAACTATGGGAAAATAATTTCTGCTGTTTAAGCCACCCTGTCATTTTGTTATGGCAGCCTGTGCTGACTAATATAGAGACCTTATTTGGGAACAATGTCCTTGCATATATAATAGTTAGGTAAGATGAGGTCATTAGGGTAGGCCCTAATCCAATATGAATGGTGTCCTTATAAAAAGAGAAAACTTGTGCACAGAGACAGACATTCATAAAGAGAAAATGATGTGAAGAGACGAAGGGAGAAGATGGTCATCTACAAGCCATGGAGGCCTGGAACAGATCCCTCCCTCACAGCCTCAGAAGGAACCAACCCTGCTGACACCTTGATCTTGGACTTCCAGCCTCCAAAACTGAGATACAATAAATTTCTGTTGTTTAAGTCACCCAGTTTGCAGCACTTTGTTGCAGCATCCCTGGCAAACTAACCCAATGCCCCTGAAAAACTCTGGTAGCCTGGTTTCCTACTGGGAAATATGGAACTTGTAAGACCCATACATGCTTGGGAAAAGAGACATGTTATTTTATTAAGAAATAATCTTCTATGTTGAAGTTCTCCATTTTAATAAATGAACAATAAGTTTTGAAAGTGAAAATTTGCTATGCCTACAGGATCAAAAGTCATGAATTTACTAGCTATTCTTCTTTGCTATAAATATTTGAAAGTTTGGGTATTTACTGTTTATGCAAAATACTGTCATTTCTTTTTACTTCACTCTGTATTAAATTTAGGTTGAAACTAACACTTCCACTGAATTTGGTATTTTAGAAGAATATTCAATATGTTCCTTTTTGAAATAATGCCAGATGTTCACATTAATTTAGATATTGGCTGATATAATGTATTTTATGACAAGCAATGCAAACAACTGAATATATTAGAAAACTTAGAAAGATCTTTTAGAGTTTATGATATTAAAAAATATTTTCAGCAACAAGCTACTGGAGATTCAAGTATTTGGTTTTCAACTACAAAAGGAAGTACTTTTAAGACTATGGTAGAAACTGAAGCCGGTGCTTTTAATACAATCTCCATGGCAACATGGGAAGGAGCACAGCCTGGTGGGCTGAATGAAAGCCACAAACTCTCAATTTCAGACCCTACCATTAACTTCCCACAGAAAGCCATGTTTGTATCTTGGCATTTCATCTCTGCTATAAACAGAGGCACTCTGGCTTTATGCAAGAAAAGGACATTGCCTTAGTCCTATGTACTTGATATACTCATTTTATGAAATTAATAATATTTATGTTCTGAAACAATAGATTAGTCACACTACATTTCTAAGTTGTAGCAGGGAAATTAAACAGTAAATGGAAAATGCAAGTACTGACTAAATTCCCCAAATTTCATATAAAGATAACATAAAAGTGATTTGAAGGATCTACTTTATTTTCGTAAATGAATTGCCAAGATTAAAAAAGTTTAATTTTAAAAACAGGTATTCAGAATTTGATTGGCTACTGAGCATCCTGACCCTATCATTTTGTTTACATTTTCATATTTTCAATAAGGAAATGTCTTCTATAGGAAACTGCATAATAACAATGCATAAGGGTTTGAACTGTAGTTTAATGAATTAGTTAAGATTTTCCTGTGATGATATCTTGCTAATATAAAGATCATTTGCTAAAAACACAGCAAAAATAAGAAATAAAAAATCTCTAAACTACAAAAATAGATAATAATAGTTAACATTTGCTTTTTATTACTTGCCAGACACCATCCTGGGCTCTTCACAGGGATGATCACATTTAATTCTCACAATGACCCTATTAAATAGATATTATTATTATTCCCATTCTATTGATGAAAAGACTAAGCTCAGGGATGGTCAGTAAGTTGCCTGAGGTGGCCTTGTGGAGTTGGAATCAGGGCCTGTGCACTTCACCACTGTAAGATTCTCATAAACGTATCTATTTTATTTGTTAATTTTATTCATGTAGTAATACAGTCAGAACCCAATTCAATTATTTTTATTCTAATTTAAATGCAATTCCACCAAATCTGGTTATCTGATCACCTTAGAAGTAGCAAATTAGAAAGATTTGGAGGAGGGCTCCTGTAAGCAGGAAACATTAAAAATACAGAAGATTGAAATAGGAAGTGAAATATAGCAAAACAGGATTATCCAGAGGAAGAAAAAGATAAACACGGTTTTGGGATGGCGTGAGTAGAGCTATGTAAATGGGAACTACCATTTGTTGAATACCTCTTACATGCCAGGTGTGTGCCTTTCTCATCTGCCAAGCCTCACATGGCCCTGCCACGCAGGCTGTTGTATCCCCATTTTGAGAAGTCCCACAGCCTGCCCACGTTCTCACAACAGAAGGGCCAGACTTGTCGGGTGCAAAGTCCATGCTCTGAACACTGCCCCATATTGCCTATCTTGCATGGACTAAGAAACGAAGGAGGGAAAGAAAATCTTGGAGAGGTTTCTATTAACATGACTACAAGCAAAATGCTTTTTGGCATGGAAAGAGGGGTAATGGCTTCAGTTATGTGGAAAATTTACTCATATGAAATACATTTGATGGTGATAAATGAGGTACTATAGTACTTTTTTTTACTTAAAAAATTCAAACTTAGAAAAAGTTTAAATTTAGTTTCCTAAATTTAGGAAGCCCATAAACTAAGGTTGTGCAAGTGGGGAATTTTTCATTTGAGAGCCTATCTTTAGCTGCTATCCTTTTTTTAAAGTAGAACTATTGGGGTTTTACTTAGTGAACATTCTTCGCAAATTCAAGGCAATGTGCCAAGAAATAAAGAGTGGCATGAGAATGCCATTTGGAAGGGTTAAAAATTCAAAACAGAAATGTGTGTGTGTGCGCATGCACACAAACACACACACATACAGAGAACTCAATCACACATTTTCAGTTAGCAACACCAACCAAGCAAAAGAGCTGGGCTCATCCCGTTATGTAACACATTTTTTTTTCTTGCATCCCTTATTGCCTAAAGGCTACTGTGAATAGGGAAATAGCAGGAAAACATTCTCACAAAGAATGAGCTCCTCTAAATAATATATACAATAAAACTGTCCAGCACATGACCAAAAAATTAATAAAGGCAAGTCCAGTTTTCTTGTGATGTTGAAAGTGAGCATCGTTTCATTTAGCTGTTTCTCAGGAAGCATGTTATGCCCCTTTAAAACTGCTGACTTAATGCTTTCATGCACAGCCTCTCCCCTCCCCACCTGCCACCCCTTGCCTGGGTGTAAACCCTGGTGCCCACTTAGGCATGATTACCACTGGTGCAGCCCTGCCATTGGCGTCTCTCTCAAGGGAAAGAGCTTGGGGTAGACGATGGTAAACATAGGCTCACTACACCGATGACAGTGCCCCAGAGGGCAGTGCAGCAGCTCTAGGAGACTTCTGGGTAATGAGATTGGAGACAGAAAGTTCAAATCTGGAACACAAAAGAAAATCACGCACACGAGTAAAAAAATCAGACTTCCTTAAACTACGCTTCTTAAAATATTTGTTACCAAATAAGTTCAGTTACTTAAAAGTACTTCATGTTGAAAATTCTGTTATCTGATTGATACACACTGAATAAAAATCTAACATTTGAAAATGAAATTTTTTTTTTATATTTTTGATACTAAAAGAAAACACAAATTCACTCATTTTAAGAGCCAGAAGCTGTCCTGAGGTAGAGGCAAGGAATAAGTGAGATAAAATATTTTTTAAGAACAAAGATCAAAAAGGAATAATTCACCCAAAGAGGACTTTGAAACTTTAATAAGAGTCAGAGAATTTTTGGAACTGATGACTAAAACTGAGTTTCATTAAGTTCTCCCTAATCTATCAGGCATTTAGTATCAATCCTCCACCAAGGCTAAATCATATTTATTGAAGAGAATGAAAAGGAGGAAATAAAAAAAGAATGAAAAATAATGAAACCAAGCGTTTGCTTGACTTACTCTCATAAGCTGTCATTAATAAAAGCAGGGAGCTTCCTTCCCAGCTTAGTCTGAGCTACACAAAACAGACATTTAAAGCAAAACATCCCAGTGGCCCAGGCAATCTTGAAGACACATTTACACTGGGTTTCTACTGATGATGAGCATCCAACAGAAAGAGGCATGGTCATGCTGAGGTGAAATCTAAAAATTATCAACTCATCTTTGGGAAGGAGATACAAATCATCTTTTTACCTTTTATATCTGTCCAGACTCATCAATAACACTTAGAAAAATGGAATTGACTGATTGGTGAACAACTATAATTTTCTGTTTAGCTTTTAAAACCAACTTAACTTTGCACTAGGCATTTCTGGAAGGTTAATGTGAGATGTTTTTGTATGGACTCTTTTTTAAGTAAAGACGAAACATTTCACAGTTTTAAAAACACCTGAAATGTATTTTTCATATTAATATTGCCTAGCGCTGTCTTAAAGCATTTCAGACATACACCCACAATACCTATCAAATCTGTGCACGGCCAAATCCTTTCCAAATTTTAGCTGGCACGCTGCGACAGTACTGCCAACGGCTCCCAGTACTTCTACCTCCTTTAGGTCTACATATTGCTGAGATGCGAGGAGGCGGCAAGGCAAAAACCTGCTCTATTGACGTATCCAACTTTGAGGACAAGATCTTTCCAAATTTCCTACTGCCAGCCTTTTACTTCAACCAAATACACATTCCCAAACACCAAGTTCCTTACTTGAAACTTGAACTTTTAAGCACCGTGCTTTGCAACTGACAACCACGTTTTTTAAGAATGCTTCTCTGTGCCTGTAGGGGGTGCTAAAGTGATCAGTGTTAATAAAATATCAAAACTATTTTTCTTATTAGAAAAATCCTGTTGCACAACAATGTGAATGGACTTAATGCCACTGAACTGTATACTTAAAGATGGATAAAATGGTTACTTTCGTGTTATGTGTATTTTACCACAATAATTTTTTTTTTAAAGATGAACGCCAAAACAGGTGCACCAAGCACAATGTTCACTAAATGAGAGAGAAAAATAAGAAAACCAGAAGTCCCACGTACCTTTCAGCAAGCTGTGGTAGGTATGATACAGCCCTCTCATAGCCAATTCCTGCAGAGGGAGGACGTGATCATGCTCCGTCCCTATGGCCTTCACCTCAGCTGGGAGGAAAACGGTTCGCTGCCCTGATGAAAAGGAAAGCAGCTTCACCTCGGAAACTTGAATGGGAGCACCACAGCTGCAGAAAGACACACATTCACAGTATTATTAGCAATAAGGAAAAGAATATGGGTGCCAATAAAATGTGTTAATCAAAATATACATTTGAAAATTTATGACACTGCTGAATTGCCAGAATTCTTTTCAAAGTGAACAGATGCTATCCCGGGTTCCTTCATAAAACCTGGCCCAGCAATCTAAACTCATCAGTTGGAACTCAGCTAAATCATTGCTGAGGCCCAGTCACTTCCAGCAAGGATGAACTTTAAAGGAACTTTCCTTCTTAGGCCGTACACAATTTGCTTTGTAAATTTTACTTTTCCCAATTTTATTACCCTCTCCAAGTACGTGTTTTTCTGAAACTCTCAAAATTAAAAGAAAAAAAAAGAGTACTTTGTTGAGTAACAGCATCTTGGTTTAATAGAATTTTTGTATAGAAAAACTTAAACCCACAAAGCAAATAGATTTTAAATGGCAGAAGATAACTTTATTGGATCCTTCCATAAACTTGTGGGGAAAATATTCTTGGCATACTCAATAAGCCAAGTCATGCCCTATTCCCTGCAGCCACTCATAACCAGAAGGCAGAGATGTCCTCGTTCCTAATGCTGCAGTGTTACCGAAACTCACAAATCCAATCTCATTCTATTTCTTGTGTGAAACCATTGGGTAACCTAAGAGCCTCAATACTTTTCTTGTCTAATGACAAACAGCTGGCCAACAAACCTTGGCTCTGAAGACAACATGAAATAATATCACTAACCTTGACCAGATACAAGCAATGAAGCTTAGGGGACAGGACTGGAAGCCAGAAGCCCTTGATTCATTTATTTTTTAAAAGTTTCTTCATTTGTTCTTTCTCTCCATCAGAAAACATTTCCAGAGCACTTACTATATGCCAGTCAGTTAAGATACTTAAATTAAGAAAAACAAGAATGAACCCTTCCTTTGGGAGAAAATCATTACAATTATTCTAATGTGGGGGCAAAGAAGGGTTGACTGACTCTGTCCAGGGAATTAGGGGAGATTTTAAAGATAAGACAATATCTGACTTAATGTTCAACTCACCTGGAATAAATGGAAATGTGTTATGAGCATTCCAAGCAGAGGGAACAGCATGTGCAGCAGTACAGAAGCCTGAAAGAATATGGCTACGTCTTGGTTTCAACAGTGCTGGAAACAGGGATGCAGGGTATGGATGGACAGGGGAAGGAGGCCAGGAATATTAGCTGAAGTTAGATGGTTTTAATTCACGGGGAAGACTGTTAGGTGTGGTTTTTTTTTCTTTGTTTTGTTTTGTTTTTTACCAAATATCTGACCACAGTATGGTAGACAGGAAAGGGACTGATAAGTGGCAAAGAGGTAAAGAGAACCCAAATACAGAAGGAAACAGAAATGGGGAAGTCTTTAGGGTCTTGAAAATGAGAGCCTGAGATAAACAGAAGAGGTATGGAATATCATTATGGGTAAGAAGCCAGTGGCTTTCTCTGTTAGTTCCTAAAGCAAATAATTCTGAAATGCGATTTTGTTCACATAATCTTTTATGCCAATCAAGATAGATTTAGAGAATTTCTTTTGTAATATTCCATACTATGGATGAACCACAGTTTATTAATTTATTCATTATGTTTATCCTGGTTTCAATGTTTTCTCTCCTACTACACATACAACATCACAATAAATCTTACATACATTCCAATGCACAGATGTTTTTATTATAGTAAAATTCCCAAACTGAGACCACTGGCCATGAAAAATGAACATTTTAAATGCCTGAGATCTTTCCAAAAAGATTGGTAAGAAAGCATCCATTTCCCCACACCATCATCAGAACTGGATGTTATCAGTCATTTTAGTTTTTGCTAGGCTGATTAATGGAAATGCCTCCTTGGTTACTAATGAGTTTGATCACCTTTTGTTAGCCTTGCTGGCCATTTACATTTCTTCTTCTGTAAACTGTCCACGTCCATCCCTTATCTCATTTTCTATTAAATTAAAATATATCAATTTGTAGGAACTTCCATATTGGCAATAACAATCCTTTGTCATATGCACTGAAATATTTATCGACAAAAATGTTTTTGTCTTTTAACTTTGCATATGGTTCTCTTTGTCAGCATTCTTTTCTGATGTGAAATCTATCCACTTATTTCCTTCATGGTATCTACATTTTTCTGAATTTCTTAAGAGGGTTACCCTGATTTGAAGACTGTGCATATATTATCCTAAAGTTTCTTCCAGTATGTTTATTGTATTTTTACATGTAGATTTTTTTTTTTTTAAGACAGAGCCTTGCTCTGTCACCTAGGCTGGAGTACAGTCTGTGATCTCAACTCATTGCAACCTCTGCCTCCCGGGTTCAAGTGATTCACCTCCTCAGCCTCCTGAGTAGCTAGGATTACAGGCACCCGCCACCACGTCCGGTTAGTTTGTATTTGTAGTAGAGACGGGGTTTCACCATGTTGGTCAGGCTGGTCTTGAACTTCTGACCTCAAGTGATTGGCCCGCCTCGGCTTCCCAAAGTGCTGGGATTACAGGTATGAACCACCGCACCTGGCCTTTACGTGTAGATGTTTTATCTATTTGTCTTACTTGGTTATATAATATAAAATAGGACATAGCTTTTTTTTTCCAAATGGAAAAATAATACGGGTAGCATTATTAAACAACACTATCATTTACCTCTGAATTGAACTGTTCTTTTTATCCTATTAAGTTCCCAAATACACTGGCATTGCTTTCTGGAGTCTTTAGTCTGTTTCAGTGATGTATCAGTTTAATTCTGTGTCAGTTCTATATTGTTTTGATTACAATACTTTATAGAAGATTCTATCATTTGACAAGTCTGCCCTAACTATTATTGTTCAATTTTTTTCTTGCAATTCTCAGTTATCATTCAATTTGAACTTTACAATTATTTTATCTCTATTTCCCTAAAGCCTTCCAGAGATTTGTATTAGAATTAACATCGATTTCTATGTTAAGACAGGTAATTTGATCATAAATTTCCTTATTTGCAAACATGGTATCTCTGTACTATCCACCTAGTGCTTTATATCCTATCCTTTAATAAAAATTTCACAATTTTCTTCACATAGATTCTGTTCCTTTCTTGTGATATTTATTACTGTATATTTAAATGTGTGGTACAAAGATAAATGACATTTTCCCCCTAACTTTGATTTCTAATTTACGAAGACATAAAGAAAAGCTGCTAATCTTTGTATGCTATCTTATATTTAGCCACCTTACTAAATTCTTTTAGGTGTCTGAAAGATTTTTTTTGGTAGCATATCTTGAGTTTTCTAGGTATTCAAGCATATCACCTATAAAGGTCTTTCTGGTTCTTTTTTTCCCAGTATTTATAATGTCTATTTCCTTTTTTTCCATCTTATTGCATTAGACAGATGGCAGTGGTGACAGTGGGCCCTCACTCCTCTCCTATTCCTGATTTTAATGGCCATAGTTTGAATACATCATCATTTAATATAAAAATTATTATTATATGTGGCTACAGAATTCATCAAAATCAGAAATCATACAAAATCATCAAAAGTTTCTCTTAACATACCAATATAATTGTGTTTTTCTTTAATATAATGTTGAATAAATTATCGATATTTTAAGGTAAACTTTAAAATATTTAAAACATTATTTAAAAATATAATCATATAGAAAAGTACACAAGTCACAATTGCTGTGATTTTCACAAGATGAACACACTAATCACCACCAAGGTCAAGAACAAGAACCTCAGAAGACCACCTTGGGTCCCACTGCTAAGCAAAACCCATACCCCAAAGGGAAGCACTATTCCAAATTCTAACACTATAGTCTGGTTTGGCCTTTTTGAACAGCATGAAGGTTGCTGTGCCTGGTTTCTTTTGTCAACATTATACTTCTGGAATTCATCCATGTTGCTTTGTGTACTGTAGTTTATTAATTTTCATTGCTGTGCAGTAATGATGGACATTTGGGCTGTTTGTAGTGTGGAGCTACTACAAATTGTGCCTCCATAAAAATTGTGTATTTGGTACATATGAGCATATACATTTGTGAGGAACATACTTAAGATCAGAGCTGGGCCTATTATAGTGAGGAGAGACAGACATTAATATATAATAGACTGAGAGGGGAGTGAGAGCTGTATGAATTTTGATAGTACCCAAATAATGATCTTTTCTCCTTCAGAAAGTATGCTGTGTCATCTACATGTGCATTTTTGTGGGAGCTACTACAGATTTATCCTTCTCCTTTTTAGCAAAAAAGTTTTTCTTCAGCTTAAAAGTAAAAGGAAAGGGAAGAAGTGGATATGGAGATGGAAAGAAACTATGTCACCTAGAAAGAATAAACCTTGGCTTGGACAAAGAGTCTGTCATCTTGGCAGAGCTACTTAAGGCTAAGTTTTGTTCTGAGAATGTATTTATATAATTCTGAGTTGACTTTTTTCTTTAGCACTTATAAAATGTAGTTGCATTGTTTTCTGGACTTCAAAGTTTCTGATGAGAAATTAACAATCTTTTTGAATTACTCCTTTGTATGTAATGTTATTTCTCTGGTTGCTTTCAAAATTTTCTTTTTATCTTTTGTACCCATCAGCTTTGCCTACGCATGGTTTTCTTTGAATTTATACTGCTTAGGATTTGCTATGCTTCTTGAAAATGTAAATTTGTTTCTCATCAAATTTGGGAAATTTTTAAACATTATTTCTTCAAACATGTTTGTTACTGACGTTACCCATTCTCTCCCTATTTTCCTTCAAGGATGCCAATTATACATGCATAAGATTCTTTTATATTGGCTAGCAGGTCCCTGATGCTGTGTTCATTTTTGTTTTCAATGTCTTTTCTATGTGTCCTTCAGATTGGATCATTTCTACTGATCTATCTCCAGTTCAGTGACATTTCCTCTGTTCCAACCATTCTGCCATGAAGTCCATCAAGTTAATTTTTTACTTCAGACACTGTTTTCAATTCTAGAATTTCCTTTTTTTTAGTCTCTATTTTTCTGGCCTTTTCATTCATTACTTCATTGAGAATAATTGTAACAGTTGCTTTGAAATCTCTGTCACTTCAACAATCTGGGTCATCTCAAATTGGAGTCTCTGCTGGTCATCTTTCTTCTTGAGAATGGGTCACATTTTCCTGATTCTTTACATGTCTTGTAATTTTGGAACGTTTCCTAGATATTGTGAAAGTTATATTGTAGAGACCCTGGGTTCTCTTATATTCCGCTAACACTTAAACGTAATTAATATTTTTGTTTTAACAACAACTAACTTCATGGGCGTCAAACTGCAAACTCAGTCTCTTAAATGACAGTTTCAATCACACTTGAGTACTTTCATCTGCAGCCAGGCCACTTTGGTCCTGCTCCACTGAAGTGTGTTTCAGGTATCCGATACTGGGGGCAGGCAGCCCCTACATAAAAATGGATACTTTTAGTATACTGGTTTAACTCAGAATACATTTCTCATACAAACAACTCTATTACTCTCAGTGGTTATATTAATAAACCATTAGAATAGTATTTAACCAATTTGGACACAAATCCAGCTATAATTGCTTATTTACACAATAAAAAGCAAAGTAGTGGCTTGGTTTTTTTTTTTTTTTCTTACATAATTAAACAATTGGAAAAAACATCCTGTAGAGGATTACTTTTACCATTAAGTTCTCCTCAGTAAGTATATGTGCCAATTACCATTCTCTAAAATTCTAACATGGGATGAACCTCTCTTTCTGGCTACAATGTAGAAGATTGAGGACATTTACTCCTGTAATAACAAGAAAAACCCAGAAAAAATAAAGATCATTCTTTTCCATGAGGCTAGCAAATAGTATAGATGCCATGAAGCTGTGACAGCCAGTCTCCAAGTGGGCCCCCAATGGTCCTCGCTCCTAGTGGTCACTCTCCATGTAGTCACCTCCTACTGTGAATAGGGTTGACCTGTGTAATCAACAGGATATAACAGAAACAACAGTGTGTGGCTTTGAAGCTAGGTTATAAAACACAGTTCCATGCTATACATTTCCATCACTCTACCTCTCTTAGGGTATTTATTATTTGTATTACAGTTATTTTTGCATATCAAGATAAACATTTAAACTATCTTGGTTTTTCCCACAATTTCTAGCACTGTGCTGATTTGCTAATGTTCACAAATTATTTGACAAATAAACATAGAATAAGAAGAAGCTAACTTTGTTTGCATTTCCATGAATACAAAAGAATTTTATGAGACTTCTGAGATTTCTTAAAACTGCTACATTTGTTATTTGCTGTTTTTATACCTATTTATAAGTTTTATACCCCATTGTCTCTCTATTCTCCCTCTGAGATGTGAATCTGAGATAAATACGTATATATCTCAGACTTTTCTTATATTGTCCCACAAGTACCTAAAGCTGTGTTCATTTTGCTCAGTTGTTGCTCTAATTCTTAGACCCTCAATCTGAAAAGGGTACTGTAATTGCTTCAGAGCTTGTACAGCACAGCAGAAACTGTTCTTATATCCCAAGCCTACATCTAGGTCAGATGCAACATATGATAGCAGTGAAGAACGAAGGGAGTTGATCTTTCAGGTCTCAGATTAAATATTACCTCCTTAAAGAGAACTAGTACCAAGTTTGTTAAATTATTTAGGGTTTGCTTGACTCCCTGGCTAGATCAGAAGGTCCATGCGGGCAGGTACTGCATCGCTTAGCTCATCACTGTACAGCCATTATCTCATACAGTGACCAAACAGAGTAGTTGCTCAATAAATGTTCACTGAAGGAACAACTGGACCAAAATTCGTGTTCTGAATCAAGAAGGGCACTTTCTAGGCTTTCAACACACGTATGTCCTTTTACTAGATTTCCCCCAGGCCCTTGTGCTACTACCCCTTCCCCCTCCTTTCCTTTAGGCTGAGGCACTAAGCAACACTACTTTGAACTGGAACTGGGAAGTCCCTTTTCACATATCCAACAGATAAAAGAGGCAGAAGAAAGAAGACTCTTAATGCTTGTTGTCAAAGCTTCAGTAGTTATCATCTATTAAAATTCTGAGCACATTTTGCCATAGAAGTATTATTGTAAGTATAATTTTGGGGGTGCAAAATAGGTCAAATGACTCTTTAATGAGTTTGCTTAGGAATACAGTGGCCAGAGCTGTTTCTATGAAGAAAGCATTTCGAGTTTTGATTTAAACCAACAGGCTAAAAATGCCTTTAGATTATAGGCCATTTGTAAGTAGGACTGCTTATTACCTCAATACTACTATTAGAAAACTGGTTGTTTGATACTATCCTGTTAATAATTTTATTTCTCTATTACTATAACAAAAGTTTAATAATAAAAAAGTAGACTATTACCTAATAATTTGTGTATTTTCCCCTAGTGTTTTGTTTTTTTAAAAAGATTTGGAGTTCTCATGAAATTCACTACCACTGCTACCAGACACCAAGTCAAAGATTTAAAAATATCTCTCTACTTAGCACAAACAGAACTTTCTAGTAGTCAATAACATCTATATCTAAACGACAAAGTATAAGGCACTTTTTCTTAAAAGCTACTCCTTAATTGTGGCAGAGATGCAGATCGCATTTCAGTGTGGTCTCTGAAGGTTTTGGTGTGGGAAAAAGTGCCTTCAGCTTTGGAGCTTGCTGGCATCGTTCTATGTACCATGGTGATTGCAGGCACTTTATTCGCCACCTGGAAGAATTAGGCTATATTAATGATCCTTTAAGAACTCATTAGGATTAATGACTACATAGTATCACAGCTGTGACATAATCAGCTGTAGAAAAATCACTGAGCTAAAAACACCTATTCTATTATCTTTGCTTCACAGAAGGTTCCAGAATACATCTCTCAGCTTGGAGTTCATCAGCCTGTATAGGCACTGAACTCATCTTGGGCTTTCCCAAGACAGCTGCATAAGTTTTCCTAAAAGAAGGCCACTACTCCTAGGACTGCCCCTGGAGTTGTGCTATACCAACGGGGGGAATGGCTGTCTTCTATGTATACACTTATTGTCATCCCTTTTCTTGCCAGAACTACTCATAGCATGGGCCAAGTCATGCAGGATGATGGGGACTAGAAGGGGAGAGTCAAACATGCTGATTAGGTTGCCCCCGGGGTGTTCACTTGGCTGCTGAAGTGGGGAAGGGAAGGTCAGTCACAAGTGGGTCCTGGTGGTTGAGTGGCCCCATCTTAATCCTTGGCCACTCAGGGAAACACTTTAGGGTGGTTCTGTGCCAGCGTTGTAGAAGGAGAAGATGAAGCCATCTTTCTAAAAGCCTGACTAAAAAGAAAAGATTATTGCTGCTCTGAAAATAAAAGCCCATTAACTGAAATATCTGTTTTGGTTGCTAGAATCATGATTTATTTTGAGGGACTATCTCAAATGTTGAGTTCTAAATATTTCCAACTGGTAAAATCCTAGACACTAGGACTGTCACTGCAGTAAAACTGTCATGGCAATGGGCTTCAGTGAAAGAAAACCTTCTAAATTAATGCTGATTCCTCTACTTTCTGTGACTAGCACCACTGAGTTTATAACGGTATGTGTGGTAGGTACATCAAACCATCACGTGTACCATTTAAATAATTACAATTTTATTTGTCAACTCTACCTCAATAAAGCTGGGGTGTGTGGGGGGAAATAAAGGTGTTTCTTTCTGTAATAAAAAAAGGTATACATGGATTCATTTTTCTTTAGACTAGAAAATAATAACTTACTGACTGAACCCAATGTGCAATATTCCAAACTGCCTGCCCAATATCCTTAGTTTCTAAGGATACCTGGTTTAGCATATCATCAAGGGCAAAGACAAAATTGAACAGAAGTACCAAAAGTAGTTAATCTATTTTTTAGTTCAAAATGTGAAATCGGCCTTACCCACTGCACCCGATGACTTTATTGTACAGATAAGATGGCAAGCCTTTCAGGTGAATGTTGTTATCCACGTATACATACTGTAGTTCTCGAGATCGACCTAAATCTGGATTAGAAAGAAAAGTGCTGTAATTCCTATATACAGGCACCATTATAATGTGAAATATAAAATTTAATACATAGTATTAGAAATATTCGAAGATTTCTACTCTGGAAGAAAACCATAAAAAGTGTTATATAAAGTAAGTTATGGGTCAGCCTAAACAAGCCTAGTTCTGCCCCTTGATACAGATTCTTTGCTTGGCCAAACTTTAGTCAGGTTCCTAAACCTTCTTCTAGGTCCACGTGTGGACCCTGTAAAATCCAGTTTTAGCAAAGAACTCTGCTAAGTCAGTTTAGCAAGAACCCCTCACTTGGGATATCTGATTGGGTTCCTCCTTTCTCCCCCATCTCCTTGGTCTAATCACCCTGGCCTGTCTTCAGCAAGAATTCTATTTGGTCAGTCATCCCTTTTCTTGCCAGAACTACATATTGTCTCCTTATTCCTGATGTTGCCTCTGAGCAATTTTCCATCCAATGACCACCTTGCTCCTTGGCTGTAAATTCCTACTTGCCCACGTTATATTCAGAGCTGGCCCAATCTCTTTCCCCAACTACAAGACCCAGTTGCAGTGGTTGCTGTACCTAGGCTGATGGTCTCAAATAAAGTCTTCCTTACTATGCTTTAACAAGTGCCACTGAATAACTTTTTCTTTAACACCTTATACAGAGATTTCCTGTGTCTCACCTCCCATGGGCAAAGGTGGATGGAGGAGGATTAGGGATCAGGCACTGGCTAGGCAGGAGTCTGAAGATCCAGGCAGATGTAGGAATAGACAGAACTTCCTCATGAGGAAGAAGTGAAGCAGAACCCAAATCCCAGTCCCGTGAGGTGTGACAGTGGCATAGACAAGACTTAAGGGCCAGAGAGCAGGAGCTGGAGTGGGTATGAACCTAGAAAGGGAGGAAGTTGAGAAAGGGGGCCCCAAAAGAAGGGCCTACAACAGTAACAAGAATGTCAGAAAGAGGCAGAATTCAGGTATTTCCCAGAGGTAGCAGGGCAGTGAGAGGGCAAAGAATGGAAGAGGATCCAGTGAGGAAATAAGGCTGAAAGTACGGATGGAGATTCCCGGCAAGTACAGGTGGTGGAGACACTTCTCAGATATACAGGCCATCCCTTCCCATGTGCCCAGGAATGTCCGACCAGCTCTCCTCTCCGCTCCTAAGCACTCACTGACTAGGGCTATTTGTCTTTATTGTCACAGAGGTACACAACAGAGTCCTGAGCAGTCTTGCTAACCATCTGCTCTTAAGAAAGAACATAATATGGCAGGGGTGGGGGGTGGTGGTGCTTATGCCTGTAATCCCAGTACCTTGGGAGGCCAAGACAGGCGGATTGCTAGAGCCCACGAGTTCAAGACCAGTCTGGGCCACATGGTGAAACCCTATCTCTACCAAAAAAATACAAAAAAATCAGCCAGGTGTGCTGGCATGTGTCTCTAGTTCCAGCTGCTCAGGAGAGGTGAAAGGATCGTTTGAGCCTGGGAGGTCGAGGCTGCAATGAGCCAAGATCATTCCACTGCATCCAGCTTGTGCAACAGAGCCAGACCCTGACTAAAAGTTTTAAAAAAAGAGAGAGAGAAAAAAGAAAGAACATAGTCTTTGAAAGGTTTTCTAGGGTTCTGCTTACAAACATAGAAGATAGGCTGAA
The DNA here is from genome assembly GCF_000001405.40 of Homo sapiens. NCBI lineage: Eukaryota > Metazoa > Chordata > Mammalia > Primates > Hominidae > Homo > Homo sapiens. The sequence goes on along the minus strand of NC_000015.10, from coordinate 99,350,724 downwards.
GGAGAGCTCCTCCTCCTCATCTTTCTTTAGTTTAGGAAAGTCAAAGGCCCAGACAGCTGAATCAGGAGGTTTTTAGATTCATTTACATTGCAAATGAAAACCCATTTAACCATTAAGGACCTTCAGGCACTGTGCTAGGCCTTGGAAATGTAGCTATGAATACAGCATAACCGATGTGGAAACAGGAAAAACAGTAACTGTAATACAATACGATCACTGCTATTAGAGAGGCTGGTTGAAGGTCTTTTGCTTCACAAATGGGTTCTGGACAATTTGTCCCAGAAAGCAGGAGGAGCGTAATATAAAGTTAAGGTAAGAAAGAGTTCCTGTGGGAGAGGGTAGGGTGGGTTAACATTACTTCCTGCTGGTCTTACTACAATCATCCTGCCCAGTTACAAAAAGGAACCACAATTTCCCTCAAAAGGGTTACAACAATTTACACCCCTACCAGCTACGTATGAGAGCATCTGCTTCCCCATAGGAAGCAAAACATCACGTTTTTAAATTTTTGCCATCCTTATAGGTAAGAAAAGGTATCTTGACATTGTTTTAACTTGCATTTTTCTTTTTTTTTTTTTTTTTGAGACGGAGTCTCGCTCTGTCGCCCAGGCCGGACTGCGGACTGCAGTGGCGCAATCTCAGCTCACTGCAAGCTCCGCTTCCCGGGTTCACGCCATTCTCCTGCCTCAGCCTCCCGAGTAGCTGGGACTACAGGCGCCCGCCACCGCGCCCGGCTAATTTTTTGTATTTTTAGTAGAGACGGGGTTTCACCTTGTTAGCCAGGATGGTCTCGATCTCCTGACCTCATGATCCACCCGCCTCGGCCTCCCAAAGTGCTGGGATTACAGGCGTGAGCCACCGCGCCCGGCCGCATTTTTCTACTTATGAGTTTGAACATTTCAAAACTATGTCTGAGGGGCATTTATATACATTTTGTAAATTGCCTGTTCAAATATTTTTCTCATTTTTTGATCCGGTTTTTGGTATTTCATCCCTTGTTTTTTAAGAGTCCTTTACGTATCAGGGACATTGGTTCCATGTCTGTGGTTTATGTTATGACTACTTTCTCTCAGTTTGTCAGCTATCATTTAACTTAGCTGATGGTGTATTTTTGTCATGCAAAATTCTGAAAAGTCTTCCAATTTATCTTTTTCTAAATTGCCTCCAGAGTTTGAGTCGTAGTTAGAAAACCTCTTCCCTGTGACATCCAAGTTTAAGCAGAATTCACCGATGTTTTCTTCTAGTGTTTACATGGTTTCATTTTTCTTTTCCTTTTTTTAACAAATAGAGTCCTAATTTATTTGGAGTCTATTCTTATATATGGCATAAAAAGTACAGCTAATAATTCCTTTTTTCAAATGGTGATTCAGCTGTCTCAGTGTCATTTATGAACTTTTTAGTCCATTTTTACTCCAGTACACCAAAAAAAGATCTCTAAGACTAGAAGATAAAAACAATTATAAAGTGTGCAGATTCCAGAAGAGAATAACCGTGGTGTTAATTGAGCTGAAAATATGTAAAAAATAAAAGAGATGAAACCCCAAAGATTTCACAAAAAAAACTAGTAGAACATACAAATGAATTCACTATAGCTACAGGATACATTTCAACGTATAAAATTCATAGCATTTCTATATACAAATAACAACCTACCAAAGAAAGAAATCAAGAAAACAATCCCATTTATGATAGTATTTTTTAAAAATATCTAGGAATAAATGTAACTAAGGAGGTAAAAAGATTTGTACACTGAAAACTATAAAAAACTGATGGGAGAAAATGAATAATACACAAATAAGTGGAAAGATATCCAGTGTTCATGGATAGGAAGAATTAATACTGTCAAAATGTCCAAACTACCCAAAGCAATATACAGATTTAATATAAGGTCTATCAAAATTCCAGTGGCATTCTTTATAAAAGTAGAAAAAAATTTTCTAAAATTCATATGGAGCTACAAAAAAAACAAAAAAAAAACAACAAAAAAAACCCAAATAGCCAAAGCAATACTGAGACAGAAAAATAAAACTGGAGGCATCTCACTTCCTGATTTAAAATTATTTTACAAAGCTATGGTAACAAAAACACTATGATGCGGCATAAAAACAGAAACCTAGACCAATGGAACAGAACAGAGAGTCCAGAAATGAATCCAAACATAAATGGGCACCAAGAGGACATAACAGGGAACAGAAAGTGTCTTGAATAGATGGTGCCGGGAACGCTGGATTTCCACATGCAAAAGAATAAAATTGGACCCTTATCTGACACAATACACAAAAACCAACTCAAAATTGATTAAGAAACCTAAATATAGGACCTGAAACCATAAAGCTCCTAGAATAAAACATAGGAGAAAAGCTCCTTGACATTGGACTTGGCAATGATTTTTTCGATATCACACCAAAAGCTCAGGCTACAAAAACAAAAATAAAGGAGACTACATCAAATTAAAAAGCTTCTGCACAGCAAAGAAAACAATTAACAAAACGAAAAGGCAACCTACTGACAGGGAAAACAAATAACTACAAACCACATAACTGATAAGAGGTTAATATACAAAATTTATAAAGAACTCTTATAACGTAATAGCAGAAAAACAACTCAATTAAATAATGGGCAAAGCATCTAAACAGACATTTTTCCAAAGAACATATACAAAAGGCCAACAGGTAGATGAAAAGGTGCTCAACATCACTAATAAAGGAAATGCAAATTAAAACCACTATGAGATTATCACCTCATACCTATAAGGATGGCTATTATAAAAAAGATAAGAGATAACAAATGTTGCTGAGGGTGTGGAGAAAAGGGAACCCTAGTATGTGTTGGTAGGACTGTAGATTGGTGCAGCCATTATGGAAAACAGTATGGAGGTTCCTAAAGAAATTAAAAATAGAACTACCACATGACTCAGCAATCCCTCTCCTGGGTATATATCTAAAGGAGATACACAGTCATCGCCTCATAAAGACATCTGCACTCCCATATTCACTGCAGCATTATTCACCACATCCAAGATATGGAAACAATGTAAATGCCCATTGATGAATGACTAGATAAAGAAATGTGGTACATATACATAATGGAATATTTTTCAGCCTTAAAAAAGAAAGATTTATGCCAAACCTGGATGAATCTGGAAGACATTATACTAAGTGAAATAAGCCAGACATACAAAGAAAAATATTGCACAGTCTCACTTATATACAGAGTATTTTTTTAAAAAGAGCTCCATGCCTGTAATCCCAGCACTTTGGGAGGCCAAGGCGGGCAGATCACGAGGTCAGGAGATCAAGACCATCCTGGCTAATACGGTGGAACCGTCTCTACTAAAAATACAAAAAAATTAGCCAGGCATGGTGCGGGCACCTGTAGTCCCAGCTACTCGGGAGGCTGAGGCAAGAGAAGGGCGTGAACCCGGGAGGCGGAGCTTGCAGTGAGCCGAGATAGCACCACTGCACTCCAGCCTGGGTGACAGAGGGAGACTCCATCTAAAAAAAGACAAAAAAAAAAAAGGGAGCTCACGTACACAAGGAGATTGAAACAGGCGTTATCATGTGGGAAGAAGGTAAGGATGGAAAATAGCAGACATATAGGATGAACAAGTTCAGAGATCTAATGTACAACATGAAGACTATGGTTAATAAACTTGTACTGTATTACAGAATTTTGTTAAATAAATTTTTAGCTGCTCTTGTCATGAAAAACTATGTGAGATGATAGATATGTTCATTTGTTTGTCTACAGTAACCACTTTACTATTTATTTGTATCCCATAATATCGTGTTATAAACCTGAAATATACATAATAAAATTTACTTAAATATATATATACACACAAACTTCTTCAATGGAAAATAACACTGAACAGAGGTCATGCAATTTGGAAAGGAAAAATGTGTACCCCGCATACAGGTTTTTATTTATTTTTTTAATAGGTAATGGTTGTAATGAAAATATTTTTGATGAGTGTGCTTCCATTAAAGCTAGAGAAGTAAATTTACAATGAATTCTGGCTTTAGTATAAACAAAATATTTAAACTTAGAATAATGTCAAGTTTTAATACATCTACTTTCAGTTTTTGATATTTTTTCAAGTACTTTAATGCCCTAAAAAAATTAATGTTCTAGAAAAAAATCACAGGAGTGCACATTTTTCCTTTTGCCTTAGGCTTCAAATGTCTCAACACGGCATTGCCAGATCCTGTCTTGATTCAAATTTTTGCTATTTTGTTTACCACGGATTACTCTGCATTAATTTTATTTCTTATTGTATTAAAATGTAATTTATCATAAAACAAAAGTAAACAAGAGTCACTTAAGGCCAGAAGTTTAAGATCAGCTTGGGAAACAGCAAGATACTGTCTCTACAAAACAATTAGCTGGGAGTGGTGGCACATGCCTATAGTTCCAGCTGCTCAGGAGGCTGAGGCAGAAAGATCACTTGAGCCCAGGAGTTCCAGGCTGTACTGAGCCACAACTGCACCACTGCACGCTAGCCTGGGTGACAGAGCAAGACCCTGTCTCAAAACAAATGAATGAATGAATGAATGAATGAATGAACAAATGACTATTAGCTGGGCATTGTGGCCCATGTCTAGAGTCCCACCTACTCAGGAAGCTGAGGCAGGAGGATCACTTGAGCCCAGTACTTCAAGGCTGCAGTGAGCCATGACTACACCACTGCACTCCAGCCTGGGCAACAGAGCGAGACCCTGCTAAAAAAAAAATAAAAAGAGAGGCGTTAACCTAGAAGTAAGTCACTGAAGAGAATAATTTGCACACTGTGGGGATAAGAGGACTCATGTGTCTGACTATTCACTTACAAGGCATGTGAGCAGAGCTTCTGTTTGCTCATATGTTAAATGGTGTAACAGTACCTGGTCCCTCAATCTTATCGGTTGCAAGGTCACTGAATGTTTAAAAAAATTGTGATATTTAAATCACCATACAATATGTTTTTTAAGCATCAGCCTAGAGAATTACCAAAATATTGCATACTGTTAACTTAAGTAAACATGCATGGACATATCTATTGGTATAAAAGGCAATACATTTATAAAATATAGATGGGAAAACTATAAATACCAGAATCCACTTGCATAAAAAAGGCCTCAACAAGGCACTAAGATTTCCTATTTTAAATTTCTTCACTACTTCTCTGGTATACATAAAGAACTCTTACAACTCAATAGAAGAAAAACAATCGATTGAAATATGGGCAAAGCATCTAAACAGACATTTTTCCAAAGAACATATATGAAAGGCCAACAGGTAGATGAAAAGGTGCTCAACAAGTCCTATAGCCACAAATAGAAGACTTCAAAGGTACATAGAACACTTTGGAATATTTTTTCAAAATAAAACTGCGTTGATAAAATGCAAATGATCTCTGGTCTCAGATTTGTCTTTCAGAGCCCCTAGGGGGCTCACAGAAAGCAGAAAATACTCTTTACCTGGGTATATGCAATGGTAAGGGGTGTGGCATACTAGTTAAGAGAGCAGGAGCACAGTCTTGGAGTCCGACAACTGGGGTTTGAATCCTTGTTCTATTTACTAAATGTGCGGCTTAGTTTCCTCATCTGTATAATGGGGAAAATAAAGCTGTCCTCAGGTTTAGTGAGAATTGCTAACAAGGTTTACAAATTATCAAATAGCATTCTTGGCACATAACCTTCTCCAATATATGGCAGTTACTGTTCTCATTATTAGTAAGTGACATATTTGGAAGTACGGCCTACAGTAGAAGAAGGCCAGTTAAGAGAGAATTCTCTTTGGCATGCAGCAAATGGTAGTAACACTTTTCTATACTTTAATTGCACAGAGAAGAGTTGGAGGCAGCGGCCTCTAGAGACAATGATTCATCCCCTCAAACCAAGGGCACAAAATGGGACATGACAGAGGAAGCACCTCTTTTCTCTATACTGCAAAAAGAGCTTATGCAAATTAAATGAGGTGACATGCAAAGATCATACAATACAGTTAAATAAGAGCTGACACTTGCTACTTCTTACATAGTTTAGTCTTCTTTCCCTATGTTAATTTTATAGGAAAAAATGAGTTGATAATTTAAAAATGCTATTAGGTTCAGATCTTGTCTTAGCTTTTCAATATTCCACATAATTCAGTTTGCACCTCCTGGCTATTCTGAGGAAGGTAGTTTTTTATATATGCCCACCATGAAATAGACTATTTTATGTTAAAGCTGAAAGAAAATCAGTATCTGCTCTGTTCAGATGTATTATACATTAGCCAGCATAATGCCTCATGGACATGAGTATGTAATACAGACACTTAAACTTTCCAAATACACAATCTGATATAGAGTGGGGAGTGGCAGTACTGAAATTAGACAATGCAGTGGGTGATGGAGTCAGAACTGAGTCTGAATCCTGCTTCCTCACTTACTAACTGCTTCCTGACATGAAGGGAAATGAAATGTTCTGAGCCTGCTTCCTCCAGTGCAACAAGGGGATAAGAGTACCTTTCTCACAGACCTGTTATGAAGATTAAACAACGTATATAGTGCCCAGCTTTATTCCTGGCAAAATAATTGGTACTCGATACATCTTAGTCTTTTACCTCTTGCTTCTGAATACAAAGAGGAGATCACAAAACAGTGTGGGATGATGAAGAGAACCAGCAGGATGATGAAGAGAACCAGGCAGCTCTGCTGTTTTAGTTGGCACAGCACAGCCTGGTGGGGAGGCCAGGACACCGCAGCGCCGGGCAAGGTCACAGGCTGTAAAGGCGATGCTGTGATGGCCTCTTGAGAGCGTGAACCTGGCCAGAAGGCAGTCGGCTGGCAAAAACCCCCAAGCACAATGGAATGGCATTCGTAATCATTATGAGGCTGAAATACGAACGTGTACTTCATGAAAAGGCTTTGAGATGTTTCTTATATTCTTAAGATAAAAAACCCTTCACTCAATAATTAACTTTGGAAGAGATCACTCGTGTACTAACCACTGGGGCGGTTTGTTTTCTTCCTTTAATTACTATTAATGCACCGATACCTTACAATAGATACATCACGCAATAATATTTTTAAAGTTCCTGTGCAAAATTGCTCAGTATGTAAAATCTATAACGCAAGGAAGCTGTCCGTCGTACAGATGCTACAGCCACAAAGAACTTTTTCATGTGGCTTTTTAAAGTACTGTATTGTGTCCAAAATATTTCCTTTTTTTCTTCCAAACTCACAGATCAAAGTTTCTGACTTAGAAATTAGCAAAATCTAGGAGTCCTGCACAAGCTCCAATTCTGTTTGTTTGTTTGCTTATAACCTCAAGGCTCTGGCATACACAGTCCACATGGCTGAAAATGGAACAAAAAGCTCCTGTGTATTCAGGCTACTGCCCTTTTAACCATACTGTAAAAGCAAGCATGGAATGACAGCACAGGAGAGGACAGAACAGGATCTGTGTTTACTTCATGCTGACCAGTATGAAATTCATTTATTTTATCAAAAGGTGAATGGTATATTCTCATCAACAAAATGATGGGGCAAAAGAAACAACAACATCAAAGCAATCAATCAAAATAAATTATTTGGAATGCTCTATCAATGTTAAACCAATTATCATAGTTCAATAAATCAGAGATATTATTAGTCATAATTACAATGCTTTAAATACTATAAAATGTGGGCTTCTTAGTAATAAATTCAGAATAATTTACAGTGTATTCCAAAATAATTCTTAAAATGAATTTAAATTACCTACATGATGCTTTTTACAAAGAGAACCCTTCAACCACTTTCTCAGAGTAATAAATTTTTAAGTGCTAGCTTCTTTAAATACACACAAACACACAGACTCCATTAACTCTCTTACAAAGTCACTGTCTTTCTATTCACCTTTTACAAAATAAGACTTCACAGTGAATTATAATTTAATAAGATAACTTTACACATGGTAGATCATCAACTGTTAAATTAAAATAAATAGATTTTAATGAATTTGAATGACTGCAGGCTTCCTTTGCTGTGGGTTTAAATATTCATGCTGCAGAATCTCTATTTCTCTTGCACAGTTCAGGTAACAAAAAGATCACAAGGAATGGGCTGGGCACTGTGCTCAATGCTTGGGGTCCAAACATGAAGACACACAGTTCCTACACTTCCTTACAGTCTAGTTACAGAGTAAAACAGTTCATATTGACTGTATACTTATGTGGTATTTGTAAGTGATATGTGTTTTATGGATCTTATTCTCACAATCGTGCTATGAAGTAGGTGCTAATATTACCCTTTTACTGAGACTTCAATAACCTTCCGAAGTCCAAGATTCCACAGCTATCAAGTGGTAGAGCTGGGATTGAAAGGCGCATCTGCCTGTTTCACCATGACGGAAGTTAGACAGCCTCCCCCAACACATCATTCTGATACAAGCAGGGCACTCCCATGCAGGCCAGGGAGTGGTACTACCTAGCAGGATTCCCCGGGGGCTAAGGGTGAGAGAGCTGGTTCTTGCCCAAGGCATCCAGGTGTAGTATCAGAGTGGGGTCTTGAAGCAGACATTGCCAAAGAGATAAGTGAGGAAAAAAGTTTCTCTTTGCTTGCTTTAAAGGTCTAGAAAACTGGTAGGCTAGTTCTAATTTACAGATTTATGGCAGAAATACCAAGAATTCCTTCAGAGAAGATCCTAGAGAAGGAAACAGGCTGACTGTCCAGTATGGACTTGGAAAATACAACACTGCCATGGCTGCTTGTATGAAGAGCAAAATGTCTTCACTGCATTGTGCCTTGAACTGCTTGCTCAGCTGCACTATGTTCCTGTTTTTCTGGTTTGTTTGGAACTTAAGAACTTTACTGAAAGCTATGACTGATGGAGACTCCAGATTCTTGCTTTTAAGTCAATTCATAACATCTTCCAGACTTCACTAGTACTGCACATTTTTGTCACTATTTAAAAAGCTGTGAGTTCTAGAACGAGAACAACAAAAAACTCTCCTGGTAAACATTCTGCTCATGGTGCTAGCCCTCATACTGCTATTTTTCTAAACTTCACATTGTGCCCTAAGAATGAACATTTCTTTTTCTCTTAATTGATATTTGGGAGAACAGGGCTCACTTTCTTCACATTAATCATGTCCCACCCCCTAAATCCTACTCCAAAACTTAGAGAAAAATACAAATTTGTTCATTTAAAGCTCACCTAATCTAGGTGCACTTTTCTCTTCATACATTAGCATAGTAAGTCAACATCTGGCAGGTGCTGCAGAAGCCACATGAAATAATCCTGTTAGCTTCCTAGGAAAACCTAACACAAGAGCAAAACCCTTATGCAATGAAAGAAAAACAAAGCACTGTCAGAAGACAGCAGAACAGGCCGGGCGCGGTGGCTCACGCCTGTAATCCCAGCACTTTGGGAGGCTGAGCCAGGTGGATCAGCTGAGGTCAGGAGTTCGAGACCAGCCTGGCCAACACGGTGAAATCCCCATCTCTATTAAAAATACAAAAATTAGCCATCCATGGCAGTGTGCGCCTATAATCCCAGCTACTCGGGAGGCTGAGGCAGGAGAATCACTTGAACCCGGGAGGTGGAGGTTGTAGTGAGCCCAGATCACGCCACTGCACTCCAGCCTGGGTGACAGAGCGAGACTCCATCTCAAAAAAAAAAAAAAAAAAAAAAAAAGACAGTAGAATAGGATCAGATGAGTAAGCAGAACAAGGATAAAGAAGAGTTTTTGTTACAAATACTTAGAAAAAGACAGAGCTCAAAAAGAAGCATTGCACATCCATTTCCTTGACAAAATTTGCATTCCAGAGCTCTAACTTTTCTTGTGAAACAAGATCTGTATGGATTTTTGTTAACTGACTAATTCTCTCATTTCTTCCCACTACTAGATTTTGAACCTTGTTTTCAAGACTTTCTCTTCTCTGTTTTCATTAGATAGAGACCTGCCCAGCAATTACTATAGAACATCATTTTGTCACATGTTTGGGCCCCCTTTTTGAAAGCAGCTATCACACCTTTCATACCTTCTACTCAAACACAGAACTCACTCCAACTTCTCGGACTTTTTGTCCATACTAGAATGAAGTTCTTTACTGAAATTTACTTAAGGCCACAAATTCTGCAAATTAGTCCCATTAAATAATGACGTCAAGGCCATAGTTCTTCAAACTGCAGATGAAATACATTCACAGTTCAGTACAGTACAGTTTACACTCATCTCCAAGTCTGAGATTAGGAAATTATTAACTGGTTTCCAACTCGTTTCAATAGTTGATTGAAGTTTAAATAGTTTTACTGTGTGGACTTTTTTATTAAAAAATAGTAAACAGCAATTCTTTTCCTGACTTTCTAAGCAAATACAGAGAAAGTAGGAACAAGAGGCAATAGAAAAAACAAGTACAGTTAACAGATTTGTGCCTTTTATATGCCATTTACAAAAAGAGAAGGGATTTCAGCATGTGCTTTGAAAATGCCTAGGAGCTAGTTTCTAAAACTGCACCATTACTTGCTATATGTTCTTTCTACATAAGGCATCCAATTCCTACAAACAAATACAAGTGTACTACCACTACAAAAAACTGGAGTGTTCTCCTGTTATGTGATAAAGGGCCAGCTTTATACCCTTATCAAAGTCACAGTGTGTGATCTGGAGGAGTGGTAGAATCACGCTAAAACATGACTCTCTGCACTCACGTGCTTGCTTGTCCACTAAAATTCTTCTATAAACAATTTGAGGTTAATGCAGAGGTACATTTATTTTTAAAAATCTATTTATATTTGATATTTTTCAAACATCATTTCATTATGTAGCACAAGTCCTTGATACACAGAATAACTCTTCCCAAGAAAATAAACACTACTAGAATCTCCAAGAGATAATTCTGGGGCTGGTTTAGAAACCCAGTTAATTTTCCCTCGTAGAAAGTTATTTTCTACTAGCTGTTGGGCTTACTACGTGGTGGTTTATGCACAAGCTATTCTGTAAATCTCAATGTCCTGTGCTAAACGTTCCTGATTACAAATTCAATCGCTTTTTTTTTTTTTTCTCACTCTGTTGCTCAGGCTGGAGTGCAGTGGTGCGATCTCGGCTCACTGCAACCTCCCGGGTTCAAGCGATTTTGGGGCCTCAGCCTCACCAGTAGCTGGGATTGCAAGTGTCTGCCACCACACCCAGCTAATTTTTGTATTTTTAGTAGAGACGGGGTTTCACCATCTTGGCCAGGCTGGTCTAGAACTCCTGACCTCAAGTGATCCACCTGCCTCAGTCTCCCAAAGTGTTGGGATTACAGGCGTGAGCCACGGTTCCCAGCCCAATCACTGTTTTTTTAAGTTAACATTGAATAAGAATTCCATCGCTAAAGTGGATACAACTTTTGTTTTCTTGTTTTCTTAAACTACAGAAGTTACTGGCCTTGAGTTTGGCTGACGTGGCATTTCCTGGGAGCTAACTAAAGATGCTCTTCCATAGTCAATTTGTGAACGGAACACAATCCTTATATCTATTATTCAACATTGAATAAGTTGTAAACACGCCTGGATAATTGGACTTATTAATTATGCAATGAAAACCAGAAGCGCATGGTTAAAAAGCCTTAGAGAAAAAAATCATTTTCTTTATATCTCCCTACACTTTCAGAAGCCAAGAAATGAGTTGCAGTTCTCTGAGTTAGTTAACAGAGCTGTATTGAATCAAAAGCAAATATTCACGTCTCGAGGCCTCTATTAAATTTCACAGCACTAGGCTCAAGTGACTGCTTTCCCTCCTCCTTGCTGATAGTCACCACTGTGAACAAAGCTTCTATCTGTAGAATCTTCTGTCACTCAGTTGTGATGGCATAGTAATAATAGGAACATCCTTTTCTTCCGGTGCATCTTTTCATCTTAAGAAGAACATAGTCAAAGAGTCTTAATGGTTTCAACAGTATTACAAGTGACTTAGGGAAACATACTCAAAGACTGTTAATGGGTTAGACAGTATTATAAGTGATTTAAGTCATCCTTACAGGTGGTGTCTCTAGTTACCTTTTGAAGAGGCTATAATCTTACATTTCTCTAAGAAGCCACTTAAAAACTGGTTTTCTCCTAAATCACACTTCTTTGGCAAGAAATTGAATTCATTAAGTGGCTCCCCAAAGTAAGATTCCCACCTCCCATCATAGGGAGCGATATCACAGCATTCATTTCATAAAACTTTTAAGTTCCTGTATTATGTTTATAGAATCAAGGCTCTTAGAACACAGGAGCCTTCTAATATTTGAAAACCTTAGGGGTACACGTGAGTGTGTGCCTGTGTGTATGTGCAGAGTATTTCCAAACTACTGTAAAGAGGTACCCCTATTTGCTAAGTTTCTAAGAACAGTTCAGTTCTCTAAAAAAAGGCAGTGCCAGAGGCTGCATGCTTTGTTTGACTCTCTCCCAGATAGTTCTTAGCATTAGATGGCTTTGGTTTTTCAGAAAACGGTTCATGGAAAGGTTTTAAGTGTATAAACTTAATTGTTTTCTTCCTAAACACAGAACTGAATTCAATTTCCACACCGATCTTCATGATGGCAAAAAATACCCCCAGAAACAGAAAGACAAGACTGAGGAGACTGTGGCTATTTTGGTCAGCTTCAGTTTCTTCATCTCCGTGGATTATCCTGTCTCCAGTCTCCTGAAGCCTTCCTTGAGTGACCTCACACAGAGGTCTCCAGCTGTCTCCTCCATTTCTTACAAAGAATATCCAGTATACCAGATGTAGCAAGGCCACCGGGGCTTGCATTTGCTCCCTGATCCTTTCTTCCTGCTGTTCTCAAAGAATTCAGTTTTAGACCAGGGCAGAGCATTGCTTCAGGTAGCCTGCTTCTTTTATACTGGATAATCTTCATCATCATCATCATCATCCTCTTGCTTGTATGCTTTTCTTAAGTAAAGTAAAACCTACTCACAGGCCCATGTTCTGCCAGGGCTGTAAGCCTTGTGAGCCAGGATGGTGCCCAGAGCCTTGTGGAAGCTGCTTCCTATCCTGGGCTATCTGCAGCCCGACTTGGGAGTTGTGGTTACTTCAACTGCCATAAGGCATCCTCCTCAAAGTGCAGAGCAGACCCTCTTGCCTCTAAAGTTCTTTGACACCACATTCACAAATTCACAAAGGAAAGTTGCTCCTGACACAGAGGCAAGGCTTTGGAGTGACAAGAAACCTAGAGACAGAAGAAGCTACTCTGTAATAATTCAACTCAGCACTGAAGATTGTGTACCAAAGAAGAGATGCCCACCTCCTTAGCCACACCGGCCATTAGCATGGTGCATGCAGAAAATGCCCTAGTAAATAACTGAGAGTGCCAAGGCAGAAGAGCAGCCTAGCTATGTGTATGTAGCACTCAGTTCTCTACCCAACAACCATTTCTATCACCTTGCACCAGCCACTGCAAGTCAGGTCCTCTGTTGCTGCAAGCATTCAGCATGACACACAGCGTCACTCCCCAGGACCCCAAACATTACAGTGGTCAGCTTCCTATGGGAATGGCTTCCCTCTATTCTCCCAACAACACTGCCACCTTGGCACATACTCAGCTTTTGTCACTGCTGAAAGAAAGGCAGGAATGAGTGGCCAATGACTAGGGGAATGAGGAGCCAGGGCTAAGGAGCTATAGTGAGGGAGGGAGAATAGGCAAAGGTGAAGGGCACAGAAACCAGCTGCAGCAAACAAAAGTCATTCGACTTAAGGAGTTCAATTGTATGCAGGAGTCTAGGCAGAGCCAGGGCTCTAGAACCAGATGGCATTCTGGTAAGAGCACATGTGAGTATCAGACAAGAGAACAGGGCTGTGGATCAGACTCTGGCAGGCTCAATGTAGCCAGTAGTTGTATGAATGGTTCACAGCTGAGACAAAGGATATGTAATGGAATAACCAAGACAAGAGAAAAACAAGTTATTAGGAGCACACCTCCAAATTAAGGAACCAGGAGTTCTGCTGAAGTTGCAGGGGCCGGGCAATGGAAGAAGAGTTACTATCAGCACCAAGACAGACCTAGATAACAGGTCTCAGGCCTAGGCTTTTATAAGATTTCTGTTGATGCAGAAGCTACTGACACTAGGCCAGATGGAAACAAGTAATTGGGAGCACCTGGTTGGCGTACGGAGTGGGTAGGTGAGAGAAAGCGCTAGCCTCTAGCAGGTAATCTTGCTAAGTGAATAGAGAGAGAGATTGAATGAGGCCAACGAGAGTGTCAATAGGAGTATCTTGAGCCCAAAATGGCAGAGCCAAACTTTGACACTGGAAACGGCCACACAACAACTAAAAGATGCTCAATATGGTTCAGCCCTATTCCCAAATAAGGGCCCCCTGTAGAGAGACCATGTCTGAAATATGGAGACAGCATGTCAATGTGGCAAGAATGTAGGTTTAGAATCAGACAAGTCTGAAACTCAATTCTGTCTCTTACTAGCTGTGACTCTGGCAGGTAACTTAACTTCTGTGAGCCTCAATTTCCTTATCTATAAAATTAGGTTGCCAATAACTTTTATAATAATAGATTTTGTCATAAGGTTTTGTAATAACTAAATTAGTGAGCATATGTATAGCAATTAAACAGAGTACCTGGCCGAAGACTCGGTGCTCAATAAATGGTAGCTATTATTATTCTTACAAATAGTCATAGTAGTATACATAATACCATTATTGCACATGGAAACACTCCTTTTTACATATATTGTCTGTAATAACAACAACATTATGAATAGTAGTATAGGCGACCCCAGACTTAACAACCTAATCTGTTTCTGGTAACGTCTGAAAGTCAAGCCACAGTAAGTTAAAGGCTGCTTATAATGAAATTTGCAACTTTACTCTGAACTCTGGTGTTATGCCAGTAAGTTGCATTTCATGCCACACAAATCAAACCATCACATCCTTTATCTCCCTCCCTCCTTCTCTCCTTGCCTTCCCTCATGTATTGCCAGCACTGACTGCAACATCCTGGCAATCACTTGGAAGGGAGTTGGCACTGGTGTAGGTCACACTTCCATCTCCATTATGAAGTGGTAAATACAAGCTTAGGTACTTACCACAAGGAGAGGGGGTGAATGTGAGGGGGGTAAAAAAAAATTTTTAGAGACAGGGTATTGGTATGTTGCCCAGGCTGGAGTGCAGTGGCTATTCTCAGGCACAGTCATAGCTCACTGCATCCTTAAACTCCTGGGCTCAAGTGATCCTTCCACTTCAGCCTCCTGGGTAGCTGGGACTACAGGTATGCATCACCATGCCTGGCTCAAGAATAAAAATTTTTTAAGTCAGATATGGTAATCTACAAGTTGTATCTTCTCATTTGAGAATCATCTACATTTGTACAGTGCTTTATAATTCTTATACATAAACTATCATATTCAACTTCAAAATAACTATAAAGGAAGCAGGATAAATATGATCTCTGGCTCACAGAAAATAAAATTTATGAAGCTCAGAGAGGTTCTGGTGACTTACTCCAGGTCACACACTGTGAAATGGTGGAATCAGGCTATAAGCTGGAGCTCTAGATTTGTAATTTGGTGCTTGACCACCATAATCGGTCTATGACCTGTGGGGTTAGTGCAGCAGGTACATTTATTTTTTTAATTCTATTTATATTTGATATTTTTCTCACTTGAAAGAAGCTCTGATTTCTTAGAAATGTAGCCTGCTTCTGAAACGGCCTCATTTCATTTTGTTAATTTTATAAATACAAAATTTAATTATATTTATGGAAAAATAATCTCCTCAAATTTGATTATTACTTCCATTGATTTTAATGTATCCATTATTTTAAAGTTACCTTGAACATATTAAATTGAAAATAATATGTGCATTGTATTATCTTGGAAAATATTTCCTTTAGGGACTAGTAAATTATTCACTTTACTACCCTCAGAGATAAATTATAAAAATGCTTTTATGAGTAAAATCATATGATGCTTATTGTGACAGTTTAAGGTTCAAAGTGGCCTCATATTTTAATTTTTTTAAATGGCACTTTTGTTTCTTACAAGTTAACAAAATTATTCAGCTATCTATAAAATAAATGTACTGTTTTATTCAAGGCCTATGTACTATGACATATAATATGTCAAAATGGGTCAGCTACAGAACTCTACAGTGGATAATATATTATTTTTTAGCCAGGCTGACATTTCTAGCTCAGCAGGAAGTTCAGCCAATTTTAAGGTCTTTAAAGTTTTATAATCTGGTTATCTGGCAATATTAATTATTAGGATACCCAATACCAATTTTTCTAGGGAGAAGTCAACATCTAAGCCAATACTTAAGACCCGTAGCTAGCTATCTTTTCATATTGTTCAATACCTTACACACACACACACACACACACACACACACACACACACTCTTTAATTCCTTTCTCTGAGGAAATCATCTCATATATTTTATCCCTAAACACAGTTTTAGCACAGATTTCTTTTTTAAAGTATAAAATCCCTCACTGAAATAAATTCCATTTGTTAGCTAGGAATGACGCTTTGTTCACTGCAAAAACAAACTTAGAGAAGCAATCGTCAAGATAAACAGAAGGAAGGAAACTAACTAATTGGTTCTAGTCAAAGAAACAAAGGCTTTCCATCTTATTCTTTGGCTGCTTTACTTTAAACACAATCACTTACCAAGTGGCAAAAATGCAAGACGGTTTCCAGCCATGGAGAGCTCATTGAGGCTGGGCAGCTGGCAGAGATGGCGCGGCACATACCATAGACGATTTCGGTCCACAGTGAGGTACTGCAGAGAAAGGCACATGTGAAGCCTCTCGGGTAAAGTTAGCAAACGATTGGTAGAAATGTCTAGTGTCTGCAGCTCCTTCAAATCGCCAACCTCTACAACCAAAATCAAAATTAGGATAAATTGCATCCTTATGAACTGAAATAAACAAAATGAATCAATATTATAACAGTTTAACCAAATGAAATCAGTAGCTGCGACTATTCCCATAAACATGAATGCTGAAGTGCAGGATTTTTGGTGAAAATGCAAATAATCCAAGCTAGGTGAGTGTTTTTAAATTACCCTGCCAACATTTCTTAAATGGAGAAAAGGGCTGGGTAGCATGGAGAAAAAAAGAGACACAAAGTGGTGAGTCTGAACCAGAAGTCTGTCACTATGGCTTCTGCATCTTGATGAGTCAAGTTTGTTGCCAGGGTGAGAAAAGAACAATTACAGTCATTTCAAGGAACCTGGTTTTTGCCACTTGTGTGATTTTACCATCCATCTAAGAAGAAAATAGGAGATTTATGAATAATAGCAATGAAGTAAGTGCAACTTGTTCATATGAGCTAAACAGATTTCTGGAGTAGAAATTAGAATGTCTTTTGGAAATTTTCACCATGGTAAAGATTGTAACAATAAAATGAGATACAGTTAACTAACATTTTTAGATACCGTTTAGGCATGCGGCACCTTTTAAAAAACCCAAAGTATACATACCCTATAAAGACTTACTTTAATTCCCAAATTAAATACTTCCATTTACTCCAAAATTCCCTCATCATTGATGTCTACAGTTGTCATCTCTTCCATGGAGAGTACAATTAGGTCCTTTTCATACATCAAATCACTTAAGACTTGAGTGAAGATTAGGAAGTTCCTTACAAGGAACTTAGTCCTTCTCAGGGAAAATCACCATTTTAGGGGAAGGACATTTACTGTTTCCCAGGTCAGCACATTACACTGAAGACCTACAGTCAGCACTGTGCAGGACAAGCCTACTTTCACATCATGGAGACTGAGACGTTGAAGACCACTGTGATACTATCTCTTGCCTTCTCTCATCCTGTCCCTGTTCCCGAGTCATTCCTCCTAGGTTAAGGTTTCCCCTTCTCTCATCCTGTCCCTGTTCCCGAGTCATTCCTCCTAGGTTAAGGTTTCCCAAGCTCTACCACTTGACAGTACCCCTCTGTGCACATTCCAGTTTGTACAACACTTGGATTAGTATTAGCAATGTCTTCTCTACTGGGTAAGAGTCTTCTGCCGTCTTGGATGCTCAATTAAACAGATTAGTTTTTCTCATTGCTACAGACCAGCTGGTGGTAAACTATGGCTCACAGGCCAAATCTAGCCCATGGCCTGCTCTTGTCCTGCCTGCAAGCTGAAACTGGTTTTTTACATTTTTAAAGGATGGTAAACAACAATAAAGACAAAGAACATGTGACAGAGAACATATGTGGCCTGCAACACCTAAAAATATTTACTATCTGGCCATTTACAGAAAAGGTTTGCTGATCTTTGCTATAGACTTTTTGTTAGTAGGAGGATTTAAAATAATTATTTTACTTTATAAAAGTAATACAAGTCCAAAATACCCTAACTTGTAGTTATTTTTCTAATATTTACGAATTTGTGCTAGGAAGTTCATACGTTACTGCTCAATTTCCTCAATACTGAACAAAATATACATCTGCAGTGGAGCGGGCAGGTAGGATTCAGTATACAGCCTGTGACTCTGAAAGGGAGTTTTCTACTTGAACTTAACTGGTGCATAGGAGAGTCAATTTCACGCTTGGCTCCACTGGCATAGTACTCCACCTTGCTAAGCCTGTCTATCTCTTTCACAAAACAAAAATGCTTCTGATTTCAGGGGTGTGGGGATAAAATATGAGGAAGAATCATCGTGTTTTATAAGTCATAAGAAGAAATACAAAGAAAAAAGAAAAAGAACTAAATTTAAAAATCAAAAAATGACTATGTGGGAGAGAAGAGTAACCAATCCCAGACATACCACAGCCCGTGTCAAGACAATGATGAGACAAGGCCTCTGCCATTGAGAAGCATATCACACACAACCGACGAGGTGCAAGAGGAGCTCAGAGAAGGTTATGTGAAGGCTTGGAGAAACTCTTCCAAAATCTGAATTTGGAGATGGGAATTTGAATAAGGCACAAAGAAAATGCATAAAGCATTCCCAGCAGGGCATGGCGGGGGGTTAAAACCATGAGGAAAAGCATGGAGGTGAAAAACTACATACAGCTTGCACAATGGGCTCTTTGGGGACCAGCAAATGACAGAGACACCAATGGGAGAAGAGCAGAAAATAAATTCAACAGAGAGAGAGAGAGAGAGCTTGGTGGAGACAGGAATGATAATAAATATTGGGTAGAGGAGCCTGGACTTGCTATTGTGAGAATATGACATCTCCCGAAGATTCTTAAAGGATGAAAGGATGTTTTTTGGAAAGGCTAGACAGGCAAATATGCAGAAAGCAATGATATGGAAAGAGAT
Organism: Homo sapiens; assembly: GCF_000001405.40. Classification (NCBI taxonomy): domain Eukaryota; kingdom Metazoa; phylum Chordata; class Mammalia; order Primates; family Hominidae; genus Homo; species Homo sapiens. The sequence goes on along the minus strand of NC_000015.10, from coordinate 99,331,524 downwards.
CCTAGGCTGACAAAACAAGTAGGCATTTGACTAGGACAGAGGCAGTGCAATAGAATTTGAAGACAAATTCCAGAGGTACTTTTAACAGAAGCATGAGGTAGGTTTGATCGGATATGGAAAATAATAAAATAGGAATAAGTCAAAGACAGGCACAAGCTTCTAGACTATTACACTCTAAGTGTGCTGATGCCAATGCTAAAAATTTATTTTTATAGAAAAACAATTAAAATGTCATCAATACCTCTGAATTGCATTATCTGCAAACCATCTACCTAAAGGTATTTGAAAAAAATCCATCAAAATTTACATGGCAGCAAGTAAAATAAATGATTTTGAACATATTTCAAAAATAATTAAATGTGCAAAAAAGTGTTTTTACATGGCTGCAAAAATTACTAAGGCTTGCACTTTTTTTGCGTTATTGTAAAATGGGGCAACAATGTGTGATTATGAATTTAAATTTTGATGAGAAATATTAAAGACTTAAGAAGCTTGATAAAAACCAAGTAGGATAAACACAGAGACCCACACCTATACACATCATAATCAAACTATAAAAGACAAAGATACATAAAAAATCTTGAAAGCATCAACAGAAAAATGACTCATCATGTTCAGAGGAAACAAGAAGATAACTAAAAATATATAGTTAAAAAAAGTCAGCACAGTAACTGAAATTGCACACTAAAAATATTTATCTAACATGAAAAAAGGCAATAAAAGGAGAGGTATGGGGAAAAAAATACAAGATATGTAGACTACACATAGCAAAATGGTTGATGTATTAATAAACACAATCATATCAATAATTACATTAGATGTGAACAGACTAAATAACCCACTCAAATGGGAAGGCTGTCAACCGCATAAAAAACAATATGCTATCCATAAGAAATACACTTTAGATTCAAAGGCACAAATAGGTTGAAAAGTAAAAGGATGGGAAAAATACCATGCAAAAAGTAACATAAGAGAGAGCAGCTATATTCATATCAGAAAAAAATAGACAAGAAATGCTATAAGAGGCAAAGACGAATATTTCATAATAGTAAAATGGATAATACTTTAGAAAAATAAGTCAACTATAAATATATAGACATGTAACGAGAGCCTAACATTATATAAAGCAAAAAACTGACAGAACTGGAAGGGAAAGCAGACATTTCAACATGATAGATGGAGAGTTTAATACATTACTCTCAATAAAAATAAAACAACTAAACAGAAAACCACTAAGAATATAGAAAACTTAAAACTACACAATCAACCAAATGGGCTTGGGCCAAAATCCTAAAAGACACACTCCTGACAACCATAATGCCAAATGTTGAAATCCTGAAAGATCCAAAATCAATAAAGTGTAAAATTTGAATGAAAATCACAATCCTGAAAGATCAATATCCCAAAAGTATAATTCTCGAAAGAATTTTTAAAAATTCCTTTTTTAAAAAAGACATGTATTTATTTTATAAAGAGGGTTTATTTTAGAAACATAAAAACCTAACAATACTTGATAGGTCACTTTACGCAATAAAATAGGCAATAAACATACATATTTTTTGCAAGCATAAACACTCAGATATATTAATCATAGGTGCATGGGTATAATAGTTACAAGCAGAAAAACCATATTCATAAGGAAATATGTCAAAAAGCAAAATGCATACACGCATACCACTATGGTTGGCGACCACGTGCAGCCAGCTTTATAACTGCAGTCAGCTGCATGAAATACCATGATGAACAACCTAAGTCTTCTGACGAGATCAATGAAAAACTATGATGGGTCAACCACTGAATATGCAGTTATCCATATCCAAAGAGCGAAGATCTCAAGAAATTTTATCTTTCACATATGCAGATGTACAAAATGGACATCTCTTCATTTACTGAGGAAGTTTCAACCTTTTCCACACATGCCCAATGCTTATACCCAAAGTTAACATTGTAATAATGTAATTTTATGGACTCAAATTTATAAAAATGCACACAATAAATTAGAACTCTCGAAATTTTTACACAATTTATACCTCCAGTGTTGGAAATTATGCGAAGATGGAATGCTCAGCATAACAAAGTGGCACTATGAGTGAAGGGGCAGAAGTTGTACACCACTGAAAAATTTGGCAGGGGAGATTTCTTGTATTTTTTACTTGCATTTTCACTTCTATGATCTTCAAAACTCTCTCCACTTATATTTGGAGGGTGGTTGTGTTCTACAACTTTTTGAAGTGTATGCTGTCTGTTTGAAAGTCTGGTTATGGCTTTACCATTACAATTAAGTGATTTTCTGTATTCACAGCACCAATTATATTTTAAAATTTATCTTTTACCATTAAGTAGCCTCATACACTTAATTTATCTCAGCGTTTTTGCAAGAGAACAATTTCACTGATCTGTTCCATTGTGTTAAAAGGAAAATGGTAAGAAGGAATGATACTTGGCTTCCCCAATACCAAATCTGTATTAGAGTTTTTCAAAGAGACAGAACCAATAAGATATGTATATAGATATATGAGAAGGGATTTATTATGGGAATCAGTTCATGTATGAGAAGTCCCATGACAGACTGTCTGCAAGCTGGAACGCTGGGATATCTACAGTGTGGCTCAGTCCCAGTCTGAAGGCCTCAGAACTAAGGATGCCAATGATGCAACTCTCAGTTTGAGATCAAAAGCCTCAGGACCCGGCGGGCTGCTGGTGTAAATCCTGGAGCCCAAAGGATGTCAAACCTGGAATTTTAATGTCTAAGGCAGCAGGAGAAAAGGCTGTCCCTTCTCTGAGACACAGACCAATTCACCTTCAGTATTTGTCCTCTCTGGCCTACTAGATAGTGCCCACCAGTAATGAGGGCAGATTTTCCCTACCTAGTCCACTCAGACTCATGTGCTAGTCTCCTCTGGAAACTACCTCACAGACTCACCCAAAATAATGCTTTATCAAGTTTCTAGGTATTTCTTAATTCAGTCAAGTTGACACCTAAAATTAAGGCCACGAGTCCACTCCTTGTCAACCTGGCACTCATGTGTCTCCTTAAACCACACCTAATTTCCAAATAAAGACAATAACAAGGTAATAGTTCCACCTAACATGATGCAACTATCCTGGTAAAACCAAAATGTACTAAAACTCCTTCCCTAGAATTCGGCTTTCAGGATTTCAACATTCAGGATTTTGATCTTTCACAATTGTGACTTTTAGAATTTTATATGTTAGGCGTTCTCATCTTTAGGAAACTCGATCTTTCAACATTTGGGGTTCTCACATTCAGGACTGTATCTTTCAGGATTATGATCAGCACTGCAAACAAACTGACCTAATTTGACATCTAAGAAGAACACTACAGCAGAATACACACATTCTTTTCAAGTGCACATGGTATATTCTCCAGGACAGACCACATGCTAGACTATTAAGTCTCACATTTAAAAGAATTTAAATCATACAAAGTATGTTCTCTGACCAAAAGGTAACTAAATTAGAAATCAACAACAGAAAGAAATCTAGGAAATCCCCGTATTTGGAAATTAAACAACACACTTCTAAATAACCCATAATAATAAAATAAATCAGAAGGAAACTTTGAAAATATTTTTGCCAAATAGAAACAACCAACACAAGATATCAAAATGCATAGAATGTAGCCAAGGAAATGATTAGTGGGAGATTTAAAGCTTCGAATGCCTATATTAGAAAAGAAAGTTCTGAAATCCATTTCCTAAGCTTCCACCTTTAGAAAAAAGAAAAAGTAAAAACTAAAATAAAAATAAGCAGAAAATAATAAAAATTAGAGTAGATATCAATGAAATAGAAATTAGAAAAGCAACAGAAAAAAAAGTCAATGAAAACAAAAGTTAGTTCTTTAAAAAGACAACAAAATTGACAAACCTTTAGCTAGACTAACCAAAGCAAATAAATACATACACAGAAAAGGAAAACTGACTTGAATTAGGAAAACTAGGAACAAAAGATGAAATATCACTATTAACTTTACAGAAATTAAAACGATTAAAAGGACATACTATAATATGAACAAATTTATTTCAACCAATTAGCAATTTAAATAAACATATTTCTAAAAAGATACAAATTACCAAATTCAAGAAGTCAATAAAAATCTAAATAGATGTATCACAAGTTAAAAAACTGAATTAGTAGCCTGGCACAGTGGCTCACACCTATAATCCCAGCATTTTGGGAGGTGGGTGGATCACTTGAGGTCAGGTGATTGAGACCAGCCTGGCCAACATGGTGAAATCTCATCTCTACTAAAAATACAAAAACTAGCTGGGTGTGGTGGTGCACACCTGTAATCCCAGCTACTCAGGAGGCTAAGGCAGGAGAATTGCTTCAACCCGGGGGGTGGAGGTTGCCATGAGCCGAGATCGTGCCACTGCACTCCAGCCTAGGCGACAGAGCAAGACTCTTGTCTCAAAAAAAATTAAAAAAAAACAAACTGAATTCGTAATTTTAAATCTTTAAATCCTCCCATAAGAAAAGACCAGGTCCAGATGGCTTTTCTATTCTAACAAATATTTCAATTCTATTATATATTTAAGGAGGAAATAATATCAATTGTTCACAAACTGTCTCAGAAAACAGGAGGAAAAACTTTCCAACTCATTCTATGAACATTACCCTGATACTAAAACCATACAAAAACATCATAAGAAATCTACAGACCAATATCCCTCATGAACATAAGTGCAAAAGTCCTTAACAAAATATTAGCAAATGAAAGCCAGCAACACTTAAAATGATTATTTATCATGAACAAGTAGGTCTGAGATGTTTCTGAGTGTACATTTTTTTAAAAGGTGGGAAAGAGAATCTACAAAAGCAGTAAAAAAAATACTGGCAGGCATCATGGACCAGAAATTGTGAGAAATTACTAGATGATAGAAAAGAACAGAAATTAAATTAAATACAGAAATACCACAAAAGAGTCAGCAGCATCAATAAAGTGTTAAAGCCTCGCTAGCCACCATCCACCCAAGCTAACTCAGCAGCCTGGTTCTTTCCACAAAGTTGAATAGTAACTTAGCTGTTTACTTGGCTCTTGCTTGCTCTGCCCCAGGACATGACCTTTTAAAGGGCAGGGACTGTCTTGCCCATCTTTGCAGTAACATGCCTTAGCTCTGTGCCTGGAACACAGGAGGCACCATTATCTCTTTGCTGAAAGAATAAACTAGAATGTGATTAATATGCTGTAAAATGATATCTGGACCCTAATGGGGGTCTGAAGATAATTTTCCAGGTAAGAAAGTATACCTTTTAAAACCTTTTAATCATTTTTTTTATTTTTTAAAAAGCAAAGAACATACCCTTATTTTATTGATATTTTATGAACTGGGTAATGACCAAATCTGGGAACACCACTGTAACTTACACCCTCTATAGAATAGAGAGAAATACAGAACAAAGGTAGGTGAGGGCCCCATAAGAGGCCACACTCCAAAATCCATACTGAATCTGTTAGCCTCTCCGAGACCTCTACTGTTGACACCAAGCTCAGCCTATTACCATCTCTTGCCTGAACTCAACCAACAAGCCTTCCCATTGGTCGTCTTCTTCTATTCTCACCCCTTCCAATCTATTTTCTACACAGAAGTCAAAGTGATATTAAAATATACGTCAGATGGCGGTCCTTCCCTGCCCCAAACTCTGCCCTGGCTTTCTGCTGCACATCAATAAAATCTCTAACACCGTCTTACTAGCAACATGGTCTCCAGATCAGCCCTGGCCCACCTCTCTTCCCCACAAGTGGGTCTGATGCTAGAAATGTAAGGTTGGTTCAACAGCTGAAAAATCAATGTAATACACATGTTCATGGAATAAGAATAAAGCATTTCACAAAATCTAAAATCCACTCATGATAACTACTCTCAACAAACTAGGAACAAAAGGCAACTCCTTCAACCAATAAGGGGCATCTACAAAACACCTCTAGCTGAGAACGTATGGAACACTACGTTAATGGTGACAGGCTGAGTGCTTTCCCCTTAAATCCCCCTTGTGCCTACAAGGCAAGGAGGCTGAGTGTTTCCATTGGTACCCAACAATATACTGGAGATTCTAGCAAAGGCCGGAAGGCAAAAACTGAACAAACAAAAAGCATCAAGAATGGAAGAGAAGAAGTAAAACTTTATTTACAGATAAAATGATCCTTAGTAGAAAATACTAATTAAGGGATCCACAAAAACTCTTAGAACTAATAAACAAGTTTTAAAGGGTTGCTAGATACAAGATCAATATTAGAAAATCAATTGCATTTCTATACATCAGGAAAAAACAATTCCAAAATTAAATTAAGAAAATAATTCCATTCACAACAGCACCAAAAAAAATTATATACTTGGTAATAAACTGAACAAAAGTAGTACAAAACTTATATGCTACAAACTGCAAAATACCGTTGAGAGAAATTAAAGAAGATCTAAATAAACAGAACGATATTTCATGTTTATAGATTTGAAGACAACACTGGTGAGATGGCACACTCCCCAAACTGATCTGCAGATTCAACACAATCCCTATCAAAATCCCAGGAGGCTTTTTTTGGTAGAAATTGACAGACTGATTTTAAATATTTATTGCTGTGTCATGCTGAAATTAATGTTGTATTCCTGACACAGAGTTACAATGCATTCTTTTTGGAATCCTGGTAGAATCCTACTCTTTTCACACCACTCCCAATCCTTTCTACCCCTTCCCTGGGAGCAAACATAAGTCTGTACACCTTATTTCCTTAGTGTCTCTAACTTTACAGTTGTTTGCATTGTTTACTTTTGTGCTAAATACACAATACCTTGAAACTTTTCAGCTACTTATAGAGTATTCTGAAAATGATTTTATTATTGCCACATAGTAATTACTTAGATTAGGCACAAAAATAACATTATGGTGTCAATTTCAAAAGAAAAACACAGTAAGTCCCCTTTAAATCATAGTTCTGTGCTGATGCACAATGACCTAACCTAAAATTTAAATGGGAATGGGAAGGAAGCCACCCACTCCACACCAAGCTAGTGACCACAGAGAGTCAATGACAGACTTGATATTTTTAAGCACTTGCTTTTTCCGGTACCACTAAAAATAGCTCTAAGTTGAGCTCCAGAGCACACTGGGTTGAGAACATACAGAAATCCCCCTTTATCCGCGGTTTAGCTTTCTGAGGTTTCAGTTACCCACAGTCAACTGCAGTCTGAAAATATTAAATGGAAAATTCCAAAAATTAACCGTCCGTAAGTTTTAAATTTCATGCCATTTTGAGCAGCATGATGAAACCTCATTGTATGAATCAGCCCTTAGTCCAGTGTACCCGCCCTGTCTACCCTCCTCGCCCATTAGTCACTTAGTCATTTAGGGTATTAGCTCCAGAAAACGTAGTGGATATAAGGTTGAGTGCTATTTGAGGTTTTAGGCACCCACGGGGGGTCTTGGAACATACTCCCACAGATAATAGGGGACTACTGTACAAATAAATAAAAGACAACATTTCAATGCCAAATTCCATTTGGTGTACAGTAAGTCTTCCTTTTTATATCCATTTTCTTTCTCTTGAGCTGTGGAATACACATACTCTGGTACGTACAAATAGGTTCAAACCATAATCCTGTTACTTATTGGCCATGCAACTTTGGGTTATTTACTCAACTATTTAGATCATCGAATTGCTGTTAAAGAAAAAAGAGTAACACCTAACTCAGGAGATTAATAGTGATTAAAATATCCCATATAATTCAATAACAATAACAGAAAAGTTAGTATTTACTTCTAATTTTTCAGTTCATACTACAAAATATTCCAAATGTAAACTCAATATAAATACTTCTGTAATTGATGAAGTTTTTTATTATCAAAATAACTGCAAACACAAACATGTTTGTTAACTCTAACACAGAGAAAAGGGCTCTTTATTGGGAGATAGATGACTTTCAGAAACTGTGAAGCACTATCTTCCTTGGACAATTAAAAAAATTAAAAGCAATTCAGATTCACTTGAAATATTAGTCCATTTTTAAGGCTAAGAACAGCATTCAGGATGTCCCACACACTTAAGTTAACTGCAATTATCAAACAACGCAACCTCTTAGACATTCCTTGTAACAATTGGGATCGAATCCTAGATATAGTCTAAAATCATTTTTTAAAAAGCAGAATTCATATCTTCCTAAGAAGGAGTTTAACCTGACTCTCTGATATGAGGATTAAAATCCTTTAACACCAAATTATTGTACTTATATTTTTAAACCCAGACTGGTCACTGCAAATAAGCAGCCTAGCTAGAAAGGACCTGGTCTCTACACGTGGGGTGAATCATGCTCACAGACCAGGGAGCCAAAATCAAACTGTGGTAAATTATGCTTAATAATACAAATAAACTTTGATGCTTCTGTTCTGAGATGTTTCTGAGTGTACATTATTTTAAAAGGTGGGAAAGAGAATCTACAAAAGCAGTAAAAAAAGATACTGGCAGGCATCATGGACCAGAAATTGTGAGAAATTACTGGATGATAGAAAAGAACAGAAATTAAATACAGAAATACCACAGAAAAATCAGCAGCATCAACAAAGTGGTCAAAGCCTCTGCTAGCCACCATCTACCCAAGCTAACTCAGTAGCCTGGTTCTTTCCACAAAGTTGAATAGTAACTTAGCTGTTTATTTGGCTCTTGCTTGCTTTGCCCCAGGACATGACCTTTTAAAGGGCAGGGATTGTCTTGCCCACCTTTGCAACAACATGCCTTAGCTCTGTGCCTGGAACACAGGAGGCACCATTATCTCCTTGCTGAAAGAATAAACTAGAATGTGATTAATATGCTGTAAAATGGTATCTGGACCCTAATGGGGGTCTGAAGATAATTTTCCAGGTAAGAAAGTATACCTTTTAAAATCTTTTAATCACTTATTTTATTTTTTAAAAAGCAAAGAACATACCCTTATTTTATTGATATTTTATGAACTGGGTAATGACCAAATCTGGGAACACCACTGTAACTTACACCCTCTATAGAATAGAGAGAAATACAGAACAAAGGTAGGTGAGGGCCCCATAAGAGTCCACATTCCAAAATCCATACTGAATCTGTTAGCCTCTCCGAGACCTCTACTGTTGACACCAAGCTCACCCTATTACCATCTCTTGCCTGAACCCAACCAACAAGCCTCCCCATTGGTCTTCTTGCTTCTATTCTCACCCCCTCCAATGTCACAGAAGCCAGTGATATTAAAATATACATCAGATCATGGTCCTTTCCTGCCCCCAGACTCTGCCCTGGCTTTCTGCTGCACTTCAATAAAATCTCTAACACCATCTTACTAGCAACATGGTCTCCAGATCAGCCCTGGCCCACCTCTCTTCCCCACCTCGCTACAATCTAATTACCTTGTCCTTCCTTCTGTCTGGCCCAATGAAGTGTCAAGTTATTTCTTCCCTTGGAGGCTTTGAATCTGCTATTCCTCGGTCAGGAATGCTCCTTCCCAACCCTCCCAACCGTAGACTCTTTCTTGTGTTTCAGAATGTTACCATCACATTTTCACAAAGGCCTTCCCTGACTTCAAGCAGATTCCCTATTTCTCAATTGTAGCATCCTATTTATTCCCTCCCTGCATTTACTTATTTAATTACTTATTCATTTATTTACATGTCAAACCACAGTGTGTACCTCCCACTAGAAAATAAATTTCATAAGAACAGGGGCTTTGATTTTATTTGCTGCTATATTCCCCATATTCCTAGCACCTAGCAGAGTCTAGCACATGGTAGGTGCACAGTAAATATTTTTTGACTTAATGTATTCCTTAAACTACCTCACTTGTTCAGTGGCCGCAGACCAGACTTGCAGCTGCACACAAACCTCACACTTATGATTCAGATTTGTTGCTTAGCAAAATTACAACAGTTGTGGACTTTTGAGGAAACTCACAAATCCTTGGAGGAAAAAAAAGTGAAATCCAAGACTGCTAGAGGTTTGTTGCACATTTAACATAATTTAAGTTTTCCTTAATGTCTTATAATTATCTCTGTGAATGCAAGTGATGGGAGTATTCTATAAGACATTACTGACCGAACGCCAGCTGCCCACAAGCTAAATAGCCCCAGTCTCTTACGCATTTTCAAATTTGTGTGTGTGATCTGCTATATAGCTGACACAGTTTTACAGAAATAAATGTAACATGCATAACTTAGACTATACAATAACATAACTAAATTTTCAGCAGGCATGTCAGAAGTCACGTAAGCAAATAAATATTGCCCTTCAAGATCATAAACCAGCAAAACCAATCCAATGATATGTGTTCATTCATATTTTTGAAATTTGTTTTGAAATTCCCTTAAGATCTTGATATAGAATTTTTTCATGGATTCTAGGGATCAAATCTACCCCCAAAATGATAAGGATATGATACCATCAATTATATTGAGAAGAACATGCCTCAAACTCTGAAGGCAAGTCTAAAGGAAAACATTTTTTTCATGTTTAAACAAGATTGGCATCCTCTGAGTAACATACTCAATGACAGCTCAGAGGCATTCTTGTAAGAATGATGTTCTTTTGTTTTTGGAATTATTTAGAAACTCGATTAGATCTTATTTGAACTTAAAAACCATGGAGTCTTTTTGGAATAAGTGTATTTTCAAGATTAACTAATCTGAAGGAATTAACAATGATCTGACTTTATAAATTTGGAATCTGGGTGTATTTGTTTAACTATTACATCATTTTCACATTTGAGAAGGTACAACCAGATCCACCCAGTTTGGCAAAACCAAATCTATGCCTTACCTGGTCTATTTGATGGGCCAGAAATAGTTTGATTTTGGTTCACATCATGATCCAGTAAGTCTGAAGGGGTGACTGCTTGTAGGGCTCAAACAGCACCAGCATATTTCTCCATGCTCTTATTACACTCCATTATAGCTGCATGCTTACTAGCATGTGTTCCCTCCTATAATTCCAAGTGCATAACATGTTTCAAAGGCACCAGGAGTTAACCAGGTGTTGGGAAACTTGCTTTGGAACCTATCCAGCAATTATTTTGGCTCTAAAGAGTAATGGTCTACAAATTTAAACATGAACTCATGTTTATTTTTTTATAACCCTTAGTAATACACTACTTAGGGTCTGCCAGTATAGGACACAACTGTCCATATTATAAGAGGCTTGCTATATATTCATAACTTTTGAATGTGTGGCAGGTTATATTTAGTAACAAATGACCATAACTTAAAGTTAGGAACAATACCAGGAAGCACACGGAGAAAATCTATTAATTATGCATTTGTCTAATATAAGCAATATACAAGAAGAACTTAAAAAAATTATATTAGCAATTAACAAGACCTCTTAACAGAATACTATATTTATAAAAGATAATTAAATATTATTTGGGAGCTTTAAAATAAAATGCTCCCGGCTGGGCACGGTGGCTCACGCCTGTAATCCCAGCACTTCAGGAAGCTGAGAAGGGCGGATCACCTGAGGTCAGGAATTGGAGACCAGCCTGGCCAACATGGTGAAACCCCATCTCTACTAAAAAGTACAAAAAAAATTAGCTGGGCGTGGTGGCGGCCACCTGTAGTCCCAGCTACTTGGGAGGCTGAGGCAGAGAATAGCTTGAACCCAGGAGGCAGAGGTTGCAGTGAGCTGAGATTGCACCACTGCACTCCAGCCTGGTTCTGTCTCAAATAAAATAAAAAATAAATAAAATAAAATAAAATAAAATGTTCCCAAACATATGACATCTGAGAAACGTAAGAAAAATGAATTTGATTTAAATATTTATGTCTAGGTGCCAAGCTTGCCAATTAATTCCCAGTAGAAATTTTTAAATGTTAAAGACAGTAATTTAAAAAAAAAAACCACACTGTTTTGACATTTTACCTCGTGCTTTGTGTGTGACTAGATTATGCACTAGAATTTCATTCAGTATTCTTCCAAATAAGTTATTTCCCAGGTGTTCGCTGGTATCTAACCAACTAGTCAATAAAGTATTCTTGCTAAGTGACAATTATAATATAACTAACTGCTAGAGAGAAATGGCATTTATCTTTTTCAGATATATTGTCTTTGATTTTTAAAAGCATTTATTCTAAAAGTTAGCATCTTTGTTATCGCTTTGTGTCTGTACATGGATTTCTATTTGGAAAAATCCTTTATCTTCCTCATTCTTCAAGATTCATGGAGACCACATACCCAGATTTTCATTTTATGTTTTATTTTAGCGATGGTCAATTTTATAGACTTCTTCTAGGGAGGCTTTTTTCTCTTTACTGAGTTAGCACAATGGAGTTTTTAAGCTTTGACCTGAATGAGGCCACTAGGTGTCTATTGTTGGTATAAAACTATTATAATCATTGCCTTAAGAAATATCACAGCATCATAGTCCAGAATAAAAATTTATTTTTTAACTTTACTACTTTGCACAGAATAAGTAAAAGTAATCTCTATTTTACTTGCTGGAAAGAATGATATAATAATGATGACTGCTTTCATCTCACTTTCCAAATTCAAAACAGGAAGAAATTTTAAAGGAAAACATTTTAGTGCATATACATTTCAGATTACCAAACTGATTCACTCCAGTTTCTTTCTTTGAAATTCCCATAAAAAATTACCATGAAAAATAGAAAGCGGTTGATGACCTCCACTGATAGAACATTTGGAAACCACTGGAAAAACACATGCACAACACAAAAATTATCTAGTTTAAAAAAAATCTCTCAATTAAAATACTTCCATACTAAATACAATATATAATTTTGATTTCTAAATATTAATATATAGCCTTTGTAAGAAACAATAAGAAACTCACATCACAATTTACATGAAAAACATTGCATTAGAGATTTCTGAATAGGCATATATTGGTTATTAATCTTAATACAAAAGCAAAGTCTCTAAATTTACTGCCTGCTCTTGTTTAGAGTTCTCAGATAACCACCTACAGAGTGAAAAAAAAGACTCAAAAATGATTAATATCAAGGGTAGAAATGAAATGTGGCACAGAAAGATGTTATCTTTTCATTTCAAAATTTCCTATGCTGTTTAAACTTTTATTTCTATTGCTATGAACTACTTCTATAATAAAAATTAATTATTTAATGGTGCCTCCTCACACACATTGGGATTCCTCAGAACAAGAAACACAACAATTGTAAGCACCTGTTATATTTTTATTTATTAGTTGTATTTACTTTAGCTAAGAATTATCACACTGAAATCTGTGATTAAAATTCTAAAAATTTGAGTTTCCTAATGATATTCTGGTTCACTGCAACAGAAAACAAAAATTTAATAAACGTGTATATATAATGCTTTTATGCAAATCTATATTGCTGAGGGTCTCACAAGTTCTGTCATTATAAAATTTTTTTAAATCTCAAATTTCATACAGTTTCTGTCAATTACAAGTACTATAGAAAATTGTATGATGCTTCTAATGAGAACACATAAAAACGTATTTCTTCAGATTTCTGTTTATTCCCAATCTTTGCAAAAATACTACAAAGAGGACTACTGCTTTGCTGCAAGGCAGTCAATACATACCAGAATTCAAAATCTTTTATTGTGTTCTACCAATCTTTTGTTGTGCACTGCATCAACAAAGCTTTTAAATGCTCCTCAATAATAGGAAGGAAGTAACAAAACAGTGGAAAAGAACAATAAAACTTGTATGTTTATGGAGAATAGCAAACAGTTCAACGCTGCAGAGATGACATGTGTTTTATAAGTCATATTTTTTTCAGAAATGCTTTAGTTGCAAATAAAATTTCCAAGAATATTAACATTTTCCAAATTAAGTTTATGTTCTACTCTCCTATAATATTTGAACTGGCAGATTAGCAAAATATAGGAATTATTTCAAAACAACACCCCAAAAAGCAACTTAAAAAAAACAAAAGAAAGCTGACATCTAATTTTTAAATTAACTTTAAGTAAAACCAAATGTCTGTAATAATTTTTACTACTGACCTTATGGAACAACACACATCTCAAGTAGCGGTTAGTCCAACTGTGTTCACAGGAACACCAGTTCAGAGCAATGTTCTCATGGTCTATTAAGTTTAGGAAAAACAATACATTATACAGTTTACTGTAATACACATTAGCATATCACAGAGCATTATCAAGTCAGGAAACCCACTTAATTGTGATTCACCAGCAGGTTCCCATACATTTGGCCACCGCACACTTTTTCATAGAACATGTAAAGAAAGTTTGGAAAAGGTTGGTTATCAACATTTTAAGGAACATTTTCCCTAGGTATTCCATCAGAAAGGCATAGACATTTTTAATAGTAGCTCTAATATTTTTTCCTTTTATACAGGAAAAATAAAAAGGAATTATTTTGGACCCTGCTCAAGGGAAACGAAATGAAAATGGGATGCTAAATCCTAGTCTAATACTCATGGTCACTGGCATACTTGCGTACACGCAACATTTATGAGGCTCTGACTATTATCACTTTAGGCTGTGCTTTAAAAAAAACCTTCCCCACCTCTCCAAAAAAAAAAAAAAGGCCCAGTAGGTGGCTCACACCTGTTATCCCAGCACTTTTGGAGGCCAAGGAGAAGGATTGCTGGAGCCCAAGATTTTGAGGCTGCAGTGAGCTATGATCATGCCACTGTACTCCTCCAGCCTGGGCAACAGAGCAAGACTTCATCTTTAAAAAACTAACAAACAAAAAACCTTCCCTGGTGTCCAAGCTTGTATCCGCCAGGGTCCTTTCAATACTTTACAGATACTGTTTTATTCTTGTAGTTCTCCTGAAGGATGTTCAAAGAGTTTTTTTTTTTTTTTTTTAAGAGTTTTCTATTTAAATCCTACCTCAAATCTCTCTTTGCACAATAATTCTCTCCTATCATCCATTAATTCTCTACTTTCTTCCCTATAAGCAAAAACAGGCCTTCAGCCCCCTATGGCACATGTTCCCAATACAGTAATAGAATTTAAAAGTTCCTCATAAAATATGGAATGAACTGTATCCATAATTTCCTTCAAATCTTTCCACCAAAAAAATGACTTTCCTTATTCCCTAATTCCCTATTTCCTTATTCCCTAATTCCCATTTCTCTAGTTCCTTATTAGAGGCAAGTGGTTTCTACCACACAAATTCTTCACAAGAAAAGGGCCAGATAGAATGCTAGAGTAAATAAAATTAAAAGGAAAAAAAGAGCACTCTGTTTTGAAATGAGTCTACAAAAACATGGATACAACTACTGTTCAAATAATTATTTCCTTTGTATTCACTTTCATTAAGAGATATAAGTAGTATATATAACAAATTATATTTTATGAGTAACCAAAAGTATGGATGAAATGATTTTTATATAACCTTACATTCAGAAATATTGTCAACATAGATACAACAAACTTTATAAAAGGCTTACTGGTTGAGCCAATATAGCATTAATATCTAAATGTTTTATTTAAGTTAAAATTTCTAGAAAACATGAGCAGATTCCATTAATAGCACACAAAAGTTGTTAATTTGATGCTTTACTCAACTTTTTAAAATGTATGATGCTTTTTGTTACGAATTCATAATTTAAAATAAGAATTTCATGAGTGGGAAACAGGCTTCTAGTAGGTGAAGATAATGTTTCTTTTTCTTTTTTTGGAGACAGGTTCTTGCTCTGCTGCCCTAGCTGGAATGTACGACTCACTATATCCTGGAATTCCTGGCCTCAAACTATCTTCCTACCTCAGCCTCCAGGTGTGAGCCAGATGTCTGGCCTGAAGATGGTATTTCTGATACCTTACCTTAATCATGACTATTATCATAGTTGGTGCTTAACAAAATTGGGGCCACAGAGTAGCAGTCAACTTCAAACCTTTCTATATGGCCTCCTTCATTACCCATAAAATAGCATTAGCTAATTTGTACAAAACCAGGTAATAGCTGGAAAAAATTAAAAAGAAAAAAATGATTGGTTCAAAATATATGGACAGCATATGAGTCTCTAATTGTTTCAAAATTGAGTTTAATCAACAAACAAGCATATGGACTGTCAATAGCACTACTGGCATGAGATCCTAGAATTCTGTTTCCCACCATAAAAATTTTAGGATAGTAGTAGTGACTTTCCACTGGAAGTTCATTTTAAGCCTATAATAAGAGAATAAGAAAGTTCATTTGGTTAATGATTCAAAACACCAAGAAACTTTCTATCACAGAAACAATACAGAAACAGAACCTAAACAATGACACTATCTAAACAGCACCTAAAACAATAAAATGAATTTACTTTCCTGTTACCTAGATATTACTGTCTGTTGATCGCTGCTGTCCTCAAAAACTAAATTATGTATAATATTTTAAATAAATAATCAACACTGAAATTATACTGTGTCCTCTGGTAATTTTTATAAGAACTGCATGATTCCTTGTTTAATGGTAAAAATTTTTTTTCATCCTCTGAAGAGCTGAAAATCTATGAAAAACATTTTCTAGCTTTTACTATTTTATTCCTTTGGAGTAAAGAGAATAAAAATTGATGTCAAATAACACCCTATGTAAATAAAATCCAAGATTTAAAGTTGTATATACATCTTATTGCTTTCAGAGAAAGCTACAACCAAAGATTTACATTTGTCTTTAGCTATATGAATCTGCAAGAATGAAGTAAATTCCATTGTCCTGCATGAGCCACACTTCAAAAAAATGCTAATACCAGAAAGATTTCTGTATGTATGCTTGCACTAAGAATAATTCGCTAAAATGACAAGTTAAAGGCTACTTTCTCCACTAGAGATTGATGTTCAAACATCTTATAGAGGAACTTAAAACCCAGGTTAGGTGAAGGGGGTAAGAAGGCTTTCATACACTTTAAAGCAGTTTACGTACCCAAACAAATACCATCTCAGTAAATGAAAGAACATAAAAACATATTCCCAATGTTTTTGTCAGTAACTGTGAACACAGGAACTTACCCAGTAACTTTAGAATAGAAGTGCCAGAGAATCAGAGATGATAAAATATTGTTACAAATTCATGACAAAATATGGATTCCGCAGCTCTGTGAGCTCCTTACATCTTTACAAAATTATTTATTTATTTATTTATTTATTTATTTATTTAGAGACAAGGTCTCACTCTGTCACCCAGGCTGGAGTGCAGTTGTGTGATCACAGCTCACTGCAGCCTTAACCTCCCAAGCTTAAGTGATCCTCCCACCTCAGCCTCCCAAACAGCTGAGACTACAGGCATGTGTCACCATTTCCTTGCTAATCTTTTATGGAGACAGGGTTTCATCATGTTCCCCAGGCTGATCTCAAACTCCTAGATTCAAGTGATCCACCTGCCTCAGCCTCTCAGAGTGCTAGGATTACAGGGATGAGCCACGACACCTGGCCAATATTTTTAAATAGCTAATTAAATAAATGGCTTGAGAATATTTTGGAAGAATAGCAGCCTAAGGCATGTGACAAACTCAGCGAAGTTTCTCCACCAAAAACAAGCTTAACACTGGACAAAACTCTGAAAAACAACTATTCATAACTCTAGAAATCAACCAAAGGCAGAAAATAAATTCAGTAGTGTTTGTTCATTCAAGAACAGTGGAAGTCTGCAGCCTTTTCTTGGTTGGGATGGCTCCTGTCACATCCTACCCCCAGCCCAGTCTACAAGAATAGCAGTTTATCAAAACAGGGCTAAGGAAACCAAAAGCTTGGCTACCAGAGAGAGCACCCTCAATTTGGGGCAGGGGACAAAATCCCACAGCTTTGTCCCCTAAAACTGGCAAAATCCATAAGGAAAAGAAAAAAAATGTCAACCAAGAATTCTACATACAGGAAAACTATCCTTCAGCCATGAATTCAAAATAAAGGCATTCTTAGATAAATAAGAAATGAGAAAATTAGTTGCTAGCAAACCTGCCCTATAAGAAATATTAAAAGGGCTGAAAGAAAATGATTATCAGATGGTAATTCAAAATAACAGGAAGGAATCAAGTTCTTTTGAATTGCTTTATGGCCTAGCATATATGATCTATCCTGAAGAATGTTCTATGTGTGCTGCAGAAGAATATTCTATGTGTGCTGCAAAAGAATAATGCCTTCTGCTTGTGTTGAGTGGAGAGTTACCTTAGTTCAAGTTGGTCAACAAAATTGTTCAAGTTTTCTATATCTTTACTTGTTCTCAGATGCCAAGAGAGGACTATTAAAATCTTCAACATAATTGCGTTGTTTATTTCCCCTTTCAATTCCAGGTGTGAGCCAGATGTCATTTTCTGCTTCATGTATTCTGGGCCTCTTTTGGTAAGTGCATCTACATTTATAATTCTTATATCTTCCCAATATACTGATCCTTTTATCATTATAAATTGTCCTTGTTTAGTTCCAATATTTCTTGTCTTAAAGTGTATTGTGTCTGTTATTAAAATAGCTACTACAGCTATTATTTCCTGTTTGCAAGGTATATCTTTTTCCTTCTTTTTCTTTTGGCCCTATTTGTGTCTTTGATCCTAAATTGTACCTCTTCTGACAAAATATAGTTTGGGTCTTGCTTTATGACTAAGTTGGAAAATCTCTTCCTTTTGATTGTAGTGTTTAGACCATTCACATTTAATGTAATTACTGATGTTGTTATATTTACAATTGTGATTCAGCTATTTTTAAAATTACGCCTCATGTCTTTTTGTGTCTCTGTTTTTCCATTCTATTTTTTATCTCATACAGTCATGAACCACATAACTACGTTTTGGTCAACAATAGACCGCAGAGAAGACAGTGGTCCCATACAATTATAATGTAGCTAAAAAATTCCTATCACCTACTGAGAGTTGTAGCCATTGTAACATTGTAGCACAACTCATTACTCACGTGTTTGTGATGATGCTGGTATAAACACAAACCTACTATGCTGCCAGTTGTATGAAGGACAGCACATACAAATACTGTACATAATAACTGATAATAAACAACTCTGTTACTGGTTTATTAATTAGACTATACTTTTTATTTTAGAGTGTACTCCGTCTACTTATAAAAAAAATTAATTGTAAAAGAGCCTTAGGCAGGTCTTTCAGGAGATAGTGCAGGAAAAAGCATTGTTATCATAGGCGATGACAGCTCCATACATGCTGTTGTCCCTGAAGACCTTCTGGTGGGAAAAGATTAGAGGTGGAAGACAGTGATATTGATTATCTTGACCCTGTGTAGGCCTAGACTAATATGTGTGTTAGTGTCTCAGTTTTTAACAATAAAGTCACATTGTGTTATAATTGCCTATAGTATTCAGTATAGTACCATGCTGCACAGGTTTGTAGCCTAGGAGCAATAAGTTATACAATATGGCTTAGTGTGTAGCAAGCTATAATATCTAGGTTTATGTAAGTGTACTCTATGATGTTCACACAACAACAAAATCACCTAACAACACATTTCTTAGAATGTATTCCCATTAAGCAGTGCGTGACTGTAGAAATATTTGTGTATTGTTTTAACTTCCTTTATTAATTTTTTAGCTATAATTCTTGAGGGTTTTTTTAGTGAGTATTCTAGGAATCACAATACACATCATTAATCACAATATATTTCAGGTCAATATTGGCTTAATTCTGGTAAAACACAGTAACTTTGCTCCAGTATAGCTCTGTTTCCACTTTCCTCACTGTTACGACTATGGCTTTAAATAATCTTTAGGGTTTTTTAAAAGAAATTAAGAAATATACATATTCAGCCCTTTATATTTCACATACATTTACCATATCCGATAGATCATATTCTAGAGCAGGGGTGGCACATTTTTTCAGTAAAGGGCCAGATGGTAAATACCTTAGGCTTTGCAAGCCATGTACAGATTCTGTTGCATATTCTTGGCTTTTTAGAGTACTCTTTAAAATTTTTAAATCATTCTGAACTTGCAGGCAATTACAAACAACCACAAAAAGACCAATGACCAGATTGGGTCTGTGTGTCATAGTTTGCCAACCCATGTTAAGATATAAAACAAGTCTTCATACATTTCCTTTTTAAAACTGAAAACATACAAGAATATAGCCTGACCACAACAGAATTAAATTGAAAATCAACAACAGGAAGAAATTTGAGAAATGTGCAAACACTTGGAAATTGAACAATACACTTGTAAACAACTCATGGGTAAAGAAGAAATTGTGAAGAAAATTAGAAAATATATTTGAAATGAATGAGAACGAACACACAACATATCACAATTCACGTAAAGCAACGAAAGAAGTACTTAACCTGAAATCTGAAATGCTCTAAAATCCAAAGATTTCTGAGTGCCAACATGATGCCACAAGTGGAAAATTATACACCTGACCTCACGTGCCAGGTTGCAGTCAAAATGCAAGTACACAACACATAGTTTATTCCATGTCCCCAAGACAGAAAAGACCCTCCCAGTCCCCTTTAGCTGAAATATATCTTTTCTGTGCATGCCCAGATAGCTCCACGCAAGCAAACCAAAAAGGGTAGTGAAATGGCATGTGTGCAGACTAAGGACACCAACGGCAGGTTCCCCACCATGACCCACACAGGGCCAAGACCTACGTGCATTACTCACTGTGGTTTTTTGTTTATTCTCTGCTTTGTGGTGTAAATATATTGCTGAAAATGTCAAAAAGGCCTGCAAATACCTCTGTGGGTAACAGTGATAAGAAAAATAGGAAGCATTTGTGTTTATCTACAGCACAGAAAATCAAACTGTTGGAGAAAGTGGACAGCCGTATTGCGTGAAACACCTTACAGAAGAGTATAGTGTTGGCAGGCCACCATGTATGACTTGAAGAAATGGAAGGATATGATTCTTAAATCTCTTAATTTATAACAGTTCTCCCTCTCCTTTCTTCATTTTCATGTCTTTCGCTTACTTACACGGATTTTTGTCTTACAGAATTTTCAACACCCTCGATTTGGTTTATTGTGCCTTCTTTGTGTCATCAAAAATACTCACTTATCCCTGTTCACTTTTCTTTGGCATGATTACATTATAAGGAGAGGGTTACACCCTTCCAATTTCATCACACTGGGTAGTAGAACATAATGTCTGCTTGTCTCACTTCTAGTGAAGTTAAGATTAACTAGTAGATTCTAGTGTTATCAGCCTGATCCATTCAATACAAAGCTTCCTATCAACTTTTTACCTAATGGTTCAGGAAGCTATTAATGATTTTGCCAAGATATTTCATTAGAAATTACAAATGTTGGTTTTTAAAATTCCATCATTCCTTCTATATGTATTAACTATAATTATTCCATGTAGAAAAACTCTCCCACCTTCAACTATTCAGTTACCCTGAAAAATAGTTGTTTTAGAAAAAGGCAGAAAAATGATTCTTTCCCTTTAAATTTTGAAGAACAAGTTGGTAGTATAACAACCTCCAGAGTTTACCAACAAGTTTTTAAGAGCACCATTACAAACTCATACATGTTTCTATATCTGATATGTTTTAATACATTTCAGTCATAGCTTTTTATGCTTAACAGTTCACTTTTGACTTCTGTACGATTTTCACATGACCCTCAGAAGTCTCTGACTGATTCTGTTTTCTGGCACAAGATGTCCCGAGGGTGCATCTTCTACAAGTTGTGCCTCAAACACAGCAACCTGGTTCATTTTAGTGGGAAATGGTTTTTAAAGGCTTTAATCTCTTTGGCCTGGAATTCTTCACCACCTTATTAGCTCACCAATGCCTTCAAAACAGATTTTCCCAGACTCCCCACCCTGCACTGTCCTCAAGGGAGGGTTGGTCTGAATTATCTAGTCTTGCAATTCTATAAGCAGAAGTCCTAAGATAAGAAATTGTGGAAGAGAGCACCCAAAAGCTTTTAAAAGACATCTTCCCAGTGGGCGTGGTGGTTCACACCTGTAATCCCAGCACTTTGGGAGGCCAAGGCAGGCAGATCACGAAGTCAGGAGTTCAAGACCAGCCTGGCCAACATGATGAAACCGCGTCTCTACTAAAAATACAAAAATTAGCCAGGCGTGGTGGCGCGTGCCTGTAATCCCAGCTACTCAGGAGGCTGAGGCAGGAGAATTGCTTGAACCCAGGAGGCAGAGGTTGCAGTGAGCCAAGATTGTGCCACTGCACTCCAGCCTTGGCGACAGAGCGAGACTCCATCTCAAAAAAAGAAAAAAAAGACATCTTCCCTCAGTTATATGCCACACACAAATAAAGACTAGTTCATAACAATCAACTAAACTGGGGTAGAATTCAGAAAGGCTTCAGGAGTGGAAAGTCAGATCACAGTTGAGGGTCACTCTGTTTTTTGAACCCAGGGGTTGGTTCCACAAATTTTCTTAATTCATCAGCCAAAGAACCTGCAAAATATCACCCTGACAGTGGACTAACAGCTAAAGCAGAATTAGGAAACTAAATGGAAAATAACCACTAACAAGCCTAATTAGTATATTTACTCATGGCAGCAAAATAAGGGTAACACCCACAAACACAAAGTCTGCATTCCAAGATTCTTATAGAATGGAATAAACAAGCATTTATACTCCAACTGCTAAGTTTATATATCTAAAGCTGAGGTGAGAAGGGAGTGATAATACAGAAAAAAAGACAAGGGCACTATTCCTTAGTAGAATTAATTCTTTCTCTTAGATAGCAAAAACAATCAAGAATTCCTTTATTCGTCTGCAGTTGAGCCTCAGATGAGACTGCAGCCCTGGCCAACCCAACCTTGACTGCAGCCTTCTGAGACCCTAAGCAGATCGAGCTAAGCTGTGCTTAGACTGCTGATCCATAGAAATTGAGATAATAAATGTGTGTTGTTTTATGCCACTAACTTTGTGGTAATTTGTTATGCAGAGATAAATAATATAGTATTATAAGCTAGTACATGATTATTTATTCATTTATTTATTTTTTGGAGACAGGGTCCCACTCTATTGCCCAGGCTGAAGTGCAGTGGAGCGTTCATAGGTCACTGCAACCTCAAATATTCTAGAGTCAAGCAATCCCCCCACCTCAGCCTCCGAAGCAGTTGGGACTACAGGCACGTGCCACCACGCCTAACTAAGTTTTTTATTTTTATCTTTTGTAGAGACAAGGTCTTACTATGTTGCCCAGACTGGTCTTGAACTCCTAGCTTAAGCGATCCTCCTACCTCGGCCTCCCAAAGTGCTGGGATTATAGGTGTGAGCCACCATGATCTGTCACTAGTACATGATTTTACTTTCTTCAATCATATAAAATATTTGAAACAGACTTTTTTTTTAAAGATTAAGTATTTATGTTAACGACTTGGAAAAAACACTACTGAGAATCAGAAGACCTAGCATTGTCTCGATTCTACCTTACTAAGTCACGTTGTGTAAGATTCATAATCTCTCAGAGCCTCGAGAATTCTTATTTATAACCAGGGATAAAACCTGCCCTGTTGGTAAAAGAAAGTGAGTGAGACACTGTGAAAATTATAAAGCACTAAATAAACTAAAATCCAACTGCTTCTCACCAACAGTTCTGCTAACACTCTAGTGCAAGCCATCATCATTTCTTGCTGGGGTTATTTTGGCAGATTCCTAACTCGTCTCAGTTTTTGTTGTCGGCGCCTCGTTTAAGTTTTCATCACTGGCCCCTCTTTACAGTTATCTGAGTCATTCTTTTAAACCTAAATGAGATCATAGGACTCGTCTGCTCAAAATCCACCAGTGACTTCCCCTCACATCCAGAATGGAATCCACAGTGACCAAGGTCACACAAAATTAAGTCTTTACTGTTAACAAGTATAACATATTGCACCTTAACAAGATTTTCAATTGCAGGATCTTTAGTTTCGCTTTAAAACTGAGATGAGTGTTGGAAGTCAGGAAAACAAAGGCAAGGCTAATGGCAGAGGAACAATGAGCCAGTCTTCATGGAGTGTGGACTCTAAGAGGATAGAAATAAACTGGGAAGGCAGAAAAATGAGATGAGGAAGAAGGTAAATTTATTGAGTACATACTTTTGGTCTGAGAACTTTTCTATATGTAACAACTTTTACATTTTAAAAAATGAATGAACGGGATTAGAATCTTTGGTCTCTGATGCTAGGACTGGGCATCTATCTGCCTTATTCAGATATTCAAAAGGAGAGGAATAGATCTTTCTAAAAACTATTTTCAAAGATTAGTAATGTTCTGACCACTTCAGTTAAGAATTTTTGATGTTTAGTATTCTTTCTTTCACACTTTTGGATGGCATTTATGGGATGGGAAATCTTACTGGTCCTCAAGTCCGTGGGATTTGACAACTTCAGTTTATATTAAATCCACTTTGTTCTGCACTGTAGCCAGTGCTGCCTTAAGCATGATGTGGACCCTGCACCCTGTATCGTTCTCCCTACCCAACCCACAGTGTCCCAAGTATTAGAATTCTTCATTTCTATCTGCCAAAAGTCTAGTAAAAGATGAGATAAACTCTCTCTCTCAATGAAAACATGCTTCAGAATTACCTGCCCCCAGTGTTTACATACAGTCTAATGGCAATTAAACAAAGATCACCAGAGTGAACAGCTGGCCCCATTCTGACAATGAATGGCAGACGCTGAAGAAACACGTAATGGCTTGAAGGAGAAAAGCAGCAGGCTAATCCTCAGGGCTGAAGGCTCTTCTCCAAACTCAGAGGCAATGGACCCGAAAAGGACCAAAGATGTGCCAGACAAGACGCACCAGCAAGAAGGAAACATGTCAGTGGATAGGAAAGCAGCCCGTGCTCAAACACTCAGCAAAGAAACTGCTGCAGACCAACCTGAAGTGTTAGCGTGACACAGAACACTCATGACACTCACAGTGCAGGACAGACAATAGGCACCAAGGTCACTCAGCCAAGCTGGTGCCAGAGCCAAGGTATAAAACTAGGCTTCTTTTAAAACCTGCCAGAACTTTCTTTCATTTCCTCACACAGAAGCACAATGCATATGTACATTATCAACTCCTTTTATTATGCTATATGGAAGGGTATTACAAATACATAAAAGAATTTAACAAAATTAACAATAATTTTCATACATTACTTAACCAAGAGAGAGCTTTTAAACGTTGACAAAAAATGTGAAATTAAAAACACAAATATGAAGGGTAATTTTTAATTTTGGAAAAGGAAACAATATATCATTTTGTGTGTATGTATGTTTAAACAAAACTGACTTTATTTAGGTATCAGCGGGTTAGCCGAGTTCCTTTAAATAGTTAGGGATTTGCAAAGTGCAAAGCTCATGTAACATAATCTGTGTTTTCCTCAAATCCCCATCGGTCCATTTGCTTAAGAAACCCATGCTTCCTGGCAGGGTGCCGGCATACCAAACCTGCCCAGTCGTGCACAGTTTTATTTCTGTTACTAAATTAGGAAACCGAGTGGGCAATGTCTGGGACAACAGCAAAGAGAAATGCCTCGGCATCATTAGCCTGCAAGTCTCCCTAAAAGCTATATCATTATAAGATATTTAATTTTTAATTAGAGATACCAAGGCAATGTAGCCTAATATTGTGCAATACTAAGAAATAATTAAATGAAGACAAAAGGGAAAAATCCAAATGTTTAACAAAAGTATTCTTCTGAATAGCCTTAATCATGTTGTTAAAAATAAATGAACTACTACCACTCAAGGCTTAATTTCTCAATGACTGGTACTAAAATACTGCCCTCTTTTTCTAAGTGATGAAGGAGAAATGCGAAGTTATGCATCACAATTCTTACAAATATATACTAACATACTTTATGTAGAGCTCAGTTTGAACATTCAAGGAGATTTGAGTGGAGAAACACAAAGAAGGATTTCAAGAAAACAAAGCCACTGTTTTTATTTTCAAATTAATTTATAAATGATAGAAAAATATAGAAGGAAAAATACATAATATTCCTCTTTCCAAATTTTACTGACCCCAAATTTGCACATCATAGAGCTTTTAAAAAAAGATAGTAGCTATTAATTAACATTCTTTAAATAAACAAGCCCTGATATTTTATGGAAAGCTAAAGCTTGAATCCTGAAAGTGTTAGAATTTTAGTTTTAGCGATATCAGAAATACTTTTTTCTTATAAACATTTTGTTAAATTCAAACATCATAAACATTTTCTTAATTAATTTCAAAGTAGCATTCATTTTACTTTAGTTCTGTAAAATAAAAAATTAAATGAATATGTGCTAGAAAATCTACATCTTTACACAGATAATTTATGTATTTAAATATCAGAGTTTAGAAATTACAGAAAAATTAAACCAAGTTTCAGCGCTGTAAAAGCCCTGAAAGACTTGTCAACCATGACTATATTAAAAAGCTGTTCACAATATTTACTACCATTTAGCAAGACAGAAAATTCATTCACATTTATAAAAAATCCTGAGAGATGAACTCTTCCAATAACCATCCTGGCTGTTGGCATGCCTTCATCTAGTCTCCTTTTATATATACGTATTTATATGATCTCTAGAGCACAGCAAAAGGCACCTAGCTGATCTGACGTGTGCCAAAACCCAGAGCCTTTCACTTCTTTGGCTCAACTCCTACCGCTAAGATCTGGCCATCAGTGATGCACGCGAGCAGGTCCACAAGATTGGGGTGGGCCACACAGTCTCAAGTATCTCCCTATATTGTTGAAAAGAGGCACATTGTTGTGGAGGCCCAACAAAATGAGAGAAGCAAGGCTAAAGCTGTATTTTTACATAAATAAAAATAAA
The DNA here is from genome assembly GCF_000001405.40 of Homo sapiens. NCBI lineage: Eukaryota > Metazoa > Chordata > Mammalia > Primates > Hominidae > Homo > Homo sapiens. Next base: position 99,304,883 of record NC_000015.10, on the reverse strand, counting down.
AGCAAGAAATAGATCAAATGATTAAAAATTATACTGAATAGGGTCGTGATCCCCATAGATCACTTTAATAAATAGTCTTTCAGACCCTCATTCTTGTTAACATTGCTACCTATACACACATAAAGAAATATATATAAGGCTGGGCACGGTGGCTCATGCCTGTAATCCCAGCACTTTGAGAGGCACAGGCAGGTGGGTCACTTGAGGTCAGGAGTTCAAGACCAGCCTGGCCAACACGGTGAAACCCCGTCTCTACTAAAAATACAAAAATAAATAAATAAATAAATGAGCCGGGCGTGTTGGTGCACACCTGTAATCCCAGCTACTCAGGAGACTGAGGCACAAGAATCACTTTAACCCAGGAGGCAGAGGTTGCAGTGAGCGGAGATCACATCACTGCACCCCAGCCTGGGTGACAGAGTAAGACCCTGTCTTGAAAAAAAAAGAAAAAAGAAAAGGAATATATATAAATGAATGGAGTGCCGGAAAAAGGAAAAATAAGTTTTGCTCTTCAAAAGACACCCCAATTAAAAAAATACACAAACCGCAGACTGAGAAAAAATATTTGCAAATCATATATCTGATAAATGACTTGTATCCAGATAATCACAGGGGTTGACAAAAGTTGACAACCTTGCTGTAAAGGGCTATTTATGTAAATCGTTTTTGCAAACCATATGGTCATTGTCACAACTACTCAACTCTGCCACTGCAGCATAAAAGCAGCCAGAGACAATATGTAAACGAATGGACATGGCTGTATTCCAAAAAAACTTTATTTACTAAATCAGATGAAGTGCTAGACTTGGCCCACAGGTCAGAGTTTTCTAACCTCGGTCCCTAGTATATCCGTACAGGTTATCTGATACTGAGTCTCTGACAGCAATTTTACAATTCTGTAAACTACAGATAACTGATAACAATGTAAACAATTCTTGTTTATAAACACATACATAAATTACATCCAGTGGGGGGGACAATGCTCTGTCTTTGTTGAGAAAACTAGCTTTGCCTCCATTTGAATATTCATTTATATTCTTTTTTTTTTTGCAATGGAGTTTTACTCTTGTCCCCCAGGCTGGAGTGCAATAGCGAGATCTCATCTCACTGCAACCTCCACCTCCCGGATTCATGCGATTCTCCTGCCTCAGCCTCCTGAGTAGCTGGGATTACAGGCATGCACCACCACGCCCAGCTAATTTTTGTATTTTTAGTAGAGACGGAGTTTCACCATGTTGGCCAGGCTGATCTCAAACTCCTGACCTCAAGTGATCCTCCCACCTCGGCCTCCCAAAGTGCTAGGATTGTAGGCATGAGCCACCGTGCCCAGGCCGTTTTTATATTCTTGATCTATGAATGTGTGTGTTCTAGGGATTCTCCTTGAACTTGTTATAACACCTTATCAATTTACTCATTAATAAGTTAAATAAAAGCTTTGCCACATTTTAAATTTTTTATATCTGTATGGGCATCACGATCTTAGCTTTTTTATGAAAATTATCCATTAACACCAGTATACATAAAGAACTCTTACAATACAATAATAAGAAAATAAACAACTCAATTTAAAAATGGCCAAAAGATAGGCATAGTTAATATTTGCCAAAGAGATGGCAAATAGACACATGAAAAGGTGCTTAATCTTTAGTTATTAGTGAAATGCAAATTTAACACACAATGAGATGCCACTATACAGCAACTAGAATAGCTACCATAAAAAAGACTGAAGATACCAAATGCTGGCAAGGTTGAGGAACTGGAACCCTCATACACTGCTAGTGGGAATGTAAAATGGTACAGCCACTTTGGAAAACAGTTTGGCAGTTTCTTTCAAAGTTAAAAATACATCCAGCAATTCTACTCTTAGGTATTTATCCAAGAGAAAAGAAAACATATGCCTACAAAAAGCCTGTACACAAATGTTCATAGCAACATTATTCCTAACAGCCCAAACTGGAGACAGCCTAAATAAACAACTGATGAATAAACCAAATATGGCACATCCATACAATAAAACATTACTAAGCAATAAAAGATGAGGTTATATACATTTAAACTACTAAAACATGAGGTTATGTACATTTACATGAAATTTCTGGAAAGTCAAAACTATAGAGACAAAAAGCAAGATCAGTGGTTGACTGCGGGTGAGAACAAAGGCTAGCAATAAACAGGCACCAGGGAACTTTTTGCAATGACGGAAGTCTTCTAAAACTAGATTGTATTGAGGGTTCCTAAACTGTGGACATTGAATAAAGTTAATTAACTGTACATGTAAAATGATGAATTTTATGGCATATAAATTGCACTTCAATAAAGCTGTTAAAAAATCAATAGCTTGGTGGCACATGCCTGTAATCCCAGCTACTTGGGAAGCTGAGGCAGGAGAATTGCTTGAACCGGGGAGGCAGAGGTTGCAGTGAGCCAAGATTGCGCCATTGCACTCCAGCCTGGGCAACAAGAGTGAAACTTATTGCCCATCTCAAAAAAAACAAAAACAAAAACAAAAACACACACCCACACAAAGAAAATCAATAGCTTAAAAAATTATTAACTTGGCCAGGTGCGGTGGCTCAAGCCTGTAATCCCAGCACTTTGGGAGGCCGAGGCGGGCAGATCATGAGGTCAGGAGATCGAGACCATCCTGGCTAACACGATGAAACCCCATCTCTACTAAAAATACAAAAAAATTAGCCAGGCATGGTGGCGGGCACCTGTGGTCCCAGCTACTCAGGAGGCTGAGGCAGGAGAATGGTGTGAACCCGGGAGGTGGAGCTTGCAGTGAGCTGAGATCGCGCCTCTGCACTCCAGCCTGGGCAACAGAGCAAGACTCCGTCTCAAAAAAAAAAAAAAATTATTAACTCACGCCAAGAACAAAATTATTGACATTGTTATAAAGTTTAAGAAGATATTATTTAGATGACATTTAAGAGTGGTATGTAGAAAAAAAAAAGTGATGTATGGAACACACATTGTAAATCAGTATAGATAATGCCCTGGGGATAAGGAAATACAGGTTCTCTTTCTTGTCATACCATTATATATCATAATTTTACATATGTTTCTGATTTAGAAGTAGTTAGAAATTTAAACTACGGATAGGAAACAAACACTGGTAATATGTAAACTCTCACACCCTATTATGTCACCTCTTTTAGCAGCAGAAGCAAATTTTCAAAGGCATCATTTTAAGTCCTCCATAAAATCAAACCTGCTAGAGCTAGTATAAATTTAAAAATGTTGAGTTTTAATGGTAGAATGAATATCAGAATCCACCATGTTAAAATTTACCTACCACATTGGATAAGAAAATGGAGACACAGAGGGATCAAGTAACAATAATTTTATAGGCTTTTGCCTTATTGAAAGTTTATAGTACTTAAAGTTCCATGGAATTCCGTTGTGGGAGACTTAAATAGTTTTATCTATAAAGTTCAAATGCAATTTCACAGGATATCATAAGCAAACCAAGAATATTCAAATAAAATAGATATGGTGGTTGGTAATTTAGGAAAAAATTAAGAAGTACAGAATAGATAAAATTATTAGTAACTCTGATTTATGAAGCTGATTTTATTAAGAGTCTCAAAAGAAAAAGGTTAAAATGTTCATTTCCCTTTAAAAAATAGTATTCTATAGTCTATATTTAATATAACATGCACTTAAAAACAATACAAATATTTGACTCTTAGATTGCTAAATAATTTAGGGATTTGGTCTTTGTAAAATACATATTCAACTATGCTATTGGATCTTCTCACTTAAAGAGAATGAGTTACAGAAATTTATCTCTGAACAAGAGCAGCTCCTCTGATGGATAAAAATACTGCAAGACAACACCCTGTGTATATAAAACAGTAATGGTGATTCTTCCTTCACTGATTATGTACACAGAGCTGTACAGAAAAATTATCTCACATTTTTGAACATGTAGTATTCAGTCTCCTAGAGATATCAAGTAAAAGAAGAATAGCACCACAGAAATCATAATTTTGGTTCAGGACATATATGCAACAATGTGCATAACTGTGCACACTTTTTATTTTATTTTATTTTCTTAGACAGGGTCTCACTCTGTCACCCAGGCTGGAGTGCAGTGGCACAATCTTGGCTCACTGCAGCCTCCGCCTCTTGGGTTCAAGCGATTCTCATGCCTCAGCTTCCTGAGGGGCTGGGATTACAGGTGCACACCATCACATCCAGCTAATTTTTGTATTTTTAGTAGAAGCAGGGTTCACCATGTTGGCCAGGCTGGTCTCAAACTCCTGACCTCAAGTGATCCACCCACATCGGCCTCCCAAAGTGCTGGGATTACAGGCATGAGCCATGGTGCCCGGCCAATTGTGCATACCTTTAAAAATATTTTCCAATGTACATTTGTTCTGCTTTAGATTAAACACTATTTTCATAGCCTGTAAACAAAAAAATTATAAGTATTATTTGATTACTCAATTGAATATTTTAATAATTAAAATTTTAATTTTATATATGAGACTTGTACTTTCCTTCAGAAAAATATGCATTTATATTTTAAAACTAGGTAAAAATAGATAAAAATTCTAAGACTTTACATTACTATAAACATCCATATATATCTTTCAGCATTTTTTTCTCAGAATACTTTTTAATTATTTCAACATCTTATAATGACTATGAAATTACAGTAAAAACTATCTCATTTAAGAAAAATGGATTCATGCTACAACCTAAATATATAAGAAAATAACATGACTTCCACAAAACCTGCTGTTATTAAGAAAAAAAAACACTAAGTCACTAATATTAGTCTTGTAAATTCATACTAAAGTGAAGAATGCCAAACTTCTGAAATTTAAAAAAGTCATCAAACAGCTCTGCCGGGCTTTAATTCTCTTTCAGATTACGTCAGGAGCAGAGATGTCAGCAGATCCAGCTAAGAAGTAGATCAGACATATAAACAACTAGTGATATTTGTTATAAGCATATAAAGATACTCATTTTTTGAGTGCTTCCTCACTTTCACAGCCAGTTTTGACTTAATGTTTTCCTACTACCTACAAAAAATACACAGTGAAAACCAAAACTTCTCAAAAAAAGGTATCTGCTTAAAATGTCAATTTTTAATAAAAGCTTTAATAAAAAGGATTAAACAAAGAACTATTATGCACATTGAGTGGGGGGGTTCATAACAAACAATATCAAACAACATTGTAAAAATTACTTCTCATTACATTGACCCTTGGCAAATCATAAAGCTTTTCACTCATTAAAACAAGCGTTAACTCTAAAATTACTTGCAGAACAGAAATCTGATTTAAATTGAAACCTTTAACAAGTTGAAACACAATTCACAGATGAAGTAAAGCAACAGCATGTTCAAATAAATGACAAATAAAACATTCTGTATATTAAATACATTAATTTTTAAGAAACACTTATTTTGGTATCTATATTATGTGTACCTATATATGAAATCTATATTATATCAATCTACATAATACATGTAGATATATTGTCTTTATTACTTTTTCTTCACAATTTACATAAAATAATTTTCTGATCATGTCACAAAACAATATATTGAAATCAAGGTAGAAAAATCAACTGAATCATTTAAATATATTGAAATCAAGGTAGAAAAATTAGCTGAAACTATAAAATAATTACAGATGAAAATGCTATCTTTGTTAACGTATTTATCAAAAACATACTTTGCCAAAGTTTGGTTAACAAATGCAATACATCAAATCACTATTCATATATTTTAATAATTGAAAGTTCTTCAGTAAAAACGAACTATTAAACCACATTTTGCCAAGATAGCAAACGGTATGGTAGAAATTACTCCATGCCACATCTAAAATATTGCAAGCTGATTTAGATACAAAAATAACAAAGCCAGGCGAAATGGCTCACACCTGTAATCCCAGCACTTTGGGAGGCAGAGGCAGGCAGATTGCCTGAGGTCAGGAGTTGGAGACCAGCCTGGCTAACATGGTGAAACACCATCTCTACTAAAAACACAAAAATTAGCTGGGTGTGGTGGCACATGTCTGTAATCCCAGCTGCTTGGGAGGCTGAGGCAGGAGAATCGCTTCAACCCAGGAGGAGAAGGTTGCAGTGAGCCAAAATTGCACCACTGCACTCCAGCCTGCGCAACAGAGCGAGACTCCATCTCACAATTAGACCTCTGAAGTCTTATTAATAGGTTGTGTCTAAGAAAACACATATTCTCAAGAAAATTCACTTGAAAAGATTAAAAACACTTCTATATTTATCAGGTTTTTAAAAATGTCCCCATTCCTGGTATTCATCATAAACAAATGGTTATGAACTCATTATAGGCTTCTATCATGCAACCACAACATTTTCAGCAATTTATTTAAATGAAGGGTTTTAAACTGGGGTAATAGTGGGTCAAATCTGTATTTGAGAGAGAGCATCCTGGAAGTAGTGTGTATGATGGATTATGAGACAGATACCTTTCAGAGATAAATAGTGGAAAATACCCAAACCAAATCATTTGCTCCTGCATACTGCTCTCACATCAGCTTAGTCCCCACAAATCACATCTGCCTTCTCCTTAAGCCCTCCTTAACCGACCTCAGTGCTGTCATCACTGTTCCCATACAGCACCAAGCCTATAATACACCATGCTGTCATAAATTAATTCTATAAGAAGTACTGCATGTGAAGTGAATTTGGATCACTTGGGTTATAGTGTTAGTTGCTTTTAAATCTTTTCACAAAGGAACGCACCCTGGAAAGGAGCTCAACGTGCAGTAAGCATGATTGATGGCAGAGGCTTTCCAAGTCTAAGCAACCAACTTTTCTTCTTTTGCCTTTTTTTTTTTAAAAGTATTGTAGCAATGAACTTTTGTTTTTTAGATATCTGGCAAGTTTTCTACCATTTCCCTTTACACTTTTCCTAAAAAGGAGTATTTTTCTGTATGTATTTGTCACTGAGAAGGACACATCGTTCAGAAAACAAAACCTTTTTTCTTTTAGAATAATTTCAACAGTCATTTTTATCCTAAGGTTTTGCCAAATTTTCAAAGCTTGTAAAAGTTTGTAAATAAAATTGAAAAGTCTTAGCTTCATTTGTAAAAAGATTTTACAATAGCTGATAGTTTATCTATAGTAAAAATATTTTTCTGAGAAATGTTTTATCTATTATATCACAATTTTATGTAAAAATCTAAATTTAAAATCTGTTATTATAAAGTTATTAATATATGTATATTTAATTATACTATAAAGTTACTTTACTAATAAAGTACTATATCCATTACAAAGTTACAATTAATAATAAAGTAACTTTAGGTCTAGGAAAGTCATTGAGGGCCAGGCATGATGACTCACACCTTTAACCCAGCATTTAGGCAGGCCAAAGCACGAGGATCACTTGAGGCCAGGAGTTTGAGACCAGCCTGGGTGACATAGCAAGACCCCACCTCTACCAAAAAAAAAAAAAAAAAAATTAAAGAAAATTAGCCAGGCATGGTGGTACATGCCCATAGTCCCAGCTACTCAGGAGGCTGAGGCAGGAGGATGACTTGAGCCCAGGAGGTCAAGGCTGCAGTGAGCTACGATTACTGCACTCCAGCCTGGGTGACAGAGTGAGATCCTGCCCCTAAAATAAAATAAAATATAAAGTGACTGAAAGAACATGTTCTGAATACGAGTTTAGGGCTCTGGTAGATATTTTTTTTTTTTTTTTTTTGAGACAGAGTTTTGCTCTTGTTGCCCAGGCTGGAGTGCAATGGTGCAATCTTGGCTCACTGCAACCTCTGCCTCCCGGGTTCAGGCGATTCTCCTGCCTCAGCCTCCGGAATAGCTGGGATTACAGGCGCCCACCACCACACCCGGCTAATTATTTTTGTATCTGGCAGATAATTTATTCAGTGGTCATCTAGCAAGCTGAGGCAGATTGTTAGATTTTGTCCCTCTACCCATTAGTTGTCAAAATGGGTATTTCAAGTCTCAGCACTGTGTACCAAGATAATCACTAGCTACAATAACACACTCAATACTTCCTTCTCTCTCCTGTCTAATCCCTTCTTTGCAAGTACTACATGCAGTTTAAATATTAGACAATAAAATATTATAAGCTCCCTTTAAGTCTGGGTCCAGATTTTGTTTTCCTTCTTAGTGCCCACTTTCTCTAGCACATAGCATGGCATACTTTGCAGCAGTAAATACTATTTTGTTAAGCAGATGAAACAGCAAGTCCCCCCTCCAGTCATGCAGATAACCCCACAAAATAGAGAAAATCTATTTACGTATATTGCTGACCACACATATACAGCCTGGTGACACCAGAAGGATGCTCTGCCAGAGATTAATTTTTTAGATTCTTTTTTAGTGAGAGAAGTGCTAGCTAGTTATTTTACCAGACTGATGTGTAATCAGTGAAAAGCTGAGTCTCCCAGAAGAGTAAATCACCCAAAATTACCATGGTATTTGCCTAAGGAGGGTAACGTGGGGTGAAGAGCCTTGAATATCTGGGGACAGGAGGCACAATAACACACTGCGTGTTTTGAGGATTCAAAATGAGAGCTGCTTTGTTCTCCTTCTGAACTGATCACATAGTAGGTAGGCACAATGGAAGTGATGAGGAAACCAGGGCTGACCCAGTGTTCCTGGGCCACCTGTCACTCCTAGAAACTGTAACACAGGGAATTCAAATATGGAGCATCTGTGCCCAGGCTTGTAACTACAAGGTGGGATCAGCACCTCTGAAAAATCACTGCAGCCTGTGCTGCAGAACAGCAGCCTATGCCAATACACTCTCAACAACAGGGTAGTAAGCAACAGCAGAAGCCCTAGAGGACCAGGCTCTGGCTGTTTTTATGTCCTCTGTAGGAAAAAGGCTGATCCACTCCTCTTCACCTCCACATGAGATCAATAAACACAGAGGTTTCACAACAATTCAGGTGGCAATGGGACAGACCTAAGAAAGGATACTAAATTTCATTCCAATAAACCTACAGAGGTTCAACTGGAGAAAAAGTAAATTTTAAGAAAAAAATGGTAATAAATTTGACTACACTTGAAGCCTGGGTTTTAGGAACAACACATGCTGGTTATATGTGGTACACATTTCTGTCTGTGCATACTTTCAGCCATTAAAACACAACAGATTCATGCTATTAACTTGGGCTAAAAATCCTTCCTTTTTTGGTATGCAAAACAACTTTTCAAGGATAAAAGTATTTTTTAAAAATAGGCTGATTTATATGCCAGATGTAAGCAACATCTTTTCTGACTGCTGGTTACTTTTTGTTGTTTCTTTGTTACTATAACCTTCTCTCATGGTAATTCAGTGTTTACAGCAACTCACAAAGGTATCAGATTTCTCGAGTATTAAAGATTGGCTGTTCTTTCTGTCTCCTCAAACATCCATTGGACTTTGTGATGTTTAGCGAGGTTTAATCAGAAAGGGGCCCTGTACTGATGGAAGCCTTTCCCCAACAATCCTTTATTTCTAGGTACACAGTAATTCTCTTCATAATAGATTACATAATTTTATACAATCAAATTACAAAATGTCATTGGGAGAAAATTAGTTTAAATATGTTCTATGACAAATAATGTTATAGTTTTGATGCCAGGTGTAGGGAAAAGCAATACGTAAATGTTTAAGTGGTACATGCTTAACAGCAGCAGCAGCAGCAACAGCAACAAAAACACATACATAAAAGAAGGCAGGGAAGCAATCGGATCAGTAATCAAAGGACATCTAACAGGACTTCCACTTCCAGACATGACAGGGTAACTCACACCAGACATGCCTCCCGCCAAAACACAATGAACTACTCAAAAACATATGAAGCAATTGTTTTCAAGCAATGGACAGGTGACCCAGAACTACAATCCTTAAAATCTAGGGAACACAAGAGGCGAGCCCCATGTTGGACCTGAATTTCTGCCATGGGGCATATTTTGGGCCATGGCACAGGGAAATGGAACCTAAACAGAGCTCGAGTCCTGCAGACCTGAAGAGGAATAGATCAGAGTTGGGGGCAAGTGAAGCACCTGAAAGATGCAGGACAGGGCACCAAAGATGAAAAGGCTGTAAGGAGGTCAAGACGGTGCTATGATTTGAATGTTTGTGTCCCCACCTCTAAATTCATATGTTGAAACCTAGTCACCAATGCAATGGTCTCAGGAGGTGGGGCCTTTGGGAGGTCCTAAGGGTGAAACGCTCATGAGTGGAATTAGTGCCCTTACAAAAGATGCCTCAGAGAGCTGCCTTGCTCCATTCTACCACATGAGAACACAGTGAAAAAGTGTCATCTATGAATCAGAAAATAAGCCCTCACCAGATCTGCTGGCACCTTGATCTTGGAACTCCCAGCCTGCAGAACTCAGCAATACATTTCTGTTGTTTATAAGCTACCCCATTTATGGTATTTGTTTACAGCAGCCTGAATGGATTAAGACAGAGGAGCATAAAAACTAACACACTGGAGAGCATAAAACAAACAGTAAGTAGAACTCAGATCAACAGATAACTTCTAGTCTTGAGATAAGGGCAAGAAAAACATTACATTAAAAAAAAAGAAGAAGAACAAAGTTCACTGACCTGTAGAAGAATACCAAATTATCTAATGTGCGTAACCAGAGTTCCAGAAAGAGAGGAAATGTGGAACAGAAAAATATTTGAAAAATTAATAAAAGGAAACTTGCCAATTTGGGAATAAAGAAAACCCCAAGAAGGGTAAATATAAAAAATCCTGTATCAAGACACATCATATACAAACTGCTAATACCAAAGATAAAGATAAAAGATTAAAGAGAGAAATCTTAATGCAGTCATAGAAAAGGATACAGGGTAACAATGATACAAATTATGGCTGACTTCTCATCAGAAACAATGGCGGCCAGGAAATAATGGAAGATCTTCCTTAAAGTGCTCAAAGAAAAAAGTCTTGTCAATCCAGAATTTTATTTCCAGAGAAAATATTCTTCAAAAGTGAAAATGAAATAACATTTTTGCATAAAGAAAAACTGAGATAGTTCACTGCCAGTAGAACTGCACTAAAACAAATACTAAAGGAAATACTTCAGGCTGAAGAGAAATGACAGATGGAAACTAAATCTAGAGGAAAAAATGGCCAGGTGCAGTGGCTCACACCAGTAATCTCAGTGCTTTAGGAGGCCAGGAGATTGAGATCAGCTTGGGCAACACAGCAAGACTGTGTCTCTTAAGAAAAGAAGAATAGAAAGCACAGGAAATGGTGAATATTCAGGTAAATATTGTTTAGGTTTTTTTTTTTTTTTTTTTTTTTTTTTTTTTTTTTTTTTTGTGACAGAGTTTCGTTCTTGTTGCCCAGGCCGGAATGCAACGGCATGATCTCGGCTCACCACAACCTCTGCCTCCTGTGTTCAAGCGATTCTCCTGCCTCAGCCTCCTGAGTAGCTGGGATTACAGGCATGCGCCACCACGCCTGGCTAATTTTGTATTTTTAGTAGAGATGGGGTTTCTCCATGTTAGTCAGGCTAGTCTTGAACTCCCAACCTCAGGTGATCCACCCACCTTGGCCTCCCAAAGTGTTGGGATTCCAGGCATGAGCCACCGCACCCAACCTTAGTATTTTACAGACAACTGACTTGCAAAAATAATATTATCTAATGGAGTTTACAGCATACATTGAAATAAAATATATGACACAGTAGTACAAAAGGAGGAGGGTAAAAGGAAGTATACTGTTGTAAAATATGCACAATAATATAAAAATGCATGTAATTTGTATGAAATGGCACAATATTCTAAATGTAGTAAGTTAAGGGAGGATATTGTGAACCCTAGAGAAAAGCCAATGGAGGAAATAAAGCAGAACACTAAAACATACTCAAGTAATCCAGAAACAGAAAGGAAGCAAAGAGGAACCAGAAACAAATGGTGAAAGTCAGTTGGGAAGAAGGAGGACTTAATTCCAATTTGAAAATAGAAACTCCAAAGAGATCATCACTCTCACCCTAACAACTAAAACAAGCTGAATAAAAACCCATCAGAGACTGAGGACATAGGGAAATGTAAATCAACTCCAGAGTGAGAAGCACATTTTCAAAGACAAGAGATCCTCGGCTGCTATCATCCCTGACTGAAATAGAGGTGGGAAAAGAAATCTGCCACAGACAAGGGTTAAAGAAAAATCAGTCTAACTTTGAAAGCTATATGTGGACATACCCGTGTAGAACCCAGAGGATTCGTAGGTATAGAAAGACTGTACGAGGCTGGGCGCGGTGGCTCACGCCTGTAATCCCAGCACTTTGGGAGGCCGAGGCGGGTGGATCATGAGGTCAGGAGATCGAGACCATCCTGGCTAACAAGGTGAAACCCCGTCTCTACTAAAAATACAAAAAATTAGCCGGGCGCGGTGGCGGGCGCCTGTAGTCCCAGCTACTCGGGAGGCTGAGGCAGGAGAATGGCATGAACCCGGGAAGCGGAGCTTGCAGTGAGCCGAGATTGCACCACTGCAGTCCGCAGTCCGGCCTGGGCGACAGAGCGAGACTCCGTTTCAAAAAAAAAAAAAAAAGACTGTACGATTAATAAATCCCCCTGCTCAACACAGACACACACACACTCCGTCCCACCAACCTTTACCAAAAATGAGGGCAAGAAAAGAGAGAAAGAGCTGAGATAATCTCCTCAATGTACACTAGGCTTCCAGCAAGGGAAAACCTGGAGGATAGGCAGTAACAGAAAAGCCAAGAGAAACTTCTCACAGGCAAGACCCACCATCACAGAGTACAGGGCAATGACAGTCAACCTTTACAGGCCAAGGATGGAGCAGCAGGACTCAAAGAGCTCTCGAGGCACAGAAAGTCAGAAGCCAAACTGGAGAGCAAAGAGAATTCCTCAGCAACTGAACCTGCTGGCAGCTGGTCTTTAAAGCATGGAGATATCTCCTATAATTCAAAAAGATTTGGAATAGCCCATAAATACATGAGAAGGTGCTAAATAACATCAGTCAAGAGAGATATGCAAATTAAATAAAATTCAAAAAAATGCAATACTACTTCACACCCACTATGATGGCTAAACAAACAGACAACACCAAATGTTGACAAGAATGTGGAGTAACTGCACCTCTCATATATTGCTGACAGAACAGTGTAAAATGGCATAACCACTTTGAAAACTAACTGGCAAATTTTAAATATTGGATATAAAATTACAAAACTATATTCAAAGGCTTTTCAATGACAACAAAGAAACATGGTAAAATGTTAAGTCTTTTAAGAGAATATAACATGTGACAAGTCTCAGCATGGACTATGGAGAAGGGGTTTGTTAAGCAGATATCAACTGGTGCCTACTGTGGTCAAATGGGGATAACATCACAGGCCCTCACATTTCTTTCCCACCTTTAGAATACCCTCCCATAGTATGTCTCCAAACATAATCAAGCATTTAGGGGACGTGTGCTTAGCCCCTTACAGACTTAAATCATAACATCTGAAATCACCTCATGAGATGCATAAAGTGAATCAAATAATTCATAAGACCCAGTCAAGTGCTACTCATGGTGGCAAGAAATAATAAAGCCTATATACATGGCTCAATCAAAAGTTCCTATCCAAAATGTATAACTATTAAGGTATATAATTTTACTCAAAACAAGCAAAACCAAACACAAATAGAAACAAACCTAGGAAAATAAAATCACAAGTATATGCCTCGAATTTCTTGTGTAACAGGTGAGATATAAATAAATTATGTGAAAGTAGTCACAAAACATATACCCTTCACTGGTTATTAAGAAGCAGTCAATGACATTAGAAGTACATCCTTAACCTCTAAGAATATATAATGGAAGGCAATGACTATATTCTACCACATCATGTTTTTATATTACAGGAAAACACAGAATAATACAACACCCAGAACAATGGTTTATCACAGAATTGTTTTTTGTGGGGGTTTGGGGACAGAGTCTCACTCCGCTGTCCAGGCTGGAGTGCAATACTGCAATCAGAGTTCACTGCAGCCCTTGATATCCTGGGCTCAAGAGATTCTCCCGCCCCAGCCTCCCAAGCAGCTAGGACTAAGGTGTGTGTCACCATGCACGGCTAATTTTTTTTTTTTATTGTTGGATTTTAGTAGAGACAAAGCCTCACTATGTTGCCCTGGCTGGTCTCGAACTCCTGGCTTCAAGCGATCCTGATCCTCTCGCCTCAGCTTCCCAAAGTGGTGGGATTACAGATGTGAACCACCATGCCTGGCAGAATTGTATTTTTTGTATATTCTTTAAATGTATGTAAAAAAAAGTTCATAAATACAGCATTATATTCATGAATTTTGGTTGTATATCTTATGTAAGTTTCATATAGGAAAATGTTAGGAAAATGTAAAGTATTATCTTTACTGATACATTTTCTAGGCAATCTTCAAAAGAGTATCTCATTTTCTGTGTATCTGAATGTACAAACTTGATGAAAGCTAGAATGATGAAACACCATTGGCCTGATGATATACAATAAAGGAAAGACCATATTCCTGTATTGTGTCAAAAATTTTTATATTAACTATAGTTAGAAAAAATAAGACATTCATTATATGAGAATAAAAAAATATTTTTTAAAACACAGTCACTGCTGACTGGTGCCATTTTTTTCTTTTTTTCTTTTTTTTTTGAGGCAGGGTCTCACTCTGTCACCCAGGCTGGAGTGCAGTGGTGCAATCTCGGCTCACTGCAACCTCCGCCTCCCAGGTTCAAGCAGTTCTCCTGTTTCAGCCTCCCAAGTAGCTGAAACTATAGGCACAATGCCACCACACCCGGCTAATTTTTGTATTTTTAGCAGAGATGGGGTTTCACCATGTTAGCCAGGCTGGTCTCGAACTCCTGACCTCAGGTGATCCACCCACCTCGGCCTCCCAAAGTGCTGGGATTACAGGTGTGATCCACTGCGCCCAGCCTGACTGGTGCCATTTTTTTTTTTTTTTTTTTTTTTTGAGACGGAGTCTTGCTCTGTCGCCCAGGCCGGACTGCGGACTGCAGTGGCGCAATCTCGGCTCACTGCAAGCTCCGCTTCCCGGGTTCACGCCATTCTCCTGCCTCAGCCTCCCGAGTAGCTGGGACTACAGGCGCCCGCCACCGCGCCCGGCTAATTTTTTGTATTTTTAGTAGAGACGGGGTTTCACCTTGTTAGCCAGGATGGTCTCGATCTCCTGACCTCATGATCCACCCGCCTCGGCCTCCCAAAGTGCTGGGATTACAGGCGTGAGCCACCGCGCCCGGCCTGGTGCCATTTTTATACACAGTATTGAATCTATATATTAAGGCCAGAACATAAAGTCTAAAAATTAATCCATTAGTATGTTTTAATTTAGACATTTCTGTACTTGAAAAAACAAAGAAATACCATAGATTTTTTCATTCATGGGTTTAACATGCATAATTTTTAACATTCTCTTGCAACCCTGAAGTTCTATGACAGGTAGTAATTTGTAATTTTATTTGAGTCACATATTTCACTTAGATACACTAAAAGGCTGGTTGGTGTTCTCGAGTTGGTTTTACTCAAAAGAGTAAAAATAATCTCAGACAAATTAACATCTGTATCTTTCTCTGCTCATTCTTGAATACACAGTAACTTTCATATAATACCTGAAGCATAAGTTTTTTATTTTTTAATTATCTATCTTTTTTTAATATAGGAAACCATATATGACAGTGGAATTTGCTAATACGTGGATTCACAAAGCAAGGTCTCTGGATGCTCCTCCCAAGAAATCAAAGGGTTTAATGGTGGCTCTCAATAAAATGCAAGATTTTAGTACTGCCTATCTATAAGGCACATTCATAATTTATTTACATGTTCATCAGGCAGAACTGAAAATCCTAAGGCTCAAATTTAAATTGTTCTACTAAATTTTAGTATGATTCCTTTTAAAATCAAAGTTAACATACTAGGTCAGGCATGGTGGCTCACACCTATAATCCCAACACTTTGGGAGGCTGAGGCAGGTGGATCACTTGACGTCAGGAGTTTGAGACTAGCCTAGCCAACATGGCAAAACCCTGTCTCTACAAAAAATACAAAAATTAGCCAGGCATGGCTTCACGTGCCTGTAGTCCAAGCTACTTGGAAGGCTGAGGCATGGGAATCACTTGAACCCGGGAGGCGGAGGCTGCAGTGAGCCGAGATCACGCCACTGCACTAGAGCCTGGGCAACAGAGTGAGACTCTGTTAAAAACAGAAAAAAAAAGTCAACCAGGCACGGTGGCTCATGCCTGTAATCCCAGAACTTTGGGAGGCCAAGGCAGGTGGATCACAAGGTCAGGAGATTGAAACCACCCTGGGCAACATGGTGAAACCCTATCTCTACCAAAAATACAAAAATTAGCTGGGTGTGGTGGCACGCGCCTGTAATCTCAGCTACTCAGGAGGCTGAGGCAGGAGAATCGCTTGAACCTGGGAGGCAGAGATTACAGTGAGCTGAGATTGTGCCACTGCACTCCAGCCTGACGACAGGGCAAGACTCTATCTCAAAAAAAAAAAAAAAAAAAAAAAAAAAAAGTTAATGTACATTAGTTACCTCACTAGAGAGTAAGAGAGAAAACATTGTATGCATTTGACTTTTGGATAGTAAAATGATTATATCACGCAAAGTTCACCTAAATTCTCTTATGTGAAATTCAGAACTGAAGTAACTCTTTGTACAAATATTTTGCCAGAGCAGTGATTCAAAGGGATATTGGATGCAATGCACAATTGTAGTAATTGTAGCTATATCTAAAATATAAATTCTACCTTCTTACATTTGCATCACAAAAAAGACTCTTAGTAATATTTCACCCATTCTTTAGTTTCATCTTCAAACAAATGGACAAATACTTATAAATACATCTACAGCTCATTGCCTAGACATAGAGTGAGAAATATGAATACAGATTTATAATAGACAAGAAACTATAGTGTGCTAGAGACTATGATTACCTGGAGGTAGGAATTGCAGTTGGTTATTAGCTAATCGAAGATGACGTAAAGCTCTCAGACGACCAATTTCTGGGCAAACAATTTCTAAGGCATTGTCACTAAGATCCAGACATTGGAGTTTTACAAGAGACCCAATGGCTTCAAAGAGAAAAGGAGAAGGCAAAATGAATTTGACTCAAGTATTACATCAAATCTTTAAAGCAAGTATTCCAAGTTAAAATATTTTACTACTTAATTTCCTTGTCTCAGTTGCTCACAAAATAGTAAAAACACAGATCAAACTAAGTTCATGAAAGTGATAAATACTTCCAGCTCAAGATAAAATATAACTTAAAATACAGCACAAATAAAAACATTAAGACTAAAATAAATCAAGAAATGATACACAGGGCTTTTTTTATCTGACCAGAATTCTTAACTAGATTTATTAAATTTACAACTTATTATCTACCTAATAGCAATTTATCCAACAATAGTTTACCTAACCATTATAACCATTTTAGATTTATTTAATTATAGTTCTTAACTGGACTTATTAGAAGAAAAAAGTTTTGAAGCTAAAAAATTAAAGGTGTCTTAAAAATAAAATTTGATCTATTTATAAAGCAAAGCTTAAATTATATTATCTTCTAACTAAAATTTTTAAGTTAAACATACCTTCCGGAACCACAACTATGTTATTTGAGTGCAGGTATCTAGGAAGGAAAAAGAAAAAAAACAGCCATTATCATTAAGTACTTTTGCCAGATAATCAGTTTATAAAATGCTCACTTAGAAATTTATCAAATATAAATAGGCCACAACTTTTGCACCCTACTCTAATGCATCAACATACAATAATGGTTATCACAGCTAACTAATAATACTTTGAGAAAAATATTTTGTACCAGAATTGCAAATATTAAATCTATTTACTGATTTAGTTGTTATTTTAAAATAAAAGCATACATAATGGATAAACTATAAGGTCTTTTTAACTTCATAACACAAATTACTAGTTTTTCCAGTTCATTTTATTCAGGCTTTAAAAAATATACTTACTGTGTGAAGAAAAATCAACACCTATTGTGTAAAGGAAGATGAACTTTTCGTTTCTAAAAAATAACTTCACAAAATAAAGATATTTCTAGCTAGCATGCATACGGAGAACCAACAACAGATTAAATATCATTTACAGTGTCTGTAGAAATACTCAACTGTCGAGGTACAGAATTTATTTCATGGCAAAAGAAATTTTGTAACAAGAAATCAAATGCTTCTCTTAAAAAATCTTTTTCACAGAGGCTGAGAAGTCTAGACAAGCCTAAGTAACAATTTTCCCACTACAGTGTCTTTAGCACACTCTGGTGGAGACTTCCTGCAATCAGTAACCAACTATTCAGAGCAAAACAAGTGAATGCTGGAGATCACACAACAATAATTTAAGAAAATAAATTTATATCATTGATTTAGAGACAAGAGAACAAGATTTTAGTAAAAACCTATGGTTTTATTTATTGTACTTTAAAAATAAATCTTTATGGCCGGGCGCGGTGGCTCACGCCTGTAATCCCAGCACTTTGGGAGGCAAGGAGGGCGGATTGCCTGACCTCAGGAGTTCGCGACCAGCCTGAGCAACAAGGTGAAACCCCATCTCTACTAAAATACAAAAAAATTAGCCAGGCGTGGTGGCGTGCATCTGTAGTCCCAGCTACTTGGGAGACTGAGGCAGGAGAACTGCTTGAACCTGGGAGGCGGAGGTTGCAGTGAGCCGCGATTGTGCCACTGCACTCCAGCCTGGGCAACAGAGTGAGACTCCGTCTCAAAAACAAAAACAAACAAACAAACAAAAAATTTATAAAGTACTTTTAAATAGAATTCAGAAGTTTTCTTCTGCATTCTTAAAGTCTAATATTGAATATTAAAATGTCAATAAACACAAAATAAGACAGAAAATTGATAATTTTATGAAGATTATTTTATGTTGAATTAAATCAATTTTGTAGAAGGTTAACTAACCTGCTGGGTATAACACAATTTAAATAAGCCCACCATTTACTCTATGATACATTTCATTCCTTGCTTTCTGTATATGAAATCAATACTCTTTAAACATTAATTTTAGGAAGGAATACCTAAATCAAAATAGAGAACTGATTAAAAAAATTTTTTTCAACAAAATACTTGCCTCAATTCAAGTTCCACCTATAAAAAAGACGTTAAAATGTCCAAATCAAAATATGAACTAAAGTACCCACTATTATGATTAGAATTTTTCAAACAGACTTTAAAATATTATCTACATATAATCAAGATGCTGTATGAAATAGTACACAGTGGCTGCCCATGGATGCTGCTGAGGAAGCATCGTTAAAGTCTCTCCTCCCCCTGCCGTCAAGTCTAAGTCAGTCTCCTAAAGAGCCCGAACAGCTGAGGAAGCTCTTCATTGGAGGCCTGAGCTTTGAAACAACCGATGAGAGCCTGAGGAGTCACTCTGAGCAATGGGGAACGCTCACGGACTGTGTGGTCATGGGAGATCCCAACACCAAGCACGCCAGGGGCTTTGGGTTTGTCACTATACCACTGCGGAGGAGGTGGATGCAGCCATGAATGCAAAGCCACACAAGGTGGACAGAAGAGTTGTGGGACTAAAGACAGCTGTCTCAAGAGAAGATTCTCAAAGACCAGGTGCCTACTTAACTGTGAAAAAGATATTTGTTGATGACATTAAAGAAGACACTGAAGAACATTACCTAAGATTATTTTGAACAGTATGGAAAAATTGAAGTGATTGAAATCATGACTGACTGAGGCAGTGACAAGAAAAGGGGCTTTGATTTTGTAACCTTTGATGACCATGACTTCGTGGATAAGACTGTCACTCAGAAATACCATAATGTGAATGGCCACAACTGTGAAGTCAGGAAAGCCCCATCAAAGCCAAGAGATGGCTAGTGCTTCATCCAGCCAAAGAGGCTGAAGTGATTCTGGAAATTTTGATGGTGGTCGTGGAGGTGGTTTTGATGGGAATGACAACTTTGGTCGTGGAGGAAACTTCAGCAGTCATGATGGGTTTGGTGGCAGCCATGGTGATGGTAGATATGGTGGCAGTGGGGATGGCTACAATGGATTTGGTAATGATGGAAGCAATTCTGGAAGTGGTGGAAGCTACAATGATTTTGACAATTGCAATAGTCAGTCTTCAAATTTTGAACCCATGAAGGGAGGACAATGGTGGCAGAAGCTCTGGCTCCTATGGGGGTGGAGTCCAATACTTGGCCAAACCATGAAACCAAAGTGGCTATGCCAGTTCCAGTAGCAGCAGCAGCTATGGCAGTGTCAGAAGATTTTAATTACTGCCAGGAAACAAAGCTTAGCAGGAAAGGAGAGCAAGAGAAGTGACAGGGAAGCTACAGGTTACAACAGTTTTGTGAACTCAGCCAAGCACAGTGGTGGCAGGGCCTACCTGCTACAAAGAAGACATGGTTTAGACAAATACTCATGTATATGGGCAAAAAACTCGAGGACTGTATTTGTGAATAACTGTATTATTTTAGTTTCTGTTCTGTGGAAAGTGTAAAGCAGTCCAACAAAGGGTTTTAATGTAGATTTTTTTTTTTGCACTCATGCTGTTGATTGCTAAATATAGTAGTGTGATCATGACGCTGAATAAATGTATCTTTAAAAAAAGATAACAGAGTGTTGCCAATCCTGACTGCACATTAGAATCACCAGGGGTCTTATTGGTACCCAAAACCATCCTGCAGCAAGTGAAACACCATCTCAACTCAAATAATCCTGATGTACAACCGATTAAGAACCATTACTGGTAAAGTGGATCAGAGAGCGGGCTCTGAAGCCACACTACCTGCACCTTAATAGCCATGTGACTATGGAGAAATCACTGAACTGCTCTCTCTCCTAATCTGTGATGTTGCAGGGACTAAATGAATTAATAAATGTAAAGCTCTTAGAACAGTGCTTGGCTCCTGGTAAGAGTTAAATGAATGCTCTTATTATTGTTATTATAGTTATTATGAGTCATTTGTAATCACAGGCTTAGGACTTTCAAATTTAAGTCACTTCCTTTTACTTAATTTTGGTAATTTCAGAGTAGTTGAAATGTTGATGTTTCAATGTTCTTATTAAAATAAAATGTTCCTCTTCTCAAATAATGCAGGAACTCTCATTCATTGTTGGTGGGGAATGTCACTTTGGGGTATACTCATTTTGGAAAATGGCTTGGCAGTTTTTTTTAAATGTTAAATATGATGTTTACTTAATAGGAATATTCCAGAGTCAGTTTCTTAGTTTTGACAAATGTACCATGGAATTCCTTTTTTTTTTTTTTTTTTTTGAGAAGGAGTCTCCCTCTGTCGTCCAGGCTAGAGTGCCGTGGCTCGATCTCTGCTCACTGCAACCTCTGCCTCCTGGGTACAAGTGATTCTCCTGCCTCAGCCTCCTGAGTAGCTGGGATTACAGGTGCGCACCACCACACCCGGCTAATTTTTTTTTGTATTTTCAGTAGAGATGGGGTTTCAGCATGTTGGTCCAGCTGGTCTCAAACTCCTGACCTCGTGATCCACCCACCTCGGCCTCCCAAAGTGCTGGGATTACAGGCATGAGCCACCATGCCTGGCCTGTACCATGGAATTCTAAGATGTTAACAACAGGACAAACTGGGTAAGGGGTACACCAGTATGACCCATACTATGTTTATAACTTTTCTATAAATATAAAATTGTTCCAAAATAAAAAAAGTTTTAAAAAATAATTTTTAGTTTGGGTGTGGTGGCTCACGCCTGTAATCCCAGCACTTTGGGAGGCCGAAGTGGGTGGATCACCTTAGGTGAGGAGTTTGAGACCAACCTGACCAACATGGAGAAACCTCGTCTCTACTAAAACTACAAAAATTAGCTGGGCATGGTGGCACATGCCTGTAATCCCAGCTACCTGGGAGGCTGAGGCAGAAGAATCTCTTGAACCCAGGAGGCGGAGGTTGCAGTGCACTGAGATGTTGCCACTGACTCCAGCCTGAGCGACAAGAGCGAAATTCCATCTCAAAAAAAAAAATTTTTAATTAAAGAAACAGGACTTCTACTTTCAGTCAGGATGAATAACAACAATGGAGTAAATGGGATTTTCCCAACTGTTCTAAACAACAAGAAAACCAGATGAAATACAGTCACATGCCACTTAATGACTGGGATATGTTCTAAGAAATGTGTCGTTAGGTGATTTCCTTGTTATGCAAACATCATAGGGTGTTCTTACACAAACCTAGATGGTATAGCCTACCACACACCTAGGTTACAAGGTGTAGTTGCTCTTAGGCTACAAATCTGGACAGTATGTTATCGTATTGAATACTGTAGACAACTGTAACACAATCAGACAACTGATACACGATGTATTTGTGTATCTAAACATATGTAAACATAGAAAAGGTACAGTAAAAACACAGTATTATAATCTTATGAGACCACCATTATGTATGTGGCCTGTCATTGACATAATTATGCTGTGCATGACTGTACATGAAACAATTATTTTCAGATATTAACAAAGGCAACTAGGACTACATTCCCTAAGAGAAAGGAAGTAAGCCACACAATCTCCCTAGCTTTCACCCTAGGGGCAAATTCTGGACTGTAGAACAGGAAGGAAATCCCAAAGTACAGAAGTCTTACTGAGTTATGGAGACACATATCAGAGTTCAGGGAACCTGAGGCAACTGGAAGTTGTGGGGTAAAGTTCTGAAGAAGAGAGAGCTACTGCTACAAAAAAAAAAAAAACCTCCAAAAATTTGCATAAGGAATCCCTTGGCCTCACTCATAGCTGAATTCTAGAACAAACACACATAAGAAAAACTCTAACAGGATACAGTGGGTCATGGGTCATACCTGTAACCCTAGCTACTTGGGAGGCTGAAGCAGGAGGATCACTTGAGGACAAGAATTCAAGACCAGCCTGAGCAATATAATGGGACCCCCATCTCAAAAAATAATAGAAGAAAAATAAAAGGTACTCCAGGCAAAAAGCACCTGAAAATCAATCAGCTGAACAGCCTGCAAAGCTCACAGTGTTGAGAGACATTCAAGTTCTGAGCAAGTATGCCAAATCCTTGTTGATCATTTGAGGTATTCAAGAGAGATCCTGGAAAGCTCATGCTTTAGTAATAGGGCTAACCTAACCACCTATCCTAACAAAGTATAAAAATAAGCCATAAAAGGATCAAAGTAAACTGCAAATAGCTGCATGCCAGAAAAAAGGGACACAATAAAATTTAGACTCTCAAAAATGCAAACTTTATAAGGTCCATCCAATCAAAAAGTATTAGACATGCCAAGAATCAGGAAAATATGACCCATAACCAGGAGAAAAATCAGTCAGTACAAATAGAACCAGTATGACACAGATGACAGAATTAGCAAACAGGACATTAAAATAGCTATAATAACTATATTCAGCTATTTAAATGAAAATATGAACATTATAAGAACTGTAAGATAAAGAAAAATAAACAGAACTTCCAAATATCATAAATACAGTAACAGGCTGGGCACAGTGGCTCACTCCCATAATCCCAGAGCTTTGGGAGGCTGAGGCAGGAGGATCACTTGAGCCCAGGAGTTTGATGTTACAGTGAGCCATGATTGCATCACAACACTCCAGTGTAACTCCTGGGTGACAATGTAAGACCCTGTCTCAAAAACACACACAGAAAGCCAGCCTGGGCAACACAGCAAATCCCCATGTCTATGAAAAAATTTAAAATTTAGCTGGGCATGGTGGTGCATGCCTGTACTTCTAGCTACTTGGGAGGCTGAGATGGGAGGATCCCTTGAGCCCAGGAGTTCAAGGCTGCAACGAGCTAGGATAGAGCCACTGCACTCCAGCCTGGGCGACAGAGCAAGACCCTGTCCCTTAAAAAAAAAAAAATACAGTAACCAAAGAGAAAACTTCACTGAGTGGGATTAGTATAGTACATTAGACACTGAAGAAGAAAATATTACTGACTTTTAACACAGAACATACAATTTGTCCAAACTGAAGCACATAGGGAATAAAAGTCTGAAAAGGAAATGAAAAGTCTTAGTGACTACGAGACAGTATTAAACAGTCTAACAAACAGGTAAGAGTTCCACAAGCAGGGGCCAGGAACAGGGTATATAAATAAATATCTGAAAAAACAATGTCAAAAGTTTTCCAAATTTGATAAAAACTGTTAAGACACAACCCCAAGAAACCCCATGAACCTCAAAGGTAAGAAAGAAGAAAACTACAACAAGATACACCTAAATCAAACCCTTAAAATTAGTGTAAAAAATGAAAACCCTTCAAAGTAGCCCAAGGGAGAAAAAGACACATACACACAAAGGAACAAATATAACAACTGTAGATGTTTCTTCAGAAACTATGCACGCCAGGGAATAATGAATATCATGAACGTGCTGATAACAACAACAACAAAAAAAATGGTCACTAAGAATTCTAATCCCAGAAAAAAATTTTAAAAATATAGGTGATAAATGTACAATAAAAAACTGTAAGACTTTGGGGTGGGGGCGGGGAAAGGAGAGAGTCTTTGGGACCTAGGGCTAGACACAGAGTTTTTAGACTTGCCATCAAAAGCATGACACATCAAAGCAAAAAATGATAAACTGGACCTCATCAAAATGTAAAACTTTTGCTCTGCAAAAGAACATAAACAGGATGAAAACACAAGCTATACACTGGGAGAGAATATTTGTAAACAACATATAGAACAGAAAACTAGTTTACAAAGAACTCTTAAAACTCAGAAATTAAAAAAAATACAATCAGAAGATGAGCAATAGACATGGACAGGCATTTCACCAAAAAAAGATGCCAATGACAAATTAGTATACAAAAGGATGTTCAATATCATTAGTCATTCTAGAAATACAAATGGAAATTCCAATGTCATAAAAACCACATATCTATCCAAATGACTAAAATAACAAAGACAACACCAAATGCTGGTAAGATGTGCGGACGCTGGAACAATCATACATTGCCAGGGGAAATGTAAAATGGAACAGCTAATCTGGTAAACCGGCAGTTTTTTACAAAACTAAAAATTTTGAGCAACAGTGGTAGAGTAAGAACCTCCAAAAATTCTCTTCCATAAAAACAATGAGAAACTGTCAGAAATGTCCAAATGCTACATGTTGAGAACTCTGGAAATGAACCTAAGGCTTACCATAATACAGGGAGAATTTATCCAAGAAAAAAATGACTGAGCGTCAGTAAGAACCGTGGGTTGTAGGCTTCATGGTATTTTCGCTTGCTCTAGTCCTAACCCCACTCTCCTGCTCTGCAGAAGCCTGAAAAACCAACAGTTCACAATCAAAGAGAAAAGCAGTAGCAAGGGGGTAGGACCACGTTAGAGTGCCTTCAAAGCTTCCTTCTCAGAGAACTGTCAAAGATTTGTCTCAAGGTTCCCTGGAAGACCCAGTTGCAAGGCTGTCTTTATTCCGTCTGAGTAGCAGATTGCCCAGGGCAAAAACCACTGTAAACTGAAACAAATTACAGGCAATTGTTTAACTTCACAGCTGCTTGAAACAGTTGTAACAAACAACTGACAAACCACAAACTGTAAAAGGAAAAGCTTTCAAAATGTGGAAACCACTCAAATGTCTATCAACTGATGAACAGATAAACAAAAAGTCATGTATCTATTCAACGGAATATTATTCAGCCATAAAAAGGAATTAATTCTGATACCTGCTACAACATGAATAAACCTTGAAAACATTATGCTATGTTAATGCAGCCAGATACAAAAGGTCACATATTGTCTCATTCCACTAATATAAAACATCCAGAAAAACGTGTATCCATAGAGACGGAAAGTACATTAGTGATTACCAGGGATTGTGGGAAAGTGTATACTCTCTCTTGCTCTTTGGCTTGCTTGCTCTGATGGAAGACAGTTGCTATGTTGTGAACTATCCTACAGAAAGGCCAAATGGCAAGGAAATGAGGGAAGTGCTCTAGCCAACATCAAGCAAGAAATGGAGTCCTTCAGTTCAACAGCCTACAAGGAATTGAACCTGACAACAACCACGTGAATAGAGGAAGATCCTTCTTCAGTTAAATCTTCAGATGAGACTGCAGTCCTGGCCAACAACCTTGACTGCAGCTTCGTAAGAGACCTGGAGGCAAAGGCACCCAGCTAAGTCAGGCACAGATTCTGGGGCCTCAGAAAATACAAGACACTGAATGTTTATTCTTTTAAATCACTACATTTGGGGGTAAGTTGTTAAGCAGCAATAGATAATTAAAAAGGTGAATATTTGCTTAACACAATAGACTACAGACACTTTAACTGTAAAGCCAGCATCTTTCTTAATGGGGAAACCCTAGAGGCATTCCCAGCAAGATCAGAAAGAAGACAAGGGACCAGGTGCAGTGGCTCACGCCTGTAATCCCAGCACTTTGGGAGGCCAAGGCAGGTGGATCACAAGGTCAGGAGTTTGAAGCCAGCCTGGCCAAGATGGTGAAACCCCGTCTCTACTAAAAATACAAAAATTAGCCAGGCGTGGTGGCGGATGCCTGTAATCCCAGCTACTAGGAGGCTGAGGCAGGAGAATTGCTTGAACCTGGGAGGCAGAGGTTGCAGTGAGCCAAGATTGTGCCACTGCACTCCAGCCTGGGTGACAAGAGTGAAATTCGGTCTTAAAAAATTTTTTTTTAAAAAAGAAAGAAGACAAGGATGTCCACTCTCTCCAGGACACTTTCACATTGTCTAGAGGAACGAGCCAATGCAATAAGACTAAAGAAAGTAATTAAAGGGATAACAGCTGGAAAAGAATAAGTAACACTATCTGTATTTTCCAACATAAGAGTATACCTGGAAAACTCTATAGAGAATCTATCATGAAAACTAATTGAAACAATAAAGATTTCAGCAAGATACCAGGATATAAAGTTAACACGCAAAAATCAATATTGTTCATATATACAAAATACAACCAGTTAGAAGATATAACATGACAAAATTCATTTACGATAGTAAAAAAAGATTAAATACTTAGTAACAGACTTTAGAAATCTTCAAAACCTATTTTAAAGAAAACTATAAAGTACCTAAAGGATGCAAAAGTAGACTAAAAAGATGGAAAGACATCTTTGTTCCTAGAAATACATACTTATTTAGAGACAAAGAAAAAGCCATGATGTGCATAACTCACAAAAGCTTCAGAAAATAATAAATACACATATACATACATACAAAAGGATGAAAGCAAAAACTTGATAAAGCAAGTTTTGGGGTCAAACACCACAAAAAATGTTTAAATCAATCTAATCAAGAGCAAATAATACAGTAAATTCAGACATCTACTTTTAAAATACATTATTTTTGAAAACTTGCATAATTTAAACATGAACTGTGTATTAAATTATATTGAATATTACTTTCCTTAGGTGTGATAATGACATTATGTCTGTAATTTACCTTCAAATCATTCAGCTTGGGGGAGGGGGCAGAGGGGTAGGAGACAGGTAGAAAAGGGAAAGAGAAAGCAAATGTTGCAAAATGTCAAAATTGGTTAAATTTAGGTGAAGGGTTTACGGGTGTTCTTTCTATGTTTTCAACTTTCTTATTAGTTTGAAATTTTTTTCAAAATGAAAGGATGGGACAAAGGAAATGACAGAAAAGATGGGAGTATAAGGCTAGCTTTCCTTCCTTGACCTCTTGAAAATCGTGCCAAATAACAAAGAGTACAAGAAATAGCAATGCAAACCCTCCTGCAAAAATTAAGAGGTAGCTAAGGAGAGAGAGAAATATAAGATATCTAAATTTGTCTTCCTTAGTGGTAAGTTAACAGATAATTAACACTGGTGCATTAAAAAAACAAAGGTGTAAACATAGTATTTAGCATTTGAAGGTAATCATAAAAAGAACTAAAACAAATGAAGCGTGGAGGATGCAGGAAAAGAGACTTTTACTGTACATTTTAAACATTTTATACGACCTGTTTATATCAAGTATCACATGTAGTAGTAGTAATAACAATAATAGATTTTCCCAATTACATGGACTATCCAGAAAGATTCTGTGACAGAAGACACTATACCCAGAGAAAAGGCATTTCTCATCATCTTCACTACCTTGAAGTGAAATATTTAAAATACAATTTTAAATGGTTAAATACTTTGAAATACTATTGGGTTTAGTAGAACCACAGGTCTACCTACATGAGTACCATGATCATGATACCAAAAAATAACAAATTAATACATTAAGATGACATATCCTATTATTTCAAACAACTTAGAATTATTTTCATTCTTGTCTTTAAAAAATTTGAATAAACAGACTCACAGTTCCACAAGGTTTGGAAGCTTCTGAGCAAGGTTTTCTGGCTGAAAATTAAAAACTCAGAATTAAATTTTATTTTTGAAAAATGTCTAAACATTTCTAATTTGTTTAAATACAAAGTACTACCTTTTTGAGGGGTGTAAATTTTGAGAAAATGTGAAAATAATTAATCAGCAGGT
Source organism: Homo sapiens (assembly GCF_000001405.40). Lineage (NCBI taxonomy): Eukaryota > Metazoa > Chordata > Mammalia > Primates > Hominidae > Homo > Homo sapiens. Next base: position 99,276,440 of record NC_000015.10, on the reverse strand, counting down.
CTGGGTTTTATTCTTACAGAGACCATACTACAATTTAAATTTATAAATTCAAACATTAAAAAACAATGTCCCTTAGAGCAGCGGTCCCCAACATTTTTGCCTCCAGGGACTGGTTTCATGGAAGACAAATTTTCCACAGACAAGGTTGTGGGGGTGGTTTGGGGATGATTCAAGCGCATTACATTTATTTTGCACTTTATTTCTATTATTATTACATTGTAATACATAATGAAATAATTATACAACTCACCATAATGAAGAATCAGTGGGAACCCTGAGCTTGTTTTCCTGCAACTAGATGGTCCCATCTGGGGGTGACGGGAGACTGTGACAGATCGTCAGGCACTAGATTCTCATAACAAGTGCACAAACTAGATCACTCACATGTGCAGTTCACAATAGGGTTTGTGCTATGAGAATCTAATGCTGCTGCTGATGGGACAGGAGGTGGCATTCAAGCGGTAATGCAAGCCACAGGGAGTGGCTATAAATACAGATGAAGCTTCGCTTGCTTGCCTGCCACTCACCTCCTGCTGTGCGGCCCCGTTCCTAACAGGTACCAGGTCTGTGGCCCAGGGATTGGGGACCCCTGCCTTAGAGAAACCACAAACCTCATAATCCATGGTCATGGAAGAAATAAAAATGTGCTTCACAGACACAGAGAGAGGGAAGAACCAGAAACTGGAGTGATGTAACTGGAAGCTGAGGAACACCGAAGGTTGCCGGCCACTCCCAGCAAGGAGAAACTCAAGGAGCATGTGCTCCCTCAGAGCCCTGAGAAGGAACCAATCCAAATCACACCTTGATTGTGGACTCCCTGCCTCAAGAACTGTCAGAGAATACATTTTTGTTGTTTTAAGTTACCCAGTTTTTGATAATTTGTCACGGCAGCCCTGAAAAACTAATATATCCTCCAAATTCCCAAATCATGCTCCTCGAGAGAAAGTAAGGGAAATCTGCAGGGCCCCCAGGTACAAGACCTGACTAAGCTCCAAATGAACAGGGGAAGCTGGAGCTCATGTGGTCCAAGGGAGTGTCAGACCTGGCCACAGGTCCAGACATCAGAGTAGAGGGCCAGGAAATTGGCCATTGGCAGGAGAAAGAAAGGCAGACAAACCTAGGTCCTTTACCCAGAAGAAGTCAGAGCCCTGAAAGGGCTGGCCTTTCCATGAAAAGAATCCTAGAACAAAAGTCTACTCACAGGTTGAAAGCAGGCTTCTCTCTGCTGGAGGTACTGGGTAGTGGAGAAAGCCTCCTGTAAATAACTGAAAGCCAGTCTGCATACGCACACACACAAGTATATAGGCATATATATACATATAATATCTCTCTCTCTTTCTCTCACACACACATAGGGGGTTCAAATTTACACATACGAAAAGAAAGAGTCGAAAGGCTGAAGGAGCACACTGAGTCAAAACTAATTTTTTTTTCATTTACATTCAAGCTACTATAGGGTAAACTGTGTATCAATAATAATGAATCAGGAATGGCTTTTTAGAAGACATTAGGTCTGACCCGAGTTCCAAAAGACATAAATTATAAGAGGATGACATGGAATGGAGAGGAGAGTAGTTCTGTATAGCTTTCTAAGCACAAGAAGCAACATATGAAAAGCCAAAAGAGAACAAGTACAATTGGGAAACTGCAAATACAATCCATTCTGCTATAACTACATAACAGCACTCCCGAAGAAATCTTACATTTTCAAAAATCCTGTTAGAAAAACAATCATGTCAATAGAAAAACTAACGTGTTAGGTACTAGAAAGTTGACTATTTTAAATAACCAAGAAATTTTTCATAAACTTGAATTTTTAAAAATAAGCATGTGTCTTTTATAATTGAAAAAATTAAAATTGAATTTTAAGATCTGCTGTGTGCAGCATAAGCTGTTATACAATTGATTAATCAGTTATATACAATTTGAGATCTAAACACTCACTAAGACAAATGACATTAGTTTGGTATGTCTGGGCCATTAGGTATGAAGATGTGAGATTTTACAGAGAATGGCAAGGAACAGAACACTAAAGGCTTATATTTTATACTAAGGACTAGCTTTTAAAAAATCCTGAACACAATGGAAAATCACTGGTTTATTTTAAACCAGAAAATGTCATTATTAATGTCATACTGGCATACTGATGTATTTAAATACTTAGCAACAGTATCACAAACTGCTTATATATACATATCCTTCCCTTTTGTGATAACCAAGTATCATTGAATATGAATATTGTTATGAAGTCAAGGAAGCATTTTTGAATACTCACTCTTGACAGTACCATTTGTATTTCATTTTCAAATGCTGAAAGCTGTGATTCTTTTTGCCCCATATTTCTATACTGATATATGCAACAAGATCCATCATAACTAGTCATTTCTCAGATGTTCCTTGTGGATCCGTCTAAATCCCTGGAATGTTTTGTTTTTATTATCAGTATCTCCCTTGAGAATATACGCTTCCGTTTATGGGCATACATACAAAGCATCCTAGAAAAACTAGGGAACCAGTGGGTGGAGGGCCTTAATTATAGCTGTTCCTATAAAAAGGAAAGATTTGTCCAAAAAGAAATGCTGTTTGACTGTTAGACCTTCACCTAGTTTCATCTGCTAATACCAATACTATATCTGGCTAATTCACACACTCCACGGTCATTCTTTCTGGATGTCTACTTGGCTCCATCAAATAGCATTCTAATCTTTCCATGACAAACTAGTTAGTTCTTTTGAGGTGTAGCTCTACACACAATTAAGCACTGAAATAATGCTTCTGTTGCCAATAGAGCATCTCTATGTCTTTATTAACAAGTAGATACATTGTGTTTTTATTTAAAAATAAGCACATTCACTTTGAGAAAATTGCAGTTCATTAGAATAACGCCTTAAAACACACAGACACGGCCGGGCACGGTGGCTCACGCCTGTAATCTCAGCACTTTGGGAGGCCGAGGCGGGCAGATCACGAGGTCAGCAGATCAAGACCATCCTGTCTAACACGGTGAAACCCTGTCTCTACTAAAAAATACAAAAAATTAGCCGGGCGTGGTGGTGAGTGCCTGTAGTCCCAGCTACTCAGGAGGCTGAGGCAGGAAAATGGCCTGAACCCGGGAGGCAGAGCTTGCAGTGAGCCAAGATCGCGCCACTGCACTCCAGCCTGGGTGACAGAGTGAGACTCCATCTCAAAAAACAAAAACAAACAAAAAAAAACACACCACACACTTAGGAATAGATGCCCAAAACTCCTGGCAAGTAATCAGCCCTTGCACAGGCTGTGACTGACACCTACTGGTGTTCCATAATATCACTCTCTGTTTTCTAATGCCATATTTTTAGCAATGTAGCTGAGAAATGTTATACGTTTTAATTTTTACACTTCTATAATTTAGGTACAGCATATAAGAGACTAGACAACTAGAAATTAATGTCAGAATTTTTGTTACTTTGTGGGTAACTAAGCTCTAATGTTGGATTACAGAAGCCACACAAACTAGTGTATCCTAATCCATAGGATTTACAAGCTATGAAGTTTTTTAATGTTTTTAAATTTAAAATCCTGATAAAAGCAATAGTCTTAAAGTGCTTCTCAAATCTATTATTACCTTCTTTTTTCACAATTTGAAACAGAAAAGTTTATCAGATAAACATAACATGTACTCAGATACCTCCTACTAAATTACCTAGAAATTGTTTCTCTAAATCAAGCCAAGGATTCTCTTCATTAAATCTCATTTACATTATTATCTAGCTAAACAACTTTTCTTTACAATAATGAAAAAGTAAACTTCAGCAAGCACAGTTAGTATAAAACTTACCCCAAATTCTGAATCAATGATGCTTTACCATATTCTTTTAGACTCCACTTAAATGGGAATGTTTTAAAATTTTTTAACTTGGAACAAATACGTCAAATATTTTGCAAACACCACCATGTTCAATAGTATTTTCTGGTGGGCACTGTGCATTACCTACTTTCTTTCCTTCTCTTTCCGAACACCTGCTAGGACTGCACATCTTTCATCAAGCTGGCCATGGCTAAGTGACTAGCTTGGTCAGTGAAATTAAGCCAAAGAGGAAGCCTTGACAAGATTGAGTGCAAAAGACCTCACCCCTTCCACAGTGACCACCAGACGGTGGACGTTTTGTCAGCTTCATTCCTGGGCAGAGGCTCCAGGCTCTGAGAGACTAGTACAGTGTAGACAAGAAATATGTGTGCTGTTACAAGCCACTAGGACTCAGGGTTTGGCAAAACCTGCTCCATCCTGGCTTCTAACAACACATTTCAAAGAAGTCACAGATTAAATGCATTTGGGTTGTTATACAAGCTATAAAAAGCAGAAGAAAGCAGAATGAATTTGGACCACTATCTCATACCATATACAAAAATTAACTCAAAATGGATCAACAACTTAAATTTAAGAGCTAAAACCACACTTCATAGAAGAAAACATAGGAGTAAATCTCCATAATCTTAGATTTGGCAATGAATTCATAGCTATTACATCAAAAGCATGAGCAGCAACAGAAAAATAGATACACTGGCCAGGTGCAGTGGCTCAAGCCTGTAATCTCAACATTTTGGGAGGCCAAAGTGGGTGGATCATTTGAAGTCAAGAGTTCGAGACCAGCCCGACCAACATGGTCAAACCTCATCTCTACTAAAAATACAAAAAAATTAGCCGGGCGTGGTGGCATGCGCCTATAGTACCAGCTACTCTGGAGGCTGAGGCAAGAGAATCCCTTGAACCCAGGAGGGGGAGGTTGCAGTGAGCTGAGATCACGCCACTGTACTCCAGCTTGGGCAACAGAGTGAGACTCCATCTCTAAATAAATATATAAATAAATAAATAAAAGAAAAATAGGGCTGGATGCGGTGGCTCACGCCTGTAATTCCAGCACTTTGAGAGGCTGAGGCAAGTGGATCATGAGGTCAAGGGATGGAGACCATCCTGGCCAACATGGTGAAACCCCATGTCTACTAAAAATATAAACATTAGCTGGGCATGGTGGCACACACCTGTAGTCCTAGCTATTTGGGAGGCTGAGGCAGGAGAATCGCTTGAACCCAGGAGGCAGAGGTTGCAGTGAGCCAAGATGGTGCCACTGCACTCCAGCCTGGCAATAGAATGAGACTCATCTCAAAAAAAAAAAAATAGATACACTGGATGTCATCAAAATGTAAAAACTTGTGTGTATTACAGGCCACTACAAGAAAATAAAAAACACAACCTACAGAATGGGAGAAAATACTTACAAATCATATATCTGGCAAAGGTCTAGCATCCAGACTATAAAAAGAACCCTTACAATTCAACCACAAAACAACAACTCAATTAAAAAATGGGCAAAGGATCTGAACAGACATTTCTCCCAAGAAGATATGCAAATGACCAACAAGCACATGTAGAGATGCTCAACATCATTAGCATTAGGGAAATGCAAATCAAAACTACAATAAGGTGACACTTCATACCCACTATGACAGCTGTAACACTAACAAAAAAAGAAAAGTAACAAGTGTTGGCAAGAATGTGGAGAAACTGGAACCATTGTGCACTGCTGGCGGTAATGTAAAATGGCTCAGCCACTTTTTGGTGGCTCCTCAAAAGTTAAGCATAAAATTACCGTATGACCCTGTAATTCCGCTCTTATTTATATACCCAAAAGAACTGAAAACAGGTCCTTCAACATGTCCATTCATGTTCATAGCAGCACTATTCACAATAGCTAAAAAGTGGAAATAGCCCAAATGTCCATCAGTAGATGAATGGGTAAACAAATGGTGGTATAGCCATACAATGGAATCCCTACGGAATCACACACAAAAAAAGAAGTACTGATATATGCTAAAACTTGGATAAACCTTGGAAACATTTTGCTAAGTGAAAGAAGCCAGATACACAAAGTTTCATATTTTGTGATCCCATTTATATAAAATATCTAGAGTTAACCCAGAGAGAAAACAGATTGCTGGTTACCAGGGCTGGGTGTGGGAGCTGAGGGTGGGGGCGGGGCAATGGGGAGGAACTGCTTAATGGGTGAGGGGTTTTACTCTGGAGTGAACGAAATGTTTGGAACTAGACAGAGGTGGCTGCATCCACGGTGAATGTACTGAATCCTATTGTCATTTCAATAGGATTAATTTTATGTTATGTCAGTTTCACCCCAATAAATTCGTTTTCGTTTTTAAAAAGCTAATGAAGTCTTGGCACTGAAGGAATAAAAAGTACTTCATTCACAAACTACCACAACACACTTAACAAGCTTTTTAGTTGAATCAATAAGTTGATGTCATTGCTTCTGAGCAGGTACACGACATGAGTTAAATACCACGTGTCCAGATTTTTTAAAACTGTGGTAGACCTCTTTTCAACTTGTCCATTCCTTCTCCAGTATTTCCCTCCATTTTTATATATGTCATAGAGCAATATTTATCAACAGAGGAATCAGAAACCCTAGCAGGCTAATGGTACAGAATGAAGGAACCAGCATTCTTTCTTCTTCCCCAGTAGCATAAATGCCTTCAGGGTCCTAGTTACCATTACCTTTGTCTCTTGACTCACTTCATAATAATTACTCATTTTCCTTTGTTTCTCTCTCTGCCATGATGGAAACATTATCTGTGTTGTCCAATATGGCAGACACTAGCCACATGTGGCTATGAAGCACTTAAAATGTGGCTATGTGATGGAGGAACTGAATTTTTAATATTATTTTACTTTAATTTAAATGTTAAGGCCAGGCATGGTAGCTCACACCTGTAATCCTAACACTTTGGGAGGCTGAGGGAGGTGGATTACCTGAGGTCAGGAATTCAAGACCAGCCCGGCCAACATGGTGAAACCCGTCTCTACTAAAAACACAAAAATTAGCTGGGCGTGATGGCGGGTGCCTGTAATCCCAGCTACTCGGGAGGATGAGGCAGGAGAATCACTTGAACCTGAGAGGCAGAGGTTGCAGTAAGCTGAGTTCGTGCCACTGCACTCCAGCCTGGGTGAAAACTCTGTCTCCAAAAAAAAAAAAAGTTAACAGCACATGTGGCTGGTAAAGTGTGCAGAATTCATACCTTCATATTCACTACTGATTTTTCACTTAAACTCAGCTCTTTCAAATGTAAAACATGAAGAATAACTACTTAACTGTAAGAATGATAAATGTTTTAGATTATTTTTCTTAGAAATAAATGAAAGTATTTGCTTAGCATTTGTAGAAATTAAAATTGTCATCTTAAGAAATGTAAATGAAAATATTTTAAGTATCTTCAAATCTACAAATGTTTTCTGGCAAAAAATGTAAAACAAACATCAAGACTGATATTTTTAACTTAGCAAAAACTTACAGAATGAGCTCAAAATAAAAAAAACTATACATCCAGTACATTTACAAAAATACAATGTTTCTGAATTTGATAGAAATTTGATTGCCAAGAAAAGATTTTTCAAAAGAAAAAACAGGCATTAAAAATTGCTGAAATGCCTCTTGAAGTGTTTATCTTAATATTTGTTAAAACTTTAAGTTATGTAAATGTCGGAAACAAGGGTTGGAGGTTACAAGCATCAAGTGTCTTCTCCAGCTTTTTATTTTTAAAAAAACCTATTTAATAAACATGCCATAAGTATGATTTTATAAATGCAATTTTCAAAGCAATATAAAAATACACACAAAAATAGAATACCAAACACATTCCCATTAAGCCAGATCAATGATTTAAGATTACACCTAGCTTGAACAATTCTGTAAGTTTATGACATAACTGTTTGGTTTTGCGGGGGTGGGGTGGGGAGCATGTTCCAAGATCCGTGTACAAGTGCCTTACTTACATAACGTATGTATTTGTTGACTGATTCGATGGGACTAACAGTTAGGCACTGGTGTCTCACTTCCAGTACACAGGTGCCTCATTAAAGTGAATGCCTGAAAAATGAATTTAAACTTGTGGAAACATACATACACCAATGGTTTTGAGTCTTTTGCTTGCAAATAACACCCTTCGAGTACACAAGATAATGGTCTGTTCTAAGAAAAGACCCCTAGCCCTGCCACCTCTTTCTAAACTGTCCCCCTCCTAACTCCCTAGGCAGAAACTACAAATTACAGGGTATATGCTAAGTCAGGTTCCCTACATTTCATTTAAAAAGCAAAGAATGATACATGTTTAAAAATATTTCTATTAAGCTAGACTTTTATTCACAGGAAAACTCAGACACAGACTTTACAAAAATTAACTGGGAAAATTCACTTAACATGCAGCACTTCATTTCTCCACAGTCGATAAACGTGGTTAAATTTTAACGACATGGTGGTGCTAGGCTAGGAAGAGGTTATCAATAAATATCTACAGAATTAAAATGAAGCAAAACTAACTGGACCACAAATTAGGAGACCTTATTTTTGCACTGAAAAGTGACTTTAGAACCAGCCATTATCCTCTTCTTAGTTTCCTCAAAAAGAAAAATTGTCTAAATTATAAATAAAGCTTCTAGCTTTAAAATCCTATGACTCCATAAATAGAGTTAAGTTATGGAACAGACGTTCATTTTCCTGAAAAATGAAAGTCATTATGACATGTGAGAGGCTTGAGTTTCTTAATTATTTGACAAGGAATCACCGTTTCACATTACTGACAAGGAATCAGTAACAATGACAGAAAAGCTTCTAAATCTGAAAATTCAACAGGAAAAGAAGCTGTTGTAACAAAACTTAATTTTCAGGCACATGTGTATTATGAAGACAGGATAAATGTGCAATGGCTGTTTTCCAGAACTGTACCACATTTACTTACAAACACTAAAACACTAACGGACCATTAGAATGCTTTACTATTTGATATACTCACATATTTCCACATAGTCAATTTAAGAAACAGAGATGCTTTTATACAGAGCTAGCTCAAGAACAGTGCAATCATGGCGATTATGGAGGCCCTGCACCCTAGCAGCAGTTCAAGCTGCAAGGATCCAACAGACTGGAGAAAAACAAGAAGTCCTTGCTCTGGAATTCAAAATGAACCAAACTAATAACAAAACTTAATTCCCGCTCCCGGTTTCTCCTACCGCACTTGGCTGTATGATGCTCTTTTAGGCCATCTCCTTAACTTACTGTTTTTCCCCTCAGGGTGTTCTGATCCTTATTTGATCCAGATCCTACTACTACCAAATTCAAGGAGGGGGTGGCGGATATAGTTGTGTGACTTTCCTAGCCATCAACCTCTCTCACCCTCACCTAACCACCGGCTAAGAGAGTCATCTATGTCAATATGGCATAAACATATGCATCGCTGTAAATCAAAATATTTAGACTAGCTGATTAGAAAGCTTGATAAAAACTTAGTGGCACTATATTCTAACCATCTTATTTTAACTGACTCCAAATTATAAAAATAAATATTTACTGAAAGTAATATAAACCAAACTTACTAGTAGAGTTTTCCCTTGTCCTATAAACACTTAAGTAAGGCTGTTTCTTTCAGCCTCCACCCCTACCCTCATACTCTCCATCCATCTCCAACTTTAATCATTATTCAGTTTGATGTACATTTTATGACTTAGTTTATTTGTCTATAAAATAAGGATCATAATAGTGCCTACATCACAGGATTGTCCTGAGGATTAAATAATACATGTCATTTGCGTAAAACTGTTTGAGCACTTGGTAAAGACTCAAACAGTGCTAGCTGCTATCATATTTTAACAAATCCATTATTGATGAATATCGAGGTTTTAACAATTTTTCATCATATTCAATTTTGTGATAAACACTCTTGTTCACCAGACTTTTCTATTGGGTAGATTCTTGCAAGTGAAAATGCCGATTCAAACACATATCCATGTAGTTTTGCTAGATATGGCCCAACAACTCAACAAAAACATTAATTTCCATTAGGAGTATGTGACAGTATCTTCTCCTAACTGTCTCCAACACTGGGTATTAATTATCCTTAACACTAGGTGTTAATTTTTTTTTTTTTAGACAAGGTCTCACTATGTTGCCCAGGCTGGTCTCAAACTCCTGGGCTCACATGATCCTCTCATCTCAGCCAAGTAGCTGGTATGCCTCGATGCCTGGCTAGGTGTTCATCTTTGCCAATCTGATAGGTAAAAATTAGTGTTTTATCACTTCTTCTAAAAGTTGAACATCTTTTTACGTGTTTTTGCTATCTGTATTCTTTTTTCATTTGCCTGTTCATATTTGAAGCAGAAAGTCAGGAATGTTTTTCTCCTGGGCTAACAGGAAAGAAAGAACATCTGTGCCTCATTTCCCAGCCCAATTCAGGAACATGATTGACAGATCTCTCTTTCCTTCACTAAGTGGAATATAATTTTTAAGTTAAATTATCTCTTGTTGCATAGATTAACTGCTTAATCAGGATCCATCTGCTCCTGTTGCTTAGCTATAAGCCAAACTCCCCTCTTTCATTAAAATTTGGATACCTCTTTTTTGTCCATTCATATTTATAAAATAAAATTAGCAAGTAGTGAGAGCTCTATCAGTATTTGGGCAAGTTACTCTTTCATTTCCTCAGGAAGGCCAACTGTTACCATTAAGAAAAGCAGTTGACAGATTCATTAAGTGATTTTGCTTCCAGGTTGAGATTTTATGTTTTCCTCCAAGTCTCTTGTGGCCTTTTTTCTTGTAAATAAAGGAACTGAGGTCCAAAGAGGTTAAGCCATAGGACTTTGATCTCTTACCTCTCTTACCTCTCAGTCCTGAGTTTTGCTACCAAACCATGAAACACCCGCTTCCTGGGACTGCAGCCCTGAAATGCTCCCACTACTAATTTCCTCCCTTGAGGAACTTTAGAGTTTTAGAAAGGACTAGTGATTGTTGCTTCCACGCTATATTCCTTCTCCTTCTTACAAAGACCACAGGGACCGATGCAGGGAAGGTTGTAAGGCTCTACCTCAGCCCCCTCCACCCTGCACACTAAGACCGTGTCATCATCAGAAACTTCTCCATGACCACAGTCTTTCTCTGCCACCAAAATGTCCCATACCCCAGATGGCTTACTCAGTCGTGCCCAATACAGCAGTTCGTCAACATCAATGGGTACTTTGGCCCACCTCCATTCTCCGTATTCACTCTTCCTTTATTTGCCTCCAATCCAACTCAGATTTCATGTTATATCACTCTCTTGGCCAAATCCTAAACCTCCTTAGTCTCTCTCTACTTGTACTGCATCCACCTGGCAAAAACCTAAATCTGTATGAATGCCACAGTCTACCTTCTCCATCCCTCAGACAGCTGAGTACAGCAAGAGAAAGTTCCCTAAACGAGCAGAAGGTTCCACCATAAGCTTAGTCACCAACTGCTTGCTAAATAACACCCAACAATTCTATCTTTCTCTAGCCAAACTGCCATGTGAGTCTTCAAACCTGCCCTCTCCCCAAATGTTCATTCCCAAGCAGATGGTCTGACCTGGTAAAAGCATCAGACAAAAACTCTCTCAACTGCCTCTCTCTCCCTCAGTGCACATCTGTCTTTCCACCTGTTCTCCCTTTCTTTACTTTTACAAAGGAGGAAAGGATATATTCCTAAGGTCAATCCTTCCATGTGTACTCTGGAGCCCATTCTTAGGAAACTTGGACTTTTCATTATTCCCTTTTTCCAGAGGTTCAACTCCTCTCTAATGGGAATTTCCTATCAGCATTTACTCTGTCCTCTTAGAAAAGAGAAGAGAGGGGGGAAAAGGAAAGGGAAAAGAAAAGAAAAGGGAAGAATAGAAGAAAAATCTCCTTTGCTGTCAAATCCCCTCCCACTATGCCCATCCCATATCACAGCCAAACTTCAAAACCTATCTACCCATCTGTTTACTAGAGGTCCTCTCTGCATATCCCATCTATGTGGGGGTTTGCATAGAGAACATCAATACTCAAACAAAAGAAGAGCTGCTCCCGCTGAAGTGGAGATACACTATTGCTCGGTCCCCACCTCAGCATTGCTCAGTAAACCTAAGGTTCTGTGGAACTGTTAGATACAGCTAGGTTCCTCTTCAAACAGCTTGTCCAGTTCCCCTCTTCTTTATTCTCTAGTTCCAAGTTCCACCCCCCACTCCCCGCTTTTGCTGAGCCTTAACGTGTCTAAATATGCCTAGACATGCCACAGCCCTGTTCCACATTCCTTTCCTTATGTAGAAATAGGTTAGCTTTCTAGTCGCCTGCAGGTGACCACTTCCTCCTCTCCCTCTCTCCTCTATCATGCGCCTACCTTGTCTAAGAAAGTTTAAATGTTTAGCCAATCAGGACTAGTTTAGATTGTGTGGTCCAACCCCAGCTAATGGGGGAAAGACACAGACACAGAATCTGTGTTGTTCTCCTTTGTTCTGTGTGTTCTCATGGTGGCTAGGCCTATGAGCAGCACCCTTCTGCAGAAGAAAACTGGCCTTGCTGAGAAACTTTTTGAGTGTTCATTTTCTTTGTGGCCCTGAGCTCTTACTTCCAACAGAACCTATAAAACCACTGCTCAAGGCAAGCAGAACAGCTTTGTAGACTTGTCCCTCGAACGTTATGCCATTGAGTCTTAGTTCATTTTTTTTCCTTAAACTTGAAATTCCAACAAATGAAAATTCCATAAGAAGCAGCAGCTGTTCCATGATGTATCTATTGTCAGTGTCTTGAAGAGTGATGGGTACACAGTTAAGTACTCAACAAATACACACTGATTGAATGATGCTCTTCCTCCTAAGTGCCTGTCAAAGTCAGTCTTCGGTGTCATACAAATAGGATCTTATTTTTAAAACATTCTACAATGCTGCTACATAGAATGAAATTACGTGTACTACACATGTTAAGCAGTAAGCCAGGCAGTGAAGGTACAGAACGCAAGACACAGTTCCTGCTCTTGAAAGCTCTCAGTCTGGAACTCTTATAATATGGTCCTTATGCAATTCTACTTTATATTCATTTATTTAATTCTACCACTGCATGAATACCTATCATGTGACAAACCCAGACCCTATATTACTTCTAATATCTATTTATCTTAAAACGATCACAAAGATCAGACTTAATTCCTAAATTGCATTTAAAATAATTATGGAAAAAGTATTTAAAACATTTTCTAAGGTAAATGATAGGAAGCAAAATCATGTTTCTTAACTACTTCTTTTTTTTTTTTTTTTTTTGAGACAGGGTCTCACTTTGTCACCCAGGCTGGCGTGGAGTGGCGTGATGTTGGCTCACTGCAGCTTCAACCTCCTGGGCTCAAGCAATCCTCCCATCTCAGACCCCCCAAGTAGCTGGGACTACAGGCACACGCCACCACAACCAGCTATTTTTTTTTTTTTTTGTATTTTTTATAAGACAGCATTTTGTGATGTTGCCCAGGCTGGTCTTGAACTCCTGAGCTCAAGTGATCCGCCTGCCTCAGCATCCCAAAGTGCTAGGATTATAGGCATGAGCCACTGCACCCGGCCCCCACAACTACTTCTTTTTCACCTATCAGTTATATAACTAGATTTCAATACAAACTAGCTTATGTTTAAAAAGAAAGTTCTGGCCAGGCACAGTGGCTCACCGTAATCTCAGCACTTTGGGAGGCTAAGGCAGGAGTATCACTTGAGCCCAGGAGTTTGAGACCAGCCTGGGCAACACAGCAAGACCCCATCTCTATAAAAAGTTGTAAAACTCAGCTGGGTATGGTGTGGTGGTGTGTGCTTGTAGTCCCAGCTGCTCAGGAAGCTGAGGCAGGAGGCTCACTTGAACTCAGGAGGTCACGGCTGCAGTGAGCCAGGATCATGCCACTGTACTCCAACCTGGGCAACACAGAAAGACCCTGACTCAAAACAAAACAAAAAGTTTTAAGGTTTCTCAGCTATACAAATAAATGATAATCAAATATTGCTTTAAAAAAATTTTTTTTGAGACCGAGTCTCACTCTGTTGTCCAGGCTGGCGTGCAGTGGCACAATTGCAGCTCACTGCAACCTCCACCTTGCAGGTTCAAGTGATTCTCCTGCCTCAGCCTCCCGAGTAGCTGGGACTACAGACGCGCACCACCATGCCTAGCTAATTTTTGTATTTTTGGTAGAGATGGGGTTTCATCATGTTGGCCAGCCTGGTCTCAAACTCCTAGCTTCAAGTGATCTGCCCACCTTGGCCTCCCAAAATGCTGGGATTACAGGCATGAGCCACCATGCCTGGCCTAAAAGTATTCTGAATTATGAAACATGTCTACCCTTTAGACCAGCAATCCTACTTTTTAGGCTATCCTAAATATAAACATACACATACATACAAGAATGTACATATATCTATTGGCCTAGAGGTTAGTGGAATGAGAATATCATGAAGTGAAAAAAGAGACTTCCAGAGAAATATGTATGATTTTTTGTTATTAAAAAGGAAAAATATAAATAAAAAATATATGTAATTATATAAACACAAGCAAGGAGGTGGAAGGTGGTACAGTCTGAAGCTTGTGTTTCCCCAAATTCACACACTAAAATTCTAAACCCCAAGATGATGATGGTGTTAAAAGGTGAGACCAGCCGGGCACAGTGGCTCACGCCTGTAATCCTAGCACTTTGGGAGGCCAAGGTGGGTGGATCACCCGAGGTCAGGAGTTCAAGACTAGCCTGACCAACACGGAGAAACCCCATCTCTACTAAAAATACAAAATTAGCCGGGCGTGGTGGTGCATGCCTGTAGTCCAAGCTACTCGGGAGGCTGAGGCAGGAGAATCACTTGAACCCGGGAGGCAGAGGTTGCTGTAAGCGGAGACAGAGCCATTGCACTCCAGCCTGGGCAACAAGAGTGAAACTCCATCTAAAAAAAAAAATTAAAATTAAAATTAAGATTAAAATTAAAATTAATAAAAGAGGTGGGACCTTTGGGAGGCAATTAAATTATGACAGCAGAGCCCTCATGAATGGAATTAGTGTCCTTTAAAAGAGGTCGGGGAGAGACCCTTGACCCCTTCCACCATGTGAGAATACAGCAAAAAGGCACCATCTGCGAACCCAGGAAGAGAGACCTCACCAGACACCGAATCTGCTAGTACCCTGATCTTGTACTTCCCCAACTCCAGAGCAGTTAAGAAATAAATTTGTTTATAAGCCACTGATTTTATGGTGTTTTGTTATGGCAGCATGAATGAACCAAAGCAGAAGGATACAATCCAACTATTAATGTTGGTTGCTTCACAAACTGGACAAAGAGAGGATTGCTTTCCAGATACGCCTCTATGTTGTTTGACATAAGGGCATATACCGGTTTTGTAATTGAAAAGTTTATTCTTTTAAATGTGCTAAAAGGCTTTTTCTTGTGCTTTAGTTCTAAACATGAGCATTCACCAAGTTCTGGACTTTTGTCATGCAATCGTCCTACAAATACAAGCCACTACACGGCTTTGAGCGACTGAGGGGCAAAAGGGAGAAGAGTAGAGGTTGAGTATTAGCGACAACTTCTCTTCTCAGCAACAGGCCTAACATGCTGAGGGGTAGGAGAGGAAAGGAGGAAAATGCTGAGAGAAGGCATTTAACACACACGCAAAAATGTTAACAGGAAACAAACAAACAAAAAATGTTAAGAAACACAAAAACAACATGAAAATGGAAGTGACTGACAGATTCCCAAGCTTGTTTAAAATCCATAAGTAAAAGGCCAATTAAGCAATAACATATTCGAGATACTCTATATTTTCAACGTTTTCCCCAGTTTTGGGCAGTATTGCAGTTGTAAATAAAATTCCACATACTACTCTCCTTTAGGAACTATATTTTAACATCAGCAAACATTCCAAAAGCCCTAAGAATCACTACTAGTTTTCAGCACTCTAGGAAAAGTAATGTTTTACCTGTTGTCAAAAACTGTGCTGTAAGCTGTCATATATCTGATATAATCAGGCAATGGGTGGGCTTTGGATGACAGCTACTATTCCCACCATCCCCTCATATCTGTACAGCCTTTATAGTTTACAAAGTTCTTTGATATACGTAAATCAAATATCGCAGCTAAGAGAAAACAAAGTAAAATACATACATCATTATAAACACATACAACAATTTAATCTTTGATGATTAAAAAGGTTGCAGGGAAATAAAATGTATTACCATAAGCTATTATAAAGAACAATTTACTGGACAGTAGATTCTTATTTTCATAAATAAAAAACTGAAGCTGAGAAACTACCACAAGACCAGAAGTTTAACTTTTGGTGGGGAGGAAATCTTTTTTATTTTTATACATGACAAGATTTTACATCAAGAATAGTCAGTTAAATAGTACAAATTTACATTCATGAGGTATGTTTAAAAAAAATCAACTAAAAAACCCACTTCTTCTTGTAACCCATAATCCCACATTTTACAGTGCAGGGGAGAAGGGGACTGGTGGGGGGCATCCAAAACAAGTCTCTGCCAAAAGAAATGACTTACATTTCACATTCCCTCTCCACACAGGATCCAAACGATGAGAGTATAATTTACAATTCATCTTTTTCAGCTGTAGATTCCTTTGCTGTTTCTTGTTTTTCTTCATCTGTTCCCACATCCATTTCTTTGTCTTTGTCTTGCTCTTTGTCTTCTGCTGTCTCCTCAGGTTCTTCGTCGGGTTCTTCCACCTTTGCATCAGGATGTGTTCAAACTGAGGCAAGGCATTCTTTCTATTCTATCTCCATATGCTTTAGTGTCTGGTAAAAGACATCCTGACCGAATCACTGCTGCATTGCTGTTTCAAACAAAACCACAGCAAGATCCAAAACTGTTTTATCATCTTCATCTTCCTTAATTCGTCGAAGCATGTCTCTGATCAGCGGATGTCTGGGATTAATTTCAAATGTTTTCTTCCGACTCGCATGGTAATTTGTAGAGATGCCCTTGCCCGTTTGGTACGCTTGTGCTTTCATGATTCTCTCCATGTTGCCAGACCACCCGTACTGGCTGGCCACCAAAGCACACAGAGATTCTGTCAGGCACTGAGATACCATAGCCTTTTCAATCTTGTCCTTAATGGCTTTATCTTTCACCCAATTGGGCAGAGGCTCAAATTCTTTCTCAACTGCTTCATGACTCTCCTTAGTTTTCTCACTGTCATCAAACTTCACTCCTTCCTTGGCAACATTCTGGAACCTCTTCCCATCAAATTCGGGAAGGGCCTGAATGCAGTATTCAACCACAGGTTCTGTGAGGTAAATAACTTCATAGCCCCTTTTCAGAAGTCGCTAAACAAATGGAGAAGATTCAGCCTCTTTTCTGCTGGACCCAGCCATGAGGCAGATTTTGTCTTGTTTTTCCTTCATTCTTTCAACATCCTGGTGTAGGCTAGTAATGTCAGCTGGATGATGAGAAGACTGGAACCTAAGAAGTTTAGCAAGACATGTTCGATTCGAGTGGTCTTCAATTACACCAAGCTTAATGTTGGTACCAAATTCTTTCCAAAAAGTATCATTGTATTTCTCATCAGCAATCTTCTTGATCATGTCCAGAGTTTTATGAACAAGTTTCTTCCTAATCACCTTAAGCAGTTTATGTTGCTGAAGAGTCTCACAGGAAACATTCAAAGACAGACCACCTGAGTCCACCACACCCTTGACAAAATTCAGGTTCTTAGGCATCGTATCACGGAAGTCATCTGTGATGAATACACAGCGCACATAGAGCTTAATGTAATCGCTCTTTTTAGATCCATATTCATCAAATAGGCCACGTGGAACAAATGTGGGTACAAATAAAATTGATTTGAAGGTAACTTCTCCTTCAGCAGTAAAGTGAATACAAGCCACAGGGTCATCACTTTCCTTTGAAAATGATTTGCAGAAAGCTTTGTATTCATCTTCTACTTCTTGGATGGTCTCTGCCATATTGGTTTGATATCATTCATAAGTTCCCATTCACAGACAGTTTTTTCAACTTTTTTAGTCTTTGGTTTCTGTTTTTCTTCTTCTTCCTCTACTGCAGCTTCATCATAAGATTCTTCTTTCTCTTCTTTTGCTGCTGCTTCTTCCTTCATGGCTCCTTAACAGTTTCAGTCTTGCTGCTCCATACATAAATAGGAAAGTTTATGAACTGTGAATATTTTTGATGAGATTTTTAATTGTATCCAATGCAAGGTAATCAAATGCTTTTTCTTTTAAGACAAGGGTAATGGTCGTTCCCCGTCCTAGAGTGTTTCCTCTTGGGTCAGCAATTACAGAATATTCATTGGATTCAGACTCCCAGATGTACTGGGTATCGTTGTTGTGTTTTGAAGTGACAATAACCTTATCTGCTACAAGGAAGATGGAATAGAAACTGACACCAAACTGGCCAATCAATTCAGAAGTTGACTGGCCATCTTCCTGTGCTTCAGTCATTTTGTTTAAAAACTCGTTTGTTCAAGATTTGGCTATGGTACCAAGGTTTTTAACCAACTCTTCTCTGGTCATTCCTACACCAGTGTCTGTGACATGCAGTAGGTTCTTCACCTTATCACACTTAATTTTGACTGTTAGTTCCTCATTTCCAGAAAGAGCATTTTCATTAGTCAGTGATATCAGCCTTATCTTAACTAAAGCGTCAGAATCAGTTCTCTAAGGAAAATCTCTTTATTTTCATACAATGAATTGATGATAAGTTTCATCATTCTGTTAACTTCAGCTTGGAAGGCAAACTTTTCCAACTTCTCTCTAAGTTCTCTTATTTGTGATGCATTTAATTTATCCAACTGAATAGCTTCTTCCTCTCTCTGTACTACTTCATCATCCATCCTTGAGCCTTGTCTACTTTTACCCAGATCCTCTTCTACTGTACCTTCCACATCAACTTCATCAACAGCTCTGACCGACCCGAAGGTCAGCAGGACGCAGCAGAGGCCCCAGCACCCACAGGGCCTTCACAGCTTGTGGCTGGTGAGTCTCAAGTCCCTTTCGATCGCAAGAGCCACCTCCACCCTCTCACCCCCGGGTTGGATCCTCACACCTCCAGCCGCGTGGTCCGCCCACAAATTTAACTTTTATAAGCAAAGGTCAATTCTCTGAACAAAGTCTACCCCATTGGGCTATGGCAGATAGTTAATAAGTAATCCAATCACAAATTTTTCTTTATACATAAAGAACAAACATGGGAAAATCTAGGCTATAATCCTTGTCAAAATATTTCTTATACCACTTCTCGTTAAAGGGTTAAAAAGTACTAATATGGTTTCATAGCACGGGATGATGACTTTGCAAAAAAGGATTCCTATAACTGCAAATAGATTTTCCAAGTTGGAAAACTGAAAAATCTAATTTCAGAAATATAAGTAGGCATTCAACATATATGCCAATATGCCAATCACAAAAGAACAAGACATACGTATCTATTTACTTCCAGACAGAGCAAAGATAAACTAATTTTATAATGCTTTCTACCCACTATAGGCATTGTACATAGATTAAATAAAACTTTTCCAGGAAAACATGCCATATACTTGAAGCCAATAAGATACAATTTCCAGATATTTAGCAAAGTCCAGTATAGGGAAGGGAATGAAGAATGGGTAAATTCACAAAGTAGTAAGATTTCATAAATCATCTAAAATGAGTAAGCACTAGAATTCAAGTACAAGATTCAAATAAGGTTAAGTGATAACCAGAAAAGGCCATACAAAGTAAATCCATTTAATACAGAGACCAAATTTTACAATAAATAATAGGAATAAAAAGCTTGATTTGGACATTCTCTTGAAAAACTTTTAGTTTATCTTATATGTAATACAATTCAGATTATAATGAAAACTACGTGCTTATTCTTAGAACATAAAAAGAGCAAATTAAATGTTGCCTTTGTGGCAAAATTTTTTCCAAAAAATTGTATGCTAGCCCAATTCAAAATCATTTGAGTTTCACAGGGCAATCATAAAGGTTTTGCTTTCAAAACACTGAAAAGTTACATTAAGCTTCCCAAGTGCATCTCTTAATGCTTTAATTTTCAAATCATTCTCCCTTTAATGCCTGTACCTCAAAAGCATTTTTGGTCTTTCTCGTTTACTTTTTAACTGGTCTGGTGAATGCTGTAATATTCAAGAATCACCTGAGAAGCTTAACACACAAACAAATTACAAGTCAGGACAGAAGCACATGCTAAACGAAGATGGGTTTCTGAATGGGTACTAACTTTATAAGTCATACATCAGTGAGTATTTTGCTTTCCTACACAACTTCTCCGGCAACCTCATAACTGCACGAACTTGGATAACAAATTCATAGCCAATGAGAAACCCCTGTGTGTGTATTTATATTAACTGTATATATAACAACAGGGGATATAAGTCTTGGTCTGAATACCTTAGGGTATGTAAATGTATCTTGATCAGGACCACATGTATAAATAATTTTTCAGTAGTGTAATATAATACTGTACCAAGGATGTCAGGGAGTTCCTTTTCATATAGAGTCTCTCCAAGTACTGCAGTCCCTCATCTTTCAGTAACTCCAATGGAAAATGGTGCAGATTCCTATAATTTAAGAACAAATTCTTGTGCTTTTCTAGCCTTGCCACAGAGATCGTCTTACAAAGTTCGGACGCCATGACTGAATATATCCCATCAGGCACGCTGCAGCACTATATCTTGTCAAAATTGGTCCATTTCTATAAAGAGAACGAGAAAATTTATTCATTGTAAGATTTTTTACAAGAATTGCCATATAAACCAGTTAGCACACAGAGCCACTTGAAGACACTGAAAAAAATAATTAATACATTCAATCCTACATTTTACTTTCAAAACTAAAACTGTCACACATATTTAGGAGGAGATTAAAATGAATAACAATTTAATAAAAATACTCTGATTAAGCAATATTTATTACTTATTAGAAATAGTCCTAATGGAAAAAAATAGTTTTTGCACTTGAGATAGGAAACCTTGTGTAAGAAAAACAGTGACCAGTTTCATAACATACAACCAAAGGAGAAGCTTAAAAATCAAATGCAGCAAACCCCATTTCTTTTATGAACTACCTCATTTTGTATTTAGCTTAAGGTACTTCAAAAATATTAAAATATATATTATTTATATCTAGAGCACTAATAGCTTCATTTTCTTCACTTCCTAATATATAAATATTGTCCTATATTCTGATTTTTTTCTTTATCTCTTTATTCTTTTCTTTCTTCTTATTTTTTTTTAGAGACAGGGTCTCACTCTGTTGCCCAGGCTGGGGCGCAGTGACTCAATCATAGCTCACTGTAGCCTCAACTCCTGGGCTCAAGTGATCCTCCCACCTCAGCCTCCCAAGTAGCTGGTACTATAGAGAGCACCACCACACTCAGCTAATTGTTTTACTTGTTCGTAGAGATGGGGGTCTCACTGTGTTGCCCAGGCTAGTCTCAAATTCCTGAGCTCAAGCAATCCTCCCACCTCAGCCTCCCCAAGTGCTGGGATTACAGTCATGAGCCACGATGCCTCGCCTCTTTGTTTTTAGCTTTATGGATTATCAGAGGCATCAAAGAAATAGATCCAGGGCCACACAGTCTCATTAGTTTAAATTATTTCAATGAAAGAAGAAACACTGCACTCAGAAACAAGAATCCTGTATTATTCTATAATATTACAATGTCTCTGGGTCTCCAGTTGCCTAATATGCAGAATGGAGATAGCAATTAATGTACTGGTTTAAAGGCCTGAGTCCAGGGCAGATTATTATAAATTCTCTTCTAGCTCCAAAATTGACAAGGGCAAGAAGACAAGTAACATTTGCCGTTTTATCCACTAGGCACAGAGCTAAAACAAACTTCACCATCAGTTAACACAAAAAGAAACAAACTCAAGGCTTCAGTAATTTGTCCAAGGTTAGACCGTTCACAAGGGATAAAAGCAAGGGTTTGATACCAGGTCCAGTGGATTTCAAAGCTTGGGTTCTTCACAGACACTGACTCACAAGATTCCACAGGATACTAAGGAAATGCTGAAACAACTACAAAGAAGTTGAGCTCTGCTTA
The DNA here is from genome assembly GCF_000001405.40 of Homo sapiens. Taxonomy (NCBI): domain Eukaryota; kingdom Metazoa; phylum Chordata; class Mammalia; order Primates; family Hominidae; genus Homo; species Homo sapiens. Next base: position 99,254,544 of record NC_000015.10, on the reverse strand, counting down.
AAGATTTGACTGTTTTCCTCAGCTCTTTTTCCCAACTCTCTATTGGAAAGTACCTTTCAATAATTTTTTTTCTTAAGGAAAGTGATTTTCACTGGGAATTAATACCAAATTAGTACAAAAGGCAGCAACATAAGCTTTCAATAAACATGAGTTTTGTAATTTTCTGGCTATATTTTATTATTTTCAAATTCTAATTCCTGGCTAATGAGCTAGCACTTGCCATTTTATATAAAAAGGCAAAGTATGAAATACTATTTCCAAAGCAACGTAAGGATCCAATACTTTCCCACATTTATTCCACCTACTCACCTATTTTATGAGATATATTAATGTGACTTTGTGCAAGATAATTTTTCCACATCTTAATTATCCTACCTGTAAAGCAAAGGGAAGTAGACTACAAATAACATCAATGATTCTGTGTAGAAAGTGAAACTTCATAGGTAATTATTCACTGAACTAGGAAACTGTTAGCAGTTTAGATGTCTCACAACCATCTCAAACTTAACACATTCAAAGAGCTTTCCATTTTCATCATCAATCCGAATCTCCACAGTTTTTCCCATCTCAGTAAATGGCTCACCCCTCCATCCACCCAGTGGCTCAAGCCGGAGAAGCAGGAAGTCATGAATGATTCCATCCTTTCATATTCTGACCACCTCCAATCTATCACAAGGCTAGTGGCCTCTATCTCCCAAATACATCTCAAATCCATCCAAATCTCTCCATCTGCCAAAACCACAAGCCACAGTCATCTCCTGCCTGGCCAACAGTATTACCAGTCTCCCTGTGTCCACTCTAGTCACTTCCAACACATTAATCCCAGCAATGGGCCTTTAAAAATGTACATCCAATTACATCTCACTCTTTTCGGTACACATCTTACTAAATAAACCCTTCAGAAACTTCTTACTTAGAAAATCAACTCATACTAGGCCTTGAGGGTGCCTCACCATCTGCCCCCACCCACTTCTCCAGCAACTCTGCTTGGCTTCTCACCAAGCTTCTGGGCTTTTCCAATCCTCAAAGCTACTAAACCCCTAACAGCACTTGCTGGTCTCCTCTTAGCCTAGAAAGCAATGTCCCATCATTCTCCAGATTTCAACATAAAAATTACTTCCTGAGACCGGGCGCAGTGGCTCACGCCTGTAATCCTAGCACTTTGGGAGGCCGAGGAGGGTGGATCACCTGAGGTGAGGAGTTCGAGACCAGCCTGGCCAACTTGGCGAAACCCCATCTCTACTAAAAATACAAAAATTAGCTGGGTTTGGTGGCGGGCGCCTGTAATCCCAGCTACTCGGGAGACTGAGGCAGGAGAATCTCTTGAAACCGGGAGGCGGAGCTTGCAGTAAACCGAGATCGCACCACTGCACTCCAACCTGAGCGACAGAGCGAGACTCAGTCTTAAAAAAAAAAAAATCACTTCCCTATCCCAAAGTAATTCCCCTGGTGTTCTTTCAGAGGAACTTGGCTGTTTGTTTTTTCTTCGTAGGACTCCTCACAATTTGTCACTTAAATATTTATCGTTGCATCTGTCTATTGTCAATAAAGCCAAAAAGCCTGTAAATAAACCCTTCCGAAACTTATTTAGAAATCCTGAGGGCAGGGACTGCGTTGTTTTCTTCACGCTTGCATACCTGCATCTAGCACAGTAACTAAAAGTAACCCTTCCTAAAACCTAGGTGATGGGTTGACAGGTGCAGCAAATCACCATGGCACACGTTTACCTATGTAACAAACCGGCATATTCTGCACATGTATCCAGGGACTTAAAATTTTAAAGTAGGCCTTCTAATATCTGATGACATGTGGAAGAACATTGCAAGGTTGATTTTTCATCCAACTATGTCAAGACCACGGATAGAGCCTATAAGCTTGCTACATGCCACAAGGATGTCTAATCTTTACAACCATGCACTGCAATAGACATTATGTAGCCCGTTTTGTAGAGGAGGAAACTGAGTTTCTCAGAGGGTAACATGCCATAGTTCCATCGCAGGTGGACTGACTACAAAGCGTGTGCACCGCCGCCCTATAATGCAAAACCACACTCACTGAAGGAAGATTCAATAAGACAGTCCCTGTAACCTGACGGCTTTCCTTCTGAATGTTCTGGCTGGGATTGGCTGCCTCAAAAACACCATTACACTCTGTTAAAATTGCTACAAAGGCTGTTTGGGAGATAAAATCTAAACAAATGAAATCCTAAAACTGCCAATAATAGCAATAAAGCATCAACAATGCTCACAGTTTTGCAGTATGCATTCACGGGCCATACACAGCCTTTAACAAGGTAATTTTCTTACCCCATTTCACTTGACTACATCTTACCTAGTTAAGCAAACTACCTCTTGTATAGTTATACTACCTCTTATGTAGTTAAGGCAAATAGTATTACTTAATATCAGCTGTATACAGCTGCACTTACACACGAGCTTTCTGACAGGTGAACACCAATCTATCTTATTATTAAAAACAAAACAAAAAAATCAAAAACCTCTCAACAAAATTCCACACATATTAAGGAGTATTTTGAAAGGAAGGAGTCCCTTATACTGACCTCCCCGTACTCAATTTAGTAGAATACGCATTCCAATTTCCTAACGCTGGAGATTAGAGAACTATAAGCTACATATTAAAAGCATTTGTAAAAGGCTATTTTCTCAGCTGTGGTAACAAACACTGGCAGAGTCTTAGGCAAAACACACGCCGTTTCGCCCGAGTTAGCCAGCCACTGAGATCGTTACAGTTGGGAAGCAGCGAGCCCAGCAGCAGGGATTTCACGGACCCGGTATCAGGGTTCTCGGGTCCCAGGGGCCGCGGGCCGCAGAGTGGGAGGAGGACCCGGCAGCTGTGGCCACCCGAGGCCCGGACGGCTCCGCTGTCCCACTCGCCGCGACCCGGACGCTTTGGCAGGACCACGTCTGGGGCGTCCCCGCCGGGGGGCCGGGTCAGAGAGCCTCGCCACTTGAATCACCCGACGAGGCGGACAGCTCTACTCACCTCAGCGCCAGCAGAGCCAGCGCTCCGGAGCGCAAGCGGCGCTGGAAGCCAAGCGGGGGACGGCGGGCGGGGCGGGGCAGGGAGCCAGGCGAGGGCGGGGCGGAGCGCCGGGCGTCGGGGGCGGGGCTCCGGGGGTGGAGCGGAACCCGCGCCAGAGGGAGCTGGGGAAGAGGGAGCGGGAGAGGAGCACGGAACCTCGCGATAATCCCCTGTGTTCTCGCGCTTTCACGATAGGCGCGGGAAAATGCTCGTTTGCCAAGCGATCTGTGTATTGGCCGAGAGCGCTACTTCCTCTATGCTGGCCCCGCCCGCGGCTCTACTCTTGCTTCCGGCTCCGGCGTGGGGTTTGATGTCGACGGAGTGGCTTTTGCTTAGCGTCTTGAAGGGGTAATTTAGTCGGCTCCAACTTCGGGAACCGCCAGTTACTGACCTGTTCCTTCATTCATACATTCATTCAGTCACTCGGCTTCTCATTCAGAGCACACGTTGAGGGATTACAACAATGATCCCACGTTGAGCGTTCGTTCTAAGAGCTGTTTATAGATTATCTCGTTGAACCCTTGACAGCAATCCCATGACACAGGGACTAACAGCGCCAGTCTGACCGTTGAAAAACAGGCCAGTGGGTTTATGTAACGAAGCCAACGTTATTTAGCAAGTAGTGAGTCTAAGCACCGGATTTAAGGGGTCACTACGAACTGGTAGATAACAAAGATGAGGAGGACGTAACCTAGTCTCTGCCCTTCAAACACCCAAGGTTTATTTTGAGTAAAGATTGCTAAAAAGGTCAGGAACAATTTAGAGAGTTAAATACAATGACACTTCCTAGCCTGACTGAGTAGGCCGTCAATATGTATTTCTTCAAGACGAAAATTATTATGTCAGCGAAATAGCATGAAAGAGGGCTTTATGCTGTTAAAAATACTTGGAAGCATAGTTCGGAAACATTTTTAAAAGACACTTTTTAAAGTGTCTCATTAATATGACAAATTTCCTTCTGAAATGAAGATTTTAAAGTATAATCCTCTACTACAACCGCTGATATTTTTTGTTCTGTGGAAAGCCTGTCTATGAGTTTGCGAGGCTCCTTGTCAAGGAACTTTAACTTTATAATGAAGTAGTTTTTACAGTTGCTGACTTAATTATTCATAGAGACGAATAACCTAGAAAGCAGAGTTATATTAAATAAAAAACATTGGTTTTAAAACAAGGTATGAGTTATAATAAAAATTATCAGTTATCTATTAAATCTGGTCTTCAAGAGCTATTCAGGTATACAGCATGGTTGGTATATGTCATGTATTTCTAAGATAGTTTCGGAATACCTAAGAATTCGTGGCACTCAGAAATTTTTTGCTGGTCTTAAAATGAGGAAATCCACATTTTGTGTAAAAACAAAGATACGGTGTTTAATGGTCAGCCCAAATAATAAGACTTGCTGCTAATATATGAAGAGTTACACCCCCCAAAAAAGAAAAAAGATTAACAGTAGAACAGTTTTTTGAAAACAATGTTAGCCTCTTAGTTTTCATTTCTTTTTTTTAATGGGGAATACTGTTTTTCAGTGATTAATATCTGATATTTGATCATGAAAAATGAATCATGTTAAAATAACCTTCACCTCCTCCCCACATTGACACAAAAGTTACCAAGTGATTATATTTGATAATACTTTATGACCCCACTCTTGAAGTTCTCACAATTTGTAGAGAATCAATTCGCACGTTTTGTCTCTCTTAAAGGGGAAAAAAATCCTCTAAGCTGGTGATTTCACGTTCTTTGACAAACTTCAATATCAACAGGCAACGATACCACTTTAAGAAAATTCCAAGGAAAAGACCTCATTTTAAAATTCCCACCTCTGGCTCCCAAAGATTGGTTTGCAAACTTCGACAAAATACTCTTCTCCACTCGCTATTGGTGAGTGCTCTATCATTCATTCTTTTGCCTGGAGTTTTGTGAGGTACCCGCTTGCTTTATGGGAAAAGGCTGCTCCGGAACTGCCCTACTTTAGACTTTTTCATGGTTATCAATCTGTACAAAGAATCACCAAACTGATAAAGCAGGAACCAGAGGGCAAATCACGCTGCCAAGACAACTGTGTAATTCGCTCGAAAAAGAAACGGTGAGCCTCTCCAGCAGACTGGGTAAACTGGCAAGGGATTTTACGACATAGTTGGAGATTGGAGAGTTACAGAAACTTTTCCGGTTTTTTACAAGTTTTAAAGGAGTGATTGAGTGTCAAAGGAAAAGCAGAGAAAATACAGGCACAATTTAAAGACAGCAGGAAGAAGAGTGTTCAGAGAGCATTTTTCTCTTTAGGGTGAAGTTTGAAAGCATCATGCCCAGATTATCAGTGGATTTTTGAAAGGTAAAGGAGGCAAGATAATAAGATTAACTATAGATCATTTTCTACTTTAAGAAACTGTGCTTCGTTATTGTTGCTTAAGTGTGGATTTAGAAGGACATTTAGTAATATTGTAATTTTTATATGGATATTTTTGTTTATATATTGTCATACCTGGCATAATAGATAATATATCTATTAAAAGATATAGGAGAAAATAGAGTTGCTTGAACCCAAATTTTGTGTATATTTGTGGATTAGGGATTCCAGGGACAGATCTGCTAATGGCTGAACAAAACATACTACAGATACCTGAAGCAGAATCAGCATGTAAGGGTAAATTCTCAAAAAAATCCAGCAATCATATTTCAAAAATGACATTTTTAATTAAAACAAATACAAAAGAATTTATCAAGGAAACGTTGATGAACATGACTATTTCTTAAGTTGCCTGTGTTAATCCATATAGGGGAATATAAAGTAATAAAATCCAGCCCCTCAAGAGCAGGGACAAATGAGGCTCAGAACATTTAAACTAAAACTTCTGAACAGTTCTTAATGCCCGGATGACTGTTGTAGAGCACAGGTGCTTCAGGAGCTCAGCTCAATGTGAGATGAATTATTCAGAGAAGGCTTCACAGTATGGGTAAGACTCAATTTGGGCCTGAGCAATGGGCAGAATTTCAGAGAGAAAAATAAGGGAAGTGGCATCCCTACTAGTGAGTGAGTTGTTAGCAAATACATGCAGCCTGAGGAAGAGTTGGTTCTGACTGCGGCAGAAGGTTCATTTGGAAACTTTGGTTACAAATTTTAAAAAGCAGCATGAGAAATATAAAGAGCCGGAATTCCCAAAATCAGGGGTTTGGGTCCTGTGTTTGGAACAGGAGGCACCCCTTATGAAAGTAATATTTGAAGACAATAAAACTGACAGTGGAATTTAAGATGGCTAGACCAGAGCAGAGACCAGAAGCTAAGGGGCCCCATGCTGTGTAAATACTGGCACACAGGTTAGTAACCATGCTTCTTACCCGAATACATTTACCTTATCATTGTTGAATAATATAAATTTTGATGCACTTCTTTGTAGTCTTCGAAAGCATTGAGTTTACTTCTTTAAGATTTTTGGGGACCGCTGCCACACTGTCTTGGGGAGTCATGGTTGCCCCGTCTTTATAAAAGTCTTGTCATAATATGTATAAAAACCAGAATTACACATAAAACTGCGTTGTGGTTTCATAGCTATTTTTAACAGCTTTAATGAAGTATAATTTATATATTATAAAGTTCATTTGTCTTAAGGATATAACTCAATGATTGTTTTAGAAAATCACAACCATCACCACATTCCAATTTTAGAAAATTTTCATCATCCTAGAAAATTTAGAAAATTTTCATCATCCTAGAAAATTTAGAAAATTTTCATCATCCTAGAAAATTTAGAAAATTTTCATCATCCTAAAAAAATACTTTGTGCCCATTTGCAGGCAAGTCCTGGTTTCCTATCCCCAGCCCCAATCACTAAAAAACTTTCTGTCTATAAATTTACCTTTTCTGGGCATGTAAGTGGAATTACACATTATGCGATCCTTTGCATCTAGTTTCTTTTACTTAGCATAATGTTTTTGAGGTTCATCCATGTTGTAGTATGTCTCATTACTTCATTCCTTTTTATTGCTAAGTAATAATCCACATTTTATTTAACAGTACCAATTAACAGACATTTGGATTTCTTCTAGTATTTAAATATAGTGTTTAATTGTACTAATTGTAATTGTATTACAGTAAATACAGTACAGTATTTAGCATTATGAATAATGCTGCTATGAAGATGGGTACAAGTTTTTGTATGAACGTGTGTTTTCAGTTTTCTTGGGTGTATATCTACGAGTGGAATTACTGTCATATGGTAACTCTGGGTGTAACTTTTCAAGGTGTTGCACAACTGCTTTCCAAGGTGAATTTCCCATTTTACATTTCCACCAGAGTGTATGAGGGTTCCAATTTGTCCACATCCTCACCAACACTCCTTATGATCTGTCTTATTCATTGTAGTCATTCAGCTGGATTTTAAGTGGTATCTTATTACAGCTTTCATTTGCATTTTCCTGATGACTGACGATATGAAGCATCTTTTCATGTGCTTGTTGACTATCCATATATCTTCTTTTGTAAAATGTCTTTCAAATATTTTGCCTATTTTTTTAATTGAGTTGTCATCTTGTTACTGATTGTTTTTTGGTTTTTTTGGTTTTTGTTTGTTTGTTTGTTTGTTTGAGACTGGGTCTCGCTTTGTCGCTCAGGCTGGAGTGCAGAGTGCCACGATCTCGGCCCACTGCAATGTCCACCTTCCGGGTTCAAGCAATTCTTCTGCCTCAGCCTCCCGAGTAGCTAGGATTACAGGTGCCCACGACCACGCCCAGCTAATTTTTTGTATTTTTAGTAGAGACGGGGCTTCACCATGTTGGCCAGGCAGGTCTCGAACTCCTGAACTCGTGATCCACCTGCCTTGGCCTCCCAAAGTGCTGGGATTACAGGCATGAGCCATCGCGCCAGCCCATGTTAATAAATTTTTTTTTTTTTGACACGGAGTGTCACTCTGTCACCCGGGCTGGAGTACAGTGGCTCGATCTCAGCTCACTGCAACCTCTGCCTCCTAGGTTCAAGCGATTCTCCTGCCTCAGCCTCCTGAGTAGCTGGGATTACAGGTGCCCACTACTATGCCCAGCTAATTTTTTGTATTTTTAGTAGAGACAGGGTTTCACCATGTTGGCCAGGCTGGTCTTGAACTCTTGACCTCGTGATTTGCCCACCTCGGCCTCCCAAAGTGCTGGGATTACAGGCGTGAGCCACCACGCCCAGCCCCATGTTACTGATTTTTAATTGTTCTTTATATATTGTGGTTAAAGTCCTTTATCAGATTAATGATTTACAAATATTGTCTCCCATTCTGTGGGTTGTCTTTTAACTTTAATAATAGTGTCTTTTGAAGCAGTAAAGATTTGGATTTGATGAAATCTAATTTATCTTTTTTTTTCTTTTATCACTTATGCTTTTGGTGTTATATCTCAGAAGTCTTTGCCTAACAGGCTGGGCCCTGTGACTCACACCTGTAATCCCAGTATTTTGGGAGGCCAAGTCGGGTGGATCACCTCAGGTCAGGAGCTCGAGAACAGCCTGGCCAACAGGGTGAAACCCCGTCTCTACTAAAATTAGCTGGGCGTGGTGGTAGGCACCTGTAATCCCAGCTGCTTGGGAGGCTGAGTCAGGGAGGCTGAGTCAGGAGAATGTCTTGAACCTGGGAGGTGGAGGTTGCAGTGAGCCGAGATCACGCCACTGCACTCCAGCGAGAGTCTGTCTCAAAAAAAAAAAAAAAAGTTCATGAAGATTTACTCCTATATTTGCAAAGAGTTTTATAGTTTTACCTCTTACTGTTAAGTCTTTACTCCATTTGGAGTTAATTTTTGTATATGGTGTGAGGTGTAGAGATCCAACTTTATTCTTTTCATGTATCTATCCAGTTGTACCAGCACTGTTTATTGTTTATTGAAAAGACTGTTCTCTTCCCATTGAATTATCTTGGCATGCTTGTTAAAAAAAATAATTCACATATATAAGAGTTTATTTTTGGACTCTCAACACTATCCCATTTTTCTATATATTAATTCTTTTTTTTTTTTTTTTGAGATGGAGTCTCGCTCTGTCACCCAGGCTGGAGTATAGTGGTGTGATCTTGGCTCACTGCAACCTCTGCCTCCCAGGTTCAAGCGATTCTCCTGCCTCAGCCTCTCGAGTAGCTGGAATTACAGGTACTTATCACCAAATCTGGCTAAATTTTTTGTATTTCTAGTAGAGACAGCGTTTTGCCATGTTGGCCAGTCTGGTCTCGAACTCCCGACCTCAAGTGATCCGCCCACCTCGGCCTCCCAAAGTGCTGGGATTACAGGCATGAGCCACCACGCCCGGCCTCTATATGTCATTTCTTATGCCAGTACCACCACGTTGTTTTGGGGAGGGCTTTTCCCCAGCTTTATTGAAATATGATTGACAAACTAAAAATTATATACATTTGAGGTAAACATCATGGTGTTTTGATATAAGTGTACCTTTTGTAATGATTCCCACAATAGAGCTAGCTCACACATTCATCACTTGACATAATTACCATTTTTGTGTGTGTGATGAGAACATCTGAGATCTTAACAAATTTCAATTATTTTCTATAGTTACCATGCTGTATATCTCTAGAACTTATTTACCTCATAACTGAAAATTTTTAAGTACAACACTTTTGATTACTTTTACTTTAGTTTTATAGTACATTTTAAAAATGGGAAGTGTGAGTCCTCCAACTTCTTTTTTAAGATTGTTTTATTTATTCTTAGTCTCGTATTTCCATCTTAATTCATCCATAATAAGGATCAACTTGTTAATTTCTGCAAAAAAACAGCTGAGTTTTGATGGATATTACATTAAATCGATACATCAATTTGAGGAGTATTCTATCTTAATATTGAGGCTTTTAATCTATGAACATGGAATGTCCATGTATTTAGATCTTTAATTTCTTTCGATAATGTATGATTTTCATTGTACAAGTCTTGTATTTCTTTTGTTAAATTTATTCCTACATATTTATTCTCTTTATCCTATTTTGAATCAGTGTTTTCTTAATTTTATTTTCAGATTATTTATTGCTGACATATAAAAATACAATTTTATTTATTTATTATGTATCCTATGGCCTTGCCGAACTTATTTAGTCGTTCTAATTGGGGGGGGCGATTTATTTGTTTATTTATTGTGGAATCCTTAGGATTTTCTACATAGAGGGTTATGTCAGCTGATAATAATGTTTTATTTCTCCCTTTCTAATCTTCATGCCTTAATTTATTGTTCTTGCCTGTTGCTCTGACTGTAATATCCACAACTTTGACTACAGGTGGTGAGAGAAATCATTCTTGCCTTGTTTCCAATCTTGGAAAACATTCAAACATGCTCCATTAAGTATGATATTAGCTTTAGGTTTTTGTAAATCAGGATTTTTTGGTTTTGTTTTTTAATTTTTAATTTTTGTGAGTACATAGTAGTAGGTGTATATATTTATGAGATACATGTGATGCTTTGACACAGGCATACAATGTATAGTAATCACATCAGAGTAAGTGGGTATCTGTGTCCTCAAGCACTTATCATTTCTTTGTGTTAGAATTATTCCAATTCTACTCTTTTAGTTATTTTAAAATATACAATAACTTATTGTTGACTGTAGTCACCCTGTTGTGATATCAAGTACTAGATCTTATTCATTCTATCTAACTACGTTTTGTACCCATTAACTATCCCCACTTTTCCCTCCCTGCCCAATACCCTTCCCAGCTTCTGGTAATCATCATTCTACTCTCTGTGTTCATGAGTTCAGTTGTTTTAATTTTTAGCTCTCATAAATGAGTGAGAACATACAAAATTTGTCTCTCTCTGCCTGGTTAATTTCTCTTAGTATAATATCCTTCAGTTTCATCCATGTTGCTGTAAATGACAGGATTTCGTTCTGTTTTGTGTGTATATCTACCACATTTTTTTATCCATTCATGTGTTGATGAACATTTAGGCTGATTCCAAATCTTGGCTGTTGTGGATAGAGCTGCAGTACACATGGGAGTGCAGATATCTCTGATATACTTTTCTTTTGGATATATATGGAGCAGTGGGACTGCTGGATCATATGGTAGTTCTTCTATTTTTAGCTTTTTGAGGAACTTCCATACTGTTCTCCACAGTGGCTGTAATAACTTGCATTCCCACCAACAGTGTATGAGTGTCCCCCTTTGTCCACATCCTCACCAGCATCTGTTACTGCCTTTTTAATAAAAGCCATCTTAACTGGGGTGAGATGACCTCATTGTAGTTTGATTTGCCTTTCTGTGCTGATCAGTGATGTTGAGTATTTTTTCATATACTTGTTGGTTATTTGCATGTCTTTTGAGAAATGTCTATTCAGATCTTTTGCTCACTTTTTAATCAGATTATTAGATTTTTTTTCCTATTGGGTTTTGTTTAAGCTCCTTATATATTCTGGTTATTAATCCCTTGTCAGATGGGTAGTTTACAAATATTTTCTCCCATTCTGTGGGTTGTCTCTTCACTTTGTTGATTGTTTCCTTTGCTATACAGCAGCTTTTTTACTTGATGTGATCCCATTTGTCCATTTTTGTTTTGGTTGCCTGTACTTTTGAGATCTTTCTTAAGAATTCTTTCCCCAGACCACTGTCCCAGAGAGTTTCCCCAGTGTTTTCTCTTGGTAATTTTATAGTTTCAGGTCTTATATTTAAGTCTTTAATCCACTTTGATTTGTAAAATCAGGCTTTTATCAGCCTTTTATCAGGTTGGGGAAGTTTTTTTAATCATGATTGGATAATGGATTTTGCCAAATGTGTTTTCTGCATCTATCAAGATGATCAGATGGTTTGTGACCACATTCTACTGTATAGTGTATTATATTAATGAGTTCAGATGTTAAACCAACCTTCCATTTCTAGGATAAACTCCCCTTGATCATAATGTATTATCCTTTGTATATGTTGCTAGATTTGGTTTGCCAATATTTTGTTGAGGATTTTTGTGTCCATATTCATGAAGGGTATTCATTTGTTATTTTCTTGTGATGTCTTTGTCTGGCTTTGGTATCAGGGTAATACTGACCTCATAGAACAAGTGAGAGTTTCCTTCTCTATCTTCTGTTAGAGTTTTCAAAATACTCATGTTGTTTCTTCTTTAATGGTTTGGTAGAATACATCACTGATGCCATCTGAGCCTGGGCTTAACCTTGTATAAATATTTTTAATTACTAATTTAATTTTTTTACTTGTTATAGATCTATTCAGATTTTCTATTTTTCTGTTATTTTTTTATCACTATTTTTTTGGTATTTTTTATCTTTTTAGAGTGTTTTTCCAGTGCGTTAGCTTACATATGGGTAAGTTTGCTTCTTAACTAGCGTACACTTTCACTAGTTAAGAAACTAGTCATAATGGCTTCTTTTTTTTAACTTTTTTTTTTTTTTTCTGAGACAGGATCTTGTTCTGTCACCCAGGCTGGAGTGCAGTGGTGTGATCTCAGCTCACTGTAGCCTCCGCCTCCTGGGCTCAAGCAGTCCTCTCCCGTCAGCCTCCCAAGTAGCTGGAGAAGCCGAGCGCCACCACACTCGGCTAATTTTTGCAATTTTAGTGGAGACGGGGTTTTGACATGTTGCCCAGCCTGACCTTGAACTCCTCGGCTCAAGCCATCAACCCATCTCAGCCTCCCACAGTGCTGATATTACAGGCATGAGCCACCGTCCCTGATTGATGAGGTTTTTTATTTCCTAAAAGCCACTGCCCTGAGGGCCCCTGCCCCTTCCTCAGGCTCCCCTACATCTCTCCACAAGTCAGCCTCCAACGGTTCACACCTGGAAAAGCAGGGGACCTTCAGAACTGAGCTCCAGCCTAGTTGGCACCTATATAGATTGGTTGGCCCTCCTGCTATTTCAGTTATTATTTTGAACATCACCACTTGGAAGACTGAGACTCCACTTCAGACCTCTTCTTCCTAACACCCTGATCTGGGGCTGATTATGTGCTTTAACATTCTACTGGGCAGGTCTGGCAGAAGGAACAGTATCAACTGACTGAGTAGGTCTCATTGGCAGTTGTGATTCAGAGACCTAGAAAGCTGAACCCACGGCTGGCAAGAAGAGGATGGTTTGTGGGACCTGGGCTGATGTCTGATGAAATTTTAAGCCCCAGCTATAGCTACTACAAAGAAAAGTGGCTGATGATAAGCATGTAACTCAAAGTAAGTGAACTGAGAAGCATGTTTTTTGTTTGTTTGTTTGTTTGTTTGTTTGAGACAGTTTCGCTCTTGTTGCCCAGGGTGGAGTGCAGTGGCACAATCTCGGCTCACTGCAACCTCTGCCTCCCAGGTTCAAGCGATTCTTGTGCCTCAGCCTCCGAGTCGCTGGGATTACCAGGTGTGTGCCACCACACCTGGCTAATTTTTTGTATTAGTAGAGACAGGGTTTCTCCATGTTGGTCAGGCTGGCCTCGAACTCCCGACCTCAGGTGATCTGCCAGCCTTAGCCTCTCAAAGTGGTGGGATTACAGGCATGAGCCCCCGCGCCCTGCCTGAGAAGTATGTTTTTATGTTGAGGATGTTACTGTGTGATGCCACATACATTGAAACACATACATTTAAAGTAAGGCCACAGACTCAAATGCCTCTAGAAGCCAGACAGGTAGCATACCTCCTCCTTTCATTGATTCAGAGACGTACATTTTTTTTGGCATTTGAACATCTCTGAAATTAGAGTGAACGTTACAATTGCAAGTCAAATGGTGTATAAAAAAGCAGCATCTTTATAGTCAGTGGTGCTTTAGATTAGACGAAATAACAGAAAATGAGTGGTGTTGGCCAGGAAAATTATATCCTTCTCTGTTGGCCTTTCACTTTGAAAGAGAGAAATGGATACAGAGACCTACTTTCCTACAATAAGACACAAGAACAATGACAAATGGGAACGACTTTGCTGCCTTCATGTCCGGTAGCCAATAGGGATTGGTGGCAACAGGCAAACTGGAGAGTACCCTTGCCCCCAGGGCAGCTCCCCCTCTTCCCTAGCTGATTATTGCCTGTGGTGGCATAGATCTAGTGTTGACAAGTGTTCTGAGTTTTCAAAGGAAGTCAGAAACCCCAAAATCTACATCTTCATGTGAAACTCCTAATTTTAAAATGATGGCTCAATTTTTTTTAACTGGCGAAAAAAAATATATATATACAAGTTAGATGAGCCTATGAGTGCTCAGAATAAATATAACCTCTCTTTTAAGGATGCAATATTAAGAGGCAGCATGAGACAAACCAGTTTTTACAATTAAGCCAAAAAAGAAAAGTTAAATCCATTTCGAAGTTTAACACTAGGTTCAGAGGCCCAGAATAACAAATACTGCAGGGCCTCTTACTTATTTCATCTTTAAACTTTCTTTTCTGCCTCCCACTAAATGGAAGATAAGAAAATATAGTTAAATCTATTGAAGATGTTGCATTCCTGTTTATAAAAATGTATGATCACTTTTTAAAATGCAGGCTTAGGTTTCCAAAGCAACAGCATTTGCTTCCCACTGCTGTAGACTGTGGTCAGTGAAAGGCAGGATGATGTCATGGGAAACCCCCAAATTATGAGAAGACCAGGGTGCTAATTCTGGCTGTGTGATGTGCAACTGATTTAGGTTCATTTCATCGTCTTTATTTATAAAATGGGGATGATAATAGCTACCCTCTGTACCTTACATGGTTGTAAGGGCCACATGAGATAAAACATGTGAAAGTATAAAGTGTTATGTATATATTAGTTGGTATTGCCCAAATCACATGGGTAGTTGGGACAGCACAGGTTCTTGAATCTCAGATTCTCCATCTCTGGCTACTGCTCTTTCCCTAGACTGCAGCACCTGTTGAAATGGTCATCTTATCAGCCAGTGGGGTTGAACAGATGAGGAAGCATAAGGCAAGAAGTTATTAGAAAAAAGTTAGCCAACATCTTAGGATCTCAAATAGCACTGTGTCTCTGTACAACAGGGTGTAGGCAAAGCTTTCCTGTTAAATCTGAAGTATTGACCTTTAACGTTTTTATTTATTTATTTTTATTTGTTTATTTTTTATTTATTTTTATTTTTTTTGAGACAGAGTCTCACTCTATCACCCAGGCTGGAGTGCAATGGTGTGGTCTCGGCTCACTGCAACCTCCACCTCCCTGGTTCAAGTGATTCTCCTGCCTCAGCCTCCAGAGTAGCTGGGACTACAGGCACATGCCACCACACTGGGCTAATTTTTGTATTTTTAGTAGAGATGGGTTTTCACTGTGTTGGCCAGGGTGGTCTTGAACTCCTGACCTTGTGATCTGCATGCCTCGACCTCCCACAGTGCTGCTGGGATTACGGGCGTGAGCCACCATGCCCAGCCGACCTTTAACATTTTTAGGAGGTACCCAGGAATGAGAACACCACCTACATTGTAGATCAGCCTCTCTAGCATTCTCACAGTTTGACCTTTGGCTGATTCCTTCTTTCTCTTTTTCATATTTTTGTGCTATATAAGCTTTATGAGGAAATGAGTCAATCAAACTCTTAGCCTGAAATGAATGAATGCCTTCTTAGCCTGAAATCCAGCATTTTACTTTCCCCCTAGCTCAGGGTTTCCCAAACAATGTTTTTAAAGTGCTATTTCCATAAGATTTAATAGGTGCTCAAGAAAAAAGATAATCTCATGGTCAAAAAAAGACTGGAAAAGTGCTGTATACTGTACCCACTCTGGGATATTCACAAGGTATTATATTAAAGTTTTGAGAAGACCTGTTTACCCATTTATTTGATCACAGAATCCTCCTTTTGTGGAACCAATATTTGTGTTTACCAACTCATTTGATCACCTCTGTCAATAACCCTCCTCAATGGCATGTACGTTAATGTCTTGTGGCTCTGGTGTACTGCAGCAATTGGCTTGGAAAATGCTGTTCTATAGCCTCATTTCACATACACCAAATTGAACCACCAGCAGTTAGCCATGCATGTATTTCACTTTCCCACTTCCAAGCCTTTTGTAATTATTCACTCTGCTTGGGATGCTTTCTCTTCTCCCTTCTTGTTGTCTGGAGTCTTTTTAGCCAAACAAGCAAGGTCATTGCAGCAGCAATGATTCCCATTTCTGAAGTCTTAGCACTTGCCACTCTTCTAGCAATTTTAGCACCTAGTACTGTGCTAATGTGTACCTGATCTTTTTTCCTGCTCCATTTTACATTTCTTGGGGTTATTGTTTTCTGCGTAATACATTAGCCTGGTGCATTGTTTGTAGCCAGAATTCAGTAAATAGTTGTGGAATGAATAACTAAATGAGTTGTGGCCAGGTGCAGTGGCTCATGCCTGTAATCCAGCACTTTGGGAGGCCGAGGTGGGCTGATCACTTGAGGTCAGGAGTTCAAGACCAACCTGGCCAACATGGTGAAACCCCATCTCTACTGAAAGAAAAAAAAAAATTAGCCAGGCATGGTGGTGCATGCCTGTAATCCCAGCTCCTTGGGAGGCGGAGGCAGGAGAATCGCTTGAACCTGGAAGGCGGAGGTTGCAGTGAGCCGAGATCGTGCCACTGTACTCCAGCCTGGGTGACAGAGTGAGACTCCGTCTCAAAAAATAATAATAATAAAAAATAAATAAACAAGTTGCAATAGGATGAAATTTAAAATGTTATCTATAGTAGATAATGGAATTGGAGTTTGAAGAGGAGGAATGGGGAGGGATCTCTGAAAGCCTGGTCTATATATATGATTTTTAGCAGTTTTATTAATTGGCATAAAAGTATACAATTTGCTAAGTTTGGGCATATGTGTACACCCAAGAAACTGCAACCAGTCAAGATAATGAGCATATCCACCACCACAAAAAGTTTCCTCATGCCCCTTGTAATCCCTCCTCTCCACCCTTTCCTACATCTTCCTCCCTCTTGTGTCCCGTCCCCGTCATACCACATCCTTAGCCCAATTCAGGGCAATCACTGATCTGCTTTTGGTCATTATACATTGGAGTAGATTTCATTGAAATTTATATAAATGGAATCACGTGATATGTACTCTATTTTGCCTGACTTCTTCACTCGGCATAACTATTTTGAGATTTATTCATGTCGCAACATATTCATCCCTTTTTATTACTGAGTAGTATTTCATTGTATAGTTATACCACAGTTTGCTTACCCATTTACCCATTTATAGACATTTGGGGTTTTTTTTCTAGTTTTTTAGCTATTAAAAATAAAAATTCTATGAACATTTGTATGTAAGTCTTTTTATAATACATGCTTTCATTTCTCTCTTGTAAATACTTAGGAATTGGCTGGGCATGGTGGCTCATGCCTGTAGTTCCACAACTTTGGGAAGCTGAGGCAGGTGGATCACTTAAGGTCAGGAGTTTGAGACCAGCCTGGCCAACATGGTGAAACCCCGTCTCTACTAAAAATACAAAAGTTAGCTGGGCATGGTGGCGGGCGCCTGTAATCCCAGCTACTCAGGAGGCTGAGGCAGGAGAATCGCTTGAACCCAGGAGGCGAAGGTTGCAGTGAGCCAGGATTGTGCCATTGTACTCCAACCTGAGCAATAAGAGTGAAACTCTGTCTCAAAAAAAAAAAAAAAACTTAGGAGTGAAATGATGACTCCTGTGCTAAGCGTATGTTTAACTTAGTAAGAAACTGTCAGATATGGCACCAGAGGCCAAGGCAACAAAATAAAAAATAAATAAATTGGGCTACTTCAAAATTGAAAACTTTTGTGCAAAAACAGGACAATAATCAACAAAAGGTAATCCATGGAATGAAAGAACATATCTGCAAATTGTGTATCTGATACGGGGTTAAGGTCTAGCATATATAAAGAAATCCTACAGATCAACAATAACTAGAACAACAAAAACAATTAAAAAGTGGGAAAAGGGCCAGGCTCAATGCCTCACACCTATAATCCCAGCACTTTGGGAAGCCAAGGCAGGAGGATCACTTGAGCCCAGGAGTTGGAGACCAGCCGGGGCAACAGAGATTGAGGCAGGAGGATCACTTGAGCCCAAGAGTTGTAGGCTGCAGTGAGCTGCGATCACACCACTGCACTCCAGCTTGGGTGACAGAGTAAAACCTTGTTTCAAAAAAAAAAAAAAAAGTGAGAAAAGGACTCCAATAGACATTTATCCAAAGTAAGTATACAGATGGCCAATAAGTACATGAGAAGATGTTGAGGATCTCTGGTCATTAGGGAACTGCAAATCAAAGCCACCATGAGATATCACTTCATATCCATTAGGATGGCTATTATTAAAAAAAGAAAATAAGTTTTGTCGGGAATGTGGAGGAATTGGAGCCCTTGTGCTCTGCCAGTGGGAATGTAGAATGGCATAGCCTCTGTGGAAAACAATACGATGTTTCCTCCAAAAACTAAAAACATAATTATCATATGATCCAGCAGTTTCACTTCTGGGCATGTACCTCCCAAAAATGAAAGCAGAAACCCAAAGAGATACTTGTACATTAATGTTCAATAGCAGTATTATTCACAATAGCTAAAAGGTGGAAGCAACCCAAGTGTTCCTTAATGGATAAATGTATAAACACAATATGTTATATAGTATTTAGCCTTAAAAAGAAAGGAAATTCTGACATGCTACAATATGGATGAACTTTGAAGGCATTATGCTAAGAGACATAAGCAGTCACAAAAGGCAAAATAATGTATAATTCCACACATACAAAGTACCTAGAGCAGTCAGATTCAGAGACAGAAAGTAGAATGGGTGTTGCCAGAGGTGGAGGGTAGGGGGAATGGGAAGTTACTGTTTAATGAGTACAGAGTGTCAGTTTTGCAAGGTGAAGGAAATTCTGGAGATGGACAGTGGTAATGGTTGTACAGCAATGTGAATTTACTTAATGTCACTGAACTGCACACTTAAAAATGGTTAAAATGGTCCGGGCACAGTGGCTCATGCCTGTAATCCCAGCACTTTGGGAGGCCAAGGCAGGCGGATCACGAGGTCAGGAGATTGAGACCATCCTGACCAACATGGTGAAACCCCATCTCTACTAAAATACAAAAAAATTAGCTGGGCGTGGTGGTGTGTGCCTGTAGTCCCAGCTACTCGGGAGGCTGAGGCAGGGGAATCGCTTGAACCCAGGAGGCAGAGATTGCAGTGAGCCGAGATCGCGCCACTGCACTTTAGCCTGGCGACAGAGCAAGACTCCGTCTCAAAAACAAAAACAAACCAAAAAAAAAAAAAAATGCTTAAAATGTCCACATGAAGAAAGGGAAAAAAATGAAAAGGTTAAAATGAGAAATTTTATTTTATATATATATATTTTTTACTACAATTTTGTTTTGTTTTGTTTTTTGAGATGGTGTCTTCCTCTGTCTCTCAGGCTGGGGTTCAATGGTGTGATCTTGGCTCACTGCAGTCTGCCCCTCCCAGGCTCAAGCCATCCTCCTGCTTCAGCCTCCGGAGTAGCTGAGACTACAGGCACATGCCACTGCACCTGGCTAATTTTTGTATTTTTTGTAGAGACAGAGTTTTGCCATGTTGCCCAGGCTGGTCCCAAACTCCTGAGCTGAGGTGACCCTCCCGCCTCCACCTCCCAGAGTGCTGGGATTACAGGTATGAGCCACCATGCTTGGCCTTATTTTACCAGTTTTTTTTTTTTTAAACCCTGCCAAACTGTTTTCCAAAGTGGTATACCATTTTACATTTACAGCAACAGTGTATGAGAGTTCCAGTTATTTCCCATCCTCATCA
Source organism: Homo sapiens (assembly GCF_000001405.40). Taxonomy (NCBI): domain Eukaryota; kingdom Metazoa; phylum Chordata; class Mammalia; order Primates; family Hominidae; genus Homo; species Homo sapiens. Next base: position 99,234,849 of record NC_000015.10, on the reverse strand, counting down.
ACACTTACTACAATAAGTCTTTTTAATCTTAGTCATTCTAATTGATGAGTGACGTCTCATTGTGGTTTTAACTTGCATTTCCCTGATGCCTAATAATGTTGAATATAAAGCATGTGCTTATTTGTTCTTGGTATATCTTCTTTGATGAAGCGTCTGTTAAAATAAATTGCCCATTTTTGGCCAGGTGCGGTGGCTCACACCTGTAATCCCAGCACTTTGGGAGGCTGAGGCAGGCAGATCACGAGGTCAGGAGATCGAGACCATCCTGGCTAATATGGTGAAACCCTGTCTCTACTAAAAATACAAAAAAATTTAGCCAGGCATGGTGGCGGGCACCTGTAGTCCCAGCTGCTCAGGAGGCTGAGGCAGGACAATGGTGTGAACCCAGGAGGTGGAGCTTGCAGGGAGCCGAGATCACGCCACTGCACTCCAGCCTAGGCGACAGAGCGAGACTCCGTCTCAAAAAATAAATAAATAAATAAATAGATAAATAAATAAATAAATTGCCCATTTGTATAGTGAGCTGTTTTCTTGAGTGTTGAGAGTTCTTTATACCAGTAAGATACAAATCTTACATCAGATACATGTTTATGAAAATATTTTCTCCCAGCCTCTAGTTTTTTAATTAACAGTTTCTCTTGAAGAGCAAAAATTTAAAATTTTGATGAAATCCAATTGGTTATGTTGTTCTTTTAATGATTCTTTTTGGTGGTCATATCTAGGAAAGCTTTGCCTAATGCATGGTCACAGGTGTTTTCTTACACATTGTTTTTATAGTTTTAAGTTTTATATTTAACTCTATGTTCAATTTTGAGTTAATTTTTGTATATAATATGAGATATAGATCAAAGGGGTTTTTTGTTTTATTTTTACGTGTGAATATCTAGTTGTTCCAGTATCATTTGTTGAGCAGACTTCTTTCTCCAAGGAATTGGTTTTGCATATTTGTCAGGAATCAGTTATTCATGTATGTGTGGGTCCATTTCTGGACTCTCCATTCTGTTCCATTGCTTGTCTACTTAACAGCAGTACAAACTGCCTTGCCTACCGTAGCTTTATCATAAATATAGCTCAATAAATCTGTATTTTAGATTTAAATCTAAATTTCACATTTAGATTAAAATCTAAAATCTGTATAGAAGTATTGAGAGTGAACCTTCTTGTCTTGTTTCTGATCGTAGAGATAAAGCATTCAGTCTTTCACTGTTAAGTCTGATGTTAGCTGTAGGTTTTTCAAAGGTGCCTATCAGATTGAGGAAGTATAATTCTATTCCTACTTTGCTAAGAATTTTCATCAGGAATAGATATTAGATATTAGATCTTGTCAAGTGCTTTTTCTATGTTGAGTGAGATCATACAGTTTTTCTTTTTTATTAATATTTTGGGCTTTGGTAGTTTGTGTCTTTAAAGGAATTTGTTCATCTGTATTGTCAAATTTATGGTATAAAGGTGTTCACAATATTCTCATTAACCTTTTAGTATTTGTAGAATCTGTAGTGATGTCATCTCTCTCATTCTTTTATTTGTACAACATGATGTTTTGAAATATGTACATGTTGTGGAATGGCTAAATAAGCTAATTAACATATGTATTACCTCACATATTTATCACTTTTTGTGATTAGAACACTTGAAATCTACTTTCTTAGCAATTTTCAAGGAAACAATACAGTAGTCACCATGTTATACAATAGATCTCTTGAATTTATTCCTCCTCCCACAACCTCCGCTAACCAGCATTCTACTCTCTACTTGTGTGAGTTCAACTTTTGTAGATTGTACATATGAATGAGACCATTCAGTATTTGTCTTTCTGTGCCTGGCTATTTCACTTAACATAGTATTTTCCAGGTTCATCATGTTGTCACAAATGACAGGATGCCCTTCTTTTTTAAGGCTGAGTAGTATTCCATTGTGTATACATACCACATTTTCTTTATCCATTCATCTGTTGATAGACATTTACATTAACACCGTATCTTGATCATTGTCAATAATGCTGCAATGAACATGGAGTGCAGGGATCTCTTCAATATACTAATACTGTTCTTTGGATGTATCACCCAGTAGTGGGATTCATGGATCATATGGTAGTTCTGTTTTTAATTTTTGAGAAACTTCCTTACTGTGTTCCATAATTTACATTCCCACCAACAATGTGCAAGGATTCCCTTTTCTCCACATCTTCACCAACATGTATCTTTCTTTTTTTAATCATAGCCATTTTAACAGGTGTAAGATGAAATCTCATGGATATAATTTGCATTTCTCTAATGATAACAATCTTGGGCATTTTTTCATACACCTATTGGGCATTTGTATATCTTTTGAGGAATATCTATCAGGCCCTTTGATCATTTTTTTTTTTTTTGAGATGGAGTCTCACTGTGTCGCCCAGGCTGGAGTGCAGTGGCTTGATCTTGGCTCACTGCAACCTCCGCCTCCCAAGTTCAAGCAATTCTCCTGCCTCAGCCTCCCGAGTAGCTGGGATTACAGGCATGTGCCACCACGCCCAGCTAATTTTCTGTATTTTTGGGAGAGATGGGGTTTCACCATGTTAGCCAGGATGGTCTCCATCTCTTGATCTTGTGATCCGCTCACCTTGGCCTCCCAAAGTGCTGAGATTACAGGTGTGAGCCACCGCGCCCCGCCAAATTTTTCTTTCTTTATATCCTTACTCTATAAGCTTTTTTCTATTTTTAAAATTTTTTATTTTCTTTTTTTACTTTTTAAACTTTTTTGTTAAAACTAAGACACAGGCCAGGCATGGTGGCTCATGCCTGTAATCCCAGCACTTTGGGCGGCCAAGGCGGGTGGATCACCTGAGATCAGGAGTTCCAGAGCAGCCTGACCAACATGGAGAAACCCCGTCTCTACTAAAAATACAAAATTAGCCAGGCATGGTGGCGCATGCCTGTAATCCCACCTACTCAGGAGGCTGAGGCAGGAGAATTGCTTGAACCTGGGGGGTAGAGGTTGCGGTGAGCCAAGATAGAGCCATTGCACTCCAGCCTGGGCAACAACAGTGAAACTCCGTCTCAAAACAAACAAACAAACAGGCCAGGCGCAGTGGCTAATGCCCGTAATCCCAGCACTTTGGGAGGCAGAGGTGGGCAGATCACGAGGTCAGGAGATCGAGACCATCCTGGCTAACACGGTGAAACCCTATCTCTACTAAAAATACAAAAAAATAGCCGGGTATGGTGGCGGGCGCCTGTAGTCCCAGCTACTCAGGAGGCTGAGGCAGGAGAATGGTGTGAACCCGGGAGGCGGAGCTTGCAGTGAGCCGAGATCGTGCCAACTGCACTCCAGCCTGGGCAACAGAGCGAGACTTCGTCTCAAAAAAAAACAAAATTAAGACACAAACACACACATTAATGTAGGTCTACACAGTCAGGATCATCAATATCACTGCCTTCCACCTCCATGTCTTGTCCCACTGGAGGGTCTTCAGTGGCAGTAACATGCATGGAGCTTTCATCACCTATGATGATAATGGAATACCTTCTTTTGGAATAGCTCTTGAAGGACCTGCCTGAGGCTTTTCTACAGTTAACTTTTAGAAATGTATAAGTAGAAGGAGTACCCTCTAAAATAAGTATAAAATGTAGTATATTAAATATATAAACCAGTAACAGTCATTTATCAACTATTATCACATATTGTGTACTGTACATAATTGTATATGCTTTACTTTTATATGGCTAGCAGCACAATAGGTTTGTTTGCACCAGCATTACCACCAACACATGAGTCAATGCATTACGCTATGATGTTACGACAGCTACTGTATCACTACCCAGTAGGAATTCTTCAGCTGCACTGTAATTTTATGGGACTACCTTTATGTATGCAGTCATTGACTGAAATGCTGTGGAGCTGGACATGATTGTAATATGGAAGCAGCCTTACACATTTGCCCATGTACGTACCATTTCCAAGGTCGTCTGTTTTGTAGAACTAGAGTTCCATTTGCTATCATTTTCCTTCCTTCTGAAAGACTTCCTTTTACATTTCTTTGAGAACATTGTAGTGCAAGTCTTCTGGCGATTAATTATTTAAAATTTTGTTTTCAAAAGGTATTTTCACCAGTACGGAATTTAAGGTTGACAACTTTTTTCTTTCCATACTTTAAAGATAAGAAGTATCTTTAACTCTCTCCTTGTTTGCTTTTTATTCCCCTAAGAAATCTGTTATCATCTTTATCTTTATTTTTTATACGTAATGTGTCTTTTTTCTCTACTTTTGAGATTTTTGCTTTATCATAGTTTTAAGCAATTTGTTTATGATGTTTTGACTTTATTTGGTATAGTTTTCTTCATGTTTCTTGCGTTTAGTGTTCATTGAGCTTCTTGGATCTCTGGCTTTATGCTTTTTCTTAAATTTGGAAAAATATTGGCCATTATTTCTTCAAATATGTTTTCTGTCCCTCCTCTAGTCTGCTTTTCTTTAGGGACTCAAATGACATATATATTAGGCAACTTGAAGTTGTTTTACAGCCCACTGATTTTTTTTCATTTTTGATAATTTTTATTGCTATGTCTACAAATTCATCTTTTCATCTGCAGTATCTTATCTGCCATTAATCCCACACATTTTCATCTTCACACATAATTTTTCTATCTAGAAGTTCCATTTGGGTCTTTTTTATTTCTTCCATGTCTTTATTTAACTTTTTAAACATATAGAATACAATTATTGTAATTGTTTTAATGTTTTTATCTGCTAATTTAACATCTGTGTCAATTCTGGGTCAGTTTTGATTGATTATTCTCATTATGGGCCATGTTTTCCTGCTTCTTTGGATGCTTGGTAATCTTTGGATGCTAGACTTTGTGAATTTTACCTCGTTAGGTGTTGGTTATTTTAGTATTCCTATGAACATCCTTGAGTATTATCCTCTAGTGCAATTAAGTCCCTTGAAAACAGTTTGATCCTTTTAGGTCTTACTTTTTTGATCTGTGTGGTGATCTGAGCAGTGTTCAGTCTAGAGCTAATTATCGCCTCTACTGAGATGAAAGGCTTCTGAGTACTCTAACTATCTAATGCCTCATGAATTAGAAATTTTTTCAGTCTGGTTGGTGGGAACAGGCGCCAGCCTTACGTTAGCACAAAACACTGTTCCCTGTAACCTTATTGAAGGATTCTTTCTCCAGACTAAAATACTTTTCTTACACACATGCTAATCAGTATTCTGTCCCTATACTTGAGGGTGTCCCTCTGCTAATATCTTGGTTCCTCTGTCTCTGGAGCCTTCTCCTCTTCAGTAATTTGTCCTGTCAGTTCTAGTCACCTTGGTCTCCCCAAACTCTCAACTCTACTTCCTCAACTCAGGTAGTCCACTGGGATAACTTCTGGGTCCCCTCTTCCCTGTGCTGTTTCCTGGAAACTCTCTCAAAGCAATAAACTGGGGTGATTTATTTTTTCCATCTCTCAGGAATTGCTCTCTCATTGCTTGTCTTGTTTCTTGAAACCGTTGTTTTATCCTTTGTTCTGTGGGCTGCTTATCTGTTTGTTTTGGGTTATTTCAGGCAAGAGGATAAATGTAGTTACTAGACTTCATCTTGGCCAGAAGCAAAAGTTGTAACAACAATTATTTATTTTCTACCTCAGGGTCAATTGGGCTTCAGCTGATTTAATCTGGGGTCATTGAGAGCTGTTTGGGCTAAGCTAATTTCTACTGGACTTTAGATATATATATATATATGTACATGCAAATACATATGTATGTGCTAGGCTAATTTCTACTGGACTTTATATATATATGTACATACAAATACATATGTATGTGCTAGGCTAATTTCTACTGGACTTTACGTATGTATGTATGTGTGTAATACATACACATATACATGTATGTATGTGTGTTTATATACATGTGTATGTATGTGTGTATATGTATGTAGGCATATATATATGTATGTCTATATACATAAAGAAAGAAGGTTTAATTTAGTTGAAAGTAGAAATCAGCAGGTCAGTAGTAGCCACCATAATCTTTTGGGATATAATGCTACTAATTTCAAAGAAATTATGGGTATAGTGTTGAAATGTATATTTCTAAAAGTAACTATGGAAATTATCATTTAACATCTTTGTTTTTTATTTTAAAATTAGAAGACAATGTATATAAAAATATGCAAGAATCACAGGAAACCCACATATCCAACCACCTAGATGAAGTTGTTGCTGCTGTTAGCATCACTCATAGAAAGAAGTTCCAAAACAAGCTGCTTCAGACAGCACTATTCCAGCCTCCTCGAGAGAAACTCCACCTCTGTGAAGAGAAAGCAAAGTCCTATTCCAACAGTCATGAGGTAAGGAGACTTTTGTTTCTGTATTTCTACTCTGAGAATTGAGCTATATGGTATAATCAAGAGAAGTAGAATGTTTTGGATTACATTCCTAATCTCAGCAGTTTGATACAAGAAAGTATATAAGACAGTGCCTTTGTTATAACATGAATGAATGCAGTACCTCTAGGCTCCAAGCACAGCAGTTCGCATGGCCAACAACAAATATTTGTTGAGCTCGCACTGTGTGCCAAGTCTAGGCATTGGGATACAACACAAACAAAGCAGATGCAGCTTCTGCTCTCATAGAGCTTGTAATTCCTTATAATCTCAAATCTTGTTCTCTGCATGCTTCTTTCCCATTCTTTCCTCAAAAGTTTTACTCATTCACTAACTCATTCAGTAGGCATTTCTCTATCACCTCTTATATGTTGGGTCCTCTTCATCCAGTCATCATAAATATCTATTGTATGACTAATATGTGCCAGGTGCAATGTAGGTGCCAGGGGCACAGAAGGAAAAGCCACAGTCTTTGTCTTGGAGGGACTCGGGATTTGGTTGGGAAGATAGACGGGGGACAGATAATGGTAGTCAGGTTGATGAGTTCTGTGAGAGCTCGAGTGACATAGATGCAAAACACGAAGGGGTGGACAGTGAGCCTGGAGGTGGTAGAGGGACAGCAGTTAAGGCACACTTTCTTCGGATGGGAGTTACGTAGACTGCACTGGTAAACAGTGCTTAGGAGTTGGACAGGTGAGGAAGAGGACCAAATGTTCTGGACAGAGGTAGCAGATGGACAAGAGCCAATGGTCTGAGGGAGTGCAGTCTGTCTGGGGAACTGTAAGGAGCTGTCTGGGACTAATGTGTTAGTGACACAGGGCAAGAAATGAAGCTGGATTATGGGCAGGAACTGAGGCCCAGAGGGCACTCAAGGCCTAGTGAAAGAGTTTTGATTTTCTCCTAAAGATGATGGAGGATTACCATGAGGTTATAAGCAGAAGCATGCCATGAGCAGGTCTGATTTTAAGAACAGTCACTCCCATAGCTGTGAAGGGTATGGACAAAAAAAGAGTAAAACTGGAAAAGGAGCATCAGTTAGGAGGATATTTGCAGTAATCCTGGCAAGTAATTATGAGGACCTGAACTACGTGTGGCAGAGACAATAGAAATGCTGAGCTCTTTTGAAAGGAATTTAGAAATGCAAATCAGTGGGACAGGACTGGATGACTGAGGGGACATAGGGAATGGAGATGTGAGAGTGAGAAAGATGGGGTGTGTAGAATTCCCACCACCCAAGGTCTGAGTCTGCTTGGGTGATTGGAGACTTGTCCATGACCTTCATCAGTATAACAAATACAGGAGAAAGACCAGGATTATAGAGAAAGAGCATAAATTTGGTTTTGAGGTTGTGCTTGTTCATTATGCAACAGATACTCACTCAGAACCTACTATTTGTAGGCTCTAGGCTGGCAGCCTTTCTCAAACAGACTTCTGCAAAAGAATTAAGCCCTCATGCCCAAAGGCATTTAACAAATGTAAAGAATTAACTTCTTTTCTGTGTAACTAGAATGGTATTAAACATTTCGTTGTTCTGTGGTTCTGGTGAAGAATCCAGCATACAATGGTGAACAGGACAGACAAGGTGCATACCCTGATGGACCTGAGAGGCAATCAACATTGTAAATGAACCGGATTATTATAGACTGTGATAAGTGCTAAGGAGGACATAGAGTGGCTCCGTCTTGGGTAGGGTGATCAGGGAGGGCCTCCAGGAAGACGTGACAGATAAGCTGAGACCTGAGGAAGAGAAGAGCCAGTGTGGAGGAGCTGAGGGAAAGGAGTTCCAGGGAGAGGAAACAGCACACATAAATCTACAGGGTAGGCACAAGCAGGACATATCTGAAGCAAGGAGAAGAAGCTGCAAGCTGACATTAAATATAGTGAGAGAGGCTGTCAGTTCACTTAGGGCCTTGCAGGTTTCAAGCTAAGTGCCCTGGAAGGCCTTAAAAATATTTTCAGCATGGTATTAACATGACGTAATTTACTTTTTAAAATATCAGTTTTTTAGTAATTTTGTATTTTAAAATAATTTCTGACTTACAGAAAAGGCACAAGATTCACTCATTTTTAACATTTGCTTTATTGCTTTGTTCTCTGACTCTAATTGTTTTTCTGAACTGAGAGTAAGTTATAGATATTATGGCCCTTTACCCCCAAATTCTTCAGTGTTTATTCCCTAAGAATAAAGCTATTCCCTTACATGGCCACAGTACAGTGATCGTAATTAGGAAATTAATGTCAGTATAATACTATTATCTAATCTGTAAACCTTGTTTATATTTCTTCTTAATAATGTCCTTTACAGAAAACAATCAGACCCATGGTTCAGTCTGTGAATTCATGTTAAATAGAGTTGTCATGTCTCTTTAGTCTCCTTTAATCTGAAACAATTGCTTAACCTACTTTGTTTTTCATGATCTTGATATCTTGGAAATATATACTCTAATTGTTTTGTAGAATATCTCTCTGTTTGAGTTCGTCTTATGCTTCCTCATGATTCTATTCAGATTGTACATTTGGAGCAGGACTACCACAGGTGTGACATGGGGCGCTCCTTAGTGCGTCCTGTCAGGAGGTGCAGAATGTCTGTTTGTCTTCGTACAGTGATGCCAACCTTGAACACTTGGTTAAGGTGCTGTCTGGCAGGTTTCTTTACTGCAGAATTGCCATTTTTCCCTTTGTAATTAATAAGTATTTTGTGGGTAGATTCACTGAGACTATGTATATATTTAAAACTTCACTCTGCCACCTGAATCAGTTATTACTATGATGTTTGTCACATAGCCAGTCTCTGACTTCCACATTATTTCAACATTTGTTTGTTGGCATTCTATTATAAGGAAGAGCTTTTCTTTCTTCACAGCTTATTTATCATTCATTTATTCCTATCAGTATGGGTTCAGGAAATTGTATTTTTCAAATACACTACAACCTGTTATTTTCATGGAAGCTCGGATTGTTCCGTATCTGCCAGTGAGAGACCCTTCCAGCTGGCTCCTGAGTCCTCAATGCATCCCCTTACGGTTTAACCACTTCCTGGCGCTACCACTTGCTGGTAAATCATCTCGACTTTCCAGCCTTAGACTCCTTCATCTTTAAACTGAGGGGACCAGGTGAGATGATTTCCAAGGTTCCTCCCAGTTTTGAAATTGCCTTCCTACTTCGTGCTTGTCTTCTGTCTGCCCCTTACTGATGCCTATTGCTAAAGTCACTGGAACTGGTAGAATAAAGGTTGGAAAACCAATAGGGATATTTGGACCATGCCTTGTAACAAATAAGGACGTGAAGGAAGGACAAGCTGTTTCTTGTATACCTCTATCCCTACTCAGGTCCTGAGAACCAAGGCTATTATCAGGGAAGCCCAACTCAGCCTGCACCGTCCTCTTCGCTGGAAATCTGTAGTTGGGACAGATTCACTATCAAAACAGATCTACCTCTCTTTTTGTCTGTCTGGATTCCATGATGTTGTCATCATTTCCGTGTCTTTCATACACTGTAGTTGTTGTTCTCTTTCTCTCTCTCCAAAGTAGTCATTCCCTAAACTTCCTGTGTCTAGAGGCAATAAAAAGGTGATTCCCAAAAGAAGTACAAACAGCCAGTTAACACATGAAGATGCTCAGCCTCATCAATTTGGGAGAAAAATGTGGACTAAATCAAGGAGAAATGGGCTAACTGACAAACTGACAAACTAAAAACCAAACAAAAACTCCACAATTTGTACTCAGTTCAACGTAAGGGGCATTTCTGCTCACATGTGCTGCGCTGAAAGTATGAACTGGTACAACCTCTGGGAGAGGCACTTCAATAGCTACTCACAGCCTCAGAATTTTGCATATCCTTTATACAGCAATCCCATTTGTGGGAATTTGTTTTGTGGAAATGTTTATGGGTATGTGCAAAGCTATCCATACAGGATATTCAGTGAGTAAGAAATTTACAAACAGCTAAATGCCCAATAAAGAGTGGATTGAGTAATGCAGTTATGATATAGTCATATAATAAAATACTGTGCAGCCATTCAAACTTATATCATAGAAGATGACATGAGAAGTTATTCGTAAATTGTTAAAACAGCAGCTGTAAACCTGCATGTAGTTTATGAACCTATTTTTGAAAAAGAAAAAATATATAAAGATAGATTCACAAAAATAAAGAATAAAGGGATATTTATCTACCTAGATATCTCTAGGCGGTAAACTTACAGGTGATTTTTAGTTTTTATCTTTTTGCTTATCTGTATTTTGACAATGAGCATACATTATTTTTGTAGTAAGAAACGTTACTGTAGAAAAGAATATGACAGTCCACCTTCTTTCAGCACTTTATGGTGAGCATGTATTCCTTAGCTTCCTCCTGCTAGGTCACAAAAGTGACTCTCCTTTGGCCAACTGTCTGGCTGTGTATTTTTGTCAAGAAAAATGTTGTTTTAGGGTGAAGGTATTTCCAATGCATGTAGGAATTGTGTGGAAATGCAAGCCCTTTGAGCTTTGACATTGATGGGCGTGCATCCTAGGTGTATCCTGGATCTTCTTCACAACTCTGTCCTTGTTCTTACCTTTCTTCCTCTGCTTTGACCCCTTCAGCTTTCTTTCTTCAGCCATCTCTCTTGCTGTTCTGACTATCTGTTGCTGCATGACACCCCAATAACTTAGTGGCTTAAAACCAAAACAGCCATTCATTTTTCTCATGAGCCTGCGGTTTTTGCAGAGCTCAGTGGGGTTTGCTCAGCTTTGCTCCGCACAGCATCAGCTGGTCTTGAAGGGTCTGGAGAATCTGCTGCCAAAATGGTTCACTCAAACTATCAGGCCTTTCTATGTGGGTCTTCTCTCCATGGGGCCATGTTGGCTTCCTCACAGCACTGTGGTTGGATTCTGTATTAGTCTGTGGTGCTGTCCTAACAAAATTCCACAGATGCTGTGGCTTAAAGAACAGAGTTTATTTCCTCACAGTTCTGGAGGCTGGAAGTCCAAGACCAAGGTGTGAGCAGGGCTTGATTTCATTCTAAAGCCCTCTCTCCTTAGTTTGTAGATGACTGCCCTCTTGCTGTGTTCTCACATGGTCATTTCTCCATATGCATGCCCATCCCTGGTGTCTTTTCCTCTTCATATATAAGGATACCAGCTGTATTGGACTAGGGTCCACCCTAACACCTCCTTCGAACTTAAATCACCTCTTTAAAGACCTCATCTTCAAAAACAGTTACATTATAAGGTGCTGGGGATTGGGACTTAAATATATGAATTCAGGGAGGTTGGGGAGGAGACACAGTTCAGCCCATAACAGGTTTCAAGAGTGAGTACCCAAGAAGAGACAGAAAGCAAAGCCACCAGTTCCTTTAGACTGTGGCCTGAAAACTGGCACTGTATCATTTCCTCCACGTTCTATTGGCCAAACAGTCATAAAGCCCAGATTCAAAGGGAATGGGACATAGACCCCCATCTCTGAATGGAAGGAGTATCAAATAATTTTGGAGCTGAGGTTTTGTTTGTTTGTTTGTTTTGAGACGGAGTCTCGCTGTGTCGCCCAGGCTGGAATGCAGTGGCACGATATCGGCTCACTGCAAGCTCCGCCTCCCGGGTTCACACCATTCTCCTGCCCCAGCCTCCCGAGTAGCTGGGACTACGGGCGGCCGCCACCATGCCTGGCTAATTTTTTGTATTTTTAGTAGAGATGGGGTTTCACCATGTTAGCCAGGATGGTCTCGATCTCTTGACCTTGTGATTCACCCATCTCCGCCTCCCAAAGTGCTGGGATTACAGGTTTGAGCCACCACGCCCAGCCTGGAACCGTGTTTTAAAACTGCCAGCTCTGCTTTGAGGATATGGCTGCTCTGAGATCACCTGGAGCTGGGAATCCAGTTTTCTGTTCTTTTTGTCCTATCCCTGAATGAAACTGTGCTTCTTGCTGCTTTAATCAAGTCTGTAAGTCCTGCTGATCTCATTTGCTATGCTAGTGCAGATGGCTAAGGAAAGTTTTGAATTGAGAGCTAAACTATAGTATTTGACAGCCTGGGCAACATGGCAAAATCCCATCTCTACCAAAAATACAAAAAACTAGCCAGGTGTGGTGGTGCACACCTGTGGTCCCAGCTGCTCAGGAGGCTGAGGTGGGAGGATTGCTCGAGCCCCCTGGAGGTCGAGGCTACAGTGAGCTGATATCGTGCCATTGTACTCCAGCCTGGGTGACTCCAGGTGAGTGAGACCCTGTCTCATACACACACACACATACACACACACACAAAGTGTACTATTTGAAAACACTACCATTTGCCCCTGTTGTGCCTGCATATGTAGTAGCTGTTCATTGGTGGGCAGCTGGGAAACCTAGAGAATGACTAGATGTCTGCTCTACTTTTTCTATTTTTTAAATTCTATTTCTTTTTTTCACCCTTAAATGTACTATAAATTGTACTTCTTATGTTTATTGTCTGTTTCATCTTACCAGATGTACATGCTACCACCCCAAATAGATCTTTGTCTGTTTTGTTCTCTGATACATCTCAAGTGCTTAGAACAATGTTTTGCACATAGTAGTCACTCAGTATTTATCAAAGGGATATAAAAGCGCATTGATTTTGTGTTTTGTGACTCTTAAGTTGTATAACTGGTAAGCCTGTTTTCTCTTCCTAACAGTACAAACAGGCCGTCCATGAGCTTGTGCGTTGCGTAGCACTGACAAGAATTTGCTATGGAGACTCACATTGGAAACTAGCAGAGGCACATGTTAATCTGGCTCAAGGCTACCTCCAGCTGAAAGGTAAGCTCGCCTTAGACTGAGGGGGATCAGTTGGTCGATTTCTGCTGTTCTCCCCAAAATTTGATTCACACTTAATTAGAAGGATCAGGTTTTTTAATATTCTCCTTTCTAAATACCAAGAAGCCATTTCTTTTTAGAAAGAGTTGATAAGGTATATAACCTGTAAACATTCAAAGGGGAAAAATGGAAAAAATATTTTAACTTTTCTGGTTTTTTTGTTTTTGTTTTTGTTTTTATGATTTCAAAAGTAAGGTTCTTAGGAGAAAATTAATCTGTTGGGCCAGAAGACTTTGTAGGAAAAAACCCAAGGTATGGAATAGGGGCCCAGAATGGGATCCATTCACACTTTTATTGGAGAATCTCTTGACTGTAAATAACCAAAAAATTTAAAAAGACTAACCCAAATTGGCATAAACAAAAGTTTTTGGCTCATACAACTTAAAAATTCAAGGGAAAAAATTTTTAGACTTAGCCATATCCAGTGTTCAAACAATGTGACCAGGATTCAATTTTTCTCTCTCCCACTGCTTGGCTCTGTTTTTCTTGGTATTTGCTCCATTCTTTGCCAGGTTTTGCCCACATGGTGGCAACAAGACTGCCTGCAACTTTAGACTTCCCTTATAAGCATTCCCAGGAGGAAAAGAATGTCCCTCCACCAAAATCCCGGGATTTGGGAAGGGTTCTAATTGGAACAACTTGGGTTGTATACCAAAGGCAAGGAATAGTCTGATTGGCTAAACCTTTCTTTTGGCTTCATTGGATCCTGAAGGAGAAGCAGGCCTTCGCCACATCTCATGGATTGGATGTGCAGGAGCCAGGCATCCCAAAAGGGAAACAGAGGGGAGAATGCGTGCAGGGGAGGCAAAAACAATAGACACCCAGGATATGATGATGGCTTCTACTTACTGACTGTGCAGCCTAAGACAAGATGGACAAGAGCATCTCTGTGCTCAGCTTCTTCAGCTGAAAAGTGATGATGATGGTAATGGTGATGCTAACTTTCCAGGGTTGGCCCAGTGAATAAAGAAAATAATAGAAGTGGAAAACACCAAATGCCAAGCATATTCTATACCAAGCGTATTCATTATTGCCACCCAATAAATTTGGCCAAATCTGATTATAGACTGGTCCTACCTATTAGATCAAAGGCTCTTAGGGACCTTGGAGATTATCTAATTTAAACTCTGCCCTCCCACCCCATTTTGTAGATTCAGGGAAAACAATGAGTCTGAGTTAGAACAGCTTTCCCCATACCACACTGTTAATAAGTAGCTGATCTGAGACTCAGACCTAGGTTTTCAATGCCAGTTTGTCCTGCCATCTGGGGTTTCAGACGATGCTTTTCTTATACAGCCTGCTGCCTCTCTGCGTGACAGTCCTTCTTTCTCAATTTAAAGTAAAAGTAGTATCTACCATTTATTAAAGTCTCATTTGGTGCCAGGCATGTTGTTTTCCATGCATAACCTTATTCAGTCCTCACCACAGTCCTCAAAGGTGGGTATTTTTAATATCCCTGTTTACAGCTGAGAAAGCTGAGGCCAACGTTTTATAATAAGTGGTGGAGCAGGGGATCCATCCTGGGCAGTCTGACTTCAGAGCCAATGTTCTTGAACTTCACCCTATGCTGCCTCCAGTAAATTGAGTTCAGGTTCCTTCAGGGACTCGACACAGTTGAAAATACAGTCCAACATGCTTTGTGTAACATCACAAGCACAGGTGGCACTAATACATGTCTGTGCTTTTTAAAAATATGTAATAAGACAATCTTGTGTAAGAATTCCCACATGAAACACATACCCTTGATTTTCTCCATTAGAAAATATATTCTTCCTGTTTTATAGACATAGGAACAGAATTAACTTCATATTTTGACAGATTTTTTTAGAGATCTAAGATACAATTTTGTGTAACTAAGAACATAAGATGGGGGCTGTGTGTATGTGAGTGGAAGTGGTTGTCGGTGTAGGGGAGGAGGATGGGAATACAGGGACGTGCAAAGCCCTGAAGCCGTGCTAGCGATCTCAGTCCTCCCTTCCCACAGATTAACAAGCCCGTGGAGGAACACTGGAACACACTGGGGAATTCTTTCTTAGTAGTGATTTTTTTTTGCTCCACTTTGTTTCATATTAGTCTCTTACCACATAGGAAGATGAAATTGTCACACATTAATCTGTTACCTCACTGGAATTGTGTTTGTAAGTTTTTGTAGATATCAGATATGTATTATGTTAAAAAAATAACTCTCTGACATTATGATTATAGGTGGGTGAGCTGAAGATTCAGAATTTTTAGTATTTCATTAAGATTGCAGTTACACAGCCAGGATTAAAATTCATGAATATTTTATTTCCTGCTCAGAATGCTATAGTTCTTGTATTCAGTTTGTTTCTTATAATTATATGTAACATATTTTGCTTCTGCTATTGGTGAGGTTTCAAAGCTGTTCAATTCCAGCTCATTTTGTTTATTTCTAAAAAGGCCATTTGGGGGAAAATTTATCTTGGGTACTTGGTATAAAACACTTCTTTGGTTGTTACAGTCATGGCAGTGTTTCATGCTGCCCAGATACGTCTCCATGTGTCATTTGACAATATGTGAAGGAGACCTTGTTAGATTCCCAGACCATAAGGAACTGTATTCCTGTCCAGTTGAGATGATAGAGAAACTGAGACCTCTTTTTCTTTGTCCACAGGACTGTCACTGCAAGCAAAACAACATGCAGAAAAAGCCAGACAAATCCTCGCCAACTCCATTGTGCCTCCCTATAGTGAGAATACAGATGTTTTCAAGTTTTCCATTGAGCTTTTCCATACCATGGGCAGAGCTTTACTCTCCCTTCAAAAGTATCCTTTTGCCTCTAACTTTTACAAATAGAAATACTATTCACGTAACACTTACACGCCAAGTAAAAAGCTGATGCTGATGGATGACTTAGGAAGTGTGATTGGAAGTATGGGAGCCAAGGAAGTTCAGGACATGGGGTGTAGAATCTAGAACCAAGTGGAAAATTTCCTGAACACAATTCAGATTTAAGGAAGCTGCAGAGAATTTGACAAAAGCAGAGAGACTTTCAAAGGAGCTGCTACAATGTGGAAGAATTATAAAGGAAGAATGGATAGAAATTGAAGCACGGATCAGATTATCATTTGCACAGTAAGTTTCAAGTTTAGGATTTTGCATACATGATGGCGGGAGGCTCTTTGCCTGTAGAATCTGTCTCAGGTAGGAGGAGCATCTCCATGAGGCTGCGGCCATGGCTTCTCTGGAGGTCACTGTGTAAAAGTAAAAGAGGAACACAGTCATGTCAGAGCAGCCCCAACCAGGGCATCCATCAGTGACACTTTTCACTCTCTGTGGAGTGCCCTGGGTCCCAGAGTTCTGATCATTATTCTCTTGACTTTCGTTTTACCTGCTCTCCCTCCTCACCCCCAGCCCCTACACCCTTCTCTTCCTCCCTCCCTTCCTTTTTTCCCTGCCCTGCTCCAGTCTAAAATGCTTCAACAGGTTGAGTTTATGATGAAAGCCTCAAAGGAGAAAGATCTTAAACACATCTGAATCCATGATCACGAAAGGATTGTTCTTTGTTCCTCACCTTACTCCATACTCACCAAATAAACTCAGCTGGAAGAGACACGAAGAGAAGGTTGTGCATAGTTAGTACTTTTATCTTTCTCCAAAGAGCAACCTAAGCCAATTCCTCAGAGTATTGGGGTGACAGAGTTTGTCCACACTCTTTGGAAAGATGGACTTGTGCAGAGGAAAAGGTGGAGAAAGGTCTGTGTTGGAAGAGGCAGAGTATCCCAGTTGACCTACATGGCTGCCCTTAGCCAAAGCCGGAAGAATTCAGTTTACCTTCCTAACTAGATTGTATGTGTAGGTTGATTGCCAAGACGACTCAGAGAACCCACGGAATCATTTTAAGAAAGGTGCTAGGAAAGGGCCCCAGGAGAACACACCTAATGCTTCCATGTGAATGGAAAGTGGGAAGAACCAACTTTGACTCATGCAGTTAAAGATCTTCTTTTGTGATCACAATTCCCTTTGTTCTTTTGTTTTTCTTGGGTGGTTTTTGAACTGCAAGTGCAGAGCTCACTCATCTGTGCAAATCCTCTGGTATGGATTTTTAAATTAATTTTTCCCTTCATCTCCGATCTTTTCTCTCATTCTCCTACACACACATCATAGATAAATACTTTAATGATGGCTTACGTTTTTGAGTATGTATCTCTGAATAACAAACAATATTGTTTTATATATTTATGTGTTTAAAATTTGTATAAATTTGGCCGGGCACAGTGGCTCATGCCTGTAATCCCAGCACTTTGGGAGGCTGAGGCAGGTGGATCATGAGGTCAGGAGTTCAAGACCAGCCTGACAAACATGGTGAAACCCCATCTCTACTTAAAAATACAAAAATTAGCCAGGCGTGGTGGCGCATGCCTATAATCCCAGCTACTCAGGAGGCTGAGGCAGGAGAAATCGCTTGAACCCAGGAGGCAGAGGTTGCAGTGAGTAGAGACCACACCACTGCACTCCAGCCTGGGTGACAGAGTGAGACTCTGTCTCAAAAAAAAAAAGAAGAGAAAAAAAGAAAATTTGTATAAATTTGTAGCGTATGTATCATTCTGCTTCTTATTTTTTCCACTCAGCACGTTTTGGTTGTTGCCTGGATTTTAGTTCATTGCTTCTGGTTCCTGTATAATGCTCTATAGAATGCATTTGTTGTATTTTGTTTGTCCATCCTCCTAACAATAGACATTCAGCTTGTCCCCAGCTCTCTGCTGCCATAGCAGTGCTGCCATGACCATCCTTACACAGCTTCACTTACGTGGCTAAGTGACACTTTTTCTGAGGTTTATATCCCAAGGGTGGTATTGCTTTTCTGAGGTTTATATTCCAGGGGTGGTACTGAGTACAAACAGACTTTAAGTTCACCAAGCACCAGCCAACCACGACACCCATCTGCATTTGCATTCCTACTTGCAGGGTGGGTAGGTTCCTAACACACCACTGGCAATATTTGACTTTGTTAATCTTTGCCAACCTGGTGCATATAACGTGCTATCTAATTATTAAAGTTCTATTTACATTTCTCCTATTAGTGAGTTTGAATACTTTTCATATACGACTTAGCCACTTGGGATTCACCTTGTATGAATAGCCTGTTAGTATTCCTTCTTATTTTTCTTTTAGAGTTTCCTGTACCTTTCCTATTGATAATCAGGGTTTTCTTATATATTATAAATATTAATGATATAAATATTTTCTTACATCTATTGCCCGCTTATTAATTTTGTCTATGGTGTTCTTCGTGGCTTAGAAATTATTAATTTGGTTCACTCAAATCCATTCATTTTCACCTTATGATTTATGCTTTGGGAGTCTGGTTAGAAAGTCTTTTCCAGCTAAATATCAAAAATATTCTCTAAAATTTCCCTCCAAGACCTACTTTAACTCTACTCCATATATTTTATCATGAAGCATTATCACTGTGATAACTTCTTAGTATTTCATAACTCAGTTTATAAATTACTCTTTAGTCCAAGGATTATTCAAATGATGTGTGTTTTGGTTTGCAGGTATGAGAGTTTTCAAGATATCTTGGTGTTACTGATTTGTAATTGTATTGCATTGTTATATATATCCTGAAGCTATTTTGTTGGGGTGAGAGGAGAGTTTAGCAGCCTCATATCTTCTTAACCTATCACTTTATTGGTTAGTTGACCTTGTCCTTTTTTGTCCCCTACATCTATTCTGTCTGATACTATATCCTAGCTCTCTTTTGGTAAATATTTTCCTACAATACCTTTTAAAAAATATTTATTTGGGTTTAAATTTCCTTTTCTCCTGCCAACTTTTTGTTCTTTTCTTTTTCCTTACTTGCTTTCTTTTAGATTAATCAAATATTTCTATCATTCCATTTTATACCCATTAATTTGCAAGTTATACATTTTTTTCTTTTGTTTTTTATTTTCTTTCTTCTTTTCTTTTTTGTATACAGGATCTCACTCTGTTGCCCAGACTGGAGTACAGTGGTGGGGTCATGGTTCACAGCAGCTTCAACCTCCCTGGGCTCAAGCAATCCTCTCATCTCAGCCTCCTGAGTAGCTTGGACTACAGGTGTGTGCCACCACACC
This sequence comes from Homo sapiens, assembly GCF_000001405.40. Taxonomy (NCBI): domain Eukaryota; kingdom Metazoa; phylum Chordata; class Mammalia; order Primates; family Hominidae; genus Homo; species Homo sapiens. Next base: position 99,215,603 of record NC_000015.10, on the reverse strand, counting down.
CAGCTAACTTTTTGTATTTTTTGTAGAGATGAAATTTCGCTATGTTGCCCAGCCTGGTCTTGAACTCCTGGGCTCAAGCAGTCCACCCACCTTGGCCTCCCAAAATGCTGGGATTACAGGCATGAGCCACCATGCCTGGCCTTGTTATCTTCTTTTTATTCTAGTAGTTACTGTGGAGTTTGTCACTTATATCCCTGATTTATTAGAATCTAATTGTAAATTAATCATTTAACCACTTCCTGAACAATGCAAGGACCTTTGAGCGTGCCAGCACTCTTTATCCTCTCTGCTTGGTGCTGTGTTGTCCTGTATTTAAATCACATGTATCTTATACTACAGACAATATTTGTAATACGTACAACTGACAAAGGGCTTATATCTGAAGTCTACAAAGAACCCTTATATATCAGTTAAACAAACACATAACTGGATAGAAAGATGGGCAGGAGGTCAGGCACGGTGGCTCATGCCTGTAATCCCAGCACTTTGGGAGGCCGAGGCGGGTGGATCACCCAAGGTCAGAAGTTCAAGACCAGCCTAGCTAACATGGCGAGACCCTGTCTCTACTAAAAATACAAAAATTAGCTGGGCCTGATGGTGGGCACCTGTAATCCCAGCTACTCGGGAGGCTGAGGCAGGAGAATTGCTTGAACCCGAGAGGCAGAGGTTGCTGTGAGCCAAGATCGCGCCATTGCACTCCAGCCTGGGCAACAAGAGAGAAACTCCATCTCAAAAAAAAAAAAAAAAAAAAGGAGAAAAGAAAGATGGGCAGGAAACTTTTCCCAAAAAAAGAACACCCGCATAGCAAATAAACCTATCAAAAGGTGTTCCACCTTATCAGTTATCAGAAAATGAAAACTAGAATCATAAGATATGGCTGGGTGTGGTGGCTCACACCTGTAATCCCAGCGCTTTGAGAGGCTGAGGTGGAAGAATAGCTTGAGCCCTGGAGCTCAAGACCAGCCTAGGCAAGATGGGGAGACCCCCATCTCTACAAAAATATTTTTTAATTTATCCAAGTGTGGTGGTGCTCACCTATAGTCCTAGCTACTCAGGAGACTGAGGTGGGAGGATCTCTTTTTTTTTTTTTTTTTTTGAGATGCAGTCTCACTCTGTCACCCAGGCTGGAGTGCAATGGCGCGATCTCGGCTCACTGCAAGTTCTACCTTCCCGGGTTCACGCCATTCTCCTGCCTCAGCTCCCGAGTAGTGGGGACTACAGGCACCCACCACCACGCCTGGCTAATTTTTTGTATTTTTTAGTAGAGACGGTGTTTCACCGTGTTAGCCAGGATGGTCTCGATCTCTTGACCTTGTGATGTGCCCACCTCGGCCTCCCAAAGTGCTGGGATTACAGGCGTGAGCCACCGCACCCGGCCGGGAGGATCTCTTGAGCCCAGGAATTTGAGTTTGCAGTGAGCTGTGCAACACCACTGCACTCCAGCCTGGATGACAAAGCAAAACTCTGTCTCTTTAAATAAATAAATAAATAAGATACTCTTACATTCCCACTAGAATGGCTAAAAAAATTTTAAGACTACTAATAGCAAACATTTGGAAGGATGTGATTCTCTGATATGCTCTCTCATATACCATTGTTTCAAATATATTTGGTGTAACTACTTTAGAAAACTATTTGGCATTGTCTCCTAAATTTAAACATTTGCATACCTTTTGACCCAGCAGTATCACTACTAAATTATACACCCAATAGAAATGCATGCATGTTTTCACCAAAAGACATAGCCAAGAATATTCAAAGCTACATTATTTGTAATAGCCAAGAGTTGGAAACAGCCTAAATGTTCACCAAAAGTAAAACAGAAAAAATGTGATGTTAATATAAATAAAATGATTAAAACTACTCCTATGCTTAACAGCATGAATGGCTCTCACAATGTGTAGTGAAAGAAGCCAGATGCAAAAGAATCATACTGTACAATTCCATTTATATAACTGGAGGAGGAAGAAGGTTGTTAGTGACTGGGAAGGCTTTACCAGTCCAGAATCCCTTCCTGCCAGAAATTAGGTATTCTGTCTTATAAGATAGGAAATACACAATTCAGAGCTCCAAGATATAATATTTGTTGCATCTGTTGAGACCTAATATATCAGTATTTAACATTGAGCAGTGTTGCTATAAAAAAGAGTAAATGATCCTCTGGCACCTCCTCTGAGTGCTTTCCAAATTAGCAACACCAAGCCTTGCCAGCAGATGGCGGGCCCTGTACACATCTAGGCTGAATAGCCAACAAGAATTTAAGTTAATATTCCAGACTATTCTACAAAGTTACTTTTGTGTTTAGCCAAGTTGTTTCAAACTTTGCTACTTCTTTTCATCCTAATTCTTCACCCTGATATAATCACCACAATGTGCATGTTTAAACTGTATAATTTTCATTCAATTACTTTGCTTCATTTCCTTATTGAAATGTATTTTGTCCAAATTTATCTGCTTTAGAAATTAACAAGGTGTTTTGGATTTATGCACTTCTGTAGGTAAGCTTGAACCATGAGGGCCTTTTCTTTTGCCAGGTCTTGGAAGTGGAAGGCCAAGATAATTTCTCAGGCAGCGCTCATTGGATTTATGTCCCCCCCTTTTTTTTTTTTTTTTTTTTTTGAGATAGGGTCTTACTCTGTTGCTCTGGCTGGAGTACAGTTTCACAGTGACAGCTCACGGCAGCCTTGACCTCCTGGGCTCAAGCAGTCCTCCCCTCTCAGCCTCTTGACTAGCTGGGACTACAGGCACGTGCCACTGCACCCAGCTAATTTTATTTTTTTGTAGAGACAGGGTCTTACTACTATATTGCCCAGGCTGGGCTCAAGCGATCCTCCTGTCTCGGCCTCCCAAAGTGTTAGAATTACAGGCATGAACCACTGCACTCAGTCCTATGTCCCTCTTAAAAGGATATCTTTTAGTGTATCATCTTCCTGCCCTGCCTGTCCTTTTATGGTGCCCATCGCAACAGCCCAGTGCCTTTCTCCCTGGGCTGACAGATAAGTGCCGCGGGGTGACTCATGCTCCATGCCTCCCATCCCTGACTATGGCCTGAAACTTCTCTCCTTCTTCCTCTCCTCTGTTCCGGTGCTACTTCGTACAGTAATGGTTTGTTAACTTTGGAGAGTGAATCCAAATCATGTATTCTTATGTGCACAGTTATATTTCTTTAAATCTGGTAAAGAAAGTCACTTACAAAAAGGGGCAAATTTATCCCCAGTGTTAAGAATTATTTTCTATCCTGGTTATTGATAGATGCCCAGAGAGAAATAGTTGTCTTTGTATATACAGGCATATGCCATTGCACATGCATGCACACACACACACACACACACACACACACACATCCCTCTTTAAATTATCTTTCTATGCAGCATGATGATGACCTATTGAGACTATTGCTCCAGAACATGTGATTTTCCCCCAGCTCTCTCTGACTGCTTGACATGTCCTTGAAGTCTCCCACAGCATGTCCAGCGAACACTTTGCCTGGCATGACTGTGCTGAACTAACTCAGGAATGAGTAAACACTTTTATTTCCTCAGAGCATCAACAAGACGCCTCCCAAGTATTTCTAAGCAGTGTGCCATGGTGTCATTAACAATGTAGGCTCTGGGCCGGCATGATGGCTCATGCCTGTAATCCCAACACTGGGAGGCTGAGATGGGAGGATCGCTTGAGGCCCGGAGTTCAAGACCAGCCTGGTCAACATGGTGAATCCCCATCTCTATTAAAAACAAAAAAATGTAGTCTTTGGAGTCAGAAGCCCTGGGTTCAAATCAGTGTTTGTTCAAACTTCCCAGCTGTAGAACTTGGGTAGATCTTGTGCTTCCTGGGAGCCTCACTCTCCTCTCCTGTTGAAGTGAAAATAATAAGACCTCCAGGGGTTGCTGTGAAGATTAAAAAGATATTACTTTAAAGCATCTAGGTGCATGGGAGACCCTCAGAAGCAAGAAAGCAAGAAAGAAAAGGGCAATATAATTATCATTATGATCTAATTGAACATTTTCCTTTCTGCTGTTTCATCCCAGAGGTGATTTTAAATCAGGTACTTATATCACATATTAAGGTTTTGTACTTCAAGACTGCCCTTGGTGTGCAATTTTTTTCTGCATTTTTTCCCTGTGCCTTGGGAAGGCTACATTTTGTTTTCTTTGCTCTCATGAATCATCTAAGCTAAAATCAGACAATTGTATATACTTACTTCTTCTTTTTTTTTGTTTGTTTGTTTTTTGTCTTTGAGACTCTCTGTCACCCAGGCTGGAGTGCAGTGGCGTGATCTTGACTCACTGCAACATCCACCTCCCAGGTTCAAGCGATTCTCCTGCCTCAGCCTCCCAAGTAGCTGGGATTACACATGTGTGCCACCACGCCCAGCTAATTTTTGTATTTTTAGTAGAGACAGTGTTTCACCATGTTGACCAGGCTGGTCTCAAACTCCTGACCTCAAGTGATCCACCTGTTTTGGCCTCCCAAAGTGCTGGGATTACAGGCATGAGCCACTGCACCCAACCTGTATATTCTTATTTCCTTAAGCTTGATTTTGTTTCTTTGTCTTGCTCTCTCTTGATTCATTGAAGTTGTGAGGTTTGGAAAGTTATTCTAACACAAGTTTTCCAAAAGGAAAGGGGATGGGGAAGATTTCTCCCTTAACTCGTACTTACTAGGAAGGAGGAGAAAATAATGGAGAAGTGATGTGGCAAGGGGAACAGAATATGTATCTACCTGCCATCACCTCATTGAGATGATGGGGTTCTACTTAGTTCCATAAGCTGCTCCAGAAATGCTTCCCAGTGGAATTTTTGATACTTCAATAATAACCTTTGCTCTTAGATCCCATAGTCCTCCCAAAATTGGTCCAGTCAGAAATTTCTACATCTAACTTTTGCTTTCTGGACTCAGCATTTAAAAAAATTTTTAGTTCTTACCATCACCTGAGGTTCCTTGATGTCTAAGTTGCATTTTCTCTGCTTCTCTCTTTTGGACATAAAGGCTCTTACAGATGCTCACATGTTCCAAGTCCTGCTTCTCCCTTGCCTGCTCCCTGAGAACATCCTGCTCTTCTCCAGCAGACATGTTTCTCCTGTCAGCTGCTCCTGTGGGACACTATGTGCCTAGAATACTTTTTGCTTACTTAACAAAGAAGGAAATTGCTTTTTTTCTCTGGGACTCTTCCTAATCCTATATTTCTGTGGTTGAAGATATGCTCTTAACTTACACAAGTCTCATTTTTGTTTTTATTATTATTATTTTCAATGTGGGGAAGCCAAAGAAAAACCACATGGCACAGGTTACTCTCATATACTTTATCTGCTTTCTATTTCTTGAATCTCCTAAAGCTTTAATGTTTTAGAGCACTGCATTTCTGTCTTTCCTTTTCTGACATTATACCCTTATAATGTACCTTTTCCTAAATATATGAGAATAATGATTTAAATAATAGAATCATGTTTTAAAATGACATGTTATTAGTATTAATATGTAACATAAATATATAATCATATATCTCTAAATAAATAACACAACATATAATAATATATATCAAATAATAGGCAGGGCACAGTGACTTACACCTGTAATCCCAGAACTTTGGGAGGCCGAAGCAGGCGGACCATTTGAGCCCAGGAGTTCGAGACAGCTTGGGCAACATGGCAAAACCCTGTCTCAAATTAATACAACTAATACATAATTACAAATACAAAAAATTAGCCAGGCGTTGTAGCATACACCTGTAGTCCCAGCTATTCCAGAGGCTGAGGTAGGAGGACTGCTTGAGACCGGGAGGCAGAGGTTGCAGTGAGCAAAGATCATGCCACTGGACTCCAACCTGGGTGACAGAGTGAGACCCCTTCTCAAAAATATAATAATAATGATTTTTTTAAAACCACACTAGCTACCAATTATTGACCACCTTCTGTGTCAGGCTTTTGCTAAGTGCTTTACAGATGTCATCTCCTTTCATTCTTAGTCCTCTCTGTGTAGTGGATACTGTTAGTATTCCCATGTTCAAATGTAGCATCTAAAGCTGAGAGAAGTGAGGTCACTTCCAGGGTCACACAGGCAGGAAGCGATAAAGCTGGAAAGTGGCCCAGCAGAGCCCTGCTTATTCAACGCTAGTGTCCAAGCTCCTGACCATGGCACACATTACATTCACTGATGTAGACTGGAAACCCCACAATGCATTCAACAGAGCAAAGCCTTTACCTGTATGTATCAGGTGATAAAAAGATACCCAGATGTAATTCTTTTCTCATGTTGGCTATGGAAAATCCCATTTGTTATCTTTTGGGATTGGTTTCTCATCAGATTCTGATCAGTGATATTCACACAAAGCCTTTCCTTTATACTGGTGCTCAATATTCTTGCCAAATTCCAGAGTTTTTAAAAGGAAACTCTGTTGCCTTAGTAATACCAGAAATTGCATTTGTTTATTGCTTGTTAAAACGAGTCTCCATCCCTATGAGATCTGAAACTTGTCTGCAATGAGATAGTGTCTCCTCTTGTGCTCTGTAGAATTACTGCGTATAAACTTTCATTCAATAAAATATGCCATGGCTTAAGTTGTGCACCTGCCAAATTAACATACTGCCACATTCTGTTATTCAAAATTTTCTGTCTTTTCATCTGTCTAGTGTATTTCTTAAGCTACCAAGTACATTGTGGATACACTAGATAATAAATCCTCAAATCATCCCTGGCAGGTAGCCAGAAATGGAAAGGAGAAAATATTGCTCTCAAACATTACACATAAGAAAATGGAAACACACAAGATTACCCGAAATTGACTGATGCTTTAAGTAAGTTGTAGATGGATGTAAGACTATAATTTAGTTATTTCTTGATGTAGTACTCTCAATTCCTTTTTTATTAAATATAAAACTAAAGTAATTTTATTTTCTATTTTGCCTTTTCTTTTATGTGAATAGTGTACTCACAATGAGCTTCAGAAGGCTCATTGTGGGTTGCATTAGCTTGATAGCCTCCATTTCTGGCTGTGTTAGTGCCAGGACCATGAAATAGCCTGCAACAGCAACCTGAGGAGGTGAGGGGTAGGATGTGCTTCATTCTTTGTGCAATTGCGTGTTGTATTCATCTTTTTAATAAAATATTTTAGACACATATATATGTAGTATTATGTAAATTCTGTAGTGTAAAGAATAGTATACACACTACTAAGCTTACAAAATCTATTTCTGATAAATAGAAGCTTGTTATGCATTCTTCCCAATACCATTTTATTCCCATACATTATAGGCAATTATTATGCTGAAATTTAGTGTTTTTCATTCCTCTGAATGTTTTTGTACCTTTACTGTGTATATGTATAGCATATATATATGTGTGTATATATATATAAAATTTGTCATATTTTAAAACTTTATATGTATGTTTCCTTCTGTAACTTCCTTTTTTCCCATCTGTATTTTTGAGATATATCTCTACCAATTGATATAATCCAGCTCTAGTCTTTTCATTTTAGACCTCCATATGGTGTGTAATTGTCTGACTTTCCTCTAATTTAATTGTCTATTTTGATGAGGGTGAACATGTGAATTGTTTCCAATTTTTTACTACTGTAAACACTACTTTCATGATCATGCTTATATAAGTCTCTTTGGGCACATATGCAGGATTATCTCTGAGGTATATTCCCAGGAGTGGAATTGTTTACTTGACAAGCATCTGCATCTTCAATTTTACTGGATTTACCAAACGCTTTCTAACAATTTATGTGTCCACCAGCAGGGTGTGTAAATTCTTGTTATTCAGCGTCCTCAGGCTTCTTATAGTTCTCAATTATATGGATGCAAAATTATATCTTATGGTTTATTTATCTATTTATTTAATTTAAGACAGAGTCTCCCTCTGTCACCCAGGGTGGAGTGCAGTGGCATGATCTCAGCTCACTGCATCCTCCATCTCCCGGGTTCAAGCGATTCTCATGCTTCACCCTCCTGAGTAGTTGGGATTACAGGCACATGCCACCAGGCCCAGCTAATTTTTGTATTTTTAGTAGAGACGGGGTTTCACCGTGGCCAGGCTGGTCTTGAACTCCTGACCTCAAGTGATCCACCTGCCTCGGCCTCCCCAAAGTGCTGGGATTACAGGCATGAGCTACCGCACCTGGCCCTTATGGTTTCTTTAATTGAATTTTTCTGATAGGGAAGTTAAATATCTTTTTATATGTTTGCTAGACATTTGGAATTCTTGTTCTGTGAATTATCTATTCACATGTTTTGCTTATTTGCTATTGAGCTATTTGCATTTTTCTTAAAAATTGGTAGATAGTCTTCATATTTCTGGAAACAAGTTATTTGCTGTTTACATATATTGTATGTACTTCAGATGTGTAGTTTGCCTTGATTTTTGATGCACAAGAGTTTTTATTTTTAATATGATCAATTTTACCTATCTTTTCTGTTCTTATTTGTGTATATATTAGAAATCCTTCCCTACTCAAAGACACAGGGTTACTTTTCCATATGTTTTCTCTCAAACATATCAAAGTTTTTATTTTTAAATTTAGGACTCCTAAACAGCCATTGGGGCAATGAAGAAATTAAGAAGGACATTAAAAATTTTCTTGAAACAAATGAAAATGGAAACATAACATACCAAAACATATATAATACAGCAAAAGCAGTACTAAGAGGGAAGTTTATAGCAATAAATGCTTACCTCCAAAAAGTAGAAAACCTTCAAATAAACAGCCTAACAATGTGTCATAAGGAACTAGAAAATCAAGAGCAAACTAAACCTCAAATTCGGATAAAAAAATAATAAAAATCCAAGCACAAATAAATAAAATTGAGACTAAAAAAATTCAAAAGATGAATATAACAAAAAGTTTGTTTTTTGAAAAGATAAACGAAATCAACAAACCTTTACTAGACTAAGAAAAACAGAGAGAAGACCCAAATGAGTAAAATCAGAGACAAAAAAGGAGACAATACAACTGCTACCACAGAAATTCAAAGGATCATTAGAGACTATTATGAGCAACTATATGTAATATGTAATAAACTGGAAAATCTAGAATAAATGGATAAGTTCCTAGACACATAAAACCTGTTACAGTTGAACTATGAAGAAATCAGAAACCTGAATAAACCAATAAGTAACAAGATAGAAGCATTGATAGAATGTCTTCCATCAAAGAAAAGCCCAAGATCTGATGGCTTCAGTACTAAATTCTACCACACATTTTAAGAAGAACTAATATCAATCCTACATAAACTGTTTCAGAAAATTGAGGAGGAAGCAGTATATCCAAACTCATTCTATGAGGTCCGCGTTGTCTCAATACCAAAACCAGACAAAGACACATCAAAAAAGAAAACTATGGGCCAATATCTCTGATGAATATGGATACAAAATCCTCAAACCCAATTCAACTACACATTAAAAAGATCATTCATCTTGATCAAGTGGAATTCATCCCAGGGATGCAAGGATGGTTCAACATACACAAATCCATAAATATGATACCTCACATCAACAAAATGAAAGACAAAAACCATATGATCATTTCAATAGATGCTGAAAAGGCATTTGATACAATTCAACATCCCTTCATGATAAAAACTTAACAAGGACTTAAAGGAACTTACTTAACTTACTAAAGGAACATACCACAATGTAATAAAAGCCATATATGACAAACCCACAGCTAGTATCATACAGAACAGTGAAAAACTGAAAGCCTTTCCTCTAAGATCTGGGACAAGACAGGCTTGCCTACTTTTACCATTTTTATTCAACATAGTACAGAAAGCTTTAGCCCAAGAAGTTAGGCAAGAAAAAATAAATAAATGACATCTAAATTAGAAGGGAAGAATTCAAATTATCCTTGTTTGTAGATGATATGATCTTATATTCAGAAAAACCTATAGATTCTACCAAAAAGCTATGAGAACTGATCAACAAATTCAGTAAAGTTGCAGGATACAAAATCAACATACAAAAATCAGTAGCATTTCTGTATGCCAACAGCTAGCAATCTGGAAAAAAAAAAACAAGAAAGTAATGCCATTTACAATAGCTACAAAAAAAAACCTAGCAATAAATAAGATAAAATAGTTAAGAATAAACTTAACCAAAGAAGTGAAAGATCTCTACAATGAAAACTATAAAACATTGATGACAGAAAATGAAGAGGACATGCAAAAAGATTTCATGTTCATGGATTGGAAGTGCCAATATTGTTGAAATGTGCCTACGACCCAAAGCAACCTACAGATTTAATGCATTCTCAAAATGCCAATTACATTCTTCATTGAAATAGAAAAAAAAAATCCTAAAGTTTATGTGGAACCACGAAAGTCCCAAAAGAGTCAAAGAAATCCTGACCAAAAAGACCAAAGCTGGAGGCATCACATTACCTGACTTCATACTATACTACAGATCTATAGTCACCAAAACAGCATGATACTGGCATAAAAATAGACACATAGACCAATGGAACAGAATAGAAACCCCGGAAATAAATCCATGCATTTACAGTCAACTCATTTTTTACAAAGGTGCCAAGAACATACACTGGGAGAAAGATAGTGTCTTCAACAAGTGGTGCTGGGAAAACTGGATATCCATATTCATAAGAATGAAACTAGACCCCTAGTTCTCGCTATATGCAAAAATCGAATTAAAATTCATTAAAGACTTAAATCTGGCCAGGCAGTGGGGCACATGCCTGTAGTCCCAGCACTTTGGGAGGCCAAGGCAGGAAGATTGCTTGAGCACAGGAGTTCAAGACCAGTCTGGGCAACATGGTGAAACTCTATCTTTACAAACAAACAAAATTAGCCAGGTGTGTGGTGGTGTGCACCTATAGTCCCAGCTACTCTGGGGCCTAAGGTGGGAGAATCATTTGAGCCCAGGAGGTTGAGGCTGCAGTGAGCTATGATCACACCACTGCACTCCAGCCTGGGCCACAGAACAAGACCTGTCTAAAAAAAAAAAAAAAAAAAAAAACCTTAAATCTAAGACTGAAACTCTGAAACTACTGGAAGAAAATATTGAGAAAACACTCCAGGAAATCGGTCTGGGCAAAGATTTCTTAAGGAAGACCTCAAAAACGTAGGCAACCAAAGCAAAACTGGACAAATGGGATCACATCAAGCTAAAAGGCCTTCTGCACAGCAAAGGAAACAATTAACAAAGTGAAGAAACAATCCACAGAATGTGTGAAAATATTTGCAAACTACCCATCTGTCGAGGGATTAATAACCAGAATAAATAAGGAGTTCAAACAACTGAATAGAAAAAGACAAACTGATTTTAAAACGAGCAGAAGATCTGAATAGACATTTCTCAAAAGAAGACATGCAAATGACCAACAAGTATATGAAAAAATACTCAACATCACTGATGATCACAGAAATGCAAATCAAAACTACAATGAGATATCGCACCCCGATTAAAATGCCTTCTATCAAAAAGGCAGTAATGGATGCTGGTGAGGATGTGGAGAAAGGGGGACACTCATACACTGTTGGTGGGAATGCAAGTTAGTACAGCCACTATGGAGAATAGTGTGGAAGTTCCTCAGAAAACTAATAATAAAACTACCATATGATCCAGCCATCTCATTACTCAGTATATACCCCCCAAAAAGGAAATCAGTATATCAAAAGAAATATCTGCACTCTCATGTTTATTGCAGCACTATTCACAATGGCCAACCTAGGACTCAACATAAGTGTCAATCAGTGGATGAATGGATAAAGAAAATGTGGTAGATATACATAATGGAATATTAGCCATTAAAAAAGGATGAAATCCTGTCAATTGCAGCAAAATGGATGGAGCTGGAGGGCATTATGTTAAGTGAAATAAGCCAGGCACAGAAAATATCACATTTTCAGTCAAATGTAGGAGCTAAAAAGATTTAAAAAAAAAAGAAAGAAAAAAAAGAAAAATTGAACTCATGGAGATAGAGAGCAGAATGATGGTTACTACAGGCTTTGAAGGGGAGTAGGGAGTGGGAGATGAAGAGGGGAAAACTATTGGGTATAAAAATACAGGTGAATAATGGGAATAAGACCTAATGTTTGGTAATACAATAGGTTGACTATAGTTAACAATATTTTTTTGTATATTTTTAAATAATTAAAGAATGGAACTGGCATGTTCCTAACACAAAGAAATGATAAATGCTTGAGGTGATGGGTATGCTATAACCCTGATTCGATCATTAACTTTGTGTGCTTATATCAAAATTTTACATGCACCCCATACATATATACAATTATTATGTATCCATAATAATTTAAAATTTTTTTAAAAAAATTTGTCCTCTAATCCACTTGGAGCTTTGGTGTACATGGTACCTCCTTTTATATATCTTTTGTTTTTATTTATGCGTTCTTACTTTTGGTGATGAGTATGTATTCTTATAATACATTATTCTGTTTTTTTAAAGTTCAATTGGATAAGAAAATGCCCACCTCATTTGCACAATAGTTCCAATCAGTTTCTCTGATTTTGCCTATTATTTGGACTTTCCAAACTCTTATGTGGTTGGTGTTGGGGTGGAGCTCAGATCACAATTGAGCCCATTTCAACATGGGAACAAACTGAGGCTGTTGCATATGGTGTGCAGGTTGGGAGGAGAAAGAGTAAAAGATATGATTATGTGTAGACATTTAATACTAATCTGTGTGATGTGCTTCTGTCTGCAAAGCACTTTCACGGACATCTTATTCAATTCTCACAACAACCAGTGTGTTCAGATGACGGAACCAAGGTTCAAGACATTTTGTTTTTGTCGAAGCTTTGTCAACAAGGCTGCTTGGACTACAGTTTGGGTTTTCTACTGCTGCTTACTTACAACTGATTCTCCTGCCTCTCATTTTCTGTTATTTTCCATAACATTTTCTCTGGGAGTCAGGTATTATTTGAAGGATGACTTTTGAGACCTGAAAAGGTGACCTGGTGTTAACTTGGGATGATATGCTGTGCTTTTGGCTGAGATAGCTAGTAGGTGGCTACAAGTTTTCCGTGGTCTTCACCTATTAACAAACCCCCAAACACTTTTCTTTAGTGGCTTATCTCAGGAAAGAAGGAATTTTTTATATATCAATGAATGCATGCCTTGTTATTGTTTTCTTTTTTGCTCATTTATGAGCTTGATTACTAAACTTTAAATACTGCTTTCTTTAAAAGCAGTTGCCCAGATGAAATTATCTTGGTGTTTGTACTTCCTTCATTTCTCTTCTGTGACTTTTACGGGCAGTCTGGGAAACAAAGGATCCATTCTTTACTTCAATGGCACACTGCATCTTTTATGAACATGACGAGGAAAAAGATGAATATTTTTTTCCTTCTCTCAAATATCCCTGGCATTGTCTGAGTTCTCTAGGCTAAATTAGGTGGAAAAAAATCTGAAATCATTTTAGAAGTATGTAACTTTCTCTAGATTCTAGACCAGAGGTCAGCAAACTTTTTCCCTAAAAGCCCAGATAATAAGTATTTCAGATGTTGTAGGCCATATGGTTTCTGTGGCAACCAATGAACTCTTGTCATATTTCAAAAGCAGCCATGGATGATATGTAAACGAATGGGCATGGCATTGTGCCAATAAAACTTTATTTACAAAAACAGCAGATTTGGCCCCCACACCATAGTTTGCTGACCCCCATTTTTAGTTATTTAAGCTTTGTCTACCACGGAATCTAAGTCTTTGGCTAAATGATTTCTTACCAACCATATGTTTCTGAGACTTTCTATCACCAAAGGTTCTAATGGGTTTTCTCTTCAAATATAAAGTATGATATTTACAAAACTAAGGATTACTCCCGACATTCTAAGCTCCTTCAGCATCAGAAAGGAAGCCCACAGAAAGGAAGACCGGTATTACTGGGTCGCCTATTAATCTTTTTCCTTCCCAGATTAGAGTTTCTACAAGCTGTAGCCCTCCTTAGTCCCTGAAGTCTTCCTGAGTTTTTAAACCTCTTCACAATTATAGAAGGTATCCAGATTAATAAACTGTTCAATCAGCATTTTATTCCACTGTGGCCATCTGGACCACAGATCCGAAAAGTATCTTTACTTCTATCAGTTAATTCCTCTGGAGAGCAAAAATAGGTGTGAAAAATACCCAGTGGTTGAGGTGAAAATAATACCTATTTTTTGTAGTCTTTTAGCTTTCTCTTGGGCAGTTTGGGAATCACAAGGCCTTTTGGTATTAAAAGTTCTGGAGTGGAGGGCAACATAGGAGGGATTATAAATTTTGCACATAAAATTTTTCCATGAAAGAAAAGGTTCCTAATAGTCTTAACAAATATGCTGGAGAAGATTATTTTTAAATATGTGCTGTGTTTGCTGAAAAATATGTAAGGATACATTTTTTATATGAGAGATTCTTATTCTAAGAAGGTATAGAAATATTTTCGCACTGCCACCTTTACTTATAATTTCTAAATTAGCATTTTTATGATATAAAAGTAACACATTTTCATAGAAGTTTGGGAAATTTAGAAAAGCACAAACATGAAATGTAAAATTACAGTCTAACAGCTTAGAGATAAGTATTGCTAACATAGCAATGGCTTTTGCCATCTTTCTGTGCATATGTGTACATGCAAATTAGATATACAGTTTTCACATGCCTGAGATGATATACAGAATATTTTGTAGCCTGCCTTTTCACTGAAGTATATAGAATGGGTAAACTTCTGTGTCAATAAATATGGATCAGCACTAATTTTCATGGCTACGTGGCATTCCACAGTATAGATGTACTTACTGTAACCTGCTTGCACAGTCTCCTGTTGGTGCATTTTAAGTGCTTTGGACTTTTCCACCATTATAGAGAATGCTAAGGTAAATGTTCTATATATATATCTTCTTGCCCTGCCAGAGTATCACTTCAAGATAAATTCCTAGAATTGGAATTCGCAAAATTGTATGTGTGTATGTGCGTGTGTGTGTACATATATGTGTATGATTTGATATAGAAAAGTTTATGCCCAAACTATATTCTCCTCAACAGTTGATGAGAGTGCTTCACATCCTTCCCAATACTGGGAAATTTCTAAAATTTCTCAACAGATCAGTTATTAGCATCTCAGCATCCTTTCCTTGATGGTTGCTGTCATTGTTTTGTAAAGTATTTAACAGTTTTTAAACCAATACCTACCCATATAGCACTTACTGTGTATTAGAGGTTATTCTAGGTGTTTTATGAATATCAATTAATTTAATCTTCTTAATAACCCAATGAAGTGTGGGCACTGTTATCCTTAACTCACAAATGAGGAAACTGAGTGACTGGAAGATCGTACATCTAGTCAGTGGTGAAGCCAGGACTTGAACCTTCCTGGTGATTCCAGAACCCATCTTCTTAACCACCATGCCCTGCTGGCTCTTGGAGGAAATGCTTAGTTAGCAAGGAAACGAACCTGAACACCAGGGATCAAAGAGTCACATCCCAACTACCAGCTCACCTATATTTTCAGTATTTTCTATTTTAATTATTAAATAAAATAATTCCTTTGATTTTTTTAGGGTGTATCAAGGTCAGAAGAAGTCAAAAGAAGCTTTGTCCCACTATCAAGCAGCTTTGGAATATGTTGAGATCAGTAAAGGTGAAACAAGTCGTGAGTGTGTACCCATATTGAGAGAATTAGCAGGTGTAGAGCAAGCCCTGGGACTCCACGATGTATCCATCAACCACTTCCTCCAGGTAAGCTACAAGGTCCTGGCTACCAAAGCTGTTCTAGGCCCAATGCTTTTCATAGACACAAGTGGCACAGCAGCTCTGAAAATGCCTGGCTTTGTCATTTGCTCTAGATAAGGACAACAGTTGGCCTAGAGTAGATGCTCAACAAAGGTGTTCTTATCAGGTGGTCACGTGGGCAAGTGCTGGTACTTGTCCCCTGTTAGTAGTTGCACAAACCACAAACAGCCTGAGATGCTCTAAAGGGGGTTGCTTTATCCTTTAATATCTATTTAGAGCGTATGTTACCCAACTGATAAGGACTCTTTTTTTCTACATTCTAAAGTCTTCACCTGAAGCCACCTAGAGTTATGTCTGTTAGCTGCTAGTCTACTTTATAAGATTCCTCAGTGAGTGTGTTGTGTCCATCAGAGTTCTCCAGAGAAACAGAACCAATAGGATACGTACACACACACACACACACACAAACACACACACTTTGGTTTTTTTGTTTTAGATTTTTTTTTTTTTTTTTTTTTTTGGAGAGACAGGGTTTCATCATGTTGCCCAGGCTGGTTTCAAACTCCTGGGTTCACGTGATCCTCCTGCCTCAGCCTCCCAAACTGCTGGGATTACAGGCATGAGCCACCAGGTCCGGCCTCTCTTAAGGAACTGACCCATGCAATTAAGGGGCTGTTAAGTCTGGAATCCACAGGGGAAACTCAGACAGGATTTCTATGTTGCAGTCTTGAAGCAGAGTTTCTTCTAGAAGCCTCAGTTTTTCACTCTAGGTCTTCAACTGATTTGATGAGGGCCACCGATATTATCCAGGGTCATCTCCTTTAAAATCAGTTGATTGTGAATATTAATCACATCTACAAAACACCGTGTATTCACTGCAACACCTAGACTAGCGTTTGACCAGACAACCTGGCCCCATAGCCTAGCCGAGTTCACATGTAAAATTAACCATAATAGTGAGTTTTATGTCTTTATATTGTATCATGCCAAAGGCACTTTTAAGAAAGTTTTTCTGATAATTTTTTCCTGTAAAAGTTGTAAGATACAGACCAATCCATTCTTGTTATTTGAAGTGAGATACAGTGACAAGGTCCTGAGAGTACTTCATTAATATTTCTTATTTTAATTTGTCTGACAATTTATACTCCTACTCACAGTTTGTTAGAGTGCCCCTTTTTCTCACTTTATCTGGATTGTCTCTTTTAATCATTATTACCACCCTGTGACACATGATTATTTCCCATTTGTAGATAAGGAAGCCAAGAATTAGAGAGGTTGAGTGATATGCCCAGGAGTACATACCCAATAAATGGCATGCTCACATTCAAAACCAATACTTAAGAAAGATTGTTCTGGATGATTTGTAGAGAATGGATTGGGGAGGTTGTGCCAACCATAGAACTAGACCACTTAGGAAGCTATTGAGGTAGCCAAAGCTGAGAATGATGGTAGCTTGAACTAGGATGAAGATAGTGGAGATGAAGAGAAGTAGATGGATATAGGAAAGATTTAGGAGGCAGAATTGATAGGACATGGAGATTGATTGGATGTGGGGGAAAGAAGGAAGGGAAGAGTTATAGATGACTCCCAGGTTTCTGGCCTGGACTGCTGAGTAGATATTTGTGCCATTTCTACCAGGGAACTGGTGTGTGACTGGGTGATGGAGAGATGGCAAGCTGTGTTTTAGGTGATGAGCCTGAGATGCCTGTGAGGCGTACAAGTGGAAATGACAATAGGCAGTTAGATAATTGGGGCTGGTGCTCAAAATATAGGTCAGAAAGTTATCCACTTACACACAGTGATTGCCCTGGGAGAGGACGAGATCACCTAGGGAGAGTTGATGGAGAGAGAAAAGAACTGATGACAGATTCTTGAGGAATTTCAGTATTCATGGCTGAAGTAAAGAAGGATTACCTAGCAAATGAAACAGAGAAAGACTGCCAGGAAAACAAGAGGAAAAGGGAAAATGAAAGTAGTGTCCTCTGTCCCTTTCTTTTTTCTTTTTTCTTTTTTTTTTTTGTTTGAGCGGAGTCTTGCTCTGTTGCCCAGGCTGGAGTGCAGTATGATCTGGGCTCACTGCAACCTCCACCTCCTGGGTTCAAGCAATTCTCTTGCCTCAGCCTCCCGAGTAGCTGGGATTACAGGCGCCCGCCACCATGCCTGGCTAATTTTTGTATTTTTAGTAGAGATGATGTTTTACCATGTTGGCCAGGCTGGTCTCGAACTCCTGACCTCAAGTGATCTGCCCACCTTGGACTCCCAAAGTGCTGGGATTACAGACGTGAGCTACTGCGCCTGGCCTCCCTCCCTTTTTTGATACCTTTCACTGTTTTGGAGGACATAGAATTCTAGAGAGGATAAATAAGTTTGTAAAGAGCTTAGCACAGTGCCTGATACATAGTGCTAAATATGGATGTTTTTAATTTTCTCTTTCCTTTCCTTTTATGTTATTTTTCTTTTCTTTTTCTTTCATTGATGACTTTGTTGAGGTGAATACTGGGGTGATGATAAGAACAGAAACCAGGCCGGGCGTGGTGGCTCACACCTGTAATCCCAGCACTTTGGGAGGCCAAGGAGGGTGGATCACAAGGTCAGGAGATCAAGACCATCCTGGCTAACATGGTGAAACCCCATCTCTACTAACAATACAAAAAATTAGCCGGGCATGGTGGCGGGCGCCTGTAGTCCCAGCTACTCGGGAGGCTGAGGCAGGAGAATGGCGTGAGCCTGGGAGGCGGAGCTTGCAGTGAGCTGAGATCGCGCCACTGCATTCCAGCCTGGGCGTTGGAGCGTGACTCCGTCTCAAAAAAAAAAAAAAAAGAACAGAAACCACATTATATAGCAGGTGAGATATGAGGGAGCAAAAACAGTAAGTGTAGTTGGCAGTTACAAAAGGTACTGAGATGCTTTTGGGGGAAGACAAGCCTAGGCAAGAGGGCAGAGCACATGGTAAGGTCTGAAGGTTAAACGCTTGACACATTCAGGAAGCTATAAGAAGCTCCCTCTGCTTGGGCAGTGGGAATGGCAAAGGCAGTAGATGGGTATCTTTTAGGTAGGTGTTGAAAGTCATCTTAAGGAATTTGAGCTTCCTCCTAAGGGCAGATGAAGGTTTTCAGGCAGGGAGATTGGCATCATCAGATTATCATTCTGGAGGGACCACTCTGTGGTATGGAGAATGGACTGGATGGTGGTGAGATAAGCAGGGGGATAACTCAGAGATGATGACTGCAGCAGTTCCGGTTGGGGGTGAGACAGCCCATACTCAGGTGGTGCTGGTGAAAATGGAGAAGCATGGACAGATCTGAGAGATATGTGTGGAGTAGACATGACAGGCCTGGGGGTTGTGCACATCTCCAGGAAGAGTCCAGCTTTACCCCAGGTTTCTGGCCTAGGTCGCTGTGTGGCTCACGGCAACATTTACTTAGCATAGGCACACTGGCGGGTTTACAACTTTTGTTAGTATCAATAACTGTAAATATTCTTATACAAAAACCTTTTGTAGTTTCTTGAATTATTTCCAGGGGTAAATGTCCAGAAATTAAACTAGTAGGAGGAAGTTCATATGGATTCATATTAACATTCTGCCACAGAATTGTTTTTGATGTACCTCGCCACCAGCAGTTTTTTCTTTGTTTGTTCTTAAATGAAGCAGTTTTGTACAAACCATGCCAGCTTTTTACATTATTTTACTCTCATTTTACAGAATAGAGTCTCAAATTTACTTTAATTTTTTATGTTAACCCATATCTCTCAAACTTTTTTTTTTTTTTTTTGAGACAGAGTCTCGCTGTGTCGCCCAGGCTGGAGTGCAGTGGTGCGATCTTGGCTCACTGCAGCCTTCGCCTCCTGGGTTCAAGGGATTCTCGTGCCTCAGCCTCCCGAGTAGCTGGGATTACAGGCGTGTGCCACCATGCCCGGCTATTTTGTATTTTTAGTAGAGACAGGGTTTCACCATGTTGGCCAGGCTGGTCTTGAACTCCTGAACTCAAGAGATCCCCCTGCCTCAGCCTCCCAACAAACTTTTTAATAGGCTTTTCTTTTCTTTTTTTTTTTTTTTAGCAGTTTTAGGTTCACAGCAAAATTGAGTGGCATGTACAAAGATATAGCCCCTGCCCCCCACCATGCATAGCCTCCCTCACCAGAGTCATACATTTGTTATAATTGATGAGCCTACATTGACACATCATTATCACCTAAAGTCCATAGTTGACATTCAGGTTCACTCTTGGCATTGTACATTCTGTGGGTTTGCACAAACTTATAACATCATGTATTTACCATTATAATATCACGCAGAGTGGCTTCACTGCCCTAAAAATCCTCCATGCTCTGCCTATTCATCTCTCCTTCCCCCTAAACTCTGGCAACCACTAGTTTTGTAAGAAACCACCAAACTGCCTTCCAAAATGGCTATACCATTTACATTCCCACCAGCAATGAACGAGAGTTTCTGTCACTCCATATCCTTCATATCCATCAAGTATCCAAGCCAGTACTTGATGTTTTCAGCATTCTGGATTTAGGGCAGTCTAATAGGTGTGTAGTGGTATCTCATGGTTCTTTTAAATTGTATTTCCCTGGTGATATATGATATGGGGCATCTTTCCATGGGCTTGTCATCTGTGTATCTTCTTTGGTGAGGTGTCAAAGTTACTGGCCCATTTTTAAAATCAATTTGTTTATTTTCTTATTGTTGAGTTTTTAAGAGGTCTTTGCATATTTTGGATAACAGTCCTTAATTCAATATGTCTTTTGTAAGATTTTCTCCCAGTCTGCGGCTTTTCTTTTAATTCTCTTGACAATGTCTTTTGCAGAGCAGAAATTTTTAATTTTAATGAAATCCAGCTTATCATTTCTGTCATTCATGGATTGTGCCTTTGGTGATATATCTAAAAAGTCATCACCAAGTCCAAGGTCATCTAGATTTTCTCCTGTGTCATGTTCTAGGAGTTTTATAGTTTTGCAGTGTTGTTTTGTTTTGTTTTGGTTTTGAGATGGAGTTTTGCTCTTGTTGCCCAGGCCAGAGTGCAATGGTACAATCTCGTCTCACCAACCTCTGCCTCCCAGATTCAAGCAATTGTCCTGCCTTAGCCTCCCTAGTAGCTGGGATTACAGGCATGTGCCACCATGCCCGGCTCATTTTGTATTTTTAGTAGAGACGGGGTTTCTCCATGTTGGTCAGGCTGGTCTTGACCTCCCGACCTCAGGTGATCTGCCTACCTGTGCCTCCCAAAGTGCTGGGATTATAGGTGTGAGCCACTGCGCTCAGCTAGTTTTTATTTTACATTTAGGTCTATAACACATTTTTAGTCAATTTTTGTGAAGGGTATAAGGTCTGTGTCTGAAATCTTTTTTTTTTTTTTTTTTTTTTTGCACGTGATGTCCAATTTTTCCAGCACGGTTTGTTGAAAAAACTGTCTTTTCTTCATTGTATTGCCTTTGCTCCTTTGCCAAAGATCAGTGGACTGTATTTATGTGGGCCTATTTCTGGGCTCTCTATTCTGTTCCATGATCTCTTTGTCTCTTCTTTTGCCACTGCCACACTGTCTTAATTACTGTAGCTTTATTGTAAGTCTTCAAGTTGGGTAGTATCAGTCCTCCAATTTTGTTCTTTTCCTTCCATATTTCATTGGCTATTCTGGATCTTTTGCCTCTCCATACAAACTTTAGAATCAGTTTGTCAATATCCACAAAATAACTTCCTGAGATTTTTATTAGGATTACATTGAATCTGGATATCAAGTTGGGAAGAATTCACATCTTGACAACATTGAGTCTTCCTATCCAATTTCTAAAAGTTGTTCTCTAAATTTTTCATGACTAAATCCAGATCTATCCTCAACGTCTCAGCTATGAGTTCCTAAAGTTCAAAACTTTAGTAAAAGTTTCAAACATTAAAACTTTTTTTTTTTTTTGAGATAGAGTCTTGCTCTTGCCACCCAGGCTGGAGTGCAGTGGCACAATCTCAGCTCACTGCAACCTCCACCTCCCAGGTTCAAGTAATTCTCCTGCATCAGCCTCCCGAGTAGCTGGGATTACAGGCACCCACAACCACATCCAACTAATTTTTGTATCTTTGAGTAGAGATGGGGTTTCACTATGTTAGCCAGGCTGGTCTTGAACTCTTGACCTCAAGTGATATGACTGCCTTAGCCTCCCAAAGTTCTGGGATTATAGGTGTGAGCCACCGTGCCCAGTACAAACTTTAAAACTTTCAAAAGTTCAAAAAAAAAGGTCTCGCTACCAGTTTCTTAAGTTCATGGAAAGACATCAGTGATTGTATTAGTCCATTGTCACGCTGCTGATAAAGACATACCCAAGACTGGGCAACTTACAAAAGAAAGAGGTTTAATTGGACTGACAGTTCCATATGGCTGGGGAAGTCTCACAATCATGGCAGAAGGCAAGGAGGAGCAAGTCATGTCATATGTGGATGGCAGCAGGCAAACAGATTGGTCAGGGAAACTCCCCCTTATGATCCTGTTAGATCTCATGAGACTTACTCACTATCACAAGAACAGCATGGGAAAGACCTACCCCCATGATTCAGTTATCTCCCACCAGATCCCTCCCACAACATGTGGGAATTATGGGAACTACAAGATGAGATTTGGGTGGGGTCACAGAGCCAAACCATATCATTCTGCCCCCGGCCTCTCCAAAATCTAATATCTTCACATTTCAAAACCAATCATGCCTTCCCAACAGTCCTCCAAAGTCTCACCTCATTTCAGCATTAACTCAGAAGTCCACGGTCCAAAGTCTTATCAGAGACAAGGCAAGTCCTGTCTGCCTATGAGCCTGTAAAGTCAAAAAGCAAGTGGTTTCTAGATACAAAGTGGGTACAGGTATTAGGTAAGTGCAGCCATTCCAAATGGGAGAAATTGGCCAAAACAAAGGGGCTACAAACCCTATGCAAGTCTGAAATCCAACAGGGCAGTCAAATCTTAAGGCTCCAAAATGATCTCCTGTGACTCCATGTCTCACATCCAGGTCATGCTGATGCAAGAAGTAGGTTCCCATAGTCTTGGGCAGCTCCGCCCCTGTGGCTTTGCAGGGTACAGCCTCCCTCCCAGCTGCCTTCACACATTGACGATGAGTGTCTGCAGCTTTTCCAGGCACACGGTGCAAACTGTCAATGGATCTACTATTCTGGGGTCTGGAGGACGGTGGCCCTCTTCTCACAGCTCCACTAGGCAGTGTCCCAGTAGGGACCCTGTGTGGTGGCTCCCACCCCACATTTCCCTTCTGTACTGCCCTAGCAGAAGTTCTTCATGAGGACCCCACCCCTACAGTAAACTTCTGCTTGGGCATCCAGGCATTTCCATACATCTTGTGAAATCTAGGCAGAGGTTCCCAAACTTCAATTCATGATTTCTGTGCATTCACAGGCTCAACACCATGAGGAAGCTGCCAAGTCTTCAGGCTTGCACCCTCTGAAGCCACAGCCCAAGCTCTATGATGGCCCCTTTCAGCCAAGGCTGGAGCAGCTGGGACACAGGGCATCAAGTTCCTAGGCTGCACACAGCATGGGGACCCTGGGCCCAGCCCGTGAAACCACTTTTTCCTCCTAAGCCTCCAGGCCTGTGATGGGAGGGACTGTGCAAAGGTCTCTGACATGCCCTGGAGACATTTTCCCCATTGTCTTGGTGATGAAAATTCACTCCTCATTACCTGCAGCTGGCTTGAATTTCTCCTCAGAAAATGGGATTTTCTTTTCTATTGCATTGTCAGGCTGCAAATTTTCCAAACATTTTTGCTGTCTTTGCCTTTTGAAACTGAATGCCTTTAATAGCACCCAAGTCACATCTTGAATGCTTTGCTGCTTAGAAATTTCTTCCACCAGATACCCTAAATCATCTCTCTCAAGTTCAAAGTTCCACAAATCTCTAGGACAGGGGCAAAATGCTGCCAGTCTCTTTGCTAAAACGTAACAAGAATCACCTTTGCTCCAATTCCCAACAAGTTCCTCATCTCCATCTGAGACCACCTCAGCCTGGACTGTATTGTCCATATCACTATCAGGCTTTTGGTCAAAGCCATTCAACAAGTATCTAGGAAGTTCCAAACTTTCCCACATTTTCCTGTCTTCTGAGCCCTCCAAACTGTTCCAACCTCTGCCTGTTACCCAGTTCCAAAGTCACTTCCACATTTTTGGGTATCTTTTCAGCAGCACCCCTCTCTGCTGTTTTGCTGTATTAGTCTGTTTTCATGCTGCTGATGAAGACATACCTGAGACTGGGCAATTTACAGAAGAAAGAGTTTTAATTGGACTGACAGTTCCACGTGGCTGGGGAAGCCTCACAATCATGGTAGAAGGCAAGGAGGAGCAAGTCATGTCTTACATGGATGGCAGCAGGCAAAAAGAGAGATTGGGCAGGGAAACTCCTCCTTATGATACCATCAAGTCTTGTGAGACTTATTCACTATTACGAGAACAGCAGGGAAAGACACAGAGCCAAACCATGTAAGTGATAATATGCACATAGTCATCTAGCAAGGACCATTTCTCCTGACAAAATTCACTGAACTGAAAGATGGCCTCCAAGAGCCAACACCAACAGTATGCATTCAAAGATCTGAGTTTGGTTTAGAGAAGCATTCCCCACACTGTGTTCCACAGAGTACTAGCATATCATGAGAGTTCATAGGTCTTCCTAGAAAAAAGTGTTTGTGGTTAAATAAAATTGAAAGGTATTAAGTTGAAATCAAACGCATTTACTTATGGCTTTATAGTGCATTAAATATGCCAATTTGGATTATGAATCAAGAGTAGATCTAATGAGTCTGTGAGATACTAGTGTCCCCAGGTCCCAGTTGAGCTTAGAGAAAGAAATGTAGACTAGGCACGGTAGCTCATGCCTGTAATCTCAGCACTTTGGAAGGCCAAGGCAGGCAGATCGCTTGAGCTCAGAAGTTCAAGACCAGCCTGGGCAACATGGCAAAACCTTGTCTCTACAAAAAAAAATACAAAAATTAGCCACACGTGATGATGCACACCTGTAGTCTCAGCTACTCGGGTGGCTGAGGTGGGAGGATTGCTTGTGCCTGGGAGGCCGAGGCTAGAGTGAGCCAAGATAGCATCACTGCACTCCAACCTGGACGCCACTGCACTTCACCCTGTCTCAAAAAAAAATAAAAAGACATATAAATGTCTAAAAGTAGGAATCAGCAAAGGAATTCAAATATGCATGCAGCATGTAGGTCTTGTCACTCTCAGGAGTCCTTAGCACTTTGGGAATGGGAAGTGAGTTATGTAGTGCCTTTCATTTGTGGCACCCTGATTCACCACCATTGTAACGTATTTTGCCACATTGGTTTTCTCTATCTATATAGACATACATACAAACATACACACATATATATACAGCCACATATACTCAGAGATAATTGTTTATATTTTTTAATCATTTGAAGATATGTTCAATATATCATGTCTTTTTATCCCTGAATACTTCAGTGTATGTTTTATAAGAACAAGGAAATTAGCTAGGCATGGTGATGCACGCCTGTAATTCCAGCTACTTGGGAGGCTGAGGCAGGAGAATCGCTTGAACCCAGGAGGTGGAGGTTGCAGTGAGCCAAGATCACATCACTGCACTCCAGCCTGGGTGACAGAGCAAGACTCCATCTAAAAAAAAAAACAAAAACAAACAAAAAAAAAAAACAAGGATATTTTCTTATGTAACCACAATACAGCTATCAAAGCCAGGAATTTTCTTTCTTTCTTTCTTTCTTTCTTTTTTTAGACAGGTCTTGCTTTGTCACCCAGGCTGGAGTGTAGCGGCGCAAACACAGCTCACTGCAGCCTCGCCCTCCCAGGTCAAGCAATCCTCCTGCTTCAGCCCTTTAAGTAACTGGGACTATAGGCGTGCACTGCCACACCCAGCTAATTTTTGTATATTTTTTTTGTAGAGACGGGGTTTTGCCATGTTACCCAGGCTGGTTTCAAACTCTTGGGCTCAAGCAATCCACCCACTTCAGCCTCCCAAAGTGCTGGGATTACAGGCATGAATCACTACTCCTGGCTTTTCAGGGAATTTTGAACATTGGTCATATTCCATTTTGTCCATTGTCCCAATTAGGTCCTTTATGGCAATTCTTTTTCCTCCAATGCAAGATCCACTCCAGGATCATGTATTACATTTAGTTGTCATGGCTCTTCTCTTCTTTAATCTAGAATAGTTTCTCACTCAGTCTGTCTCTTATGACATTGAAATTTTTGAAGAATATAAGTCAGCTGTTTTATAAACTGTTCCTTAGTTTGGGTTTGTCTAATGTTTCCTCATGAGTGATGCATGCCGAGCTAGAATACTACAAAGGGATATTGTACCTTCTTGTGATATTTCATTCAGAGGCACATGAAATCCATCTGTCCTTTTCTGGTGATACTAATTTTTATCACCCATTCTTGGTGGTGTACAGTTTCTTCACTGTATAGTAACTATTTTCCCCTTGCAGCTAATAAGCATCTTTAAAGACACATTTTAAGATTATGTAAATATCTTGCTTCTCACATAAATTTTCCCTCTGGGTTTAACACATCTATTGATGAATCTTTCCTGAACCAGTCATAACTGTGATGGTTGTAAAATAATTATTTTCCATTCTACCATTTTATCCACACTTATCAGTTGGCATTCTGCTGTTAGGAATGTCCCTCTTTTTCCCTACCAAGTTATTTATTTGTTATTAGTATGTTTGCTCTTTTCACATAACAGTATATCTGGAAACCTTCATACTATGAACTTTATAGCAGTTCATAGAAATCTCCCTTACTTGTAGAGATGTATAATAATACATTTTATGTATGTACTATGGGTTTTTTCCAAATAGTTTCCACTTTGGGGCATTTAAACAGGTTTCAATATTTTGAAATTATTTTTTTATTGTTGGAGTTGTATCTTCAGAGAAAATTCCTAGGCATGGGACCACTAGGTTGAAGGGAGTATATATTGGTAGTTTTATTTACTACAAAACTTAATTGGTAAGTTTGTCTTATTGGAATTCTACTACTACGTTGCCAAATTGCCTTTTAATTAAGCTTGTATCATTTGTATTTCCATTAGCAATGTATGATAGTGCCAGTTTCCCCACAACCTGTTTCAACAAAGTACATTGTCAAGCTTTTGAGTTAATTCCAATCTAATGAATGAGAAATGACGTCTCAGGATAGTTTTAATTTGCATTTATATTTTTTAAAAAGGAGTTGAACATCTTTTCATATGTTTAAGTGACTTTCATATATTTTTTGTCAATTGTCTTTTTTGTGAAATATTCCTGTCATTTCACCATTTTTAAATGAAGCTTTGGTCCAGTTTTCTTAACTGCTAGAAATCCTTCATATCTTATACATATTGCCCCTTTGTTTATGACATATGTTGTAAATATCTTCACCCAATTTATTTTTTAAAATTTTGTTCATAGCGTTTTTTGAGAAAATTTGTATACCACAAATTTACCCATTTAAAGTGTACAATGTAGTGGTTTAATTATATTCACAGAGTTTTGTAACCATTACCACTATTTAATTCCAGAGTATTTTCAAGAAATTCCATACCCATTGGCAGTCATTCCTCCCTCTTCCCCCATCTCCTGGCAACCACCAATTTACTTTCTATCTCTATGGATTTTTCTATTCTAGACATTCCATATAAACAGAATCATACAGTATGTGGTCTTTTGTGTCTGACTTCTTTCATTTAGCATAATTTCTTCAAGATTCATCCATGTTTAGCATGTATCAATTCTTCATTCCTTTTCATGGTGGAATAATATTCCATTATACAGATTCACCTCATTTTTTTATCCATTCATCAGTAGATGGGCATTTGGGTTGCTTCCAGTTTTGGGCTATTATGAATAATACTGCTGTGAACATTCATGTACAATTTTTTGTACAGACATATGTTTTTATTTCTCTTGGGTATAAGGCTATAAGTGGAATTGCTGAATCATATGGTAACTCTATATTTAACTTTCCAAGGAACTACTATGCTATTTTCCAAAGCAGCCTCACTATTTTACATTCCCACCAACAATTTATGAAAGTTCCAATATCTCCACATCCTCACCAACACTTCTTACTATCTGTCTTTTTTAATTTCAGTCATTGTAGTAAGTATGAAGTGATATCTCATTGTGGCTTTTTATTTGAATTTCCCTAATGACTAATGATGTAGCACATCTTTTCATAGGCTTATTGGCCATTTATATATCTTCATGGGAGAAATGGCTATTGAAAATCTTTGCACATTTTTAATAGGGTTATTTGTCTTTTTATTGTTGACTGATAATAGTTATTTACATATTCTGGATACTGGATACTAGAGCCTTATCTGTGAGGTGTTTCCCAATCTGTAGGTTGTCTTTTGACTTTCTTGATGTGTCCTTTGAAGCACAAAAGTTTTTCATTTTGATTGTCCAACTTGTCTATGTTGGGTTTCTTTTGTTTTGTTTTTTTTTTTTTTTTGCTTGTGCTTTTGGCATCACATCTCCGAAATCATTCCCTAATCCAAGGTCATGAAGGCTTACATCTGAGTTTTCTTCTAAGAGTTTTTATAATTTTTAGCTCTTACACATGGGTTTTTGATTCATTTTGAGTTAATTTTTATATACAGTGTGAGGTATAGGGGTCCAACTTCCTTTTTTGGCGGGGTAGAGGGGCATATGGCTATCCAATTGTCCTAGCACTATTTATTGAAAGGACTATCCTTTCACCATCAAATTATTTTGGGACCCATGTCAAAATAAATTGGCCATAAATATAAGGGTTTATTTCTAGATTCTCAATTCTGTTCCATTGATCTGTATGTTTATCCTTATACCAGTATCACATTGTCTTAATTAGTGTTGTTTTGTTGTAAGTTTTGAAATCAGTGTGAATCTCTAACTTTTGTTCTTCTTTTTTAAGATTCTTTTGGCTATTCTGGATCCCTGGAATTTTTATGTGAATTTTAGGATCAGCTTGTCAATTTCTGCAAAAAACAAAACAAAACAAAACAAACCAGGATTTTGGTAGGGATTATATTGAATCTGTATCTCAATTTGGGAAGTATTGACATCTTAACAATATTAAGCCTTTCAATCACTGAACATGGGATATCTATTTACTTAGCTCTTCTTTCATGTCATTCAACCATGTTTTGTAGTTTTTAGAGTATAATCTTTATACTTCTTTGGGTAAATTTATTCCTAAGTATTTTATTATTTTTCATGCTATTACAAATGGAAGTTTTTAAAATTTCATTTTCTAATTATTCATGTATAGAAATATATGATTTTTTATGTTTATCTTGTATCCTGCAACCTTGCTGAACTCATTTATTAGTGCTATTTCTGCTTTTTGCCACACAAGTTTTCTAAATGTGTTCAAATTTCCAACCTTTGCTGTGGCCCTAAGTTAGAAGGATTTCCCTGTATCCAGGTTATAGTGGAATTCACTCATTTTTATAATACTTATAAAGTTTGATAGGCGGTTTTTGCTGTTGTTTACTCTTGAGGTTAAAAAAGATTAGAGAGTGTTTTAAAACTAACTGCAGATTATTAAAGAAATACCTTGGTGAAATGAGAATAATATTGAATTTGAAGTCAAAAAATCTGGGTTGGAGTTCAGACTATTCTGTTTATCAGCTGTTTGATTGTAGGCAAGTCATTTAGCTCCTTAAAAAAATAACCTACAAAATATTCCATGCACTTCATAGAACTACTCAAAGGTTCAAAATGGAAAGTGCTTTGTGAACTCTTAGGCCTTCTGCCAGTATAAGCTACTTTTATTTCTTAACAGTAATTATTAAACATTTTTCAATCCTTCTCTTTCCTTTAGGAGATTTACCTAAGATACAGAAAGGTGCAGTAAGGCCACAGCCCTCAAAGGGGACCCGTGTATAAAAGCCATCTATTAAGTATACACAAAGAGGTTTTGTTATTTTTCCCTGTTGTTTTTCACCCTTCATTCCTTTGGAGTGACAGAAATACCCAGAGAGAAAAGACCTTTTATTTCCTGTAAAATACAGAAAAGTTCCAAAGCATTTTAGTGATTAACTCATTAAAATGAAGAAAAATAAACCAAGTCCTGGAGAGCCAACACAAGGAAGGCAGCAGTTCCAGGGACTGCTGAAAGAGCCGTCATCTACCTCATCCCTCCCTCTGCCGCAGGGGTCCGGAAGAAAACCATGCAAATGTGATTGTTTCTGAAACTCCTGATGGTAGACTTTGGCAATAAAACCTTATTTTCCTATCCAAAAGAAAAATCACAGGGTTCTACTTATGTGAGTGAGAGTATGTTTATGGGTGTGTATAAATTAACACACCCATAACAGTGCTAGCTTGGGTTGCTTTTTCCCATCTCTCACTTGAATTGCATATCCCTCTTTTTCAGTTTCCAGGGTAGCTCTGCCACTCAAGAGTTCCCAAATTTAGGGTATTTTGACTTGCAAAGTGTAATGAAATCATTAAATTCATCAGTTGCTCTACTGACAGCTTTGGAGCCAGAAAATCTAGCTTTAGATCTCAGCCTCAACAACTTACTGGCCTTGGTCAGGCCTGGGGTGATGGCTGCTCAGTGCTCCCACATGGCTCCTGGCAGGTGCAGAGTTCTCAGCTAATGGTCGCGCTTCTTATTGGCTCTTAGTAGTTGCTGTGCATTTGCTATACATATGCAATCAATTTATTGTAAATAATCAGAAAATGCTATTTTTAATTTTAAACACCTCTGAAAATATTAATACTAGCCTTTTGTTTAGAATTAGGAAGGATGTAGAATGCAGTTGTATTAGTCCATTCTCACATTGCTGTAAGGAAATACCCGAGACTGGGTAATTTATGAAGAAAAGAGGTTTAATTGACTCACAGTTTTGTATGACTAGGGAGGCCTCAGGAAACTTACAATCATGACAAAAGGCACCTGTTCACAGAGCCAGCAGGGGAAATGCCAGACACTTATAAAACTGTCAGATCTCATGAGAACTCATTCACCATCACGAGAACAGCATGGGGGAAACCACCCCCATGATTTAATTACCTCCCACAGGTCCCTCCCATGACATATGGGGATTGTGGGATTACAATGCAAGATGAGATTTGGGTGGGGACACAAAGCCAAACCATATCATTTTGCCTGTGGCCTCTCCCATATCTCATGTCCTCACATTTCAAAACATAGTCATGCCCTTCCAACAGTCCCCCAGAGTCTTAACTCATTCCAACGTTAACCCAAAAGTCCAAGTCCAAAGTCTCATCTGAGACAAGGCAAGTCCCCTCCACCTATGAGCCTGTAAAATCAAAAGCAAGTTAGTTACTTCCTAGATACAGTGGGGGTACAGATATTGGGTAAATACACCCGTTCAAAATGGGAGAAATTGGCCAAAACAAAAGGGGCTACAGACCCCATGCAAGTCCAAAATCCAATAAGGTAGTAATTAAACCTTATAGTTCTAAAATGATCTCCTTTGACTCCATGTCTCACATCCAGGTCATGCTGATGTAAGAGGTGAGCTCCAGGGCCTTCAGCAGCTCTGCCCCTGTGGCTTTGCAGGGTACAACCCCCCTCTTGGCTGCTTCCATGGGCTGGCATCGAGTGTCTATGGCTTTTCCAGAGCACGGTGCAAGCTGTCAGTGGACCTGCAATTCTGGGGTCTGGAGGACCGTGGCCCTCTTCTCACAGCTCCACTAGGCAGTGCCCCAGTGGAGACTCTGTGTAGGGGCTTCCACCCCACATTTCCTTTCCACACTGCCCTAGCAGAGGTTCTCTGTGAATGCTTCGTCCCTGCAGCACACTTCTGCCTGGACACCCAGGCATTTCCATCCATCTTCCGAAATCCAGCCAGAGGTTCGCAAACCTCAGTTCTTGACTTCTGTGTACCTGCAAGCTCAACACCTCATGGAAGCTACCAAGGCTTGGGGCTTGTACCCTCTTAAGCCACACCCAAGCTGTACCTTTGCCCCTTCTAGCCATGGCTGGAGCAAAAAGCAAGGCACCGAGTCCCTAGGCTGCACACAGCAGGGGGGTCCTGGGCCCACAAAATCATTTTTCCTCCTAGGTCTCAGGGCCTGTGATAAGGGGGGCTGCTGTGAAGGTCTCTGGCATGCCCTGGAGACATTTGCCCCATTGTCTTAGTGATTAACATTCAGCTCCTCGTTACTTATGCAAATTTCTGCAGACAGCTTGAATTTCTCCCCAGAAAATGGGTTTTCCTTTTCTACTGCATTGTCAGGCTACAAATTTTCCAAACTTTTATGCTCTGTCACTTCTTGAATGCTCGGCTGCTTAGAAATTTCTTCCACCAGGCCAGGAGCGATGGCTCATGCTTGTAATCCCAGCACTTTGGGAGGCCGAGGCAGGTGGATCACAAGGTCAGGAGATTGAGACCATCTGGCTAACGCAGTGAAACCCGTTATCTACTAAAAAAAAAAAAAAAAAAAAAAAATACAAAAAATCAGCTGGGCGTGGTGGCACGTGCCTGTAGTCCCAGCTACTCGGGAGGCTGAGGCAGGAGAATCGCTTGAACCCAGGAGGCGGAGGTTGCAGTGAGTCGAGATCGCACCACTGCACTCCAGCCTGGGTGACAGAGCGAGACTCTGTCTCAAAAAAAAAAAAAAGAAAAGAAAGAAATTTCTTCCACCAGATGCCCTAAATCTTCTCTCTCAAGTTCAGAGTTCCACAGATCTAGGGTAGGGCCAAAAAGCCACCAGTCTCTTTGCTAAAGCATAGCAAGAATGACCTTTACTCCAGTTCCCAGCAAATTCCTCATCTCCATCTGAGACCACCTCAGCGTGGACTTCATTGTCCTTATCACTATCAGCATTTTGGCCAAAGCCATTCCACAAGTCTTTAGGAAGTTCCAAACTTGCCCACATCTTCCTGTCTTCTGAGTTCTCCAAACTTTTCCAACCTCTGCCCATTACCCAGTTCCAAAGTCACTTCCACATTCTCTGGTATCTTATAGCAATGCCCCATTCTGCTGGTACCAATTTACTGCATTAGTCCATTTTCATACTATTTCACTTTTTGTTTCATATTGTTTCACTATAAAAATTTTCTAAGAATGACATCAATCCAAGTGCCACAAAGGGGAAGATTACTGGTTTTTTTTTTTAAGTAATAACTACTTTTTTTAAAAAATGATACATGTTCTTTGTTTTTTAAAAATCAAGCTATATAGGAAAGGTCAAATATATGCCACCAGTCACCTCAGACCTCCTTGCCCAGAAATAGCCAGTGTTGACACTTGCTGAACAATTTTTCTCTGCATATATACAGATGAGTATACATTAGGAGACAGAAGAGAAAAAAAAGAGAAAGGAAGAAAGTGATAAATTTGACAGAGTAAAAATGAAAAACTACTCTGTGATAATATATCATAAAGTCAAAACATAAATGTCAAAGAGGAGAAAATATAGAAAGAGTTCTTTAAAAATCTGGATAAAAAAGACAACTCAGTAGAAACATGCACAAGACAGGAACATACAATTTACAGAAGAGGAAACATAAATAACCAATAACCATACAAAAATAATCCTCAGCCTCACTCGTAATTAAAGAAATGCAATTTAGCTGTCTGGCCATTGTGGCTGGAGCCCAGTATGGGTCATAGGAGATGAAGCTAAGAGCGGCACGTGGCTGGGTTATGATTATGTGTGTGTGTGTGTGTGTGTGTGTGTGTGTGTGTGTGTGTGAGAGAGAGAGAGAGAGAGAGAGAGATTTCTGGAACAATACAGGAAACTGATTAGCTGTAAGCCTGGGAATGGGGAGAAAAAGAGGTTAAGGCAGGTAGAAGGGGGAAGGAGTATTTTTAATTTCAATTGTTTATTCTTTTCCACCACTTAAGATTTTTTAAGATTCTATGCAGGTAATACTCTTATCATTTAAAAATCTAATTAAGTTTTAAGAAAACACATACTTGCAACCAAACGAAGAAAATATAAGCCCTTGAGGTATCTATTTTGTTGCTAATGCTTATACAGAGTAGTGCTTTTTCTCCCCAGCTCTTTGGAGGAGCTAAAATTGACAACTGGAGAGCTGCCACTGAGGACTTTCTCTGACTATTAAAAGAAACTGGCTTAGTCCAGGGCCCTCAGAACTCAGTTTTCCAATGCTCTCTGCTCCCAGTGACTTCCTGTTCATCTAATCCCCCAGGGATTCCCAGCTCCGTCTTTTTCTTAGCCAAGGTTCACCAGCTGCCCCAGGCCTCCAAGGGGTGTGTGGCCATGAAAGCCTTCCCTGCTGGGCAGAGATGGGAGAGGGAAGGAAATGGCAACCCGGGGCTGCAACGTGACCCTGTCTTACGTAAGGGTGTTAGCTCAGATTTGAAGGGTGAAATGACCAGTTTTGGCAGGGTGAAAAGGCAAGCTATGCAGCTTCACAGCTGGTCAGTTATAAAAGAAACAGCAAGCTCACACCTCCAATGACAAGTGGACTTGAACTTCTTTTGAATTAAGGCACAAACTTGAAACAAAGCAGAGTCGTAGACTCTCGGTCGACGACACCATAACATCTTCTCTATCCACCATCTGCCGCTTTTCTCTCCTTTATGGCATCCCTCTAAAGTGTTTAGAAGCTAGCTGCTCAGGCATCCACATGTTAGCATCTCACTCTTCCCTCTAGGCAGCCCAGTCCATTTCTGGACAGAGTCTACTCTTTGACAGCCTCTTTCTCTGACCCTTAAATATCTCTTCATTACATTGATTAGAAAATCATCTTTCTGTAACTTCTACCCTCTCAATAACCAAGTGTTAGACTGGAAAAGTATGCAGTTTGGAATGACAGGCCTTAGTCTGAGTCTCTGTTCTGCTGCTGACGCACCATGTGACCTTCAACCTCATCTCCTGGAGGCTTAATTTCCCCTTCTGTAAATTGGGCTGTTCACATCACTTTCAATGGTCATTTTGAGACTGAGTGAACTGGTAAGTGGTAAAATTCATTTAGTACCACACCTGGCAGAAGAAGGTGCTTAATCGATGTTAGTTCCCTCCTTCCCTGTGTCCCTCCAGTGCTCACCCTCAGCTGTACAAAGAGATCCTGGCTGTGACTAAGTTGAAGACTTCTATTGTCTCCTCGCTGAGTGTTCTCATCTCCAGAGTAAATACATTCAGGCTAAGTCCACAAATGTACCTTGATCTTCTTGTGTACTTAATCTCTACTTTGCTGTAGGAGAGATTTTGCTCTGTCACTGAACCCCAAATTATTACAAAGTGGGGGGAAAATATATTTCCCTAACCCCCAAGACCCACCCCATCCCCAAGAGCTGGGATTCCACACTCAGACTCCTTCCAGGGTTTGAAGTTGAGTGTTCAGATGATGGGGTCTGCCTGCAGAAATAGAAGTGTCTCTCATCCTTTTCACTAGTCATCAGGCTTTCTCTTTAGGAAATATTACACATTTTACCAATCCAAGGGGACAGGCCCAGTTAGATAAAAGCCTGCCAGCTCTGGCTGTGTCTGTCGACAGCTTGATTGGCACTGAGGAATCTGTGGTTTCCCCCAGACATACATA
The DNA here is from genome assembly GCF_000001405.40 of Homo sapiens. Taxonomy (NCBI): domain Eukaryota; kingdom Metazoa; phylum Chordata; class Mammalia; order Primates; family Hominidae; genus Homo; species Homo sapiens. The sequence continues at coordinate 99,180,432 of NC_000015.10, read as the reverse complement.
CAAGGCACCAGGATGGAACAGCTGCTCTGTGCCTTGGCAGGGGTTGAGGTCCTTGGTCTTGTGGATGAGTTTTGTTTTTTTTTTTTTTAATTAATGACCTTGTTCAATGTGGAATATTAGAAGTTTTTTTTTGTTTTTAACCCAGTCCAACATGCCAGCACCCCAAGGGATTTGGAGATATTAAACATTCCTCCTCAGCTTCAAGATGACAGTTGATAAATGTAACCATAAGATACTGAAAAGAACAAAAGACATGAGGGGAAATGCAAGCCCTGGGGAGATTAATAAATCCTGAGGAGAAGGAGTGAGTGTGGTCAAACTATGGAGCCCCAGCGAGGCCCATTACTTGATCTCTTGCAGAAATCCAGGAGAGGCAAGCAGGATGCCTGTAATTCTGTTAACTGTGATTCCTAGTCCTTAAATGCTCTCAGATGCATGTAACAGGGTATTTATATTCCCTCAGCAAATGAAGCATTGTTTGAAAATTGTGAACAATGGTTGAGTTTGGAAAGACAGTGTAGTCTAAACACTAGCATTGTCAACGTCCTTTGCACTCACTCCCTAAGGAAGCCTCACTGCCCAGCATGTGCTGTGGTTCTCAATCTGTGTCACCCTGAGCCCTCATGTTCCATGGAGGTTCTTCTGGGGCAGCTAGCTGGGAGCAGGTAGTCAGACTTCCAGGCCCCTCCACCTGCTTCTGTGAGAGCGGCTGTTCTGCTCTTTCCTGCTGTGTATATTGAGAACCACAGAAGGTTTTGTTTGGGTTCTTCTGCTCCAGAAAAGAAACTTGAAAATCAATGGTGCCATGGTGTTTGCATCCTTTTACAAGTTGCTTCGTTCACTCAGTGGTATGTTTTTGAAATACAACCATGTTAACATATGTAGATGGAGTTCAATCAAGAACTTGTAGAATAAACCACAATATGTTCATTCCCCTGCTGATAGATATTTAGGTGGTTCCCCATTTTTTACCATCTCAATTAATGCATCAGTGGAGGGCATTTTCAACACAGGCAATGGGCGGTGCCCATTAAGCTGGACAAGAAGGGAAGGACAGCAGGAGGGTTGGATGACTAGTGAGAATGTCAGGGGGCGGTGGAGTAGATGTGCATGGAGGCAATAGATCTAGGGCCCCCCAAGAGCCAAAATGGGTCTGTGAGTTGGAGGATCCAGTGGTAACACAGAGTGGGCGATGATGAGGTCTGGAGTGTGACCCAGGGACTGGGCACCTGAGAGTAAGGAGGAAAGTAAGTTTGTCAGAAACCTGAGAGGCCAAGGTGTTGGCTAGGTCGTTGGCTGGACATTTCCGTGTGGTCCTTCAGCTACACTGTGCATCCTTCTCAGCCCTGCTCTGTGCCCCAGAGGCTGACCTTTAATTACCATCTCAGTGCCCTTTCCCTCAGACTGAGAGATACACAGCCTGGACCAGGGAAGACATGGAGACAGAGCATCCATTCCTCCAGCCCCTCCCCTCAAGGTCCCTGCAGGTAGGCCGTGTCTCTACTGAAACCCACCGCTCATTTCCCTACAATTCTTCTTTCTGGTTATAGCAAATGCCCCCAGCACCTTGTCTTGGGAGCCAGCGTGCTCATCTTGGGTTTCCTCCATGCCAGGGATCATTTTATTGACCTCTTTTCCTCCATTAACCTGTTTACATGTGCCATCTCTTTCCTGCCTGATTGAGTACAGGCCAATCTCATGCATACTGAAATCTTGGGAAATGATGACAAGAGTAAGGGTAGATAGGAAGTCAGTTAGCTGGGTGCAAAAACCTAGTGAGGGGCAGTGTCTGTAAATCTGCATAAAATACAAACTATCCTACATTTTTGTAGTTCACATGTGAGCTCCTTTAAAACTAAAATTCCTGCCTAAATTTTTAGGGGAATTTCTAATGTTAGCACAATATCTGGCATGTAGAAAGCATTTAAAAATGAACATAAGTTGAATAGGACTGAATTAAATTAAATGGAATTAAATTGAATTTTACTGAATAAATGAGATGCTAATTTTGCACATTTTAGACATCCTGGGTGTTCCCCCGTCAAACCCCCTTCCCTCTAGCATATGGTTTATAAAAGCTTCATGAACATCAAATAAATTACATTAGGGATTGAGTTTCTGAAGTGAATAATGAATAATAAATGTTTGCTTATGTTAGCATTTCATGTAGAAAAATGTTTAAGTCATGAAAATTTTGTGATAAATTCAGATCCCTTTAAGCTTTCAGGACCCACTTTCTTTTTTTATTTTTTGAGACAGAGTCTTGCTTTGTCACTCAAGCTGGAGTGCAGTACACGATCACGGCTCACTGCAGTCTTGATCTCCCAGGATCAAGTGATCTTCCCACCTCAGCGTCCTGCGTAGCTGGGACTACAGGTGTATGCCACCACCCCTGGCTAATTTTTTTTATTTTTTAGTACAGACAGGGTCTCACTATGTTGCCCAGGCTAGTCTCAAACTCCTGAGCTCAAGTGATCCTCCTGCCTCGGCCTCCCAAGGTGCTGAGATTATAGGCATGAGCCAGCATGCCCAGCCTGACTCACTTTCTTGATATTGTGTGTATTTTGCTCTTGGAAAACTTTGCTTTCTGTCTCCATGGCAAAAAAACAACTTACAGTGTTTTCAGAACATGTAATTATTGATTTGAAAATAATTTTGTTAGACACATATCTATTAACATTTTCTTGAATTTATAATATTGAATAGGAAGAAACAAAATATAAAATCTTTCTTGTTTTGGTTTTAATCTAAAATACTATATGTCTTTGCATCATATGAGTTAAAGCTTTTCTGGCATTACACAGTGATTGTTCTCTCCAAATAACAGATCGTAGAGATAGTAGGGGAAAAGCAAAGTAAACATGGCTCAATTTGCATTTGGTATTTTTTCGGAGGGTGTGGGTATTTCCTCTTTTTTCCTTTCTCCAAACACTACACAAGCAATAATTTGACTCTATCCCTGTGGCTGCTATTGTCTATATACACATGAAGTTGAATTTCATAGTGCCCGTTATTTGGAAAACATTTAAGTCAGACCTTAAGATTGGGCCTTTCATGCCAAATCAAGGACAGTGGCTAATTTGGGGTTGCCAAAATCACATATTCAATTCTTTATATTCTGTAATAAGAAAAGTCATTTTAAAGCAAAGGATATTGTTGGCACTTATGAATAAGAAATTCTGACTATTCTAATGCAGCAATAAAAATTATTACCTGCAGTCTTATTTTGGAGTAGCCCCAACATAAAAAGTCCAGAGCTAGTAGCTTAGCAGATTTTAACATGTGACAAGTAAGGTGACAGTCTAGAGTCAAAGATTCTATCTCCGCTCTGATTATAGTCTCAGAAATGCATTCGGCTGGTCATAAGAGGAGGAAGTACTGCATGGTCCAGACTAGAATGCTCAACTGGGATGACTTGATCTCCTGTGCCAGCTGCCATAGATGAATCACAGCTCCTGAGGACTGAATTAGGGTTCCCTGAGGAGTGTGCTGGCATCAATTAGTGATGTCTCCCACCACTGGCTAGGGTGGGGGGAATGGCAGCACTCAGGACATGATAGAGATAGCAGAATTTGAAGTTAGAGGATCAGGGTCAGACTCTTATCTCTATCTCTTATTAGCTGTGAGATATCATAATCACCCATTCAGCAATCTTAGTTTTCTCATGTATAAAATGAAGATAACAATTATCAAGAAAATTAAAATTGGTATCACAAATAAAAAAGAATTAAAGTGCAGCTTACATCTTATGAATTGCTAGTGTGTTTTGCCTATCCCAATCTAGTGTTTTCCTTTTTTATCTTTTTGTGTGTATTTGTGTATGACAGGGTCTTGCTCTGTCACCCAGGCTGAAGTGCAGTGGCATAATCATAACTCATTGCAGCCTCAACCTCCCGGGCTCAAAGCAATTCACCCGCTTTAGCCCTCCCGAGTAGCTGGGACTGCAGGCATATGCCACCATGCCCGGCTAATTTTTGTATTTGTTGTAGAGACAGGGTTTCACCATGTTGCCCAGGCTCATCTTGAACTCCTGAGCTCTAGCAATCTCCAGCCTCAGTCCCCCAAACTGCTGGGAGTACAGTTGTGAGCCACCATGCCTGGCCTACTCATGGCATTTTAGTATTCTGTCACTCTTTTGGCAATTAATTGTGAACTACCTACCTACTGACTCACATTAGTGTATTATCTTACTTCACCGTATTTTATTTTTTGTACTGCACACACTTTCTAGCCCATGCCTCTCCTATAGTAGGCAATCCTAAGTGTGAATGAATGTAAACATGTTACTAATAGTATTTTAAAACTCCAAATGCTGACAGGGAGTTGAGTAGTTACTTTTTATTTGAAAGCAGGTATTTTGCATGTTATTTGAAAGGACTATTGTGATTTTATGTTCAGAAGATCATAGTTTTTTGTTTGTTGTTTAAAAACTTTTATTTTTTGAGACAGAGTCTCTGTCACCCAGGCTAGAGTGCAGTGGTGCAATCTCGGCCCACTGCAACCTCCACCTCCCAGGTTCAAGCTGTTCTCGTGCCTCAGCCTTCCAAATAGCTGGGACTATAGGCGTGCACCACCATACCCGGCTAATTTTTATATTTTTATTAGAGATGAGGTTTCACCATGTTGGCCAGGCTGGTCTTGAACTCCTGACCTCAAGTGATCCACCTGCCTTGGCCTCCCAAAGTGCTGGGATTACAGACATGAGCCACCGCGCCTGGGCAACAACATTTTAGTGGACTTTATTTTCAAGGAACTGAGCTGCTTTCTGTGCTTGGGCAGCTCCCCTGAGCAAGTTTGTAGAGGGTGCAGGCAAATGGGCTTGGTGGCACAGGCACAAAGGAGGGGTCTGTATATCTGTGGGGAGACTGCTGACACCCACCGGTAGGTCCCACTTTTGGGGCTGGCGGGTAGGCAGGGCACTGGGCTTGCCCACTGTCTGCACAGCATCGACACCTTCTATTCATCTCTTTACTTCTTGTAACTCCCCTTCCTTTGCTGACACTGGACTCAAAGGATCATAGACGTTTAATGATTTGCTTAGTGACAGGCCCTGGCCATAGCATTGAGCCATCTGGATTCATTGTCCAGTGTTCCCTCCACCACTCAGACCTTTTAAAATCCAGCTTTCCTGCGAGTTGATTTCACTTCCACATAAATCATTTCTTCTAGCTTGCTGGAAAGTTCCTTGGCTTTCTGCTTATCTCTGCAAGGACAGTTAATTCCCTGCTGCTGCTGCCAAGTATGTAAACAACATGTTTCTTCTTTCTGTGGTGACAGGCACATCTTATCATCCTGAGTAGAAGCCCCTCTCAAGTGGAGGCAGCAGACTCGGCACACATCGTCGCCCATGCTGCTGTCGCTTCAGGGAGACACGAGCACCATGGTGAGAAGAATCCTTTTCTCTTCCTGTCTCACAGGCATCTGGGTCTATAAACGAGCTGCCTTCTAGATGGGTTAACAGGTGGACAGAGCCGCGACACAGGCCCGCCACAGAGCCTTCCTTGTTTTATCTGATCATCTGCCCCTATGCTACTCTGCTGCTTTCCTCTGAGTCCTTTGGTTTCTCTCCCCTTCTTCTAGCCTTCTTCTAGTCTTTTATTCTTAAATACAGCCAATCTCTATCCAAATGTTAGCTGTTAAGAGCCCCAGAGCATCTGTACTGGGCTTACGGTAAATCTGCTCTGCTTTCAAAGGTGATCTATTTTTAAAGATTGTTGTGGCAACAGCTCTGGCCTCTGGGCCAGCCGGCCTCCAGGCACTGTCAGGGCTGAACTTTCCATCAGGATGAACTTACACGGCTTCAGGATTCCAAAAGGAAGTTGCCATTTATGGCTTTTTCTTAGGGTTTTTCTTATCCCCGCGTAATAGGTAGAGCATCAAGCTTCAGGAATTATTTAATCCACGTACAGAGCATACAATGTGCCTCCGTTGGCAGAAAACACATAGTACTAATGATTTTTTTTTTTTTTTGGTCATAATATTCAGAAATGGAGTACAATTCATAAAGAAGACCTAGGGGTGTATTCCAAGATATCAGATAAAAATAATTACATACTGAATAAAATAAGGTCCACTGTGCTCAAAAGCATAAAATCAACATCTGGAAGGCATGGGGTTGATTCAGGAAGTAGAAGTCAGGCTAAAATGAGGCCAGCACATGGGAGAAGGTGAAGGGAAAGCTTCAATGAGCAGCCTGGTCTGAAAAGATCCATGGGCCAGGCAGGGAGCTTCGGTCCACAGAGGAACTGATGAAGGGGGCATCGGCATTTATCCATCTGTCCATCACACCTTGCAGATCTCTCATTCTGGCCTACTAGAGCTTGAAGCACCTTTTTAGATCTGGAGGAGCCTGTGTAAGGATGGAGAGAGGAGACAGGTGACCTTTCTTGTCCCTGCTCCCTAGAACATTCCACACTAACCATCAGGTTTGCTTGTTGGTGCCTAAAATTCATGTAATAGGAGGAAAGTACTTTCTATTCCATACCTATTAATAAAACACTTAAAATACATGTTTGATGGAAACTCCTAGAATAGCAAGTCACAAATCTAAATGTCTACAGGAACCAAGCAAGCAATGTGAGTGAAGCAGGTGGTTATCAGAAACCAGCAGCAGCAGCAAGCATAGTTATAAATGGCAGCTAACTGATGGCTGTAGTATGAGAGAGACGAAACAGAGTGGTGAGGATTGTGGCAAACTAAAACCCATACCTGCTACTTAAGCTCCAGCCCTGGCAGCCATGTGGAAGGGAGGCTTATATTGGCAGAGCTCCTTTTTTAAGAGAAGGTGGAAATTTGGAGTTTTATTGGAGAATCTTCAATTTTTTTTTAATTATTTTTTATTTTTTTAGAGACAGGGTCTCACTCTGTCACCCAGGCTGGAATGCAGTGGCGCAATTATAGCCCACTGCAGCCTCAGACTCCTGGGCTCAAGTGGTCTTCCTGCCTCAGCCTGCGAAGTAGGTGGGACTACAGGCACACACTGCTTGCACCCAGCTAATTTAAAAAATTCTTTTTTAAAGACAGAGTCTTGCCAAGGATGGTCTTGAACTCCTGGCCCTAGGCTACCCTCCCATCTTGGCTTCCCAAAACTCTGGGATAACAGGCATGAGCCACCACAGACCCAGCCCAATTTTTAACTGATGGTAACTAACTGAAATATGTTTAAGGCTCTGAGTGAGTCAAAACAAGTGCGAAGGCTGGATCCGTGACTTTTGACCTGGAAAGCAAGAGTGACAGGTTGCTGTCAGATCTTTCCTGTTTTCCTTGGGGGCGTAAACTGGCAGAGTAAGGGGAGGTGGGTCCATTCCTGAATGAATACCAAACCAAACAGAGAGGAGGCTAAGGCCAAAAGACCATCTTTTTGCCTAGAGGGATTCTGGTTTCCAGCACTTGACCCAGTGCTCAGTGTACTCACTGCAGGTATGAATTGAGTGGGACCTAGTGAATCTGTGCCCTAGAATGCTATTGTCCCATAGCTGTGAAGTTAGGCCACTCTGCTTTGCATGACTTTTGGAATCAGAGGCAATCCAATTTTAGTTATATATTTTTAAAAAGTTTTCCAGTCTAAATATAGCACTCTATTGCCTTCTCTTAAATTGAAAATGATAATAATACCTACTTGATACAGATGATAAATGTGTGATAATTAAATGACCTCACACAGTTATAATATTAATAGCTACCGCTTATATATGGCATACCAGCAATGGTTCTCACCACACTACATTTATTAATTCAGAAATCCTTGCAACTCGATGAGATAGGTACATTTATCCCCATTTGTTGGATGGAGAAGTTGAGGCACCCAGAGATTAGGTAATTTTTCCAAGGGCCCATAACCAGTGAGTGGTAAAGATATGAACCCAGGCAGCCAACCACCCCAGAGGCTCTTTATGCCATGTCATGTTATAGGGTCTGGCACTTCACATGTCTCCTCCCACCTTAGGCCCACCAAAAGAATCTGTGGGCAGACAAGGGACACAGGAAGAATGAAGGCAGCCCAGAGAAAAGGGTTTGGAGTGCCAATGGGAAGGCCTGGGGCCCAGGAGCATGCGGAGAATCTCAGCTCCAACCTGCAGCAGCTGAGGGCATTCGGTGACATGCACTCAGAAAGCCCACTTGCCAGTCAGAATTGAAATATGTGAGGAGCCACTTTGGGAGGCCAAGATGGGTGGATCACATGAGGTCAGGAGTTCGAGACCAGCCTGGCCAGCATAATGAAACCCCGTCTCTACTGAAAATACAAAAATTAGCCAGGTGTGGTGGTGCGCGCCTGTAGTCCCAGCTACTTGGGAGGCTGAGGCATGAGAGTCACTTGAACCTGGGAGGCAAAGGTTACAGTGAGCCAAGATTGTGCCACTGCACTCCAGCCTGGGCAACACAGCAATACTCTGTCTCCAAAAAAAAAAAAAATGTGAGAAACATAAAGTAGATGGGTAAGAAGACAACTTCTCCCAGGCACAAGGAGTTGGGACTGATAGTTTTACAAATTGGGAAAGGGGGTGACTTCTGCATTAGGCCTGGAGGATTGGTTGCTTGAAGCAGAAGCAAAAGACGACTGAGAGGCCGGGCCCAGTGGCTCACACCTGTAATCCCAGCACTTTGGGAGGCCGAGGTGGGTGGATCACGAGGTCAAGAGATAGAGACCATCAAACCATCCTGGCCAACATGGTGAAACCCCATCTCTACTAAAAATACAAAAAATTAGCTGGGTGTTGTGTTGCGCACCTGTAGTCCCAGCTACTCGGGAGGCTGAGGCATGAGAATCACTTGAACCCTGGAGGCAGAGGTTGCCGTGAGCCGAGATTGTACCACTGCACTACAGCCTGGCGACAGAGCGAGACTCAGTCTCAAAAAAAAAAAAAAAAAAAAAAGACGGAGAGACTCAGGAGCAAGCAAGAATCATAATAGTGACAGTAACAACCATAGCAGCAGCACTTGGGCACCTCTTGTATACAGGTGCTGGTACTTCCACAGACATGCTCATTGAATCCTTTTAACAACCCTCGGAGGCAGGACAGGACCTCCCATTTTACAGATGAGTTCATACTGCCACCTCTTCATACCAGAAAGTACCATGAATCTGAAGGACCTACTGTCTCTACTCGTTGTTCTACCCCAAAAGGACCAAGTCCCCATCAGTCTGTATGGTGCTCCTAGGCAGGCCCTTGTCAGATTCAGCACCTATCAACCAGAAGACACTTGAACTGTTTATCATCCTGATGCTATTAGGAAGAAAGCTTACTGAGGCCTTAAAGGTGAGTCAATGCTAAGCGAAGAGCCAGAGCAGAGAAGCAGTGGCTGGAAACAAATGCTGAGTGTCCTGCAGCACCGTGAAGTCCTGGAACAGGTGCAAAAAGGAGCACAAACCTTTGCCCCTAAGGCCTCAAACGAATCACCTAAATGGGCACATCAGGAACAATAAAAGCAAGAAGAACCCTCAAACTATTCCTACCCCATGAACATAGTTTAAAAACTGCTGCCATTGAAATCCTTGTGCCCACAGTGGCAGATGTGGGAAAGGCTGGAAAAGAGCTCCCCAGGCCAGCACGTGTTGCACGTGTGGGGAATCAGCTTCCCTCTAGAAGCAGAAATGCAACAGGCACCACCCAGCCAGGGGCTGCAGCAGGAGCACAGGTGGGTACATTCCCAGTGTCTTTTATGTCACCTCTCTGCTGTCCCCTCACGTGGCCAATGCCCCCACAGCAGGAATGAAAGAAATCTACTGCGGCCTAGGTTTCTCCAGGCCTCTGCTGCCTCCACCAGGGAGAAATAAGAGAGGGCAATTTGCAACGTATCTTTGTGTAACAACTAAGGGGCAACCAAATCCCTCACAGCTCTCAACAGCATAGGACTTTCTGACCTGGACGTTGGTCACTTCTAATTCAGAAGTCCTGGCTGGATCCCAGGAGCAAATCTGCACATTCCACCCAGCACCAAGGGGGAATCTTAGCTCTGCTCTCCTGTGCTTAAACCTGTTTGTACGGGGTACAAAGACTTTTGGGGAGTTGGTTTTGGTTTTGATTTTTGAAGAAAATAATTATTAATGAGAAAAATTTCTCCCTTGAGGATTCTCTGTAGCCTGCCTGCTTGCGTGCGAAATGCCCATTGAAGGCATTGCCCTCTAACAAAACGCCACTGGCCAAGAAGCAAGTGTTTCAGTCTCGACGCACAAGCTGATCCCTTTGCTCTGTGCCTTCCCTGTATTCCTTATGCAGACAAAACTGCCCAAGAAGTCACGAAGGCTTGTGATTGCACAAAGATTCCCAATTCAGGCTCCTGGAATGTCACTAACCTGAGCCTGGCCAGCTTCCCAGAGGAGCATAGACAAACTTGGTATTCACAGCTTTCCCAGCCCTGCTAAGTGTTCAGGGCATTGGCTTTGTGTTTATAACTCATCTCCTAAAGAATATTAAAATGAAATGGTTCAAAGCCAAGAACATTTCAGCCTTTGAGAGGGCAGAGCCTGCTGAGTGCAGGCGGCCTTGTTTGGAAGTAGCCCCATCTGCGGCCTGGGCTCTTGCAGGCCGGGGAGTTCTGCAGCGTTCAGTGACAGCAGATGGAATGGGCTCTGTCTGGTTAGAGTTTAGGGAGCAGGGGCTGACTAAGTGGATTCCTAAGATAAAATTTCCTATGCACGAATATGTATATCTCCCCCGCCCCCACTGGTCCTAGCCTCTAGCCACATTTTACACAGTAGACTGGAAAAATGTCAGTATCGGAAGCTAGTCACTGCATCTCACCCAGGTCTCCTCTTTTTTACCTTACACGACCCTCCCTTTTCTCAACTCTTCCCCCTGTGGCCTGCCTTTTCAGCTTGCCCAGTGCTGGGCCCTCCCCACTCCCTGCTCACTGGGTTACTGATGCTCCTTGGGCCCCGTGTGTTCCAGAGAGACCAGAAATCAGGCACCCCTGGTGTACACAGGCCCTAGGTCTTGTGGGCCCCTGACAGGTGACATGGACACCTGGGAATAGCCACAGTGAGGTGTCCTTTACCTTCCCATGCCCTTCTTAGCTGTCCCTGCTACCTCTCTCATGATGCCTCCAACCTCAGCTTCCAAGTGGGGCCTGGTGGTACAGTCAAGTGAGAGTAAGCCATGGCTGGCCACGCCCCAGTTGCCTGTCTCCCTTCAGACTTCCCACTGCCCTGGGCCCCTGTGCGCTCTGAGAGAGCCTTCCTCTGTCCCTTCTCAGGGCCCATTTGTTTTTACAAAATGCCCAACCAGCCTGAGTTTGGCCTTGCCTTTGAGCTCCCCAAGCAGCACATGTGGCATCCATCCCTGCTCTGTGCCCCACAGGGAGTGAGGGAGAAAGGGGAAGTGAGGGTGCAGTGGAGTGAGGCTGAGGCCCAGAGAAGGAAAGAGATGCCCCATACTCTGTTTTCACCAGCATTAGGAGGATCCCTTCTCAGAAACTTCTGGAAGTCACCCTAGAGTAGTCACATCTAGGGGATTAGGGTCCAGGGTCACTCAGCAAGTTAGAGGCCAAGCAAGGCCTAGAATGGAACCCAGGTGCTACCCACTTACCACACTCCAGACCCAGAGAGGGAGTTGTCCCATCCCCACCCCACGCTGCTGAGGGTGCAGGGCTCTGAGCAGCCCTAAAGGAGAGGCAGGTAGGGGCTGCAGGGGTTGGCAGCCCTTGGGGCCAGTGGAGGAGGAGGAGAGGAGGCCTGTTCCCCACCCAAGTTTGTGCGTTGACCCCTCTAGCTGGGGCAGAGCTGAAACCTCATCAAGCTTACTCACCAACTGCTGTCCCTTCATTGTGTCTGAGAGCAAAGCCTGTCTTCATTTCTTTCCTGGGGAGGCTGAAGTGCATGAGCAGCATGATGACCACGTTCATGAGGTTCGGGTTTTTCACTTCTGAGCTGGTTTGTAATTTGCGTTCAGAACTTCTTAGAGAAGCCTATGTAACTTACACCCCGACTTGGCTTCAAAAAGGATTTTTAAGGCAGCTTATGGAAAACGCATCTACATCACCAAGACAAGTAACAGGAACTTGAGGTTGCTGGAAGCCTTCACTACATGGTGGCCCCAAGTTGTGGTCATGGAGGGGGGCTGGTCACTTTCCTGGTGGTGAGGACACTTAAGGCAGGCAGATCCCAATGGCGACCAGGCCCTGTGTGGGCACTCTGCATATTTATACCTTGCGAGCCTCACCTTGTCTGCTGCCATTGGATCACTTCACTTTATGGATGCACACCTGTCCCTAGAGATGGCCACGGACTTCCTTGTATCACACAGCTAGTGAGTAGCAGCCCTGCCACTCCCTGAAGCCATGTCACAGGCCCCTGTCTATGGCACTGTGAAAGTGTTCCTCATGAAGAGGGTCTCCTGTGAGGACCACTGAAGGCTCTGGGGTGAGGAAGGAGTCTCTTCCGGGCTTTATGTGTTCTCAGGCTTCCCGTGTGGCCTCCACAAGCTAGCAGACTCGAACAGCAGCCCCCAGCAGGGTCTAAGTAGCTTCAATGTGTTTCCTGGGTGAGGGAGCTCCTCCAGGTTAGCGCCAGGCTATGATTTGGGACTTTCCATTTTTAAACTCCCTGGGGTCCTTTGCGGTTGGTACAGAGTAGGGACTATTTCCTAAGACTGCTACAAAAGACAATCGTCACATTGTAGAGAGGCCTCCCTCTTAATGAAAGCTGTCCTTACTGTTCCAACTCCTGCCTTAGGACAGCCACAGGAAAATGAACGCAGGGTTACTGGAATTTATTTTAATTAAAAGCCTCCTGACCTCCCCTCCAGTGGGCCACATTGCAGTCCTGCATTCCTCTTGCTCTTGGGATGAAGCCTTGTTTTCTTTTGCCTGTATACGTACATCTCTACACAGAATCTTTCAGGGTCTTTTGGAATGACATGGCTCCAAGTCCTCAAACAGAGCCGTCTGGAGAGACATCAAACCACCCTGCTCACCGAGCCACACCTTCTCCCTGCTCTAACTCACAGACAACCTAAACATTCTGTTAGAGTGAAAATAGAAGATTCGTGGCCTTGGAACACCTGTGCCATTAGGGCTCAGATTTACAAGCTAAGTCATGCTCCTGTGTTTTAGAAAATGACCTCAGCTTCTGCCCAGGCCTTCGGCATCAGATTGCAGAGGATTCTAGAAGTGGTTTTCAAAGGTAGGGGTGGCCTTGTGTGAGAGTGCTGAAACTGCTGGCTCTTTGTGAACCTACACCCTGTTTCAGGGCACAAGGTTCAGGCCGGGAGGCAGCAGCCACTTGAAGGGGCTATGACTTCCTGTCCTTCTGGAAATCCTGTTGTCACTTGTCCCAGGTGGAGATAGACTGGGATGTCCATTGCCAGGAGAATAAACTGCTTCTCAGGAAGTGACCCCTTTGCTGTAGTAATAGGACTCAATTTGCCCTCCCGTCAAAGGCTGCTCATGTGGATTTAGTTCTCAAAGTTAATTTGGAGGTGAGGGGGTTGGGGGAAATAAGTCAGGATCTTGCAATAAAGGAGCTTTCTTGTATCCTAGATAAAGATAAAAGTGGTTTGAAATCTATAGACAGGGAAGGTGCACACGTGGACACACTAGACCTTCCTCTGTTCCTAAGCTCTAGGCCATTCTAATATACAGGGGTCCTAACCTGAGTTCACAGATGCCTGATGTGTGGCTGGCTTACATGTGACAACATCCGTCTGGGAACCCTCTATCTGGCCTTATCCCCCTGTGACTAGAGACCTACCAGGAACAAAAATGGGAAAAGCACAAAACCTTAGAGAAGCCAGGGACTTAAAGGAAGAAAGAGAGCAGCGACTTGAGGAGGCTGCCCCCAGAAGGCAGATTCCCAGGCAGGGCCCATCTCCGTCTGCCCACCACAACGCCTGGCCTTCTGTCACTTTGATAGCCGCGTTGCCTTCATGTAAGGAATACACTCCTTCCGCACTCTCCTCCCTTCCTTCCTCCCTCACACCCGTTCCCTCTTCCGGAGGTCCACGTACACTGACAAGCATCCTCTTTGGAAAATATGACTGGGCGTCCGTAAGTCTGAGGTTAGGAGCCGTCTGCACATTAGTTGGAACTGAACCCTGCAGCATCCTCCCTCAAAGCTTCTCTGTGAGCTGAGCTGCACTGAGGGAAAGGAGCATGCCATTCTCGGGTTGAGAGGACCAGCCCAAACAGGGTGCTTTTCGGGGCAGTTAGGGGAAGGAATCCTGGGAGGTGGGAGAACATTACAAAGAAGAGGACTAGAAAGATGTGAGGTGCGGCTGTGTCCACCCGTGCCAGGGAGATCGGCTCCTACCCCAGGAGAGGGCAGGGAAATGCCCCCTAGCCCTTTTGGCCTCTGCCTTTCCCTGAGCATGGCAGTGCTGCTTCAGCCAAAGCCCGGAGTCTGAAACTCAGTGCACGAATTGCCCCATGCCTTATACATCTGCAGGTCTTCACCGCAAGCACAATAAGGGCCCATCGTTAGGGACAAGGCTGAGATGCGGAAAGACCTTTACTTTTAAAAAGAATTGCTCAGCTACGTTCTTCAGTTGACTCCCAATCAGCCAGAAAATTAAAATAACGAAAGAGTACTCCACTCCTGACTATCTTCATTCATTTTAGACATGAATGTTCATCTCTGTAATGCTTTTATAATCAATAAAATTAATGCCACTTCATCCTCAACATTTGCTGACATTAGATTATCAAAGTAGCCAAAGTTAATACTCAGTTTGCACATTAAATCTGCAACGTTTTCTCGCATGGGCAGCTATGAGGAAGAGAGGTAACATTTTCCATGTGGTAGATTTTCTCCCACCAAGACAAAACCTTCTGAGGAGTGCTCCAGAAATGCATCTGCTGGTCTGGCTGGGGACAGGCCCCATTGAAAGAGAGGGTTACAAGAATCCAGTTCAATTGATTTCTGCCTCACTGCAGACCCCAGGGCCAGCTGGCACTGAGTGCAATTCCTGCTCCTGTCTGGCAACTGCCTGGAATCTACATGGAGTAAATCATGCAGATGAACATAACTTGTTTCAGACCTAAGCTTTCTTTAGGTTGACTAGATTTGGTAGACATATTTCCAAAGTGTTTACGTCTCTCCTTTCTAACACAGATCCTATGGAATGTAATTAGATCATTTCTTAAGACCCAGGATTCTCATTGTGAATTTCAGGCATGTTCTCAGAGCTCTTGAGGTGTACAGGGCTGTTTATCTGCAAAGGATGCTAGACTTCTGTGTCTTTTGATTGCTCTGTGTGTTTTCATGTTTCTGTCCTCTCAATGTCCATTTCTGTCCTCTCAATGTCCATTTCTGTCACTTGTTGCTTCCAGTGTGCCTGCTATTTCAGCCTAGTATGGGGACCCATAGCCACAATTATCAAAACTGTCCCTAAAATTAAAATCATCAACATTTATTGAGCACCAACTGTATGTCAGTCCTGTTATCATTTATTCATATGCATTAATCTGTTTACTCCTTATACCTCCTTATAAGGGAGTTATTAATATAATGGTCCCCTTTTCCAGATGGGGAACACAGCAAGGCACACAGCTGTAAGGGGCAGAGCCAGAATCTGGGCCTAGATAATGCAAGCCCAGAGCCTGCTCTCTTTCCCATTCACCCTGCTGCCTCCAAGAAGCAGCACACTTTACAGGGGCTGATTGGATTTTTGATCCTCGTGTGTTCTAGAGAGCTGTACCTGAAGATCATGGAGGCCACTTGGGAAGCACCTGGCATTACCGTCACAGAATGAGAAAAATAAATCCAAATCAATTCATTGGAAAAGATAATGAAACAGATAAAACACTAGCTGGCCTAATCAAGAAAACAGAGAGGAAGTACAAATGCAAAACTAGAAATGATAGAAGGGAATAACCAAATATTGAGGAAATTTCTAAAAGCAAAAGATAATGGTTTGTACAGTGCTCCATAATAAATATGATATTTCCAAGTGGAAATGTCAAGTAGACCACTGTATATACGGGTCATGATCTTCCCCAACAGACTTTATGTGCTTGTCATGTGTCACCCTGAAGCTATCTTCAACAGGTGCTTCTGTGGGAGTCCCATGTCTCTTTGGGGAGGAAGCCTTCGCATTTTCCTCTTGTAGGGTAGGGGCAGCAAACTTATGCACATGGGCCAAATTTGCTCACCACCTGTTTTTGTAAATAAAGTTTTATTGGAACATGGTTATGCTCATTCATTTATGTATTGTCTACGGCTGCTTTCATGCTACAACAGCAGAGTTGAATAGCAACAATGGAGATCATACAGCCTGCAAAGCCTAAAATATTTACCATCCTGTCCTTTACAGAATAAGTTTGCCAACCCCTGTGCTAGAGCCCTGTGATTTTTCCAGTTTCAGACTAGTTTCTGTGCTGGTTTCTTGGTTCAGGATTTCCAGACCAAGTAGGTGGTACACATTCAGACTACATATATGCTTATTTCAGGTATTCTTTTTCTAGTCAGAACCTCTGGATAGACACCCTTAATTCCACACCTGGAACCAGTGCAATTGTTCTTATCTTCATTTTAGAGATTCCTGGCTGTCTTAGTGTTTGGGAAGCTGTAACAAAACACCATAGACTAAGTGGCTTATAAACCACAGAAGTGTATTTCTCACAGTTCTGAAGTCTGGAAAGTCCCAGATCAAGGCTCTGGTAGATTTGGTGCCTGACCTGCTTCCTGGTTCATAGACAGCTATCTTTTCACTGTGTCCTCACAGGGTGGAAGGAGTGAGGAAACTCTCTGATGGTGTATTTTATAAGGACACTAATCCCATTCATGAGGGTGCCATCCTCATGACTTAATTACCTCTGAAAGGCCCTGCCTCTGACTATCATCACCATGGGGGTTAGATTTCAACACATGAATTTGAGGGGGACATAAATATTCAGACTATAGCACTGGCTGTATTCATTTTATTTCCTGCGTAACAAATTTGTTTACTCACCCATTTATTACCTTGCAGTTCTGTAGGTTAGAAGTCTGGTGTGGTAAGGCGTGCTTCTCTGCTCAGACTGAAATTGCATTGTTGGCCAGCTCCACTCTCAACTGGAGGTTGGGGTGCTTTCTGAAGTTCGTTCCTGTTATGAGCACAGTTCAGTTCCTTGCAGCTGTAGGACTGAAGTCCCTGTTTTCTGGAGAGCTGGTGGCCAGTGACCCCTCTCAGCTCCCGTAGGCTGCTCTTGCTCAGGTCCTTCCACTATATCCCTCTCCATCTCAGCAGCAGGCAAAATCCTTCTCATCAAATCTCTGTCATGCTTTCCATAAATATGACTTCCTTTTCTGCTACCAGCCAGAGAAAACTCTGCTTTTAAAGGGCTCCTGTGATTAAGTCTGGCCCAGGGGATAATCTTTCTGGTTTTGTTTTTTGTTGTTGTTGTTGTTTTTGTTTGTTTGTTTGTTTGTTTTTTGAGACAGGGTCTTGGCTCTGTTACCCAGGCTGGAATACAGTGGTATGATCACAGCTCACTGAAGCCTCAACCTCCTGGGCTCAAACAGTCCTCCCACTTCAGCCTCCCAAGTAGCTGGGACAACAGGTGCACATCATCACATCTGGCTAATTTTTTTTTTTGGTATTGTTTATTTTTTGTTTCGCCATGTTGACCAAGCTGGTCTTGAACTTCCAGGCTCAAGCGATCCTCCCACCTTGGCCTCCCAAAGTGCTGGGATTACAAGTGTGAGCCACCACCCCCGGCCATAATCTCGTTTTCTTCAAGTCAGCTGTACCCTATAACATAAGCTCATCTCAGGAGAACTATATCTTCATACTCACAAGTTCCATCCATAACCACAGGGGAGGGACTACACAAGGGCAAGGGCCACGGGTCACCTTAGAATTCTGCCGGCCACACCAGCTTTTTGCAGGGAGTCCTATTCAGCTTTCCACCACAAATGAGCCTCAGGCTTCATCCCTAGTCCTGCTCAGGCTTAGAAAACCCCAGTACTAGTAGATGGACCTTTTTTCTAATATGCTTACGGGCCATTCAACCTCAGCTCCCGCTCACTTCTCTGGCTTTTAGTTCTCTCGTCATTTTCCATACCTGAGGTTTTCTTTTTCTTGCATTCAAGATTGGCATGCATTTAAAAATATTTGTGTTATATTATAACCAGTATGTTGAAGTATTTGGAATGATTGGGGTTTTGAATGATTTCTTCCCTCAGCGGCATGTCAGCAATATTTTCCAGATTTTTCATGTTTTAGAAATATGTACCAAGATTATACTCCAAATCCATCAAAATAAGTGAACTTTCAGAGTCCTACCCTCAGTAAAGTCATAGTTACCCTATAACTAAAGTTATAGGAAGAATTAGTGGTTGATCAACCTGAAAACTTACCAGTGTGTTCAGATGTGGGGCATAGTTTCTTCTTTTGCAGTAACTTTTCTTTATGTATCACCGGGAAAGCTAGATGTATGAAAATTAAAGAAAGTAAATTACGGTATCCTTCAAGACCTAAATCCTTTCTAATGAAACAGGCAGATTAATGGGCAAAGGACAGTCTTAACTGTTTTTTCTTGTCCCAATACCTCTTTCCAAATAGCTCAACACTGCTAACAGTATATTTATTCTGTTTCCATTTCAAATCTGTGAGCAGTTTTCAAAGTTATGATAAATGCTTTTCTTCAGATGTAGCTGAGCAGTATTTTCAAGAGAGCATGGCTCATCTTAAGGATTCTGAAGGGATGGGAAGAACCAAATTTCTTTCAATTCAAGATGAATTTTGCCATTTTCTACAAATGACTGGACAAAAAGAGGTAAGTGAGTTTGGATCACAATTGTCTAGTTATTCACAGTTGATATCCAAAGGGCAACTCCTTTACTCTGCAAGCATCCATTAAGCATCTACTGTGTGCAAAGCATGTGCCAGTCTCTAGAGGGACACATAAATAAGGCTAGGGCTCCTTTGGGGCAGCTTCCAGAGATACTTGCTCTTAGAAGCTGGGAGACTTTATGAGAATATAGATTGTCATGCCCACCTACAAAAGATCCTAAAGAAATAGTGGACAGGCCCTGCTTATTGAAGTCCTGCAGATCTGGCTGGAATAGTGTGGCAGTTAGTGTGTCTAATCCCTCTCTCCTCAGTTTGGGTAATGAATGGAGTTTGCATGTCTAAGGAAAACTATACGGTGCAGAAGTTACAGCTCAGTTGTTTAGTATTGATTCGTACAAGCGTGATTTACGTGGCTTATGAAAATAGAGCAAGACCCAGACCTTATATTCATTGGGAATTAAACCCTTGGGAATGCATTCCCTGCAAAGCCTAACATACCATTGCTTTATGTTTTTATATATGTGTGTGTGTGTACATATTAATACATATATATATATACAATCGCCCACAGATAGGAACAATTATATATATGTGTGTGCATATATATGTATATATGTATGTGTGCATGTATGCCCACACCCTCTTCTCAGCGCACCTAAGTCCTGTTTACTTTTCACTCCTCTCCGTTAAGTTTTTTTTTTTTTTTTTTTGAGACAGAGTCTTGCTCTGTCACCCAAGCTGGAGTGCAGTGGTGCAATCTCAGCTCACTGCAACCTCCGCCTCCTGGGTTCAAGCAATTTTCTGCCTCAGCCCCCCGAGTAGCTGGGATTACAGGCCCCCGCCACCATGCCCAGCTAATTTTTTTGTATTTTTAGTAGAGTTGGGGTTTCACCATTTGGCTAGGCTGATCTTGAACTCCTGACCCCGTGATCCGCCCGCCTCAGCCTCCCAAAGTGCTGGGATTACAGGCGTGAGCCACTGCGCCCGGCCTCTGTTAAGCTTTTCTTATCAGAGGTTAACGCCATCTCAATTTCCTAGAAAACCATACATACATACATATATACACACTCACACACATATATATATAGTTGTTCCTCAGTATCTGTGGGGGATTGGTTCCAGAGCCCCCAAGGATATCAAACTCCAAGGATGCTCAAGCCCTTGTACAAAATGGTGTCACATTTGTATATAACCTAGACAAAGCCTCCTGAATACTTTATATCATCTCTAGATTGCTTATAATACCTAATACAATGTAAATGCTATGGTAGTAGTTGTTACACTGTATTTTTTATTTGTATTGTTTTTATTGTTGTATTGTTATTTTTATTGTTTTTTCCCATATAATTTTTGATCTATGGATATGGAGGGCTGACTATGTATTTTTTTCAACTCTAACCTATCATGGCAAATCTTGGAAATGAAAAACTTTATTTCCCTTACCGTCTGTAGACCTCCTCCCCCACAGCTCTTTTCTCATCCTTAATCCCCCCTCCACCCCCGCCTTCTGTCAGCTAGGGAACACGGGCTTTTATGCCGATATACCTATGTTTCTCAGGCCAAAGTAGGGCCACAATCACCAGGACAAATTGGAGTTTCAGGATGTTTCTCAGTCACCCAACCCCAGGGAGAGAGAGGGGCCTTCCAGGGGCCTCAGACTCCCTCCCCATTCCCCCCTCACATCTCTAGAAGACAAGGGGAGTGCTCAGGTCAGAATAATGGGGTAGGTTTGCCCCCTCATGCCCCACTCCATCTAGTTCCTCAGCCATTTTTTCCTCCAAAATAGATCTTGAATGCATCCATTGTTTTCCATCTTTAGTCCTGCCACTCATCATCTCTTGCCTGGACCGCTCTAACAAGTTCCTATCTCTCAGCTGCTTTTTCCATGCTTGCCCTCTTCTAATCCACTCAGAATAAGGAAGCCATGGTGATGTTTCCAAAAAGCAGATCTGACCACTGAACACTCACTTGTAAAAGCCAGTCCACTGGCTCCCCGATGCCCTCAGGATAAACCAGAATCCTGACATGGCCCACAGTACCGTCCACGACCTGGACTCCACTGACATTTCCAGGCTCATTTTTGCCTCCTCTCCCTGATCCATGTTCCTGCCACACTGGCCTTTTCTAATTCCCACTTCCGGGCAGTGCCAGCTTCTGTTTCCTCCTCCTGGAAGGCCCTTCCTCATTCATCTCCAGGCCAATGCTAACCCATTCTTCATTTCTTACCAGCTTCTCTGATTCCTCTCCCCAGGCTTCATTAGATACTCCCCATTATTCTTCCTTAGAGAATCCATTTGATGTCATCAAATATTTGTAAGTATATATTCATGTGGATATTTAACATCTATCTTGCAACTAGACCGAACCTGTGAAAGCAGAGACCCTCTTGCCTGTGGTGAGGAGTGATGAGCAGAGAGGTGGATGCATGTTTGGCCACAGGCCAGCTGACTGTTCTGACTCCTGTGGGCCATGCATCAGTTCCCCTGTACTGCCTGGCTTCCCACCATAGTGTCTTGCTGAGTCAGCCAATGCTCAGTGTCACTGATGCTATGCCTCACTGCCCTTGCCCAAGTCACCCAGATCAGTGTTGATCAAAAGATGCACCTCACTCTCCTAAGCTGCCCTCGAAGATTTTAGCAAACTGGCTCTTTTCATTCTAGGGCCACTGCCAGCCCATCCAATGCCCTTATCATAATAGAAAAAGCTGCCCCTTCCTCAGGTAGATACCGCCCATGTTGGAGAGGACCATAGGCTGGATTTCAGCCCTCCCCATGCTCCTGCCAGGCACCCTTGTGTGTGGCACCACCTGCCCAGCCAAACATGGCAGTCTCATGCTGTTCTCACCATTTGGTTGCAAACCTCTCACTGTGGGTTCTAGCAGGTGTTGGCCAACAAGGGCCGGGCCCAGGGACAGTCCCGGAGCCAAGAATGGGGCTGTGCTCAGGCCATCCCAGGTGTTCCCACAGCACATGGCCATGGGCACTGTGGAACATGATATTTGAGGGATGAAATGCCTTTTAAGGTAAAATGTAAGTGAAGGTCACTCTGCCACAGGTTAAGCTACTCCGTGAGGGTTTGTCTTCTAGTTGTGCCACTCTTTTGCTCAAGAATCTTCTGTGACTTCCTCAGCCTGGCCACTCACTGGCCCTCAACAGGCCATGTGTTCCTCCTGTGCTCCCAGTGGCCCATACCCTCTTCTCATCCCACCTAAGTCCTCTTTACTCTTCACTCCTCTCTCTTAAGCTTTTCCTAGCAGAGGTTGATACTATCTCAGTTTCCTAGAAACCCGTGCCATTTAACTTCCTTCACATCTCCCCGTTTCCGCAGTCAGGCTGTAGGCGGCATCCAAAGCTTTATCTGGGAAAGGGAGTCTCCCCGGGTCTTCTCCCCATCACTGGCTCCTCTAAGTCTGACAGTGATATTTTCCCACAGAAATATCACCAAACCCAGCACTCTCAGCAGTCCAAGTCCTTGCTCTCAGAACTTGGGAGATGTGATGGGCTTTACCCTCAGGCAAGTCTAGATTTAAATTCTAGTCCCTCATGTACCTCAGTGGGGCCTCACTGCTGAGTTACACAATCACTCTGCCTCTACAGAGATTCCTCTTTCACCTGAGAAATTTATTTCTGCCTCATCAGCACCTGTAATGTGGTTCCCCTACCCCGGCCCTATCCCCTAACTTGTATTATTGCCAACAAAAGGATTAAACGCCCTCCTTGTCCTTCTGTTTGTGGAGCACTTTTGGGACCCCTTTGGGGCTGTGTCATGAGGAAGCTCCCATGGTCCCTGCTGTATTTGCCAGTTAAATTCAGCATCCATGCTCTGCAGCTGATGTCGTGCCTTCATGTGGAAGATCGTGGAAGAATTTCTGGAGAAAGTATGGAGGATTGACATACTTTAACAGGGTTTCCCCCTGCATATTTTGGTGTCTGAAGAAGCTAATATCAGGAAATACTATGTCCTGACCAATTCATAATTTTTATTCCATGTTAGTATAAATAAATTGGATAAACCAAACAAAATGTCATGTCATGTTGGAATGTTTACTTTCAGTTTCCTAAACGATTTCCTATGAGAATAGCCAAGCCTGGAGTGTGTTCAGGATGTTCTATACATAGATAATTTGCCCAGGAATGCTATATTTTCACTTCTGTAAGAATAGCATTGTGGACAGAGGGAGAAAAGCATGGGACTAAAATGTATGAAAATTAGACTGGGCATTGTGGCTCGCGCCTGTAATCCCAGCACTTTGGGATGCCAAGGTGGGTGGATCACTTGAGGTCAGGAGTTCAAGACCAGTCTGGCCAACATGGTGAAACCCTGTCTCTACTAAAAATACAAAAATTAGCTGGGTATGGTGGTGGGCGCCTGCAATCCCAGCTACTTGGGAGGATGAGGCAGGAGAATCGCTTGAACCTGGGAGGCAGAGGTTGCAGAGAGCTGAGATCATGCCACTGCACTCCAGGCTGGTAGACAAAGAGAGACTCTGTCTAAAAAAAAAAAAAAAAAAACCTCCAGATTTCCACCTGCTGTTGTAAAATGGAAGATCTGCTGAGACGGTGAGACGGATTTAAAAAAAAAAAAAAAAAAAGGTATGAAGATCACTGGCTGGATTCAGATCCTAGCACCACCACAGCTGAGCCCTCTGACTCTGAGCAAGTTTCTTAACTGCCGTGCCTGTTTCCTCCTCTGCCTAATGAGGATTAAAATTTTACCCATCTAAAGAAGACAGCAAAAATTAAATGAGACCCACACAATTGTGTGTGTTCAGCACAATTAGTGACATGTGAGGACTGATCCATGTCAGCTTTTGTTCTTACTACTCAACTGAAATGGATTCCTGTAATGGCTGAGTGGGTTTATTTTGCCAGGTGTCCTCTCTCTTCATAGTTTACACCTTTCCTCACATTCGTGTTGTTTCCTGACTCTTGTTCAACCAGAGGTGATATGATTTGGCTGTGTCCCCACCCAAATCTCGTCTTGAATTATAGTTCCTATAATACCCATGTGTCATGGTAGGGACCCTGTGGGAGGTGATTGAACCATGGGTGCGGTTACCCCCATGCCGTTCTTGCGATAGTGACTGAATTCTCACAAGATCTGATGGTTTTATAAGGGGCTTTGCCCCCTTTGCTCAGCACTTATCTCTCCTGCTGCCCTATGAAAGAGGTGCCCTCTGCCATGATTGTAAGTTTTCTGAGGCCTCCCCACCCATGTGGAACTGTGAGTCAATTAAACTTCTTGGCTTTATAAATTACCCAGTCTCAGGTATCTCTTCATAGCAGCATGAGAATGGACTAATACAAGAGGAGAACAGGCTCAGCTCGTGAGACTACCACACCCATGTGAAAATGTTACAAGTTGCGTAATGATCCTAATCAGCCTTTGAGCTTGTTAACCAGATAGCTTTTTGTTCCTTTCACAGAGAGCAACCTCGATCCTGAGAGAGTCCCTGGAAGCCAAAGTGGAAGCATTTGGCGATTTCAGTCCCGAGGTGGCAGAGACATACCGGCTCCTGGGAGGAGCAGACCTGGCGCAGGGGAACCACAGTGGGGCCCGCAAGAAACTGAAGAAGGTAAAGCTGGAACCAGTACTAACACGAGACTAGGCTCTCCCTCCCCTCTCCAAGGTCAATTTCTCTCCCTTGTGGTGGTTCTTTTAAATGAAACTTTAGAAGTGGCTTGTTTAGATAGGATGACATCACTTTTGTGGTAGATCTAACCTGATACTTTTTGGGTAAAAGACATAGTAAGCCTCTTAGACATACATATTTTTTAAATGAATTATCAGTTTTTACTATGCAAATATTTTTAATTTTTTACGTAGTACAATTGATCAGTCCTTTATGTTTGCGGTGCTCTCTCTATACTGAGTTTATAGAGGAATTCTCTTACACTTTCTTCAATTGTCATTCTTCTTTAAATTTGGAGTTTATTTGTGTGGATGGCATGAGGAATGGATCTAATCTTACCTTTTTTCCAAATGGCCACCCAGTTGTCCAGCACCATTTAATTAGAGAGCCCATCTATGCTCCAGTGACTTCAGATAACACCTTCATCATATACTGATTTTCCTTATGGACTTAAGTCTATTTCTAGATTTCTCTTCTCTTCCACTAGTCTTTCTGTTTATTCATGTGTCAATATTTCAGTTTTAATTACAGAGATTTTATAGAATGATTTAATATGTGATAGGAGTAGACACCCCTTATGGCTTTTCTTTTACTAGAAT
Organism: Homo sapiens; assembly: GCF_000001405.40. Classification (NCBI taxonomy): domain Eukaryota; kingdom Metazoa; phylum Chordata; class Mammalia; order Primates; family Hominidae; genus Homo; species Homo sapiens. Next base: position 99,155,491 of record NC_000015.10, on the reverse strand, counting down.
ATCAGGTGTTCTAGCTATTCTTCCGTGTTTATTTTTCTACATGAATTTTTGTATCAATTTGTCTAACTCCATAAAGAGCTTACTAGTATTTTTATTGCATTATTTATAAATAAATCTTGTGAGAATTGACAACTTTGTGATATTGAGTTTTTCTATCCAAGAACAAGGGATATCTTTCCATTTCTTCATTCCTACTTTTGTATCTTTCAGGCACATCCAAAAGCGTTCTTCATATAGGTTTTGTATATTTCTTATTAAGTTTAATTCTAACCATTTGATCTTCGTTATTACTATTATAAATGGAGATTTATCTACTGTTATATCTTTTGATTTTTTTAATATATGAACCCAGTTGGTTTCTCTGTGTAAATTTTATATCCTGCTAATTGCTTAATTCTTTCATTGCTTGAGTTAATTCAATCATTGAGTCTCCCAGGTTTTGGGGGTATTCTATTACATTATCTGCAAATACACTTAGTTTTACTTTATGCTTTCCAGTTCTTATGCCTCCAATTTATTTCTTTTGTCTAACTGCATTGACTTATACCTCCAATATAATAATAAACAGTAGTGGAGATAATGGGCATCCTTGCCATGTTCCTGATCTTAGTGTAAATGCCTCTAGTGATTCTTTATTTAATAGATGCTGGTTTTAGAACTAAGGTTTATATATTTTATCATGTTAAGAAAGTATCCATCAATTTCTATTACCGTGAGTGCTTTTTTAATTAGAACTAAATGTGGAATTTTACCAAAGGCTTTTTCAGCATCAGTGGAGATTATCAGATGGTTCTTCTTAGATCATTTAAATAAATCACAATAAATAAACTTATTTCACACTACCGGAGATTAGGTAATTTATAAAGAAAATAAATTTATTTATTTTAATTCTGGAGCCTGGGAAGTCCAAGATCCAGGGACTGGCATTTGGCAGGGGCCTTCCTGCTGCATCATCCCTTGGCAGAAAGCAAAAGGAAATGAGAGAGAGAAAAGGAGGCCAAACTCAGCCTTTCATAACCAAACCACTCCCAAGATAACAGCATTAATCTATGCATGAGGGCAGAGTCCTCATGGCCTAATCCACTCTCATTAGGCTGCATCTCTCAACGGTGTTGCATTTTGGATTAAGTTTCCAACACATGCTTTTTGGGAGGCACATTCAAACCATAGCAGATGTTGATTCTGTATGCTAACATTTATTTTAGGATTTTTGTGCCAATATTTGTATGTATTATTTGTTTAAGGATCAATGTTATATTTGCTTATAAAAATAATTTGGAAGTTCACCTTATCTTTCATGCACTGAAAGAATTTATGCAGCATTGAAACTCCGCATTCTTTGGAGGTTTATGTCTTCTGTGACATCCTTTAGACCTGCTGCTTCTTTTGTAGGGAAATTCCTTGACAATTTTCTCTATTTCTTTTACAAAAAGTGATCTGTTGAAGCTTTCTGTCCCTAATGGGGTCATTTTGGCAAACCGTATTTTTCTAGATAATTATCCATTTCACTTATATTTTCAGATTTATTTGCATGGAGATTTGAAAAGTGGTCTCGTGAATTTTAAATCTTTCTACTTTTTAACAGTTATCTTCCCATTATAATTTCTTAGTTTTATATTTGGGTTTTCTCTCTTTTTCCTTGACTTAGTTTGTCTATTGTGTTAATTTTTTCAAAGAGCCAGGACTTTAATCCCATAAATCCTATTCTCTACTTCCTTAATTTCTGATTTTATCTTTATTATTTCTGTCCTTGTACCTTATTTTGTTTTGCTCTGTTGAAATTTTTTTCTGTGTTTATGAGTTGGGAATTTAATTCATTTGTTTTCATTTTATTAATCTGTTTATGAATATGAAATTTTCTCTTATTGTTCTAAATGTATCTCATAAGTTACATCATATGTTTTCATTACATTAATTAGTTTCAAAATGGGGAAAACCTGGGAAACCCTAAGTAAGTAACATAATTAATCAAACCAAAAGAATTAACTAGTTCTGAGGGGCTATCCTATAAATCGAGTATTTTTCTCTTATGATTTTTCTGATTCTGCTGCAAAAGACAGTAGATTTGGTAACACGTGTGACACCTCTTTGTTAATGAGATGACACGTATCTGCTATCAGTTAGGTAGTAAATAGTTACTTGGCACCTTCAATAGGCCAGTCATGTGCTAGCCAGACCTGGGGGAAAACTGTGACCAAGACAAATATGAACCTTGTCTTTGTGAGTTCCCAGTCTAGCCAGGAAGAAATATATTAAATCAATCATTTTTAATAATTTAAACATTACCCATATGCCAAAGACATTTTAGTGAGGGAGAGGTGAGACGGAAGCTGAGGGTGGCAGGTTCCCTGCGTTTGCCCATGTGTCACCTCCATATAGTAAGAGCCAGTGCTGGCCAGGCACGGTGGCTCATGCCTGTAATCCTAGAACTTTGGGAGGCCAAGGAAGGCAGACCACTTGAGACCAGGAGTTCGAGACCAGCTTGGCCAACACAGCGAAACCCTGTCTCTACTAAAAATACAAATAATTAGCTGGGCATGGTGGCACACGCCTGTAATCCCAGCTACTCAGGAGGCTGAGGTGGGAGGATCGCTTGAACCTAGGAGGCAGAGGTTGTAGAGAGCTGAGATCATGCCACTGCACTCCACCCTGAGTGACAAAGTGAGACCCTGTAAAAAAAAGATCCAGTGCTTTTTGAGTGGTTGTTACACCGGTGGCACCATGTTAAGTGATTCGTGTATATTAACTCATTTAACCCCTACAGTAACCCTAAGAGGTGGTGTATTAGGCCATTCTTGCATTGCTATAAAGAAATACCTGAGGCCAGGCGTGGTGGTTCATGCCTGTAATCCCAGCACTTTGGAGGCTGAGCTGGGCAGATCACCTGAGGTCAGGAGTTAGAGACCAGCCTGGCCAACATGGCGAAACCCCGTCTCTACTAAAAATACAAAAATTAGCTGCTGGCGCATACCTGTAATCTCAGCTATGTGGGGAGGCTGAGGCAGGAGAGTCGCTTGAACTCGGGAGGCAGAGGTTGCAGTGAGCCGAGATCATGCCACTGCACTCCAGCCTGGGGCACAGAGCAAGAAAGACTCCATCTCAAAAGAAAAAGAAAAAAAGAAAAAGAAATACTTGAGATGGAGTAATTTATAAAGAAAAGAGGTTTAATTGGATTACGATTCTGCAGGCTGTGCAAGCATGATGCTGGTATCTGCTCAGCTTCTGGGAAGGCCTCAGGGAGCTTTTACTTACGGCAGAAGGCAAAGTGGGAGAAGGCACGTCGCATGGGGAAAGCAGGAGCAAGAGAGAATGGGGAAGTGCCACATACTTTTAAACAGCCAGATCTCATGAGAACTCACTCACTATCGTGAGGACAGCACTAAGAGGATAGTGCTTAAACATTCATGAGAAATCCCCACCTGTAGGATCCAGTCACCTCCCACCAGGCCCCACCTCCAATATTGGGGATTATAATTCAACATGAGATTGGGGTGGGGACAAATATACAAACTATATCACTTGGGTACCTGTACTCTGTATTTTATAAAGAGGGAAACTGAGGCTGAGAGAGACGTGTCTTGGCCTTGATCTCGTGGCTCAGAGTTGTTGGAGTGGAGATATTTTGTATTTTTAGTAGAGATGGTTTCGCCATGTTGGCCAGGTGGTCGGCATCGCACAGTGTATACTACAGGGCCATCTATTTCACATCGTGGAATTCCAAGACTTGTTTTTGAACAAGGGGTCCCTGAGCTTAAAAAATGTTTGGAAGCGAATGGCACAGTGGGGAGAATGCCAAGATTGGGACAGTAGGAGTCTTTGGGTTGTCACTGACAGAATACAGTTGAAACTAGCTCAGGTATAAAGGGGCATCTATTGTCTTGTGGTTTCCAAATAAGGGCCAACAGCCAGTGATTCGCCGGCAGGATGCAGCTGAGCCTCAGCTAGACTCTCATGCCAGGAGGGCGCTCTCTGTCCAGGACTTCTCCTTGCTCCTCTCTGCACATCTTCCTCATCTCTCATGGCAATGTCTTCCCTCAAGGTGAAGATCAAGGCTGGCAACACTCCAGAGTTTTACTTTCTGTCCCTGTGCCTTTTCTTTTCTCAGCTTGAAAGACCTCAAAGACCTCAGGGAAAGACTGACGGGCCTGGCTTGAATCCAGGGCCCACCCCTGGCTCAGTCAGCCAAGGCCAGGAGAGTGGTAAGCTATAAAAACATGGTGCTTCCAAGGTAACTGGGTGGCCTGGGGTGGAGGTGGCACAGGAAACACTATCCTATAGTCAGAAGACCTGGGACAGGGTTGCCAGCATCCCTCCCTGTTTTTGGCACATGTGCAATGAATACAACAGGAATGAAGTAGCCCCTTCCCTTAAAAATGTCCCAGACCAATGAGGGAGTTACAGACGGTAACCTCCCAAGTGCTCAGTTCCATGCGGCAGGTCCATACTGGGATCTACGGGAGTGAAGAGATTTAGGGAAAGTGTCCAGATAAGTAGCCCTGAAAAAAAAACAGTATAGGCTAAGAGAAACAGGAATTCCCAGGCTGGTGGGTTGGAAGAAGGACGCTCAGAGGCAAGACAGCAAAGTACATCTAAGGAACAAAAAGCAGTTGGAGCTGGCTGGCTGTAGGGTTGCTGGTGGGAGAGGTGCAGGGCAAATGCCTAAGACCAGGTTTGCCAGGTGAAGGGGCTGAGACCTGATCCTTTAAGCAAGGGTCCCAAACTATGGCCCACAGGCCAAATGCAGCCCTCCACCTGCTTTTGTGTGGCCCTCAAGTTAAACGTTTTTTACACATGATCATTTGCAACCCATTTGATGATAGGGAACACTAACTTTGAACTTCAAGTAAGTGAAAGGTTATCCTCCCCCCAAAATGAATCTATTTTTCTTGTTAGTAGAACTATATAGAACTATATTGCCCCAAAAAATGTGCTTATTATTGTATCTTGAATTTCATCAGAAGAAATTTGTGGAAATTTGTCTTCTCTCTTGTTATATAAGTGCTGCACCTACCTAGTAGCCTCAACTTTGTCTCTTGGACTATTACGTCTACAATATTTACCATATGGCCCTTTGCAGAAAATTTTTTGAGCCTTGCTCTAAGCAGCTGGGAGCTTGGAGGGAATGCTAATAAGCAGGGCACAACGGGTCTAGAGTTGTCCTTTGGAATTTTTTTTTAAATCACTATGAGGATAGTGTTGAGGATGGAATGGAGTGGACCAAGAATGGAGACAAGAGGACTCAGTTTTCTTTGTCCTCCTTCCATCCCACAGTTTTAGGGATCGAATGAGATGAACTGAGTGAGGCTGTTCTAATGAGCACTGGAGACTGCCTACGTGCAGGCCTTGCAGGCCGCTGGGAAGCTTTTCCAACCATCAGCACCTCTGCAGGAGAGAGGAAAACGCAGAGCCAAGGCATTGCCTGCCACTGGGAATACCTGCTTTCCTTCCCCCTCCTCACTTATCCCATGAAGAAGGTAGATGACATCTGGAAAAACTCTTCCTAGGGTTCAGCCCAGCCACTGCACCCCAGGCAGGGGAAGGACCTCAGAATAGAGGGGGGTGGCAAATGATAAGAGAGATACACAGAAACTTGAGCAGGGCTGAACAGGACCACACAGACCTTCACACTGTCACTGCTGGCTCCCAGTGGGACTGAACTGGTACCATGTGCCCCACCGTACACTCACTGCTGCCAGGTGTGGCTCATACATCATTCCTCATCTTCACAGCAACTCCGCAGGTCAGACCTGCATAGCTCTGTTAAACAGAGAAGGGGCCTGAGGCTCCCAGAAGTAAGCCAGTGGTCTGTGGGCAGGTTGTTCTTATATAAGGCCCGACTCTTTACTCTATGCCAGTGGCTCACCAAGTGTGCATCTTAAGCCCCTGCATCAGGGTCACCTTCTGAACCAGAGTCTCTGGGGCAGGGGCCAGGTGCCCAGGGTTCTGCATGTTGGCCAGTTTCCCAGGCGGAGGCTGAGAATCACTGCTCTGGGCCACACTGCCACCCTAGAGGCTAAAAATCAGCTCGGCTTCAAGAAACTCTAAGGGTGCATCACCCCAAAGCCTGTGGTAGAAGCTGGTGACCCCTTTTTCCTTTGGTTTGGCCTTGTTTACCATCAGTCCTGAAAACAATGGCATTGGCATCTTAAAGACACCTGTTTGCCAGGCTCCAAGAGAAATGATGGGCACTCGTATTTCTGAAGGTTGTGCACTGTGGTGCGTGCAGTTCTGATCTCCACTCCTCCACATGTACCTATGTGAGGACAGGCTGACTGCTCTGTGAATACCAGGGCACAAATGGGGACTTGAAACATGCTTTTCACATCTGCTGCTGACTGGAGTTTCTCAAATGCCATATTTAGCATTCAGCTCTGTGAAGCCAGCAGTTCCTAGAGCTAAGCACCACCCGGCGACGGTGGCTCTCGTGTTTATCACAGCAGCAGCTGCCTCCCCTAAGTTTTCAACTCAGCAGCAGGAACCCACTGAACAGTGGCTTTTCCAGATGTACCCTCCTGCACTGAATGGTCCAGGCATGGACCCACAGGCCTGAAAAACAAAAAACAGGAAGGCCTGGGAAACAAGGCACACACACAGCAGGATTAAATCACCGAAAAGGAAACCGTATTATTGATCTGCCTTTTAAAGGCATCTGCCTGCAGGGGAAAATCACAGAATTCTCTTGGCTCCAGGTGGAAATTTCCACAGCAAAAGTTCACCTACTTGTACAACATAGAAACCTGATTGTATTCTAGAATGGTCATCGTCACCAACGTTTTCCTCAGGTGAAAGGCTGCAGAAAGAATTCCTGAAGGCGGCTTCATGGATCAGGAACATCTCAGGAGTATACTGAGCCCAAGAACACTGAAGTCGGATTTGGGTCCAGTCATCATCTGGCCTCCGTATTAGGTACTATCTTCAGCAGGGTTCAGTCCACTGCCTCACTACTTTAGCTGTGGGCATTAAACATTTCCACACACAAAAAATTGTATGTGACCCCTTTCTTCAAAAACTCAAAGCCCACTAAAATGAATCTTTTTATGAAAGGAGTTGGAACGTAGTTTTTATTCAGAGGCTGTAGGCAAGAAAGCCAACGCTAAGAAGGTCTTTTTTTTTTTTTTTTTTTTTTTTTTTGGTACAGAGTCTCACTCTGTCACCCAGGCTGGAGTGCAGTGTCGCGATCTCGGCTCACTGCAACCTCCACCTCCCGGGTTCAAGCGATTCCCCTGCCTCAGCCTCCTGAGTAGTTTGGACTACAGGCATGTGCCACCATGCCTGGCTAACTTGTGTATTTTTAGTTGAGATGGGGTTTCACCATGCTGGCCAGGCTGGTCTCAAACTCCTGACCTCATGATCCACCTGCCTCGGCCTCCCAAAGTGCTAGGCTTACAGGCATGAGCCACCATGCCCGGCCTAGGAAGGTCTTATGTGGTCATAAGTCAAGACTGGAGAATAGGCTATTGAGTCCCTGCTATATTCCAGCCATTCCTCCAAGCAGGCCAATACACACAGCCTTCCTAGGGAAGGCCATACCTTATGTTAGAATCCGTTCCCTGTAATTCCATCAGTGGCCCCCTTTGTTTTACTTTCCCTTTAGCATATTTGGTGTTTTCCTTGTTGTCCTGCATATACCAGGAATTCCAAGCCAAATTTGGAGTTCCCACAGAGCCACCACGCCACGCCACATTGTTTTCATGTGTAGAGCCTCATTTGTCCTTGATCCTGATTTTTATAATCATCTTTGACTAACCCATTGTTGGACTGCAACAGCCCACCTTTTTTAAAGAGAGGGTCATAATGACATTAATTGCATATAAAAAGTCTTGTTCTTGGGTTGAGAAGTGTGCTTAAAGACTCTTCAAGCACTCGTGACTTGAAGATGTTTGTAAATCAGTTTATATGAGAATGAGAGCCAATTGTTAAAGGGGTCATGGTCATTCATTCTTATTTTGGTTAAGAATGAATTTGGAGGCTGGGCGCGGTGGCTCACGCCTGTAATCCCAGCACTTTGGGAGGCTGAGGCAGGAGGATCACGAGGTCAGGAGATCGAGACCATCCTGGCTAACAAAGTGAAACTCCATCTCTACTAAAAATACAAAAAATTAGCCGGGTGTGGTGGCGGGCGCCTGTAGTCCCAGCTACTCGGGAGGCTGAGGCAGGAGAATGGCGTGAACCTGGGAGGCGGAGCTTGCAGTGAGCTGAGATCGCGCCGCTGCACTCCAGCCTGGGTGACAGAGCGAGACTCTGTCTCAAAAAAAAAAAAAAAAAAGGAATGAATTTGGAGGCCCAGCGCTGTGGCTCACACCTATAATCCCAACACTTTGAGAGGCCGAGGTGGGTGGACCACCTGTCAAGAGTTCAGGACTAGACTGGCCAACATGGTGAAACCCCATCTCTACTAAAAATACAAAAATTAGCCAGGTGTGGTGGCGTGTGCCTGTAATCTCAGCTACTTGGGAGGCTGAGGCAGGAGAATTGCTTGAACCTGGGAGGCAGAGGTTGCAGTGAGCCGTGACCACACCGCTGCACTCCAGCCTGGGAAACAGAGCGAGACTCCGTCTCAAAAAACAAGAATGAATGTGGAGCCCCCCTTGCCCACTATAGGCTGTGTGGTAATAAGAATTCCAGTTCTCCTGACCACAGGCCTCCCTGGCATCATCAGCTGTGGGGAAAAGGCACCCTCCTGAGGTTGGGCCCGCCCAGCTATGGCACCCAGGCACAGTGCCCCTCCATGTTTGCTATCCCTTGGAAAAACACTTGATTTGTAGTGTACACAGACTGCCCACTGACAAGGCTACATTTGCTGTGGAAAAGCTCCTCAAACATCAGAACTCTGACCATGGCTTAGTGAGTGTACAGTGCCTCAGAGGGTCATCAATTGTCCCACAAGGTCTGGAGAGGTGCAGAACTGTGGGTCTGGACAGACCATCCTGGCCTGAGGCTCTCTAGCGGTTTTTCGGAGCTTCGCTGGAAACAGTGAGTTTATGGGTACATGGCCAGGGATGGAGGGAAAAGCAAAAGCTCCTATTACATAAATCTAGTGTAACTTTAAACAAGTTGAAAGACCAATGGTCAGGGATGGCTGGTGTGGATAGCACAGACTCGGGAAGGACTAAACCAGATCGCTGAGCTGCATGTAATAGGGAAATTTGCCAAGAGAAGGCAGCTCAGAAGGCCCAGCTTTAGGAGTCTGCATCCCTTGCCTTGGCTGGCTTAGAAATAGGCAGATCCAGCTTTTATACAAAAAGCCGGCTCCACTTGAAAAAGAAACCATAATTTCTATGTGGGTACACAGCAGGATTTCTCTCAATAGCAAGTCCTGCCAATGCATTTATTTTCTAAATATTTGTATTGCAGTCGTTGTGGAGAAGGATGGTGGTACCTGCTCCAGTACAGTAGCCAAGGGATGGAACAAAGTCGTGGGGGAGTCAAGGGATGTCGATAAGGACATTAGAACCCATGGGACTTGGCAACCTGGAGGTGAGGAGTGAGGGAGACAGCAAGGATGACATCCATGCCCCCAGGGCTGGCACCCAGGAGATACTCAGGGCGAGCTTTCTGAAAGAGTCCGCTCTGAGGAGTTGTGCGGGTGGCAGTGGCTGGACCTCACCCCCTTTCTCCTTCATCTCCCATTTCCCTGCAAAGCCCAGGATCTCCCTTCCCACCTTCCCTGTGTTTCTCTCATGAGAGGCTCCCTACCCACCCACCAGTGCCTCAGTCCTCTGGTCATAGGATCAGTGTCCCTTCAAGTAAGGGAGCTGCAGGGCTGGGTGAGAGGGACAGACAGAGAAAGAAAGAGAGAGAGACAGAGACAGAGAGAGAGACATAGACTGAGAGAAAGAGGATGCAGGGGTGTGGTCTCTCAAACAAACACTCGGAATTCCTTCTCCCTGTGAGCCCACCACCACCACCACCACCTCCCCCCATCCCCACCACCTCCCTCCATCCCCATCCTGCCCTGTTTGTTTTTCACCTGCCGACTCCCCAGTCCTCAGGTGTCACTCCAGTGTCACCTCCTCACATAGGCCTCTGCTGGCCCAGCTACCCTGGATCGACCACCACCAAGGCCCTCCGGTATTCATTCATAGCCCCGTCGTCTTCTTTTTTCTTTTGTAGCTCTTATCACAAGTTGTTGACACGTTTATTTATGTATTTTAAAAATATCTTTCTCCGCTACTCCATTAGAAGCCCCCTGAGAGCAAGGCTCACTTCTGCCCATTCTCCACTCCATCCCCGAAGTAGCCACAGGGTTGGCGTGTTGCTGGTGTTCAGCAGACAGCTGCTTCAGGAAGTGGCGAATGTGGACAAAGACGTGGGTCCAGCCAGGATGAGGCTGGTATCTGGGTGGCTCAGAAAAACCACCCACTACCCCTGACTGTGTTTCTGTAGGGGAAGCCTGTCTGATGAATTACGTTTTGGTTTATTCCTTCAATTCCCCCAAGTTAGTCATTTCTGCCTGCCTTGTAATGGTTGGTAAATGAAAGCGTACTTGTATTTCTTGAAAGATTTATCACATTTCACGCTTCCACGTAGTAAGGCTTCCGAAGTCACCTTTTCTCTTAGTATCAGCCTTGAGAATTGACATGAAAACAGAAGCACAATTTTCAAGTTTCTGAGTAATTTCTCCCCCGTGGACGTAATCTGGCATTGGATAATGTGTATAAAGAAGAGTAGTGATTTCAGATCCTCAGCATTAGAGCAATTTTTTAAAATTTACCTTTCTTTAGCTTTTTCATTTCATGTAAGTACAAAATACAAGTAATAGCTTGACGAGCCTGGCTTGGAACCTTACCAGAAATGAATAGTATGCTTTTCTCAATTTTCTATTATGGAGTCACGTAGCCTTGTAACTTAAATGACCCTCTAGTTGCAGTCCTTGCTGCACTGTCTCCATGAATAAATAGGATGTGTTCCATCAGTACCTTCATCATCTGAAATTCCTCAATAGATGTTATGATGCAATTCTGGGACCTTAGGCAGGAGGTTAAGGGAGGAAGGGAGACACCACCAATCTACTTCTGCAGGATGCTGCTATGAAAATGGCCCTGAGTAACAGCTGCACATTTTCACAGATCCCCCTGAAACAGAAAATATTCTTCCTGAGTTTGGGTATTGAATTACTGTGGGTTTTTAAATGAGAGTATACCGAGTCACCTAACCCTGATCCCATAGCTGCCACTGAGCCACCCCTCTGTCCACACTGGGAAGGGTGTTAGCGCAAAGCCACCACAGCTAGGAGGATGGCTAACTGACGGCACCTATCCCAGGTTTCTTGGCTCCTGGGCTCCTTAGACTCCTAGCTTTCAAACCTCAAGGTCATGTCAAAAAGAATTCTGAAAGTTTGCATCAAATGCTTAAGATTGTCTCTCAACTACCCCAGCTTTCCGAATGAGTCCTAAGAGTAAGCAGCAAATAGTGAACGGCAGTCTTTCTCCTGTTGAAGGCTGGACTGGAATTTCGAGGGCTTTTCACACCACACACCCAGTGGAACTTCCCTAGCAGAGGTTTTAGTAACTGATGAGCCACTGGAGCCCTAGGGTCCAACTGTGTCTTAAGGAGTCTACAGGCTCCATGTAAGAATCTCCCCAGCTTACATGTTTGTCCTATTTAATCACTCACTTAGCAACTGCTGCATCGGCTTGTGTGCCAGGGGTTGTGCAAGGCCCTGGAACACAGTGGTGAGCAAGACAAACATGGCCCCATTTAGGGACAGCCTGCAGGCTGGTATAAAAGCAGACATTCCCTTTTGTCTTCCTGCAAGGGAAAGAAAAGCTCCCTGTTTGGTATTTAAGGAATAGTAGAAACACAAGTGACTTCTCACAACCCTGCATATAAAATCAAAGAGAATAAGAGCAATGTAATGAATGGCTCCTAAAATTCATCTGGACACTCCGGAGTTCAGTTTATTGTTCACTTTAAAGAAAAGTGAGAAACACCCCTTAGTGGCTGATTACAAGGAGCAGCATATCTGCCTCTCAGAAGAATCTGGGGAGCACAGAATATCTTTATTTATGGTGGAGAATGTTCTACTGTCAAGGTTTGGCGAGTTCTTTACTTAGCTCAGCGACATGTTTACAATGCCTGGCTCCAGCAGGTTCAATTAACATTTATTGACTTCCTCTCTGTCAATGCCTGTGTTTTTAACAAAAGAATCAAAACACCTACTTCACACAAAAATGCTTAAGTAAATTTAGCTAAGAAGAGCAGAATGCTGAAAAATTCAATTTATGTTTCTTAGATAAATATATAGCTATATAAAACATTTTCTAGTAGAAGTCCATAATGGGTTATTTTGCTGTTTTAAAAAGCTATCTTTGGAAGAGTAGTCATTTAATGGATGACCATTCTTTCCAGCCTTGGTGCCTGCTCTTACACTGTAATCACACAAGGGATTAGTGAGGGGCTGAGGATTTGTTTCTGTCTCCTAGCTGACACCCCTTTGCATCTCTTTTCACTTCAGCTGGAATTTTGGACAAATCTCCTTAGTAAGGATAAGTAACCTTAGGGGAAACAAATATATTAATACCAGGAAGAGTTGAGTTTTGACAAAGGTCTAGGGGTAGGGTAAGGATGGGGCGCCCCTCTTCAGGGCTTGATTACTGAAAAGGATCTCTTGACCCAACCAGAATCTTCTCTCCTAACTCCACTCTTCTCTACGAACACAGTAGTGAAAATGCTCCCAGGGAAAATGGTGAGCACACGGGTTTGTAACAGGTGGGGATGGTTAGTAGACACTGAGAATTTGCATAAGCACTGTCAGTTGCCTTCTCATTCTTCCCGGGGATTCGTGCATATTCACCAATGCTGTATGTCTTTCCCTAGAGAATGAGGGGCCAAGGAGCAGCAGCTTCAGTCACCAAAGGGGTAGGATGGAAATTCCTCTGAGTATTAGATTTTGAAGGCAATCTGTTAAGGCAGAGTGAACTGAGACCTCAGACTGTCTCAACTAACTGTTACAGTGTCAGTAAAACTCTAATGCCACAGTGAATGAATTAACAACAAGCAGTGACAACATCACCTCTCAAAATGAGCTGCATCAGAGGCACTCATAAATATATAAACACAGGGAAGTTTGGGTGGCTTTAAAATTAGCCCTGATCTTTTACACTGAGTGAAGGTATTTCTGGGCAAAATAGAGTCTATTCTGGTAAGAAGTGTTAACCCTGGAGAGAGGGGCCTCTCACTGATGGGTGGCAGTGGGGGAAGCATCTTGCCTCTCTTGCTCTGTGGCCCTTTCTGAGCACCACCTCCTCTGCCAGGCCCAGTGTGCCCAGGCTTCCAATAGCTGTAACCCAAGCAGGGTGCTGGAAGGGTTTTCATCAGGTACCATGGCTGTCAAAAACATGTCCGCATCCCCTCCCCTCAGAGCAACGGAGCTTAGTCAAAGTTCCTAAATTTCTAGGGTCGCAACAGCCTAAAGCATTAAAGCAATGCTGGCTCAACCCCATGGAATGAGCAGCTCAGCCCATTGCCTAGGCCAGGCCAAGGTCCCCGTGCAGATTTAGAAAGTCAAGGGCTTGTTGGACAGAGGGACAGGGATCCTTGCCTTTGTAGAATTTGAATTATGCATTAAATAAAAGAACAAGAAGAGTTTACTACTTCTTGATATTGTATATTTCTTAGTCAAATGACTAAGAAATAGTGAATATTTTCTGTTATTTAAAAAATCCTGTCATATTCTCATCTGATAGTTACTTTTTTCAAAGGACAACCACATTCTCAATTCCTCAGACTGAAACATTCAGTTTTTATAGTTTCCACAGCTTATAAAGACAAAGGCATTTGGCTGCTTGCATTTTAATTTTCTTGAAGACCTAAAAATGGTTGGCAGATCAGAATGAATAAACAGGCTTCAGTAGTAAGTCCCCAAACCCTCACACTTTTTTTTACTCAAGCTATTTATGTAGCACAATTCATCCGATTTTTAAAAAATATATTATGAAACATTTGTTATGCAGAAAAGTATGGATAACATAACAAAGACCTTTGAACTCACCATTCAGTATAAGAAATAAAACATGACCCATCCAGTTGAAGTCCCCTCTATACCTACCCCATCCCCAGATAACTACTTTTTTAAATTTGATATCATTCCCATGCTCTTCTTATTTTACTATGGTTTTGTTTTGCATGTTTTAAAACTTCATATTAAATTATAATACATATTATATGCATTCATCTGTCGTTTTCTTTTTCCCCTTGACTTTGTAATCATGAGATTCATCTATGTGGTTATATATACACATACATATATCAAACATTTATATATCACATACATATATAATATATACATATCACAGTTTACATATTCATTACTAAATATTGCTAAATTGTTTTACAAAGGGGCTATACCAGTTTGAATACCCACTATCAATATATAAAAGAATTCTTGTTGCTTTGTATCTTTAACAAAACTTGGTAGTTTTTGCAGTCTGGTGGGTGAAATGGTACCTACCTCATTGAGGTTTTAGTTTGTATTTCTGGTTGTTAATGAGATTAAGCATGTTTATTTCATCAGATTTCAACTCTTTGAATAATCTGTTTATATCTTTTGAGTGTTATTCTATTGAGAGGTTTTGGTTTGGTTTGGTATTTCTCATTACCTTATAGGAATTCTTCATGTATTCTGAATGTTAAACCTTTCTCATTTCTGTGCACTGCAAGAATCTTTCCTCAGCGTGGCTTGTCTTTCTACTTTGCTTATGGTGAATTTTGGTGCACAAATATTTTAGGTTTTCACATAGTTACATTTTATCAGTCTTTCACTTTTGCTTTGTCTAGATCTTGTCTAAGAAATACTTCCCTACCTCAAGATCGTATTTTCCGGTCAGGCATGGTGGCTCACTCCTATAATCCCCGCACTTTGGGAGGCCAAGGCAGGTGGATCACCTGCAGTCAGGAGTTTGAGACCAGCCTGGCCAACATGGTGAAACCTCATCTCTACTAAAAATGCAAAAATTAGCTGAGTGTGGTGGCGGGCACCTGTAATCTCAGCTACTCGGGAGGCTGAGGCAGGAAAATCACATGAACCCAGGAGGTGGAGGTTGCAGTGAGCCAAAATCACCCCACTTGCACTCCAGTCTGGGCGACAGAGTGAGACTCCATCAAAAAATATATATATATATATTTTCCAGTATTTTCATCTAAAAGCTCCAAGTTTTGCATTTCACACTTAGTCCTTCAAATCTTTCTTGAGCTTAATATTTGTGTTTGATTTGGGGTAGTGATCCATTTTCTTCCATTTGGAAAACCAGCGGTCCCAGTACCCATTTATTGACTAGCCCACCTCTTCCTCACCAATCCCGCAAGGCCATTTCTGTCATCTGTCAAGGCTTGGGCTCTCTGCCCTGTTCCACTGGTCTTTTTGTCTACCCCGGGTGACAAACATGCTGTCTTAATTACTTTATTTAAAAAAATAAAAGGGTCTTTGGCATTCAGTAAAGCAAGTTCCTCCACCTCTCCACCTCATTCTTTCTCAAAATTATTTTGGCCATTTTGGGCACAACTTTAATCTTTCTCCTCTCCTTGATTTGCCCTAGCCTACTACAAGCAATCAAATGGCAAGACTTAAAGTAAGCAGAAGGGAGAAATCAAGCCAAAGCCAGCCCTGGGTAGTCCATAAGCTGAATATTTGGTTCCTAATAACTAAGACATTGCTGTGTAGTCAAGAGTATAGACAGCCTATATATTAATAAAAGTAGAGTATGTGTTTACAAAAAAAACAAAACTATTTTTTTAAATCTTTTCCAGGCTATAACAAGGGCCACATTTAAAAATAGAAACTGGAGCCCATCCTCTGGTCAGTACCAAGGTTCTTGCCTTTATTTTTAAAAATACTACTTTTAAATCTATTTTTTGCATACAGATAGTCACAGAGAGTTTTGTGAAATAGTGCTAAAACTGTTCACTTTTGCCTAGATCCCTCAGAACATCCAAACCAAAGGTCAGTCACTAGGAGACATCCCAGGAGCATGCTAATTCCATCACAGCAGGGCCTAAGAATGAGGTCATCTTTCTCTCATTCAAGGGAGACCTTAGTTTCCTGCTCTCAGCGACACTTCCATAGCCTCATGATAGCTGCTTGGTGTTCTACAGTGTCTCCAGATCCAGACCCTCTTATATGGACCGCAGGACAAAAGGACTCTGGCCACCCAGCAGGCCATGGGCATGCTGTCCACGTGAGTTGGCGTCCCTCACACTTTCTCTATCTCATTCCCTTTCCATTCAGAATCTCAAGAGAAAGCTGGTTCTAGAAGGTTCTGTGTAACCTTCTCTGGAATGTTTTGCTGACTTCCCATAACTTGCATAAAGGACAAGTTCCTTTGAAACCCGAGTTGTAAAAGATCTTCCTTGCCCAGGTATTTAAAAATAATTCATCCTTTAAGTCAGAAATATATGCTGGATGTTGTCTTCCTGCAGACCAGCCCCTGCAGGCTAAGGCACCTGCTGCAGGGGGAGGGCCCCGGGAATCCCTGTGGCCTCCTGCAGCCCTGCTTCCGGCTTCCCTCTGCCCTCGGATGCCCGTCAGGACTGGAGCCGGAAGGTTCACTGACTGACCTTAAAGGCTGGCCCCTACGTCCTTTCTCAGCCCGAGCAGAGGCCCAGCGCTCTGCCGTGGAGGGCCTACCTCACAGAGCCTGGTCCGCAGAGAGCAGCCCCAGGGCTGCCTGAGTCTGCTCAGGGAAACAGGGCCACAGCCCGGAGCAGACACAACCTGGCCAGCAGGGCGCCATCCCCTTTGAGGGCAGGGAAGGCGAGCCAGGGAGGCCTCCAGTGCAACCCTGACCATCCTCCTCACCCATGTCCTGCTCACCAAGCCAGCTAAGGGTTGAGGGCCTCAGCTCAGTGAGGATGGTCACAGGTGATTTTAAAAGATGGGAGGGGCCAGGCGAGGTGACTCATGCCTATAATCCCAGCACCTTGGGAGGCCGAGGCGGTGGATCACTTGAGGCCAGGAGTTTGAGACCAGACTGGCCAACATGGCAAAACTTCGTCTCTACTAAAAATACAAAAATTAGCTGGGCGTGGTGGCATGTGCCTGTAATCCTGGCTACTCGGGAGACTGAGGCATGAGAGTTGCTTGAACCTGGGAGGCGGAAGTTGCAGGGAGCCGAGATGGGGCCACTGCACTCCAGCCTGGGTGACAGAGTGAGACTCTGTCTGAAAAAAAAAAAATTAAAAAAATAAAAGATGGGAGGAAAACATCTCATGTTTTATGCTCTGTGCTACAATTCTCCTCTCATTTATAGCCCCTACCAAGTCTTCTCATAAATGGGTCTGGGCACCTGCTGGGCAGCAAAGGCTGGATGGGAACGGTGTGGGGGGCTGAGGGGCACCACACTCACCCCACCCTCTGCTTGTCTGCAGGGCCCCCAAGGTTGCTTCGAAGCCAAGGCAGGCATCAAAAGCCAAAGTGGCCTTCTGCACCAGCATCCCTCAGGACACCCTGCTGGGGAAGGCCCGGCCCGGCACAACAGCAGACTGAGGCCCCCACCCTGAAAAAGCCTAGGACATTCCTGGGCACTGTCATTTAGGGTGCTGTACAAATCACCTCCGCCTAGAAAATGGAATTCAACAGTCAGGATACAGATTTCCAAGGCCAACTGTTGGCCCCAACATGCAACAGTGAGACCATAAGCCTCCCGTGGGCCACATTTTGACAGTGGATGCCCTTCAGGGTGATATATGCTATAAAGCAGTTTTCTATCACCTAAGTGGTTTTTCTTGCCAACAAGAATTTTTACCCATCAGCACTACTGTGGCTGAAAAACTTCTCTTCAACAGTTCAGTGCGCCCTGTGCAGGAGTCAGCCCGGCATCTGCTTGTACACACAGCTCCTTGCATAGGTGTGGAGTTAGATCTGGACAGTGAACTTCAGGAAGTCCTTTCTTATAGGAGGCTAATAGGGATTGAGAATAACATGAGAAGAAAACGCTAATAAAGGGAAACCTGAACACGCTGCTGTCAGCATGTGTTTTCAAAGTGCAGCCTGCCTCAGAGTTCTTCGGAGCCTGAAAAGGGGTTTGAGAAAGAGCCCAGTAGGAGGGGCAGGAGGCCGACACACCTGACTTGGCCTGGGGCCCAGGAGGCAGGTGTAAGGGAGTGAAAAGAAAGGCTAGCCGGAGGCTGCGGGGGGAAGACCGCAGACTCCCTGCTGCTTCGCATCCCTCCTGTGGCCTCCACTGCAGGCAGGACAAACCTGGATGCCACCTGGAGCTGCTTCCTGAGTTGGCACACTATCGTGTACACAGCAGTCTTCAGCCCCCTGGAAGGAGGCCATAGTCGTGTGAGGATGGCAAAGTCGAACAGGAAGCTTTGAGTGCCTTCCTCCACGATGTCAACGAGGAGATCCAGTGCCAGATCGAGGTGGATGGAACACCCAGGGGTAGGGGTGCAGGTGTGGGCAGTGATGTCCCTTCCCCTCCCTCCCCTGGTCCCACAGACTGTGGCCATGAGGCTGCAGGCTGGTGCTATGACAGCAGATTGCAGCACAGGGCCCTCCCCTCCAGCCCCCAGTGGGACATCAAAACCACCCTGGGGCCATTTGTGCAGGGCACCACCTCCAGTATTGATGGGGAAAATAAACTCAGTAGAGCCACGACAGGGTGGAGAGAAGCAGGGACCATTGTCTTCCTCAGGAGCGTGACAGCTGACCCCACAGACCATGCTTGCTGGTACACACTGGTCCCAGACCCAGGCCTGTCGGACATCAGCAGTGTGCTAAAAACGTGTAAGATGTCACTACTCACCGTGTGTCCTATCTAGTTGACATGGGTGGAGTCAGCTAAGGGGTGAATGTTCATATGCTCCCAATTCACGTTGAAGCCCTAATCCCCAAAGGGATGGTATTGGGGGTGGGGTCTTGGAGAGGTGATTAGGTTATGAGGGTGGAGCCCTGATGAATGGGATTAGTGCTTTATAAGGAGAGACACCAGAGAGATGATCTCTCTCTCCACCATGTGAGGACACAGTGAGAAGACAGCCGTCTGCAGGCCC
Source organism: Homo sapiens (assembly GCF_000001405.40). Taxonomy (NCBI): domain Eukaryota; kingdom Metazoa; phylum Chordata; class Mammalia; order Primates; family Hominidae; genus Homo; species Homo sapiens. The sequence goes on along the minus strand of NC_000015.10, from coordinate 99,136,498 downwards.
GGAAGAGAGCCCTCACCAGGAAATGAAACTGTTGGCACCTTGAGACTTCCCAGCTTCCAGAACTGTAAGAAATAAATGTTTGTTGTTTAAGCCTTTCAGGCTACGGCTTTCTGTTACAGCAGCCTGAACTGAGAGTCCATGCCGAGTTTTTGAAATAAATGTGAATTCTGATGTTACTTCTTCCTTTCTGTACTTCTTGAAGCGTAGCTTGGAATCACAAAAACTAAAACACATTTTTAAAATTTAGCGCCCCCACCCCACCCCACCCCAGGAAGCAATGAATTTAGGAATGTTCCCTCCAATGTCTCCCATCTGTTAATTCTGTTGACTTCAACGAGAGGAAGACTATAGCTACTTGTGTTTTTCTATTTTTGGTAAAGGGCTACAAGGTTACAAACGGGTAAAGATATCTAGCTATTCCTTTGTCTCAAACTACCTCAGTTTTTTCAAGCCCCTAAGAAATGGCCATGCCTTAGGGTTAACCCTCCAATTTGCACTTATAAGGTAACCAACTGTCCTGGTATGCCCAGGACAGTCCTGGTTTTAGCACTCAAAGTACCACATCCCAAGAAACCTCTCCATCCCAAATGGGATGGTTGGTGGTGTCCTACTGCCACTAGTCATTCAGGCTGTGATGATGACATTTTTACCACAAATTGTCCAGTGTATATTTGATTACAAGCCAATTGGCTTATGCTCTGTCTGCCAGGCTTTCTAGCTCTGTGCTCCCAATATTGAGTTCCGATTCAGGTGAGGAATTAGAGAACTGGAACTTTTCATATATATTCTGCCCAGTAATTCTCTGCTACCCTAAAAACATGCATGTAAACACACAGATTCTTTACTTAGAGTTTAAAGGAAACATCAAAATCTACTGAAAATATTCATTCTCTTTAGGAACAATGTGGGTTTTTTCCTCAGATTTTTATTTTTGCACATTCTTGTGACATTTCCCATTGTAGGGAACAGGAGTTTAGCAAAATCAGCTTCTTAGATGATGTCATTCTAAATATACATCTTAAACAAACAATATCAAAACCACCAGTAGGAAACTGAAAAACACTCAGTGAGTACTGTTTTGTCTCAGTAACAATAAATACAAAAAGACTGGTTGTGTTCCGGCCCCATCCAACCACGAAGTTGATTTCTCTTGTGTGCAGAGTGACTGATTTTAAAGGACATGGAGCTTGTCACAATGTCACAATGTCACAGTGTGAAGGGCACACTCACTCCCGCGTGATTCACATTTAGCAACCAACAATAGCTCATGAGTCCATACTTGTAAATACTTTTGGCAGAATACTTCTTGAAACTTGCAGATGATAATTAAGATCCAAGATATTTCCCAAAGTAAATAGAAGTGGGTCATAATATTAATTACCTGTTCACATCAGCTTCCATTTACAAGTCATGAGCCCAGACACTGACATCAAACTGAGCCCACTTAGACTCCTCACCACCAGTCTGTCCTGTCATCAGACAGGAGGCTGTCACCTTGACCAAATTCTCACCAGTCAATCATCTATCCAAAAACCATTACCTGTTACAGCTAAAACAAAATCAGCACATCTCTGTCTGTATTAGAAACGACAAAACCTTACAAAGCAGTCACCTCCATACCAGTCTGACAATCACTAGTTCATTTGGCAGATGGACAACAAAGGTTTAAACTTGCTATTCCAATCAACTTTCTTTCCCTATCTGATTCATGGTGTTTTTAAAATAGTATCTTGAAAGCTGTGCTGCATTTCTCCTCCACTTATCAATGAAGAAAACGTGCTCTCCAGAAACTACCTGCGGTAGCCACTCCCAGGACCTGGGGAGACGTGCACCCTGGGGGTCTGAGGGCCTCCAGGTGAATCTGAGAGGGAAGACCCTCCAGTGCTGTCGTTGTAGCCTGGCTGAGGGTGGTGCTAGCTCAGACTGTTATTCCCCAGTGCGCCACAGTCAGTGCGATGATGCTGTGTTACTGGAAATACAGCTGAGACAGCATTATGTGAAAGAAGCTAGCCTGAACTAAAAAAAATGCGCTGCTAGCGAAACTCTTTTTATATATGATGCTACACTTTACAGACAGAAACTTTAAAACAATACTGACGTGTAAAATAAAATGAATCCAATGAAGCATGCTCATCCCAGTATCTTAAACTCGGTGGTGCCTATCTACAGGTCCACACTCCGCGGCCCATGAGCATGGGGGCCTTTCTCGCCCCCCAGGCCCGTCCTGGGTATCTCGGTGCTGGGCTGCAGGAGAGATATCCAGTTCCTTCCCCAAAACATCCTTCTATTTAATAAACTGTTTCCCTGGACAAAACACCCCAACTGCAATGACTTCTGTTCAAAGTGCAAAAAAAGCTTCCGTGAGGTGGGTTCATGGTTGTTATTGTATTCATCTTTCACCCTTGAGCTCAGAAAGACCTGCATCCCATGAATGGAGGGTTGGGAAAGGCATCTTTAAGAGGCACAGTCCACTGTGTGCTTCCAATTTTCCTGTACACAGCCAGCTTGCCGGTCCAGCTGCAGTCTGAGTATCGGCATTCTCTTCATTGTCTTCAAGGTCTACCTCCCACCAGTGAAATTAAATGTTTGGGTGCTAAGGGATAAGGTGCAGAGAAGCGCAAGTCTGCACAGTCTGATAGGAACTGGCCACTCCAGAAAAGGGCATTCAGACTGTGTGCTACTTAATGACCTAGTGCCAAAAAATGAAATGGTACTGTAAGCGATTCCCAATAATCATCTACCCTACCAGTGCCAGGGAACCTGTGCAAATAGAATGTGAAATATCACAACAGACTACAGCTGTCCTCGCCATAAATACTATATTGTTTAAAGTTCTGTACATAGAAAGCAATTCATTCAAGTCTTAAGATGAATTTAGCTCTATATGGCAAGTAATTTTTTCCTAAAGATGAAATCATTTAGCAAGAATTTTTTTAACATAAACAGTCTGCCTATTTCCCATTTCTTTTTGAAAAGACTTTTTAGAGTCTAAATTGTATTTATTTTTCCCCTAAAATGTTAGTCTGTTATTTCATATTAGCACATGCAAGCAAAATTTACTCTTAAATATATTACTTTAATCTGGTTAATGTTTTGACATCTATAATTAATTGTAGTTTCAAACAGATGCAAGCCATGTCTGTGACCAGGTGCAAAACATAGAAATTCATCTCCAGAAGTGGAGAGAAGACTCCAGGGAAAAAAGTGTTTTGTAAAAGTCCCAACTCAAAAATAAAATTGCAGTGCCTTTTAAGGCATGAATTAACTGGAAACCTTTACGGATTAACTATAAAGGAAATTGACCATGCCGGGAGTACTCTTTAAAAAAGTAAAAAAGGGGAGATTTTCATAGACTCCCTCGGCCTCTTAAAATAAGTTAAGGCCTTTGGATGTTGGCACGTCGCCAACAGGCTGCCATTAAAACAAAATGTTTCTGCTTATTAAAACCAATGCCCATCATTCTCCTCCTCCTCATTGTCTAGATAGAGGAGGGCAACTTTCTTTTCATCTGAAATCACCGACCTTTGGTCTACCATTCTCTGGAGCTGCACCTTCTTATCAAACATGGCCTGCTCCTTGCCCTGTTCTCTGTGGGCCTGGTCTCCTTCCCCAGCAGAGGCCTTAAAGCTCACACCAACTGCCTGGTCATTCCTACTGTCCGCGTCTCTCCAGGAACCACGGTCAGACACACCGAGAGCTCCCGCTTCCTGTGTCCGGCTGCGGATCGCCTCTACGTTACTCACATCCATCTGAAAGGTAAACGAAGTTTCTTTGGGCCCTGGTGCAATGTGCCTTAGCGTTCTGCTGCTGTCTGCTAACTTGCCTAGCTCAGGGGAGTCCGCTGAACCAGCAAGCACAAATGTTCTGGACACGGGTCCACGGATGGCAATGTGTTCAGAGGTTTCCGTTTCTGTAGGACCTAGTCGAATGTGCCTAAAGGATCTGCTAACACCCGATGTCATTTCTGCCCCTGATGTGTCCTCTGCACTATCCTCCTGGGGAGATTCAGAAACGACACTTTGGAAGGTGCTCTTTTCAGTCATAACGGTTTGTCTACCCGAGGTATGACTGTGAGTGGCCTGGTGCACATCTGCTGAGCCCTCTCCGTGCACAGTGCTCTCTGAGTCACCAGATTCCCCCAGTTGGGGAACCAGCCCATGGTAAACTATCTGCTGGGTGGTCTGATGCCTCTGAGGCCCAATGCTGATGTGCCTGATGGATGTGCTGCTCCCTGGCAACCCTTCCATGTGTACAGAATCTCCTATGACACCCAACTCCACCTTGTCTGAAAGTGGAGCTGTGAACTGGATTTGCCCACTGAACCCTTCTTTAGGGCCTAACTGGAGTTGCCTGACAGAAGTCTGGGTACCCACTGACTCTTCTGTTGCAAAATAATCACCAACCTTCCCTGCAGCAGAAATGGGGCCCTGAAAAATAATCTCCTTTTCAGCATGAAATTGTCTGCAGCCAAATGTGCTGTGCCTCCCTGATCCGTCCATATCTGCAGAAGACTCTGCTGGGCCAGGTTCTGGCGAGCCCCATGCCTCTGGACAGGCAGGGGCAGGGCCTAGGAAGATGACTTCTCTGGACAGTGGACTTTGACCGGGACCCAGCGTGACATGCCTCACAGACCGGCTGGCTCCGGTCGGGCTCGCTGCCTGACTTAGGTCACCTCCCGCACTTACCTCCACCACTTCTGCAGTGGGTCCTTCATATGACATTCGCTCAGTCCTCCAGACTTCAGAGGGGCCGAGTTTTATGTGCCTTGCAGCCTGGCTCACATCCTCCAGCACCTGTGACTGGGCAAAGCCTGTGGGGCTGCTGACCTCCACAGTGGCCGACACTGGGCCCTGGGGAGTGCGCTGTCCCGAGCTGTGAGAGGCCCCACCAGCAACCTCGCTCTCGCCTGAAGGGATGTACAGCTCCCGGGTGGCCCAACGCCTAAAGCGAATGCCAGCAGCCGGGGCCTCCGCTCCACCTTCCTCATCTGGGCTGCCAGGCGCTGGGCTGCGTTGCCTGCTCAGGCTCTCCCGAACCACCGACTCCACAGCCTTCTCCATCTCACTGGCCTCATCTTTGCTCAGCTCCTCCAGGTCTAACCGATCGGCATCCACAGTTTGTGAGACGTTGACTTCAGCAACCAGGGTCACGGAACTGCCACCAGCACCCTGGACCTTCTTGACATCCACGGAAACGCTCCCCGGCCCACCCTGCCCCTCTCTGGTGAGGGCGGACAGCTCCTCCCTCATGCGCTCGGGAAGGGTTTCCTCCAGCTGCCCGATGACCTCCACCAGCTGCTGCCGGGGCTCCTTGGAGGAGATGCCCTTCATGGAGGTGTGGAATTCGTGGGGTATTTTAATTTCTTTTTCAATGACTGTGGGTTCGGCATGAAATTCACCGCTTCTAGCTTGTTCTTTCCAGTGAGTGGAACCCAGGTCCCCCTCCAGAGAGGGCGCTGGGACATCCAAGGGCTTCACAACCTTCTCGCCCACTGCACCGTCCTTCTGTGTCCTCCTTCGAGTCCCCTGCACGATTTCATCCTGCCAAGAGTACCTGATGGTGGATTCCTCCTCGATGTGGATCTGCCCGTACACCGAGCCGTCATCTCTGTCGTGCCCCCCGGGGTGTTCATCTGGAGTGGACACAAAATAACTCTGCTCGCCCTCTGAATCACCTGCCTCTGTCACTTCTTCCACGTGAGTCGTGTTCTCCTGAGGCTGCTTGGTCCTTCGATGCTGATTAACTGAGAATGTGACATCGCTTTCTCCATAACCTTCCTCCTCCTTAACCAACCCCCAGGGGCCTGGCGACACATCTTCGACCTCCTCCACTTTGAATGGGACGGAAAACTCCTCCGGCTTCTCCCCGCTGACATAACTCACGGGCTCCTCCACGATCTCCACGTTGACGACCTTTGCTCTCCCCTCCCTCCCTTTCAGGCCGAGGTTGATGATGTCTCCTATCATCTGCTCGGCTGACTTGCCTTTCAGCCCCACTTCCTTAATATCCTTGCTTAAAAGGTAGTCCAGGCCAGCTTCATCGGAAACATCAACATCCTCAGTCAGTTTAGACTCCACAACTATTTCAGTCTTTGTTTTCCTTTCCCCAGGAAGCTCTTTCCTGTCCACGTAAGTGACTTTTGTGTCTGGAAAAGAATCAGCAGATGCTTCTGTCTCTGGAGACTGAGTGAACTGCTTCAGGATACTGGTAACGATGTTTTCTGCTACGGTTTCTGTCATGGAATCGCCTTGCAGAGAACCAGTGGCATCACTGGTGCCCAACCTGAACCGTAGCTCTCTTGCTTCTGCCTCTCTACCGGTCCCACCACCAGCATCCTTCACAGGCGTCTGCAAACCTTTCGGGGACACCTCTGCTCTTCTGTCCTGGGATACTTCTAGACTAATCGGCACCTCTCTCTCTCGCACGCTCTTCTCCTTCGGTGAGTCCTTCTCCTTAGCCTTCTCCTTCATCTGCTGGCTTTCTCTCTGTCTCGCTTCCTTATCTAACTTTGTCAATTCTTCCCATCTTAGGTTTCTCTCCTCGGAAGCCTTCTCTTTAGAATCGAACATTTTCTCTTCTGGCTTTGTTCGGATGGTTTCTGGTCTGTTTCTTTCTTGCTCCCTCGTGGCTTTCACTTCTGTTTTCTTTCCCAGAATGACGGTCCTCTCATTTGACCGTGTGCTTTCCGAAGCACCTGCTGCCACCTTGTCTCGGCGATCCCGGTACGACTCGCGGGCAATTGTGGAATCTTCACCTATGTAAACGGGGACCTCCCTTGTATCTCCGGCTTTTGGTCTGTCAGGGAATGTTTTCACTTGAGCCTCAGTATTTCTTAAAAGGCCATAGGTTGGAGAGAAAGTTCTGACGTTGGTTTGACTGCTGACGGCTTTTCCGTATGAGTTTTCCTGCTGGGTAGTGGCCGAGGAAGAATATCCCGAGCCCAAGAAGCCTCTTCTGGCATCACCTCCAATAGATGTGCCCGTCTGAGATCCACGGTGCCCTGACAGGTTAGAATACAGTGCCGAGCTGTGATTGAAACTTGCCAAAGGTGCTTTCTGCCTTGAAAATAGATTCCTTTCATTTTCCCTCTGTAGTAGTGAGTCGGTATAGTGATAGGATTTGTTTCTGAATTCTGTAGAAATTGAACAAAGCATTCATTAAAATGACAGTCATCATTACCCTTTTCCATCTACAAGCATTGTTGCAGGCCAAATCCCATTCCATCATAATAAATATACACTGTTACCACAGAAAGCTCATTATAAAGATAAGTTATATTTGGTGCCCAAATTATTTTTTGGCAGTTTACAAAATCCTGTTACAATAAAATGTAGCACTACAAATACTTCAGCCTAACACGTTTCTCCAGTTACTGATATTAAAATACTCACTCATCTTAACATTAATCATAAAGCACAATGCATATCCCAGAGAGGTCAGAGGTGCTCGTTTTTGTGGCTGAAATTTCACAATCTTATATTTTGAAATCATTAATTTCTGCTTTTTGAGGTAAGTTTAATTTACTGTAGCAGAGAAGAGCTCTGTAATTACAAAGTGTGTCATTATTAAACACCAAATAGCATTATCCTCCACTATTTAATATACTCTTCTGTTTCACTGATTTCCATATTGGGCCAACAAGTATTAAAGAATTTAACTTCTTTAAGCTTTCTGATCTTTTATTTTACATTTAACACTTATCTGAAAAGGAGCCAGTGCAGAAACACCCCGGTCTGTCTTAGTGTCATGATCCTGAAGTTGGGAGGCAGTCCTCAGGGCTTCCAGCTTTGCTCCAGGCTGTTTGCAGACAGTGCTACCCTTTGGGGTGTCCACACCCCAGCAGGGGAAACCGCTCTTTAGGAATGGCAGCTGGTGGTTAGAACGCAGCCAGGAGCACCGTCCACCCCGAGAGTGCCCCTGGTGTCTACCCACACCCCAGCTGGCTCAGCGGGGACAGGGCTTTCTCTCTCCCTTATGGAGCCAAGGCCAGAGGCCTCCTTTGCACAGATCCCAAGATACAGGAAAGAGACCAGGCCAGGACATTTTCTACAAGACTCCTCTTTTCAGGTCAACTGATCCTACTGATCCAACTGAGAAGTCCCAGAAGATGAACCCCCAGGCAATAGTGCAGGGACCATCTCATTTACAGTTAAGATTCAACAAGAAACATGGAAGATTACAGACTGGGTTTAGGTCCACCGGCTAGCGGGCAAGCGGCCAACATTATTTTATGCAATATTATAAAAGAAACACAAGCACACTAACAAGTATTGATAAGTTCACTACTTAGGAACTTATCTGTATATTTACTCAACAGAACAGAACTATCTAGAAGCTCAACGTCTAATAAAAATTCCCAACTAGTAATTTTTATTCTAAAGCTTTTGGCATAATATGTAATTGCCAGAATAAATTTAGTTTACAAATATTAAGTCTCTATTTCCTTCAAGAAGCTTGAAAAATAATGAATGAATGAATGAATGAATGAATGAATGAAGCAAGTTAACAGCAACAGCTGTTAGCCCCTCTGTGTGCTCTCCCTCGGCCCCAAAATCACAACTGGGAAAATTTGAGCAAGGCCCTGGCTTAGACTGTTGGTCTTCCTCGGAGCTCCTGGGCCCTTTTCTTCCTTCTCCCCTCTCTCTAGGTTACATGATGGATGTCCAAACTTAGGTATCCACAGGTTAAAAATGTAGGTAACTAAGTAAACCTTGAAATCTGGGGAGTTAATTCTTGTTTTATAGATGTCACACGTTAACTGATGCCAGGCAGGTTGACCAATGCCTACCCTTCCATGAACACCTTTGCTTTTTTCAAACTTACTCTCAAAATTAGAAAGAAAATTTGCTGCATGTTGTCTAAGACCAGATCCCTTCCAGTTATAGATGACTAGAACCCAAATATTCTTCTCAACCCAGTGACATGTCAAATCCATGAGTTGCCTAAAAGAAACAATGAAGACTAAAACCATGCTGCTGCCTAAGGTGTGAACTCAACATTCTATACGTAATTTAATCGACACTTGCTTAGCCAGAGCTCTTCAAGATTCTATAGGGCTTTAAAAGGTTAAAAAACAAGTTATCCCTCAGTTTCTTAGGATCTTTCTAATGAACATTAATGATCTTATGTCAGTTCTGCAGCCATAGGAAGGATGGGCCCTGTCCTGAGGCTCTTGGCCTCAATAAGGTAGTCTTCAAGGCACCAGGACACATTTTCCTGAGCTGCTCACAACAACCTAGGGTGGTGTAAACAATGTAACTATTCCCATCTCTCTTCCTGTTAGGGTAGCAGGTTCCAGAGTGCTGCCTGCCTGCCATCCAAGGCCATACCTCCCTCTACAGGTGTAACAACCATAACCCCTTGGTCTGGAAATGGAAGGAGTGTCCCTTCCAGGGGTGTGAAACACAAGTTCAGGTGCACTCCTGCTCGCCCTCACACTGCCCAGTGCCATTAGCCCCTTCCGCTCCTGCATCCTGTCGAGAGAGGGACCAAGTTTATCAAGCACCTTCCCAAACATTCTCATTCACATAATTGAAATTATGTCACACTAAACTAAAATCTATTTGGTACTTAAATGAGAGATGAACTCCTGTTATCTAAACACCATATCTAACCCGTTCTTCCCGATGATGGTGCTTTACTATCTAGCCACAGAATAAACAGTTCAGATGCCTAAAGCTAAGTCAAGTCATTAGCTTTTACTTACCTGACGGCATGTTTTCAACGTGCTCAGCCCAGATCACTATCTCTGGATTACTTTCTCCTTCCAATAAGGCCCTGTAAAAATAATTTACAAACATAATTCATTAGGAAACGAAAGAGTAAGAAGTGCCTCTAATAAAACGTATCGTGGTATGCGGCCAATGACCATAGTGTCACCTGTTTTAGGACTTCTACCTGAAGAGGAGACTTGGGCAGGGCTGCACCATAGGGCTGGCAAGCCCACCCACCAGCCTCAGCAGACCTGGGCCAGGCCACCTGCTCTGCTCACCGCCACATCCCTGGCAGCCAGCATGGCGCTCAACCCCTACTAGCCCAGTGAACAAAATGACCAGGCCAGGGCTTCGGCAGTACTGGCGAGCCAAGCCCTTCTAGAAAGCTTTCTCAGTCCAGGGTGAAGAGGAGCAGGAGCAAGGGGGCACTGGAGAGATGTGGGCCCCAGGCTAGAGGGCCCCAGAGCAGCTACACCCCCCACTGGGTTCTTCCTGGAGTCACAGCTGGTGGGGGCAGCTTGCAGAGGGCTGACCAGGAGACGGCAGGGACTGACACTTATAAGGCAGCCAGACTGCATCTGTGGTTTCAAACTGCATTCCAGGGGGTCACCTTGGAGACGACAAAAAGAAGTAGAAGGCAGGCAGACGGAAAAGGTAGTGCTAAAGCGCCCCCCGTCAGTAGCCCCTCCCCATGCCACCCCCAGGGGCCTCACTTCATCCAAATTGGCATCCTGTTATCTCCTTTAATAAAATGGTGAGAAGTACCCAACAAGGTGATTTCTTTGACTATGTCTGCGCCAAAGTTCTAAAATTATAGAAGTTTCATTAGGTTGTTCACGTCTACTGCTTCAGATCCCAGAGCTGAGGAGAGTGGTCCCAGCAGACCCAGCCTGCTGGCGAGGGGCTTAGCACCGGGATGCCTGTCAGCCAGTCACTCGCGAAGACCCCTTGGGCTGCTGGCAGCTCTGGGTGCAACAGTTTCTCAGTTGCTAGAGCAACATGTGAAGTCACTAACTCCGGTTCCAAGAAATACACTGCACACGGCAAAAGGCATCCAGAACAAGAGCCCACTGAGAAATGCCAATCTTATGGCTGAGAGCTGGGCACAAAAACGGAGCAGGGTGCCCACACCCGAGCAGGGACTTGGCAGCTTGGACAAACTGCACTGAGTTGTATTTCCATCTGTTGAAACATGGTGAGCCCCATGAACACGAGAGCCCTGTGAGCAGCTGGAAGAAAGCAAAGGAGGCATGAGGCACTCTCGCGAAGGCGCACACAGCGGGCCTGCCCCGGCGCAGTGACTGCGGGATGCTTGTGTGTGGACGGGGCATGTGCAGAGGCCCGAGTCCAGAGCCCCAGCCCTTCGCTCAGGGCAGAGGCCAGGAAACAGGACACCAACCCATTAATCCCACGCCCTCATGACCAAGCATTGTAGGTTCCAGGAACGCAAACAGCTTTCACTGCTGAGAAAGTTCTGAGGTCTATATAATCAGAGGAACATTCGGGGTAAAAGCCAGGCCCCAAGGCTCTGCACCCCAGGATGACGGCAGCAGAAGGGGTGGCGTCCTGCAGCTGAGGAGCCAGGGCAGGGCGTGGGGAGAAAGACTAGGTTCTAGTTCAGATCCTCCCGGCCTGGCTCAGCTGTGAACCTCGGGTACCACGGGGCCTCTCCCTTGAGCTGCCCAAGTTAGAACGGAAGGTATGTTGCTGTCCAGGGAAAAATACGTCTTCCCCACCCTCCAAAGGGAATGCATCTGCTCCTCTTCCAGAATTCCAAAGCATCACCAAACCTTCATAGAGTTCAGGACCCACACGAAACAGGCACCAGCCCTGCGTGGGGCTTCTGGCTGGGTTCAGGGGACAAGATACAGCCCCACAGCTTCCCCTTTCTAGGCCTTTACCATCCCTGGCTGACACTGAGCACCAGGCATTGTGGTCACTCATGTACTTACACCGTCGAAGCCACCCCCAACACAGGGCCTGTGGCTGCATCCTCGCTCTAGAGGTGAGAAGACTGGGGTGCAGAGACAGCGTCTTGGTCAAGGGCATACGGCTCACCAGTAAAGAGAAAAATGCAAACCCAGGCAGCCTGAGCTCTCAGCCCCCTCCCCTGCGATACCACTAGGCCTCCCAGTGAGGCCAGAGACCATGGTATTGCACACAAATTTCAGAAAGCACAAATCCTACAGATAGACCCTCCGGGCCATATTAATGAAAATAAATTCTCTTGGTGATTTCATCCAAAATGGCCCTGCAGAGCTCTCCTATAAGTAAGAAGCTCCTGCTGGAGAAGGAGCTATCCCTCATCTGTGTCCCTTCTCAATGGCCGGATCCTAGCAGGCAGCGACACATGTCACCTTTACTATCTGTGAGCACCCGGCTGGGCACTGGCCATTGAGTTCATGCTTTGGGTAGCACATCCAGCCCAATGGCAGCCACCCTCCTTCCGCACAGCCCCAGGACTACACGGCGAAAGCATCAACAAGACTCTGAGGAGAAGCCAGAAACCACGACTTCCTCTAAAGCTCTGCAAGGGACATTTTTAAGGAATAGGTTCGTACCACTTTAAGAAATGGGTAGCATGTTCTCTGAGGCTGCAATCAAACCTGGTTATTTTGAGAGCGGTGGAGGAAATCTGCCCCCAAGCCTCGGGGACTGTGAGAAATGCCAATCCCCTGAGTCATGGGCTATTGTGGGCATTTCACACAGCTCCACAGGTTGGTGGCCCCTTATGCAGGAAAATAAGCAAAAGTGCAAGAAAACTCAAGTCCCTGGCCTCATTAAGGAGCCCAGGACAAACCCACAGTGCAGAAGCCGGCTGTCATGTGGCCTCTGGCCAGGCGCCAGGCCCTAATGGGCCACCCGGCGTCCTGAGCAGGCTCCAAGGCAAGGCTCTCTGTCTGGGATAGATTATCCTAATGGAATTGCTGAACAATCCGCCGTGACTCAGCACCGTGGGCACAAGGCCACTGCTCTGTGCAGCCCCATAAATGAGGCACTGTCAGGATGTTCCCAGAAGCCGTGTCTGTGCGGGAGCCTGCTGGGGCCGGGGCCGGGGCCTGTGGGTGATTCACGGGGTGCTTCCTAGCAAACAGCAGGTGGAGAAGTGCAGAGAAGAAAGGGAGGCTCCGGAGCTGGAGAAGGAGCCGCAGAGCCGCCTCCCTCGACTCCTCACTGCGACAGAGGAAGCCAAGCTCCACACAGAGTGGACGCACTGCCTGGGTCACCCCAGATGCGGGCCCGTGGCTGGTCAGTCACCGGGAAGACCAGGGAACAGAAGGGAGGGGGCAGAGGGGAGTTCCATTCCCATGACCAGCAACGCCACCTGAACGGGAAAGGTGAGACCACCGGCTTCACAGGAAGGATAACAGGAGGTAACGTGGCAGTGCTGGGCCATTTCCGGGCATCGCTTCTGGGGTCAGTATTCAACCACATCCCAGAGCCATCTCTAGGTCAATACTAGAGACTGAAAAAAAAAAAAACCAGATAATCAACAGAGACAAACATCACTCATAAAACAGAGAGGAAGCAAGCGCAGGACAAAGTTCTGGAGTCAGGATGTCTGGATTCAGATCTGAGACCTGCCACTTCCTAGTTCTGTGACCCTGGCAGGCCGCTCAAACCCACTGTGACTCAGTTTCCCTATTTCTGAAATGGAGAGAACTCACAGGTTTGCAGTAGGAATTAATCAAGAAGCAGAAAGTTCTCAGAACCATGGCTGTCACAGAGTAAGAGCTCACTAAACATCAGCGATCACGTCGTCCCCACCTCCTTCTACATCCTCCAAAGAAAACTGATTTCCAGCTAACTAAAATGAGTCAACAAGGGAAGGGACTGTGGACCATCTGTATTTTATAGTTAACTGAATGTTAACTCATTTATTTGACCAGCAACCAAAGGTACTGGTCGATCCTTTCAATTATATATTCTATTTATTTATTTATGTAGAGACAGGATCTTGCTCTGTCGCCCAGGCTGGAGTGCAGTGGTGCCATCTCAGCTCACGGCAATCTCTGCCTCCTGGGCTTAGGTGATCCTCCCACCTCAGCCTCCCAAGTAGCTGGGACTACAGGCACGTGCCACCACACCCAAATAGTTGTTTTTGTATCGTTTGTAGAGATGGGGTTTCACCATGTTGCCCAGGCTGGTCTCCAACTCCTGGGCTCAAACGATCCACCTGCCTCAGCCTCCCAAAGTGCTAGGATTACAGGCGTGAGCCACCATGCCCAACTCTATTCTTACAACTACAAGATTTTTATTCACTTCAAGTATTTTATCTAGTAACTAGATAAGTCTCAGTGTTCACACATTTTTATAAGTCTTCCAAAAAAAGGTGGGAACTAACTTAAAAAAACAAAATGTACTTCTGCAAAACCTTGAGGAAACCCCTAAGAAACGTTTTCCTTTGAATAGACACGTGAAAAGGTACAGGTGGCCTAAAAAATAATGGAGCAATCAGAAATATCACTAGAATGATGAGATGTAAACATTAGGAGTCCTCTGTGTTGCTACATTAGCAGTCTACATGGAGACCAGAGACATCATATTTTTCTCCATTAAAACACGCTGCTTCTGCCAACTGGGATCAGAAAGAAGAAACAGGAAGCTTCCCATGCCCTTCCCAGCACACACAATATTTTTTGATGTTGTTGTTTCTAACCTAACCTTTTAAAAGGACTTTTGCCTGAAAGGCCCCAGGCAGTAAATAAATCTCTGCATTGCATTTTCCTATCTGCCGAGGTAAGGCCTCCTTCGATTTTTCTACTGAAAAATCATTTTGACCCAGCTTTCCATTTTTTCTTTCAGGTGAAATTTAGAACAATTATCATATCTTTCATCCCCAAAACATAGAACACAAAAGCCTCTTTCTGGATTCTTACAGAGACCGCGTTGTCTGTCTTCCAGACCAGAAACCTAGGATGGGCCTCATGTCACGCACACTGTTTCTGCATCCTTCTGTTCTGTGGTTTCTGCACTGTCTACCCCTGGGTATTCTTGCATTTGTTGTTTCAATATTGAGTATCTTTTCTGAAAGGTTCTGTTTTCTAACAGCTTCTTGCTGATCATTGGGCTCTATGCTGAGTGTGTGTATGGGGAAGCTGTTTCTTTTCTATCTGTGCTTCTGCACGTCCTCACTCTGTAGGATCTGGACCAGGTCTTCACATCGGCAGTGAGAGGGTTTGGGGCGCTGCAGGTTCTGGACATTGCTAGGGTTTTCACCATCTCATCATCAATTATCATCCGATTATTCACAAGCACCTGCTTTACCGACTCTGTGCTAGCCTGCAGCGAGTGACAGCGGCACGTGTCTCTCATACTTCCTTACCTCTCAGCTCCTCAGGCTCCTCCCTCCTACCACAGCCACCTCCATCAGGTCTGCACGCCTGGGCGCTAGCGACTGCAGGAAACTCTGGAAGCCTCCCTGCAGCCACCCAGACACCCCATCCACCCCAGCACTGCAGGCCTCCTGCACTCTGCCTGCAGCTGCCTCCCCAGCACTGCCTACCCCCTCCACAGTGCTGGCCCTGGGACTGCCCCTGCATGCCACAGAAAGCCCCACTGCAGCTTCCCAGCGTTCAAGGCCCCTGCACTCTGCCTCATTCCCAGACCTCTCCTCACTCCCCTTGCAAGTTCCTCCCTCAACTTATTCTCTTATTCAAACTTGCCCACCCGGAGCTCCTTCCTGATTCCTTTCTGCCAGTCCAATTCCCATCTCCCCACTTCCCCCACCACCCAAAGGCCCAAACCCCACATCCCTTTGCAAATCTCTTCTCATCACCTCAGTCTGAAGTGCTCCATCCGGCAGTGACCCATGGATAGCTTTCCCTGTTAGGGGGCAGTGAACCATCGACACTACCCCCTAGGAATGTGCATTCCATTACTGGAATATGCTTGACTTTCTACCTCAACATACTGTGTCCCTCCTGCCACACTACCCCCTATAGTCCCTCTCCCTCTCTCCTCTGTGTCTGCTCACACTTCCCCGTCTTTCAAGACCTTCATCAATCTTCAATCCCTCTAGAAGCCTCCCCTGATTCTCACAACTCCCTCCCCATCACCAGAAGCCTCGTGCTGGAGTCTTTTGCAGCTCTTCAGGTTCCCTGCTGTGTAGCAGGCTCCCCAGATCCATGCTGCCTCATCTACAGCCCATGTTCCTTGACGTGAAGCCCACACTGGCAGTGTCTTTGCAGGCCCCCACCCAGCATCGTATCCTGCATATCAATTGTCTCCAGAGAAGGCTGAGGGCAGGTGTGGCTCTTACCCATCCATCACACGTGGCCCTCCATGACACGCCCCCAAAGCCCAGCTGCCCAGAGACGGGCACTGTCATAAATACCACACTAGCACAGTCCTCAGGGCCTCCCCCTGGCCATTCCCTCTGCCTGGAAAACCCTTTCCAAAAAGTCATTTCCAGCTTCTCTTCCTACAAGAATCAAGCATTGCCTCTTCAGGAAGCCCTCCCTGCGTGCCTCATCAGCCTCCCTCCCACTGCACCCGACACATCATCATCCTACCACTGAGGACAGGGACTAGGTCCACACCATCATCTGCCCAGCATCCCAGTACATCCAGCTCCTTTCTAATTCCACGTTCAACAGGGCATGGAGGGAACAGCCTTGGGTGAAGGCCTGAAGTTAAAATCTCAGGCTCTCCAATTACGAGTTGTGTAACGTTTTAAGTAACCTCCTTGAACGTGGGTGTCATCACATGGAAAAAAAGCTTCTTTGGTGAAGCTATAAAAATTGCAGATACAGTCTACAAAGCGCTTAGCACATGGTAGGTACTAAACAGAAGGCAGCTGTCACTCCCTGTCACCCATTCATGGTCAGAGATAATGGCACCTACTTTGGAATGCATCAGAAAGTAAGATGGATGATGACACGGGGTGGACAGTCATGAGATAAAGCAAATGTAGTCGCATGTTCACTGGAGAACTCAAATGGAGCATTCGTTATTCTTCCAACTTTTCTTATCTTTGGAAATTCTCATAACAAAATGTTGGGAAAACTAGATAAAGTATTCATTTTGACATGACTCTGCAAAACAAGACTTAAGAGGAATGAGTTGTGTTGCTCATCTCGGGTGTTCAGAGCTTCAGATTCTGTCCAATCCAAGTCATCACCTTCTCTAAAGTGTGGCCTCTCCATATGGCTCCACAGGATTCTGTGACCTCGGACAGGCCCAGGGCAGCTCTAAGGGGACTGCCGCATGCAACTGCAAGCAGCCCAGACTGGCGCGTGGGTCCTGGTGCAAGCCCCGCCTCCCACTGTGACTGCTTCCCCTCTCCTCCATCAACCCATCCTTCATCTTGTCTTCCAGGCTGCTGTGAGAAGACCTAGCACTTACCTGCGCCTGGGCCACTCTGCCAACAGCAGTGTGCGCACGAATCACCTGGGATTTTGTTACGAGGCCAACTTCGGTCCAGTATGTCTGGGTGGGCCCAAGATTCTGCATTCCCAACAAACTTGCAATGCCTCACAATGCGCATGCTGCCGCCCTGTGAGCTGTGAGGCCCTGGACCGGGGATTCTCCACCCTGGTGGTACCTGACAATCATCCAGGGAGGTTTGAAACCACTGTGCCGGTTCCACCTGTCACTAACCTCATCAGAATCTTGAGGGCCGGGAGATTCGCAGGTGCAGTCCCTCCCTGTCCCCGAGCATGTTTCCCTTACCATTCTGCTGCTAGTGCAATAAAACGCACACTCCAGGCAAGACCCTGTGATCATACAGCAAATGGATCAGTACCTCGAGCCCCACACAACTGCCGCTACTCTTGACAGGAGACAAGAGCCAGTACAGCCTGGTGCCAGCTGCAGGCAGGGTGTGTCTCCTCTCTTCTCAGTATCCATGGCCCCACGCCCAGCCCCACAGCTCCCGCTCACTGCCACCCGCAATGCAGGAGGAAAGGGAGGGATGGTGCTGCACGTCTTAGGATGCTCAGAGGTCTCGATCTCATCTTCACCTGCCAGGCGAGCTGCCAGCAGCTTCCCTGGCCATGCACTGGCCAAAGGCAAAACCCCAGTCTTAGACTCTTGGAGGTTTGCTTTGTTTTAATTTTATTATCTTATGTTTATTTTATTAAATTATATATTTATTTATAAATTGCAAGTCTCTCTGGAAATTACAAGTATACAATTATATTATTTTATGATTACTTTAATGTTGCTCCTTCCCTGTGACAGTCACCTAGAAGGGCCAAAGATCTGGGTTGGGAGGTGTTCAGTACATTTGAGAGTCCTTGGGACAATGGACAAATCCCAGCAAAACGTGCTTTAAGCATTAAAGAGCCACAGTCCCTTCCCTTGCATGTGAATGAGAACCAATAAGCCACAGGATGATGACAGTCAACTCAGCAATTCTGGGGCAACGGCCACCACAGGTGGGTCAAGGTTTGCAGAGATCAAATGAGCACTTTAGTTAAAGAATAAGGGTCAGAAGAGCGCAAGTCCACGAACACAAACAGGAACTTCACACCTGTCCTCCGAATCGGAGCAGTGCAGACTACTGAGCAAGACTCACATCGAGGATGACGAGGGTTTGTCTTCCAGACATGCACTGGTGATTTTCAAAAATGGTAAGTTTTTGGCTTATACAAAAGAATGGGTTCTATTCAACCATCTGTATGTCTTCTTCGTCAACGGGCATCTCCGAGACTATACCGGAGCACAGAGGCGGGAGGCCTGCAGCGATCCTACCCAGCAGGGCTGGGAGTCTGCAGCGGGGCAGGGCCTGTCAGGCAAGCTCCTGGCAGGGTCCTCATTTTCCCCATGCAAACTTGGACAGCAGAAAGAGGTACAGTGAAATCCATCGCTTGCTCCCCTGAAAGCACGAGTAGCTCCTAAATTCCTAGGAGATGGCCACATCAATCCATAATCGGGTTAGGGAAACGCCAGCCATAGACAGACAAAATAAACTCTGTCCTGGCTGACAGACTGCTGACAGTGAGCAGAAACGGCTCGCGATCGATGCCCTGAAAAGCTGGGCCCGTGGCTTGTGAATACCCTACCAAAAAGGCAGGCCCCGTGGCTTGTGAATACCCTACCAAAAAGGCAGGCCCCGGACTCTGAGGCAGGATGCCCATGTTTACACTGGCTTTTCAGGATGGAGAACAGGGGGCAGGACGAAGTAGGGAAGAAAAGAGCTCAAAATTCCAAAGGCAAGGCACAAAATAAGTTTCCTGATTCTAACTCAGAGAACTATTACAGAAAGAAAATAGAAAAATCCAACTGCCCTGCAGGGAAAAGATTCATCTGGCATGGGGCATTACCTAACACACAGAAGTCAGTTTTCCAGGCCTGCCTGGCATCTGCCCTAGAACAGTGCCTGATTTGGGGTAACTCCCACCACCCCAGTCTCAGTCCATGTGACTCATAAGAGGCTGGGACCCCAACCCAAAGCTCTAGAGCCCTACATTCCTCTGGCCAGTGATGGGCTCAGAGGCAGGAACATGACCCAGCAGAGATGGAGAGGCCGAGAGGATGACCACGGGCACGAGACTGGGTGGCCCTAAGCCTGGAGCTGTTCGGGCCCCACCCAGCCACGTGGTGGGAAGAGTCCAGAAGAGAGAGACCATCCCGCCATGTGGACCAGCTGTACCTGAAACTAAGGATTTGATACGGTTTGGATGTGTGTCTTCTCCTAATCTCATGTTGAAATGTGACCTCCGTGTTGAAGGTGGGGCCTAGAGGAAGGTGTTTGGGTTATGGGGGGGATCGCTCATCAATGGCTTCGTGCTGTCCTCTCAGTAATGAGTGAGTTCTCACTCTATGAGTCCACATGAGATCTGGTTGTTTAAAAGAACCCAGCACCGGCTAGGCACAGGGGCTCATGCCTGTAATCCCAGCACTTTGAGAGGCTGAGGCGGGTGGATCACAAGGTCAGGAGTTCAATACCAGCCTGGCCAATATGGTGAAACCCCGTCTTTACTAAAAATACAAGAATTAGCCAGGCATGGTGGCAGGTGCCTGTAGTCCCAGCTACTCGGGAGGCTGAGGCAGGAGAATCAGGAGAATTGCTTGAACCCGTGAGGTAGAGGTTGCAGTGAGCCAAGATCGCACCACCACACTCCAGCCTGGGTGACAGAGTGAGACTCCATGTCAAAAAGAAAAAAAAAGAACCTGACACCTCCCCACTCTCTTGCTCGCTCTCTTGCCATGTGACATGCCTGCTGCCCTTTCACCTTCCACCATGACTGTATGCTTCCTGAGGCTTCACCAGGAGCAGATGCCAGCACCACGATTCCGGTACAGCCTGCACAACTGTGGGCCAAAATAAACCTCTTTTCTTTGCAAATTATCCAGTCTCAGTTATTCCTTCATAACACAGAGTAGACCAGCACAAGACTTTCAGGTATATGAGTAATAAATTCTTTTTCTGACTTGGGGCAGTCTGAGGAGAGTTTCTGTCACTCACAAATGAAAAATTCCTGATTAATGCTTTCTTCCCCCAAATAAAGCCCGAGTGTTTTCAAGTTTTCCATATTAAAGTTTAGATCATCTAACTCAACGTGTGTTTCAATGCCCTACCAATTTAATTGTGCAACTGTTCACCCCACAAGATTTCCAAGGAGAATGCCAACAATGGGCTTTGGGAAGTCCAGTCTGGCAACATCTTTTCCCCTTTCTCTGAGCCCCGGCCACCAGCCCCTCAGTGGCAGCAAGGCTCTCAAATGGGGGATCCAGAAAGGCCCTCATGGCCTTAGCCCCAGGACCACCCCTCAATTCATCCCTTGGTGAAGCCGTGGCTCCTCCATGGACTCCATGTCCCTGGGAAGGCCTCACCCCTTAGCAGCCTCCTGGGGCCCAGGCCAGGGGCTGCCTGATAGAGCTGCTCCCTCTTCACTGATGGGAGTGAGGGCTCAGATGAACCCTGGCTGATGTAAGTCTTCCAGAAAATAAAGACAGTGAGGCCGGCCCAGGCTGCAATGTAAACTACAAGCAACGTATCAGCCAGATACCCTTTTAATAGACATCAAAGCAATTCAGGTCACCTTGATATTCTTAGAGCAAAAAATCCTGATCAGGGCCGGGCGCAGTGGCTCACACCTGTAATCTCAGCACTTTGTGGCGGCGAGGTGGGTGGATCACCTGAGGTCAGGAGTTCGAGACCAGCCTGACCAACAAGGTGAAACCCTGTCTCTACTAAAAATACAAAAATCAGCCAGGAATGGTGGCAGGGGCCTGTAGTCCCAGCTACTCAGGAGGCTGAAACAGAATTGCTTGAACCCAGGAGGCGGAGGTTGCAGTGAGCTGAGCTCGTGCCACTGCATGCCAGCCTAGGAGATGGAGCAAGACTCCATCTCAAAAAAAAAAAAATAGAATAAAATAAATAAAATTAAAATTAAAATAAAAAATAATAAAAAAAATGAAAAAAAAAATCATGATCAGAAGATTACACAGGCAGCCTACAAGATGTGCTGAACTAGGCCTGGGGATGGTCCCTGCTCTACCCCTCACCAGGGGAGTTGGTCCCCTTCTTAACCTCTCCAGGTTTAATCTGCCACCTGTGAAGGAGACACCACTGGAGATGACCAGACTTTGACTCTTCTGCCAAAGCGGTTTCCACAGCTTGCTCACACCCTCCACTGCCACATGTTCCACAATCCTGGGAACGGAGCAGGCACTGTGCCCTTTTTACACGGCTTGGTGGGGATGGCACAGCTTTGGCACCAGACCTGGCTGGCTCTGCCCCTCACCAGCCTGCAGCCCCAACCTCCCGGCCTCTCTCTCTCACCTCTAAGAGGGGAGAGTGGTGCCCACCTCAGAGTTGACTCGGAGCAGAGAATAGTGGCAAAGAACTCAGCACCACGTCTGGCAGGCAGTAAGGACGCCATAAAGCTGGCTATTGTTAGTGTTCCTGAAGTTGGGCAACTGGGTCTCTAAAATTCCTTCCACTGTAAGCGTCACAGACCCTGGCTCCTTCAT
Source organism: Homo sapiens (assembly GCF_000001405.40). Lineage (NCBI taxonomy): Eukaryota > Metazoa > Chordata > Mammalia > Primates > Hominidae > Homo > Homo sapiens. The sequence goes on along the minus strand of NC_000015.10, from coordinate 99,114,860 downwards.
AGCTGCCCTGAGCATGAGAGCTGCCAGGAAACAAGGGGCACCACCTCAATCAAAGACGCACTGGCACCCAGGGGAAAGGAGGGTGATGCCAAGGAGGGGAGGAGCACTGTTCCGCCGGCCTGCAGGCCACACCCAGGGGGACTGGACTGCATTCTCTGCCCCACCCAGCACCCAGCCCCTTTGAGCGCTTTGTGACCTTTTCATCAGAGTTGGTTACCTTGAACTCAAGTCAACATCTTGATACATAAAGCCAGTTGGCCTACATTAGCATGCACCATGCTAATCTCTTGGAAGAGATTCAGTTCAGGGCCAAACCCACACAGGGTGGCATCAGAGCCCTGAGATTCAAAGCAACAATCAAGCAGATAGACACAGACTTCCTGGGTCCAAATCCTGTGACACGGTTTGGCTCTGGGTCCCCACCCAAACCTCATCTCGATTTGTAACCCCCACGTGTTGAGGGAGGGACCTGGTGGGAGGTGACTGGATCATGGGAGCAATTTTCCCCACGCTGTTCTCATGATAGGGAGTGAGTTCTCATGAGATCTGATGCTTTAAAAGTGGCAGTTTCCCCTGAGCTCTCTCTCTCTCCTGCCACCTTCTGAAGAAGGTTCTTGCTTCTCCTTTGCCTTCCGCCACGATTGTAAGTTTCCTGAGGCCTCCCCAGCCCTGCGGAATAACTGTGAGTCAATTAAACCTCTTTCCTTTGTAAATTACCCAGGCTCAGGTAGGATCTTTATAGCGGTGTGAAAACACACTAACACATCCTGGCCCTCCACTTTCCAGTTCTGTAACTTCTCTGAGCAAAGTCTGTTCATCTGTAAACACAGTCTCCAGTTCCTAGGATCCAACACGTTGACATGTGTGAAGCTCTTCAGCAGTCCCCAGAACATACAAACACTAGGTAAGGGGGCACGGCTCAGCTACTCCCTTGCTGGAGACACCTGCTCAGTGACCTAAGCAAGCCCTACTCTTCCTCTTCCTTTTGGCCTCGGACTCCTTGCCTGGCCATGCCAAGGGCTGCTCTCTGCTTGTCACAAAGCCACAGTGACTCCACAAAGGCTACGGTCCCTAGACCAGTTTCCTTCATGTGCAAGTTACACCCCCATGGCTTCGTCAAGGCCAACTCAGCACAGTCTCCTTACCGGTAGGTCGCCACCTCCAGACTGAGGCCGGTCTTCACCTGCAGGAGGTCCTGATAGTCCCGCAGCCAGTCAGCCATGGCCAAGGTGAGGGTTGCCTTCTCATCCTCCAGGCAGTCAATCACTCTCTAAAGAGAATAGACAGACTTTTATATCAGAGAACTGGAGCTTTACTGGGTCGAACTGAAGGTACCAACAATTCAGGATCGAATTGAAAAACAGACCAGGGTTATTAGCAGACCAGAAAAACACCCGGCGTTATTAAACATGCAGTCACTTGCAGGATGGTTTCCAATGTTGTATCTCTTCCATATGGAAGTTTTTTATTGCATGTGGAACATTTTGATAGGACACTGGCTTCTCTGTTCAGACTCTCTATTAATAATGAATGCTTAGGAGTTTATTCAAATCATCTCTACCGTTTAGACATCAGGCTGCTTAGGAGAGCCAGTGCTTCAAACCAGTCACTAAGACGCTATGGAAAATAAGCCAAGACTAGAAATCAGGGGTTTTACAATATTCAAAACATAAGTCACTCAGAATTGAACTGAAATGTACTCCCCAAAGTCATGATTTCTCCAACAATAAGCAGGTAAACTGATACAGAGTTTTGTTTCACTTAGAAAAGCTACTTTAAGATCATCTGGGGAGAAATGCATTCTGGGCATAAATGACAAACTACAGACTCAGATATAAAACTTCTTTTTGGGCCTAGCGTGGTGGCTCACACCTATAATCCCAACACTTTGGGAGGCCGAAGCGGGCGGATCACTTGAGGTCGGGAGTTCGAGACCAGCCTGGCCAATATGGCAAAACCCTGTCTCTACTGAAAATACAAAAAATAGCTGGGCATGGTGGCGCAGACCTGTAATCCCAGCTACTCAGGAGGCTGAGGAACAGGAATCACTTGAACTCAGTAGGCGGAGGTTGCAGTGAGCCAAGATCATGCCACTGCACTCCAGCCTGAGCGACAGAGCGAGACTCCACCTCAAAAAATAAAATAAAAATAAATAAAACTGCTTTATGAACCGTAATTGCACAGTGCAGCTAGTAAGGGCGTCCTGGGTGCTCCTCGCAGCTCCCCTCACCCCTGGCCGGGTCCCCGACCTGCCTCTCTACCTGGCAGGGAGATACTGCGGCCTTCTGAATCCCAGACCTAGACCAGTGCCCACCACATACAAGTCACACAGCACATAGCTGCTCAATTAAATTTAAAATGAAATGATCAAGATCATATCACCCTCCTCAAAATGTACTATTTGAAGTCGACAGTATCTTCTCAAACAAACATATGGGCTTCAGCTGCACCGATTTCCAGTTTTGTTTTATTCCTAGTTGTTAGTTACTCTGGGGAACAATTAACCAAGCAAGTATTTAAACATTGAAATAAGTCCATGTACTTTTAACTTCTGGTTTGTAATGGGAAGTAGCATTATTTCTGAACATCATTAACTAAACTAAGCTAGACCTATAAACATTTATCTTTGTAGAATTCAAAAACGGTAAGACTACTGGGAGAGGGAATATTATGTTCATTGCTGCTGGAATCCCTTCACCAAAGGCACCCGGCAAGATGCTGAGGGTCCATAATAAATATGTCTGTGAAACCAAGGAATGAACTCTACAAGATTGCACATGGAATTTATCTTTTTGGTTGTTTTGTTTGTTTTTGGAGACAGTCTCGCTCTGTCACCGAGGCTGGAGTGCAATGGCACAATCTCGGCTCACTGCAGCCTCCACCTCCCAGGTTCAAGTGATTCTCCAGCTTCAGCCTCCCAAGTAGCTGGGACTGTATACAGGCGCCTGCCATCACGCCCAACTGATTTTTGTATTGTTAGTAGAGACGGGGTTTCACCACGTTGGCCAGGATGGTCTTGAACTCCTGACCTCAGGTGATCCTCCCGCCTCAGCCTTGCAAAGTGCTGGGATTATAGGCACAAGCCACTGCACCCAGCCAGAATTTATCATTTTTTAAAATGCATGATCAGCCAATAAATATTCCCACTTCTCATAACAGTTCTATTTCTATGCCAATGATGGCTGTTAGGTTCCCTGAATATAAAGGGTCCTGAAGTAGTTTAAAACCCCTTAGCTTTTAAAGCAAAGAAGTAAACTTAAAAATCACTGGCTTATGTCCCAGGGTGGAAAAACGATAACAGATCCCACAGCTGGCATTACAAACAGAGAAGCTCACCAAAGAGCAACTGCCAGTCTTGATGTAAGTGACAGCACTGCCACAATTTAGCCACAATATTCACACATTCTAGAGTTAAATCTCAATGTCAAAATCCTACATTCCCCTGTTTTAGAGGGAATACAATTCAGGTACAAGGTTCTCATACAAGATGGGCTGTAGGTATGCATGTATGTATGTATGTGTGTCCTTCCTACTACAGGAAATTTGACATAACTATTACAAATTAAAAATTTATAGTAATTTATTCCTTACAAAGAAGTTCAAATGTTGTTAAACTGCTTAGAAAAAAAATACGATGAAAGCTCTCCAACCACAAACCTCCTGAGCAGGTCAAGAAAGCCTAGTCACGTGGAAGGGGTGTGCAGGAAGATACTCCTCCCAGAGCACACAGAATAGTTCTGCACCCACAAAATACAAAGAGGAAAATCAAACTGTGTTGAAGTTGGAATAAGTACAGTTTCAGTCACATTTCCATGTGAGTCAGCTCCTCCTAAATTGTCAAAGGAAAATTAGTTGACGTTTGGAAGCAGGAATATAAGACTTAACTGGCTCCCAGTGGTCTCTGCAGAAATCACAACAAATCCTGCTGTGGAATAAAACTTCAGACTTGGGCTCTGCTTGGCCAGTCAGCAAGCTGTGGGTCAGGACAGAGGCACTGGAGCCCCAGACACGGGACGCTACATCTCACCCGAGCAGAGGCAGTTTCACCTAATGCTGCAAAAGCTTGGGAGAGAGGTCACCTTTTTGCTATTTAGAGAACTTTTGGGCAGCATCACAACCGATGATGAAATCTTGCTCCACACCAGGAAAGGCATGCTGCTGTCAGTATCAAAAGAATTAATTTTCTCTTAGCCAAACTTGAGCTACCGCTCACTGAGCAAGCCTGTGGGACAGTTCACAAATATCACTGTCATTTGCAACCTTGAAAGGTAGAGCTCCAGGGGATTTAAATACTGTGATAACTTCAGCTACACACAAAAATTAAATGTATTCATAACAATAAGCACGAACTGGATGCCGACGAAGTATTTATAGCTTAGCCCAGACAGCACCCTGAACTCAAGTTATATTTTACAATTCCAGGTGGGTGTGTAAGAAGCATCTCAAACTGAACACACGTACATGGAACTTGAATCTCCCACCCAGGCCCGTCCTCCTAACCAATGCCCCGCAGTAAAGCGTATAAGAGGTACCGGAAGTAGCTCCCAGGGTGTATACAATTGGTTCATTCGTTCAACTACCAGCCGTTGAGCATTTAGTGTGCCAAGCGCAGTTCTTCATGGCTGCGGATTCAGCAGTGAAAAATGCCACGTAAAACAAGGAAAGTCCCTTCTTCCAGTTGCTCAGGCCACAACGCCTGAAGTCCACTGTGATTTCTCCCTCTCCCATCACATTCAATCTGGCAGCAAATGCCGTTGGCTTCAACTTGAACGCAGGGGCCCCTCTGAGACCCCTGGTCCAAGCCTCGAGCACTTCCTGCCTGGGTTACTGCAACAATCTCTGAAGGCATCCCTGAGTCCACTCAGTCTATTTTTAAAACAGCAGCAACAGTGATTCCACTAAGCCACAGCCAGGCCCCAACTCTCCTCGGCTCAGAACCTCCAGTGGCTTCCCATGGCACTCAAAGTAAATGCCCAAGTCCTGCAGTGGCCACTCTACCCCCTGTTCACTGTGCCCTAGCCACACCGGCAGCCTGGCTGAGGCATCCCCGAAAAACCACACGCTGTTTCCACCTGAAGGCCTCTCAGGTCAAGGGACTTTCTTTGTTTTACGTGGCATTTTTCACTGCTGAATCTGCAACCATGAAGAACTGAGCTTGGCACACTAAATGCTCAACGGCTGTTAGCTGAACGAATGAACCAGTTGTACACACCCTGGGAGCTACTTCCAGTACCTCGTTTCACAAATGGGGAAACTGAATTGCAGACAGGTTAAGGAACGTAACCTGCCCAAAGAGCGGCAGAGTCAGAATTCAGGGCCAGGTAGGACAGCTGCAGAGCACTGACCCTTAGCTAATCCCATCCTAATCCCACCCCACCTTCCCATCTACAAAAAGCTTTCATTCAATCATGTTTTGGGGGCTTGGAAGCCTTTTCCAGTCAGCCTCAGCAGCTAAGGGCTCACTTTCATAAGCAAAAATCTCCGTGTTTGCAGGGTGAAGCTGGTCTCCACTTTATCGCAAATGTCTTCAAGTGTTTTCTGAAGCCCCCTCCTGCAGCCTGGGTGTGTCACTCAGGCTTCAAGTGATCTAGATCACATTTGGGAACTTGGATGTCAGTTCAGCAAACTCTTCTCGGGCAAATCTGAGGCCAGGCCTGGGGCAGGCCAATGACTACCGCCTCATACAGTGAAGGCGCATGGGCCATCTGGGAAGGACCAGTTTCCCCTCAAGTAGAATCCTAGCAAGCATCTTCCCCCTTGAGCCACAGAAGCTATAGCCAGAGGCAGGGAGAGCTGGGCACAATGTGGCAGCACCCTCTGCTGCCTCCAGCTCCTGCCTCCAGGGGAGGGGGGCATTAAAGCACATGGAACACAGAAAAAAAGAAATGAAAGAAAATAGTTTTAATGCCAAAACTATTCAGCCAGCTGGAGGGGTCTAAAAGCATTTTAGGACTTGAAATCAGCAGAGTACCTCGGGCTAGCCCTTAGGAAGAGCAATTATCATTATGCTATGAATGCAAGAATACTGGTTAAAGGTTTCTCTCTGATCAAACAGACAGAAGAGAGAAACGGACGCCCAGCGGTCAGTTGCTCAGGCACTAGAGCCTGAGTTGAATCCTGGCTTAACTACTTACTAATCAGGTGACTTATGTGCCTCAGCTTCCTCCTCTGTAAAATGGAGCTTATATTAGTACCCACTTCGTAACACTGGTGTGGGCACTGAGAGTGAATATTTGTGAAGGGCATCTGTGGTACCTGGCACACACGAAGCACTTGCTAAAGGCTCTTAGTAATAAGATATTTATTACCATATACTAATTCAACCCATTTTTAGGATTTTTTCACTCTCCCCATAGTAAGCTTCTACAGAACCCGAAAAAAATTACAGGCTTGGGGTTAAATCATCCATACTCCCTCTTTCACATACTTCCTAGCATCTCTGTGATTGGTGCTGAATCTTCTGGAATGCAATTTGAAATGGAGTTGACTTAAGTTAACTGAGGGAAGATTCAGTATATGGACAAGGTAGTGACTGGTAACACTTAGTGCAGTAAAACCTCTGCAAATTGGAACTGGAAAAAAAAAATGGCCGGGCACATGGCTCACACCTGTAATTTCAGCACTGTGGGAGGCCACGGCCGGTGGATCACTTGAGGTCAGGAGTTTGAGACCAGGCTGGCCAACATGGTGAAACCCTGTATCTACTAAAAATACAAAAATTAGCCAGGCGGGGTGGTGGGATCCTGTACTCCCAGCTACTCGGGAGGCTGAGGCACGAGAATCACTTGAGCCCAGGAAGCGGATGTTGCGGTGTGCCGAGATCAGCCACTGCACTCCAGCCTGGGCGACAGAGCAAGACTCCGTCTCAAAAAACCAAAACCAAAACCAAAACCAAAACCAAAAAAAAAACAAAACAAAAAACAAAAAAAAAAACCAGGTCCTTATTGACATTTTCCTCGCTCTTTGCTTTTAGGAAAAAGCAGCAAATTCCAACAAGAGAGAAGTATCACTGGATGGCAAACGGAGAGTGGGGTCCCAGCCTCACTCTGAGGGCAGGTATGACCTCAGGAAAAGCACTTCCCCGGTGGGCCCTGGAGTCCCTGTGTCAAAGGAGGGCTGCACAGGATTCTAACTGCACTTCAAGTCCCCATGTCTCCTCCAGTCAGGGGAACTCTGCTTTCATATGGCTCACATTACGAGTTCCACTGAAGGTTTCATTAGTGGGGAAAAGGGCTTTGCCGCTAAGAAAGAACACTGGAACCAGAATTTGAAGGTCTGAAATGTGCCAAGTGAGCTGTGGCTGTGAACGCATGGTGACGATTTGGTCCACACAGCGTGGCTCAAAGCAGCATTTTCTAAACCTGCCTGCACAGCACAGACCCCTGAGTTGGTAGCGAGGGTTCCCTACAAAGGGGTTCCCTGGGCAGTAGGTTTGACAGATACTCCTTTTTGGAGAGTCAAAATAACCACTGGTCAAATCTCCATGAATGCCACATTAAGGCACTTTTTAACTTTCACTCAACAACGAGTATAGGACCTGTGGAACTCAGACCCCTGGCCACTGTCATTGCAAAGGGACACAAGTGCTCACAAGTGGAAATCGGTACACACTGGGTCAGTCCCTGTCCCTGCTCTAGCTATGGCAAAGCCCCAAGAGAACACTTTGAAAAGTTATGAGGCGGAAGCCAAACAAAACCCACAACTCAAAAGATTAAATCCCAATGTAGTACCATATTGCATTCTATGATTTCCCATCTAGCCTGTAGCTCTTTGCATACTGAAAGTCTAGGGCAGTGCTGGGGACCCAGGGAGAATCAACAGGTATTTACTCATCACCTGTGGATACCTGTCACATCACCGCAGTCATTCCATATGACAACCCCCATGTTCCTCTCACTTCTAATTTTTAAAAGTCAGTCTCAAATCTTTAACTCACAGCTGCAAACTGTACTCTTAAAATATTTGTGAAATTGTGCAGATGTTATTTCCATCTGTCCTTTTGAGAACTACTGATAGTGTGATTTGGGAATATTTCCAATTCTGGCTGAGGCAGGGCAGGGCGAGGGCCAAACGCTAGGGCTGGACTGGGCATAGTTTACATCAGCCACAGGTGTCACCCCGCCGGTGTCAGAGGGTTTGCTTCCCTGAAATAGTAACTGTTTATATCACTCTGCACTTGTAATAACATCCTGCCAAAGGGCCCCACTTTCCCACAACTTTTACACTACGCAGAGATCTGACGTCAGCGTGTGCTGTGAGCAAAACATCTTCGATCAAGCTCTGTTCTGCATGAGGGTTGCTGCCCCTCCCAAGATCAAACAAGGCAGCCGCCCAGAGAGCCACAACTGCGGCTTCCAACTGGGAAATCATATTGGCAAAATAAAAACCGTTTTGGAAATTAATTTGAGTTTTCCCCTGAGGAGCGCTATAGACAGCGGGGCTACCATAAGCCGTCACTTCTGCAAGTGAGAGAGGTTTCTCGGTTGACTCTTAGATCTGGGTCTACTGAGTCTACGGAGCACGGAAAATGGAAGGAAAACCTAGAGCTAACAGGGTGGCCTATCAGGATGCGCCCAGTCACGCTTGTCAAGAGTTAAAGCAGCTGCCACCTAACCCCATGACGAGGACGGGGCTATCCGCTAGGACCTGCCGCCCCGCGCTCGCCCGCTGAGTCGATGGACCAGCGGACCGAGTCCGGGTCCCCATGCCATTCGGGCACCCTCTGGGCGGGCCCTACCGGTCCGCGACGCCGCGCCCCTGGTGAAGGGGCCGCTGCCCCACGCCGTCAAGGGCAGGGTGCTGGGGCGACGGCAGCGGGTATGGGGTCAGCGCGCCATCCCCGCGCACGGACCTGCCGCTCCTCGGCCTGTATCCCGTACTCCTCGCGCATCCGCAGCAGCGCGTCCTCCAGCCGCGCGCGCAGCTGCTCCAACCCGAGCGCCTCGCGCCGCAGCGCCTCTGCCTCCTGCGCGCACAGCCGCGTCTCTTCCTCCGCCTGGAGTCTGCTCTCCTGGCCGCGCCGCAGCGCCTCCTCCAGCTCGCGCACCTCGTCCTCGTACAGCTGCACCGTCTCCCGCCACGACTCGGCCACCAGCAGTGCGTAGCTGTCGTGCACCTCCCGCAGGCGTGGCGGCGGCGCGGCGGGGCCGGTGGCGCGGGCGCGGAAATGCATGGTAAGGCTGGCGGCGCGCGCGCGCAGCTCCCTCACGTCGCGTTCGTGGGCCGCGTCGAGGCCTCGGCGCTCGGCCTGCAGCCGGCCCAGCAGCGCCTCGAGGGCGGCGCGCGCGCCCAGCGCCTCCTGCAGCTCGCGCTGCTGCGCACCCAGCTCGGCGTCCAGGCGGCCGCGGGCGGCGCGCTCCTCCGCATCCAGGCGCTGCAGCTCCCGCAGCTCGCGCCGCAGAGCGTCCCGCTCGCCCTCCGCCAGCGCAGTGGCCCAGCTCAGCTCGTCCAGCTGCTGCCGCAAGCTGCGCGCCTCCTCGGCGCAGCGGGCCTGCCCCTCGGCCCACAGGCCCTCTCGCCCGCGCCGGCCGCGCAGCTCCTCCTCCAGGAGTAGGTTTTCGCGCTCCAGCTCCCGCACCCGACACACGTAGTCATAGAGCCGGGCGTTGAGCTCCTGGAGCTCGGCCTTCTCGGGGCCCGTCTGCAGCCGCCAGGACAGCATCTTGCCGGGCGTGCGGGGTTCTCGCGGCTGGCCGGCTCCCTCCTGCCCTGGTCTTGTCCCGGTCTCGTCCTCTCCGCCGCGACGCTCCGGCCTCGCCGCTGCCCCGGAGGCCCGCAGACTGGGACGCGAGCGGGAGAGCCCAGGCACTTAGCGGACGGGGCGGGCAGACTGGGCGGGCGGCCTGGGCGAGGGCCGCGGCCTCCAGCCAATCAGAGCGCGGCCCGGCGCGGCCTCTGCGGCCGCACAGCGCCCCCTGCCGCACCTTGGCGGCCGCAGGTGGTCGGTGCGGGCAGTCGGGTAACAGCGGGCGGGGTGGCGGGCTAGCCAGGCCGGGCTCAGCGAAGGGACGCCGGAGAGGGCGTCCGGGAGCATACGAGTGTCCTGGCCTTGGTGGATGGAAATAGAAGCCTATTGAGTTGCTGTGGTGCTGGCGATTTTGGAGCGACTTCTTACCCGAGGCCCTGGAGATTGGTGGCTTTTCTATTTTTAAAAAAACGATATGGGCCGGGCGCGGTGGCTCAGGCCTATAATCCCAGCATTTTGGGAAGCCGAGGTGGGAGGCTCGCTTGAGCCCAGGAGTTCGAGACCAGCCTGAGCAACATAGAGAGACCCTGTCTCTACCAAAAAAAAAAAAAAAAAAAAAATATATATATATATATATATATATGGAGCCTGGCGTGGTGGTGTCACACGCGCTGCTTGGGAGGCTGAGGCGGGAGGATTACTCGAACCCAGGAGTTCAGGGCTGCAGTGAACCTGATTGTGGCACTGCGCTCCAGCCTGGGCAACAGAGAGAGGCCTCATCTCATATATATACATTACACATACATGTGCATTAATTTTTTTTTTTTTTTTTTTGAGACAGAGTGTCGCTCTTGTTGCCCAGGCTGGAGTGCAATGGCACGATCTCGGCTCACCACAGCCTCCGCCTCCCGGGTTCAAGCGATTCTCCTGCCTCAGCCTCCCGAGTAACCGGGATTACAGGCCAGCGCCACCACGCCTGGCTAATTTTTTTTTTTTTTTTTTTTTTTTTTTTTTGTATTTTTGGTAGAGACGGGGTTTCTCCATGTTGGTCAGGCTGGTCTCGAACTCACGACCTCAGGTGATCCGCCCACCTCGGCCTCCCAAAGTCCTGGGATTACTGGCGTGAGCTACCGTGCCCAGCCTAAATAATCTTTTTAACTTAAAACATAAATATATATCCATTTACCAGTATTTTAATGTGCAAAATACTTCTCTTGATGTCAGTTGACAGGAGTCCCAGTTGCCCTTCTTATACAAGCTACCCTCATAGTACATTACATTTTCCAAAACGAATTTCTTTCATTTGGAGTGAAAACTTAGAGACCATAAAGTGCTCCAAGTACAGAACTTTCTAGACATCTAACATCTCCCCGAACTTTTACAAATCTCACACACACACCCCTAATGTGACAGCTGTTTCTTTCCAGCATTTCCCTAAGAAAGTATTCAGTTTAATTGCCATGGAAACCACAGCTCTTTTTTGTACACTTGCATTTCATTAGTTTTCATGGCAGTTATTTATGAATGACAGTTCTCAGTATAAGTGTCATTAAGGCTCACAGGGACAAACCAGCTGACCCTTGGTTGGGGTGCCCTTGAACTTGTGGCAACACAAGTGCCCAGGGCGAGACCTGGACGGTCATCCACTGGCCAGAGGGCTCCTCATGGCAGGGCCAGCAGTTAGTGTATTTTACAGATGGCATGGAAAGGTGGACTACTCAGCAAGCTGGTCCAGGGCCTCTGACAAAGCTTCTAGTGCTCTCCTTGTCACAGCCATGAGCCTCCAATCACAAGCAAGGCAGAAAGTGGCCCTTCCTTTTTCTAGAGACCCTATGTTGGAGATCCCATTCTGTAGGTGGTAGAAATTAATATCTTTCAATGAATAATTCCCTGTCCTTTTCTGCTAAAACTAAGTGGGGGTGGAAAGTGGGTTTATTCAGTGCTTGGGTTCATTCACCTTGGTGTGGGACAGGGGGATTTGGACCCCCATCACCCCATCATTGTCCATCCTCCCATTCCCCCAGGTGCACACTGACACCTGGCCTTTGCTTGTCAAACACCAGAGCTGCTGTGGTGTCATCGCCCAAACCTATGTGGAGACCCTGCCGGTCCTGGGCCCCTCTGGGACATTGGGGTGCGGGGGGGCGGCTCTCACAGTTGCCTGGACTCCGCTGCAGCTGTTTGTTCTCAGCTCTTTGACTCCCCACGCTAACGGGTTCTGCTGTCCCACATCCCCTGGCTGGGCAGGGGGCAGCCCTGCAGGGTGGGAGAGCCTTCTCAGGGACCAGTGAGTCCCAGCAGGACACTTTGCAGTGACTCATTAGTCTTTCTTTGCCCAGTGCCCTTCAGGGTCTTGGACTTTGAAACTCAAAACCCTTTCCCCCATTTCTGCTGTAAATCCTGTCCCTGAGGAATTGACTGCTCCAGCATGCAGCTGCCCCGGTAGGGAAAGAGTTATAGGGGATCAGGAACTAGCAGGGCCGGGAGGTGGGAGGGGGGAAGTACCCCCAGCTACTCTTTCAGGATAATATCCTGCTGCTTCATACTGAATCCTCACAACACTGAAGCTCGGAGGGGTGAAGTGACTAGAAGTATTAGAGTTGTGACCACAAGAGCAGACTTGAGCAGGCAGGGTCTGGCCAGGAAGCAGAGGCAAACTCAGAGGGAAGGGAATGATTGATGGGATGGGGATGGATGGGATGAGGAAGCACCAGGGACCAGCAAGAGCAAGAAGCTAAGAAGCCGTTAGCGCCTTAGGGTGTTGGCTGAGCCTGGAGAAGCCCAGAGCGCTGGAAAAGAGGAGCAGAATGGATCCCAGGAGGGAGCAAGAGGAGGAAAACCCAGTTCTTCCTTCATCCAAGCCTCCCTTCTCTTGCCAATACTTCCCGCTGTGGAAGCCAGAAGTCACAGGAGCCTGGCAGTGGTGCACTGCGGTTGGCTCCCACAGGTTTGTGAGTGCCAACTGTTAAATTTTTAGAATTTTATGAACCACTTGTTAAACACAGCCATTATTAAAAATTAATTATAGAAGCTTACAACTAATTATACAAAAAGAGCAAACACATATTCAAAACGTATCACTTCCTCAGTATTTCACTGCATTTTCCTATGATCTGCTCTTGAAGTTATGAATGAGCAGTGTGCCTGCACCATAGAAATGCCATTTAATGTGTACTACCCTACTCCATATTCACTGACATCATGTTGGTAGCTTGAGTATTTACAACACAGAAATCAGCCAATGACTTGTTTTTGTGGATTTGATGTTTTGTTGATTGTCTAGCCTTTAAAAGCAGTGGAGAGTATGTTAATAGTGCAGATTAAATTTAGTGGTATGTTGTGTGTCTAGCTATTGAATTGTGAACAGCACAAAAACGTGAGGAAATGTTTGTCCGGTGTCTCGAAACTTGTATCCAGATCAGGAAAGAAGTTGCTTCATAGCTGGGCGTGGTGGCTTACACTCGTAATACCAAGACTTTGGGAGGCCAAGGCATGCAGAGCACTTGAGCTCAGGAGTTCGAGACCAGCCTGGACATGGCAAAACCCCCTCTCTACAAAAAATACAAAAATTAACTGGGCATGGTGGCATGCACCTGTAATCCCAGCTACTTGGGAGGCTGAAGTGAGAGGATTCCTTGAGCCCAGGAGATCGAGGTTTTGGTGAGCCATGATTGAGCCGTTGCACTCCAGCCTGGGTAGCAGAGTGAGATCCTGTCTTAACAAAATTTAAAAATACAAAAAAAATTTAAAAAGAAGTTACATCATGATGAAGAATAAATGAAATTTCTCAGTTATTTCACCTTTGTCTTTCTTGCTAAGGTAAACAAAAATATCAATCAATATTCATGGTGCTGCATTCATTTGTCAACTGTAATCATAAATGCACTAGGAACACCAGAGTTCTGCAAAAATCGATAAAACCATTCTGCCAGAATCAATTTGCTATTTGGAATTTATGATAAGGAGCAGTGTATACTTTATTATTTTTTGCAATAAAAATTTGAAAGCCACATTGCTAACATATTAACAACTATGCATTTCTATTAATAGCTTAATGGCAAAAATAAAAGTCCTGCAATCTTCACTTCTTATTGACATTTTTCTATTCAATAGAATATATATATATAGTCTTCCAGCTTAGATTACACAGGTGATATCTGGATAGATAGATCATGGGATTCAGTAAAACAGTTTTTACTTTGAATGAAAAAAAATGACCTGTAAATTTTTTTTTCTAGAATTGACCTAATACAAAACAAATTGCTCAGGACCCGGTAAGGCACTAGTGTATTTTTATCTTTTTAACCACAGCCCTCTTTCGCAGGCTGAACACCTTAGGGACCATCAACCCCCGGTGGTGTCGTTTCCAGTGAAAACCGAACTCCGGGATGTAGCCGGATTGGAGAGAAGCGAGTGACGCGTGCGCCCCCTTCCTGCGGCGGATGGATGAACGGTAGGAAGCTCGCGGTCGGCGGTGAAAACACCCGGCCGCTGGGGCAGCGCCGCCCAAGGAGGGTGGAAGGGCGCTGCTCCGGGATGGAGACCAGAGGGGCGGCTCTGGGGCCGCCTCGGGCGGGGGACCCCCTGAGCCTTCGCTTGAGCGGCGCCGTGGATCGGAAGCAGCGCGGGCCCGCAGCCACAATTTCACCAAAGTCCAAGAAGCAGGAGGCTGCGCGCGCCGGGGGCTGCAGCCTTTTCCATTAGCCCCTGCTCCGGGCTGGGGAAGCGGGAATAGCGAGTCTTTCCCGACTCGGAGGACCTGGCACGGTGTGGCCTGCGCTCCACGGGGCTCCCAGGCATGTGCAGTTATTGTGGGGTGGGGCGATTAATAGATCTGCTCTTCCCTCTCCCCCTACCCCAGCTCATTCCTTCTGCTCACTGCCTGAAGGGAAGCCTATGCCCTAGACGAAAAGAAAAGGCCTGACTGGTCTCCAAAATCCAAGATTTTAGGAACTCGGGGAAGACTTCTAGCTGGAAAAAAGTTGGGGAGAAAATCCTGAAGGAAGGCTGAGTAGCGTTGGGTTTCCGCAGAGGCAAGAAAATATTGAAGGAGGGGTGATGGAGTGGAATGGAAGCACAGCCCTGGGTCATAGTGAAGGGAGATTTGCACCCCTTCCTGGGCAGAGCCCCAGGAGACAGCAAAACCCCAGTTATGTTGTGGGATCCAAGCAACGATCCCACGGGCCCCTTGTGCCCTACTTCCCAGAGGTAGCCTTGGGGAAGTTGTGGGCCTGAGCGGAAGGGCCACAGCATGGCCCAGGATAGCCTTCCTCCATGCCCTCGCCCTGCACCCCATCTCCCCCAGCCTGAGTGAGGCCAGGGGCCTGAGCACCACCTGGAAGTGGCAGAGGACCGCAGACCTGTGGGAGCCACTCCACCAGCATGGGGCCACACCAGCAGGGCCACATCCGTCTCTAAGGTTCCTTTGTGCAAATTGGGAAAAGGCACCCTTTGTGGGAAGATGGATGAGCCCACTGGGTGCATGACCTGGTCCGTGGATGGTTCCTTGGTGCTAAGGAAGAGATGCCCTGCCTCAGGGTGGAGGCTGTCCTGCACCCACTTCCATAGCTCAGCAAGGACAGCACAGGTGGGATTTCAGTCCCACTGATCACCCCATCCGGATATGTTTGTGCAGTGAACAAGCTGGTTAACTATCCAAAGTGGTCCACTGTCCCAGCCTCTGCCTGTAGGGATGAAGATCTAGGGCTCTCTTGGAAGGCTAGTGGATGCCAGCACTGATGGGTGGCATGAGGACCAGGTGGGCCCCCCACCCTGGTGCCTTAGCACTGTGTAAGTCCTCAACAGTTCTGGTGCAATCTAGGGAAGGGGATCAGGTCTCTAACCCCTTGAATGGATGGGGATTGAGTTTTCATCACCCTGTGCTTATTCCCTGCCTCCCTAAGTTTGTGGACCGAGAGGCATGCTTGCCCCCGACAGGCTTGGCCAGGTAGGAAATGAAGCCAGTGGGAAAGGGAAGTGCGTCGAGCTGGCGGGAAGGGCTGGGCCAGGCACAGTGGTGTGGAGTGGACTGACCCACTTTGCATCCTGGCACTTAGTACCAGCATAAGCTTAGGCATGACAACCCCTCTGAGCCCACCTCCTTATCCATATAATAGTAATAATGAGAACAAAATAGACCTTCTTATAGAGGTGTTAGAAAGACTAAGCTTTCACGTCCATTGGCCTCAATGGAGAGCTTGTTAAAATGCAGATCCCTGGGCCCCACACACAGAGTTTCAGAGTCAGTAGCCTGGAGTGGGCTAAGCATTAGTCCATTCCCAGGTGAGGAAGATGCTGCCAGGCAAGGACCACAAGGAAACCTCCTGGCTCCCACCATCAGAGTTAGTCCTTGTATAGTCTTGCCACGCCAGGCACTGTTCTGAGCTCTTCATGTGGATGAACTCACAAGCAGTACAGCAGCCCGTGCAGCGGGTACCATCAGCTCGAGGTGAATGATGTGGAGGCTGAGCCACAGGGTGGTCAGCTTGCCCGAGCCCGTGCAAGTAAAAAGTGGCAGAACCAGGATTTGAACCCTTACCTTACCCACTTTGCCACACTGCCCGTTACGCTGTGTGAGACGTGTTGCACAAGACTTGGCACACCGCACTCAGCAAGTGCTGGTCATCTTCATGGGAGAGGTCCTGGAGCCCAGAATCACATGGAGCCCACCGGTCAGAGGTCTGTCTCCAGAAGGCCAGGGAGAGAGGCTGAAGAGTCAGGGCACAGATGCAGATGATGGCAGCTCCGCAGGGTCTGAGACCAGCTGGGTCTAGGGAGCAGGAGGACAGGGACGAGCTGGTCCTTGAGCCTCCCAGACTCAGTTTCCTCATCTGTAAAGTAAGGATAACCCCTCCCTCATAGGATCGCTACAAGGGATAAGTAAGATGAGAATGTAAAGGCCTCAGGACACAGCGTCTTCATGCTCCGTCTCACTCCAAAATCCGAATCCAGCCACTCTTGCTCAGAGCCCACAGTGTCCCCACTCTGTCACAGCTCTTCTGGCTATTTTGGGTGGGTAGATCATTTGTCACTGTTTCATAGGAGCACAGCAGGTGTTTGTTGGGGTATAGGCTGCCTTTTCAAAAGGTACAAAAATAGCATTTGTCACATAAAAAAAATGCAGTAATCTAAGCTGCACAACTTCCCTCTCTTAATTTGGAAAGTCATGTCATAATCATTACAAATGAACTTGGGAAGAGCCCCAAGTGACAAAGAAACATCCCCTGTTTAATCTTCCCAACAGGGACAAGACTTCTCACTTCCACTGAAGAACTAAAAAAAGAATAATTTGCCGTCAAAGAACAGCATATTTGCTCTCCCTGCCCTTAGAAGCACATTTTCTGTGGAGTTTGTTGGTGGTGTTCATGATAGGGTAACTCGAAAGCTAGTTTTTGAGTCCCCTCTGTGTGCCTGGTGCTGGGCTGGGCCCTGGGAACACAGAAAGGAGAAAGACACAGCCGTCTTCCTCATAGACCCGGGGCCTGGGGAGGCCAGAGAGCTTGGGGAAGTTCCTCTCTTCCCCCAACGCTGTCACAAGTGCCTGCTTCTCCCTAATTGCCACCCACCAGTCGTTTAGCCACTCACCTCTTCTCTATCTACCTGCTGCTGCTCCAATCCAATCTCATGGCTTTAAATACAGTAACATGCCAGTGATCCTCGGATGTGTCGCTGCAGCCCAGACTGCTGTTCTGACCCCGCTGTGTCTTGGGCAGGGCTCTGTGGATGACATGACCCCCATAGATCCCTACTCTAACACGGGGGCCATGGTGGTGCTATGGGTCCCTGGGTATCCGCATCAATTTGGACGCCACAGTAGGAACCAACCATCCTGAAAAGAAATGAGTGCTCGCGTCCTAACTGGCTGCAGTCGCTCTGGGGAAGGACCAAGGCTCTCACTTGCCATAGAGGTTGTCGGGTCCTTTCAGCCAGTGTGTTCTGGTGGCTCAGGGTCAGAAAACTGGATCATAACTTGGCTTAGAAGTGTTTTTGATTATATATATACTTGGGGATGTTTCTGCCGGCAGCCCATTTATCTTTCCCCTAGGAACACCGTGTTCTATGATTCACAGATCCCTCAGATCCCTGAGTCTGTAGAACCCTTAGTTCACTCCCCACCCCCATGGCCATTCCAACTTTGCAGCTCATAACAGTAATTATACTCACCTTTTTTATGAGACTTATGGGCTGCCATCCGCCCTCTGCTAGGCCTGTAGCCAGTGGCTCTCAAAGTCTAGTATCTGGATGAGCAACAGCAGCATCACCTGGGAACGTTTTAGAAATGTACACTCTCTAGCCCCGGCCCAGACCTGCGGATGAAACCTTGTGTGTTTTGACAAGCCTCCAGTTGATTTGAATGCATGCTAGTTTGAGAGCCACTGCTGCGTCTTCTCATGCCCACCAGAGAGGCCAGCTCTGTAACAGCGTCTCTTCTGTCAGTCCCTCCCCTCCAGAGGACAGGTACCACTCAGCTTCTCAGTGGGGTGGTGCCCCTCACCAGCTGCTTCCTTATCACTGTGATAGATGGAGGATCCTCCAGGCCGCCCAAGGAACGTAGCTAGCCTGGTGGGTTTTCTGGTCTTACGCCCACTTCTCTGATATTTGTTCCTTCCCTCCTGCATTGTGTGTCCTGGCATCTCTACTTCATTCATTTAATGTGTACTATCCCTTTCCCAGGCTTCCCAGGGCTACCCCAGCAGCACACTAGCAGCTGCCCAAGGCCCTTGCCAGGGAGTGAATCCTTGTCGCAGGACACTGCCCGCACACCAACAACTCTCTCATACTCCAGCCATATAGCCTTGACCCACAAGCCCACCTTGACCCAGCACCTTACAGACCACCTATCCTCCCATTCCCAGGCTTTCCGCTCCAGTCCCTGCTGACATGCATGAATCAGGTTGTGTAGCACCTTTGCTGTATAATTCCCCTCCTTCCTGAGCTGGCCCAGTACTTCCCAGCTGGGCTTGCTGAGGTTTGACGTTAGATACAGATCTGGTGGCCAGGAGAGAGGTGCTGGTGGACCATGAAGGGAAGGCATTGCCTTGTAAAGCCCCTGCCTAACATTTGTGGCCTCTGCGTAGTCTTCTGGCAGAAGTTGGTGGTTGGGGGCAGGGGCCTATATTCCTGAAAGGGGGAGTGGGTCACTTCTGCAGGGGAATCTGGAGATCCTTGGTTCTTACCTGCAGTCCCCAAATACCCCCATCCCAAGTCTCACAGTCCCACTCCTTTCCCTTCAGAGCCCTGGCTTTGACATTAGAGACTTGCCTAGAATGAGAACTCAGCCTCTCTTACAATTAGAAGCTGTGCCTGCTCTTCCATTCTCTTTGCCTTCTGCCTGCAGGGGGTGAGGGTCTCTTTAAAGGCAGCCAAGTAGGCCCTGTGACTCTCACAATTGGCTGTAAATCACTGAGCAACAGATCTGAGACTGACATTTTCTCTCTTAATGAGTTAGTGGCACTTAGCAAAAGTCACTTGATTTTACGGTCCTTCTATTACAGTTTCCTCCAAACCTCTCAAGAGCCCGTGGGATTTTACCCTTTCACCTGCCTCCGCTTCTGCTGTATCTTGTCCCAGTTCGTTAAGTGTGAAGGTCTCAGCAGCCACACCTCGACAGCATACCGGGAACTCTCAATACTCCTCTACCCATTAGCAATAAACAATCCAAAAATTCAGTTAATATTCATTTACTGTTTTTATTTTTGTGTAAATGGAACTTTAATTTAGAAGTTCCATCCATGGCTGGGTGTAGTGCCTCATGCCTGTAATCCCAGCACTTTGGGAGCCTGAGGTGGGCAGATCATTTGAGGTCAGGAGTTTGAGACTAGACTGGCCAACCTGGTGAAACCTCATCTCCACTAAAAATACAAAAAAAAAAAAAAAATAGCCAAAAATTAGCTGGGCGTGGTGGCAGGCGCCTATAATCCCAGCTACTAGGGAGGCTGAGGCAGAAGAATCACCTGAACCCGGGAGACGGAGCTTGCAGTGAGCTGAGATGGTGCCACTGCACTCCAGCCTGGGCGACAGAGCAAGACTCCATCTCAAAAAACAAAAAACAAACAAAAAAAGAAGTTTCATTCATAATATAAAAAAATTACTTAGGAATAAATTTAACAAAAGAAATTCAAGACTTGCACCCTGAAAATGACCAAACATTCTTAAGATACATTTTTAAAGAGACCTAAACTGATGGAAAGACAGCCTGTGTTCATGGATTAGAAGATTTACTATTGTTAAGATAGCAACACACATACATACACACACATACACACATGCACACACATGTAATCCGTGTCTACAGGCATGTCTATATTTATTTCTCTATGTATCTAGCTGGCTGTCCACACACAAGTTCATACTGATGCCTCCAACTCCCATCCACAAGGATTGTTCTAGCCTTCCTTCCCTTATTTCTCATTTGTAACTTCTTTCTCCAGCAGTGAGAAGCCTGGCTCTCATTACCTGTAGTATAGTTTTTTATTTGTTCACCCCTTGTGTATATGTAAAGTAGTTTCTCCATAGTCTTTTCAAAACCTAAATCGGATCAGTCCTTCGCTCAAAACCCTCCCGTGCCTCCCCATTTCTTTTAGAGTAAACCCAAAGCCCTGGACATCTGACCTACAAAGCCCTACGTGCTGTGGATCCTCAATACATATTGATCAACTCACCCCTCCTTCTGCTTCTGCCCTAGATTCGTTGGCCCCCCTTGTACATGACAGGCTAGGTGATGGAAGGGGACTGACTGAGAAGGGGAACAGGAACCTTCTTGGTAAAACAGAACTCTTCCACATCTTGACTTGCGTGGTGGTAACACAACTATACATTCTAGTTCCTTAAGCTGCACACTAAAAATTAGTAAATTTTGGCCGGGCGCGGTGGCTCACGCCTATAATCCCAACACTTTGGGAGGCCAAGGCAGGCGAATCACGAGGTCAGGAGATCGAGACCATCCTGGCTAACACGGGGAAACCCTGTCTCTACTAAAAATACAAAAAATTAGCCGGGCATGGTGGCGGGCGCCTGTAGTCCCAGCTACTTGGGAGGCTGAGGCAGGACAATGGTGTGAACCCGGGAGGCGGAGCTTGCAGTGAGCCAAGATCGTGCCACTGCACTCCAGCCTGGGTGACAGAGCAAGACTCCATCTCAAAAAAAAAATAGTAAATTTTAGTTACATATGCTACAATAAAGTTGATTTTTTTAAAGAGACGTTTATCTCGGCCAGGCGGGGTGGCTCACGGCTGTAATCTCAGCTCTTTGTGAGGCCAAGGCAGGTGGATCACCTGAGGTCCAGAGTTCAAGACCAGCCTGGCCAACATGGTGAAATGCCATCTCTACTAAATATAGAAATTAGCCAGGCATGGTGGCATGCACCTGTAATCCCAGCTACTTGGGAGGCTAAGATAGGAGAATTGCTTGAACCCAGGAGACGGAGGTTGCAGTGAGCCGAGATGGCACCACTTCACTCCAGACTGGGTGACAGAGCAAGACTCTATCTCGAAGGAAAAAAAAAAGAGACATTTATCCCAAGAAGTGCTATCTACAGTATCATTTGAAATGTTAGTTTTATGTTTCTAAAGTACTTTGAAGTACTTTGGGAGGCTGAGGCAGGAGGATCACTTGAGGCCAGGAGTTCAAGACCAGCCTGGGCAACATAGTGAGGCCTCATCTCTTACTAAACATAAAAAACTTGGCTAGGCGTGGTGGTGTGCCTGTAGTCCCAGCTACTCAGAAGGCTGAGGCAGGAGGATCGCTTGAGCCCAGGAGTTTGAAGATGCAGGGAGCTGTGATCACCACTGCACTCCAGCCTGGGTGACAAGCAAGACCCTGTTTCCAAAAATAAAATATTTAAAAAAAAATAAAGTAGATAAAACACAAACTGTTTTGTCAGTGACCACATCAAAAGGAAATACATTTTTCATTGCACACACATGCAAGCAACTGAAACAAAAATTCTACAAAGCATTACTTATCCCTCCAATGTTTTAATCTCCTTTTTAGTGCTGGATTGGTGCCACAAATTTAATATCATGACTCATTAATGGATCTTGCTTTATAATTTCAAAACCCTTCATTCAAATGATGCCGTCTACACGTTAGTCAATTACATGGGCCTGGCATTCATCAACACCTGTGGGTTTTCTTTTCTTTATTTTTTTTGAGACGGATCTCACCCTGTCGCCCAGCCCAGCCTGGAGTGCAGTGGCGTGATCTTGGCTCACTGCAGCCTCCACCTACCAGGTTCAAGCAATTATCTTGCCTCAGCCTCCTGAGAATCTGGGATTACAGGCGCCTGCCACCACACCCGGCTCATTTTTGTGTGATTAGTAGAGACGGGGTTTCACCAAGTTGGCCAGGCTGGTCCAGAACTCCTGACCTCAGGTGATCCGCCCACCTCAGCCTCCCAAAGTACGAGATTATAGGCATGAGCCGCCATACCCGGCCCACCTGTGGGCTTTCTAAATGTGGTGGACAATGAGTCTGATTGAACACATTTCTGTAATGGGCCTCCGCTGGCCACCCCTCCACTCCCACCTTCCTGAAGACTCCTGGCCTGTGGTTGGGGAAATGCTGCCCTCAACTCAAGCCCACCCTTTCTAACCTCTTACCACCTCCTCAATAGTAAATTTCCTACATCAACTCGCAAGCGGCTAAATCAGCAGGCAAGGATAATTTATGGACTCACAAACTACTTGAAATTGTTTTTGCACTGTATTGGGGGATTGTCTGGATGACGTCGATAGCTATGGTCAGGAAGCTGGTTTCAATTTCTCGATCACAAAGTGTCAGCATCATCAATAAAAATGTCAGTGGCAGCCAAGGCAACTGAAGTTCTTACAAAAGCTACCAAGGCCCTCCTTCCAGATAGCCCCGAAGTTTAGTCATCAGCAGCCAAAAGGGTAACTCAGAGCTGGAGCCTTTGATTAATACTGCCATAGTTGAAGCTCACAGAGTTAGATTTGGAGACATCGGGGTTAAATCGTGGACTCTCAGCCTAGCCCCACCCCATTCATCCCCATCTGCCTAAATCCATCTATACTTCAAGGCCCAACTCAGATGTTACCTCCTCCGCAAAGCCTGCCCTGAGGGTGGCGGTGGAAATCAGGCCTGCCTTTGAACTGTCAAGGGTGTTCAGTTGTAACTTTCTGATGAAGTGTGCTCCATTCTACTGGGTAATCTCATTCGGTATATCCCACTCCACACCACTCCTGTGACCTTGTGGTTAGGGACCATGATTGTATTCTTTATCCTGGAATCTCCATGCTGCCTAGTCCAGTTCTTGCTTTTGGTAAGCACTGAATGAGTAAAATATGTGGCTGCTAAATTGCAATGTTTTAAAATATAGAAAGTCTGGGTTCAAGTTCTGGTTTGGTGATTAACTTCTGGTGTGATGTTGGCCAACTCACTCAGAGGTTATAACTCTCGGACCTTAGCTTCCTTAGCTGTCATTAAGGGAACAAGATGCCACTATTTCTAAGATTCTGGGGTAGCCAGCCTCCAAGACAGTGCCCAGTGATCCCCATCTCCTGCCGTTACTTCGTCATTGTACCTAGGGTGGTTGGTATGTCACTTCTGATAGTGGATTATAAAAGGTACTATGGGCCAGGCGCAGTGGCTTATGCCTGTAATCTCAGCACTTTTGGGGGCCGAGGTGGGCAGATCAAGAGTTTGAGACCAGCCTGACCAACATGGTGAAATCCCGTCTCTGCTAAAAATACAAAAATCAGCTGGGCGTGGTGGTGCATGCCTGTAATCACAGCTACTCAGGAGGCTGAGGCAGGAGAATCACTTGAACCCAGGAGGCGAAGGTTGCAGTGAGCCGAGATTGTGGCACTGTACTCCAGCCTGGGTGACAGAGTGAGATTCCCTCTCAAAAAAAAAAAAGGTACTATGGCTTCCTTCTTGGTCATTCTCTCTCTGCTTTGGATCCCTCACTCTGGGAGAAGTTAGATGCCATGTCATTGGCACCCTTTGGAGATGTAGCCAGTGAGTAACTGAAGCCTCTGGCCCACAGCCTGTGAGGAACCAAGAGCTGCCAGCAACCATGCAAGTGAGCCTGGAAGTGGATTCACCAGCCCCAGCCAATCCCTGAGACAACTGCAGCTGTGGCCCAGCTTGACTGCAGCTCCATGTGAGAATCGGAGCCCAAGCAACCCAGCTAAGCCACTCTTGGATTCCAGACCCTCAGAAGCTGTGAGATAATAAATATTTGCTGATTTGAGGTCCTTTGTTACACAGCAATAGATAACTCATACAAATTGTTTCTGGCTCTAAAATTCTATAAGCGTGAAGTCCCTGAAATACAGCTATTGCATTCAGGAAAAGCCTGATTTACAGCAATTGTCAATCCTTCCCCTCCTGCCCCCAGCCAGAATCATAAAGAGATAATACAAAATATGTCAAAACATATTGTAGAATCACAATATTTATTTTATTTGTTTTTATAAGAGTTCCCAAAGCCTTGTTGATTTTGCTTCACTGAATCCTTTATTTAACAAATGAAGGTGGAAATCCAGATAAATTAGGTGATTGGAAGAATGCAAATGTGTTTCACTTTCACAACATTTGCAATTCCTCGGTGGTGAATGAAAATGAGGTACAGGCTTGCTTTGTTTCACTTCTGCCTCATCATGAGAAATGCATCTTGAGCGGTGGTAATACTTGCACATGTCTCCCCAGGCAGCCATGGGCCCGGGGAACTCTCAGGGGAGAAGAGTGAGTGCAGCTTGCTAAGTCACCTCCAGAAAAATAGCTGAAGGTTGGAAACAGACAGCTGGGCAATGGGGCTACCAGGTCAGACTGGATTAACAGAAGACTTTTGACAGGACAGGTGACAAGAAGTGATTTTCTGTTTAAAATGGAGACCATCCATGATAAACAGGGGGCTGGGAAGGAAATTAAGAGCATGGAGGGTGGGTTCAGGAGGCATGTGTCTTCTCTGGCTGTGGTTTGAGCCCTGGTGGTTCCCCCAGATGAAAACAAGCAGCTGATGGCCTCATCAGCTGATGACAAAGGCTGATGACAAGTGCAAGGATGAGTTTGGAAAGATGGTAAGAAGGGGCTGGAAGAGGAAAGAGAATGCTGAGGGTGATAAAGCACATTTGGAGGGCAAGGGTCTGTTCTGCCCACTATGGGTCTCTAGATTTGGTGTTCCATGGAAGAGACCCTCAACATAGGTTTGTTGAAAGGATGGGAGTGCATGTGAAAATGAAATTAGGAAAAGGGGCACGGTGGCTCACACCTGTAATCCCAGCACTTCGGGAGGCTGAGGCGGGCAGATCACCCGATGTCAGGAGTTTGAGACCAGCCTGGCCAACATGGCAAAACCCTGTCTCTACTGAAAATACAAAAATTAGCTGGGCGTGGTGGCGCATGCCTGTAATCCCAGCTGCCTGGGAGGCTGAGACAGGAGGATCACTTGAACCAGGGAGGCAGAGTTTGCAGTGAGCCGAGACCATGCCACTGTTCTGCAGCCTGGGTGACACAGTGAGACTACGTCTCAAAAAAAAAGAAAAGAAATTAGGAAAAATAAGAAAAGAGGTGTGGATGGGTGGGAGATGACTCTGGAAGATTAAAAGTGTGTTGCTCTGAAAGCATTTGCTTTATCAAATGGGCTTTTGTTGCAGTATTTTCTTATTTAAGTAATGTGGTCATTTAGATAAACCCCATCTTGAACTTAATAATTGCCTCTTGAATCAAAAAGATTGAAGCCGCCATGCCCATATTCCTGGCTACTCAGAAGGCTGAGGCAGGAGGATCACTTGGGCCCAGGAGTTCAAGGCCAGCCTGGGCAACATAGCAAGACCCCATCTCAAAAAAAAAAAAAAAGATCTAAATAGTCTTAACTGGTTGGGGAGCTTTGGACTTTTTGGTGTTGCTGTGGAATAAAGGAGAAGTATGGGTAAGAAACAAGATGTGTGAGGCTGGAGGGAAGAGGGAGAAGCTGATGGGATGCCCAGTCTGAGAGTCAAGTCTTTTACGGGACTTAAGACCAGAGAGTTCTTTTTTTATTATTATTGTTTTAGACAGAGTCTTGCTGTGTCACCAGGCTGGAGTGCAGTGGTGCAATCTCGGCTCACTGAAACCTTCACCTCCCAGGTTCAAGCAATTCTCCTGCCTCAGCCTCCCGAGTAGCTGGGACGACAGGCACGTGCCACCACACCCAGCTAATTTTTTGTATTTTTAGTAGAGACGAGGTTTCACCATGTTGGCCAGGATGGTCTTGAGCTCTTGACCTCATGATCTGCCTACCTCGGCCTCCCAAAGTGCTGGGATTACAGGTGTGAGCCACCACGCCCGGCCAAGACCAGAGAGTCGTTTGGCTGCAAACCTCCTATTGATTTCAGCAAACCTGGCTACTTCACCAAGATCACTGCGGTAGCTTCCTTGCTCCTTCCAAGAGATCCCTTTCCAATTGCTGGACCACACAGAGCTGAACGCACTGCTGCTCCACCATGTGAGTTTTCCCTTTGTGAATGAAATAAAGACATGCTTGAGGAGTGAATAGCAGAAAAACCCATCAAAATGGAAATACTGTGCTAGGGAACGGAATTCCGGAAGATAAAGGAACTCGGTATTTTTTGGTGTATTAAAGAGCAATTTCTCCTCCTTTATATTTGTATACCCCATGAGGATTATTTTTTCTGAAGCCAAGTATTTGGATAGATGCGATAATAGATGTGAAAGTGTCTCAAGTCCAATAAGCTGTTGTTTGCTAGTGACGGTAGTACAGTGTTTCACTGGCTCTCCCCACGTAACTGTCAGGAAGGGAGGAAGCAAATGTCATTGATACTTTGCAACAACACCAAGCCACAGAGTTTTGAACAATTTGCTCAGTGTGACAGGACGAGTCGGAGTGGGTCATGGGGTGACAAGTACCAGATCTTGGGTCCTAGATACGCTTTTTCCACTGAGATCACACTGGATTTTGACACAGGGATCTTGGCTGGTGGGGGTGGGGGGCGGGGAGGCAGCAGATCCCAAACAGTCAAGTCTTTACCTGGCAAGTTAGTAGAAGGCCATGGTGTGAAGACAACCCCAGACCACACTCAAACCTGGAAGTAATTCCTGTTGAACTTTGTACAGCAGGACACAAGGTTAGAATACCTGGGCAGACATGAATACTGAGTCAGGTGGAGGCTCAGTCATTTTCTGGGATTTGATTAGACAGGAGGCACGAGAGACCCAGGGCTGCTAGTATGGGAGAGGGTGGGTAATATTTGAAATAATAGCCAGATTCCCCTTCCCCATGTTGTCAGCTTTCTAGGTCACTTAGGGAAGGATGATCAGCAGAAAGTAGGGAAGGGCAAAGATTCAGACACTGGCCTTCGCTTTTCCAATGCCTCAGTCTTGGGGTGATGGAAGAAACCTCGTGTATGCGGCACCTGGGAGAACTACCCTGGAGAAAGAACACAGCTTTCTACCCTCCACCCTGAACCCCCAGGCCAGGAAAGATTTTTCCCCCTTGGCAGAGTGGAAGAGTTGTCGAGAAGGCCGGGAGTGGACTGGTGCTTCCCAGGGAAGGGCGCCTGTGACCTGTTCCCTTGGGCTCTACCCTGGGCAGAGGAACAACCAGGGAGGCCGTGGCACCTGGGAGGGTGGCAGGATTCCGGAGGAGAAGTATGACTGTGCAGTAAGGCTAGGCAGAAAGGCCTGGCCAGACTCACAGCCCATCCTGTCAAGGGAGCAGCAGAATGTTTCCGGTGCCTCTGAGAGACTGGATTGCGTGATTAAATATACTTAATCGATTTTCAAGGAGCTCTATTCTCTTCTGAAAGGCAATGAATTTAGAAACACCCTTATATGACAATGTGATAAAAAAAATCAGGATATATGTCAGATTTCCAGCCTACTGTTTTAAAATACATATTCTAATAAATTAAAATATAGCAAGTGCAACTAACACTCCAGATGCCGAGTGGAGATGCCCATGTATAAAGCATTAGCTCTTCAAGTGCTTCACCAAAGCCGTGTTTCAGGGACTGTTGAAATAATACTGGCATGGAGCTTTTCATTCTGATTTCTCCAGAAACTTATAATGGAACAAGTATCTTTGTTTGTGTCAATGTAACAGAATTTAGGATAGTTAGGAAATATCTTTTCCTTCTTTTTTTTTTTTTCTTTTTTTGAGAGGAAGTCTCACTCAGTCGCCCAGGCTGGAGTGCAGTGGTGTGATCTCAGCTCACTGCAACCTCCACCTCCCAGGTTCAAGTGATCCTCCTGCCTCAGCCTCCCGAGTAGCTGGGACTACAGGCGTGAGCCACCACACCTGGCTAATTTTTGGTATTGTATGTTTAATAGAGACAGGGTTTTGCCATGTTGGCCAGGCTGGTCTCGAACTCCTGACCTCAAGTGATCTACCCACCTTGGCCTCCCAGAGTGCTGGGATTACAGTTGTGAGCCACCGCATCCAGCCGGAAATATCTTTTCTTACGATCATTTTACCCAATTGTCCATCATTGTTAGTAATTTACTTACAGTAAAGGAAGTCCCTAAAAGAGTGAATGGATTCTATTGTCATTGATACTATCAGCTCTTATTACTTACAGTCAAGAATGGAAAAGCCATCGCCAGCAACTGTGAGGATGGGGTGAAGACCCAAGGAGGTACTATATAGAGCCCATGAATCAAGGATGTCTGAGAAGTAAACCAAAAAGCAGGGCAGCCTAGGAGGAATACTCAAGCCTGTAAATAATACCCATGACAAATGCCCCATGGCCAGCCTCCATCTGGAGTAGCTCCAGCTTGCCTGTCTTCAGAAAGTGGCTTTAGTAGCTTGTGGATAGCAAAAGAAATACATTGCCCAATTTGGTCTCAAGTGAGTTTTGAGTTTCCTAAGTCGGTTTTGATTGAAGTGTGGAATGGTGCAAATCCTAAGTGTACCACTCACAGAATCACAGAGTGAGCCCACCCTTGTGCCATCACCAGGATCCAGAAACAGAAGAGCCTCCCTCATGTCCTCTGCCAGGTACCATCCTTTCCCTTTAAAACCGTAGACTGGAAGCTGGGCATGGTGCCTCACGCCTATAATCCCAGCACTTTGGGAGGCCGCGACGGGTGGATCACTTGAGCTCATGAGCTCAAGATCAGCCTGGCCAACGTGGAAAAAACCCATCTCTACCAAAAATACAAAAATGAACTGGGTGTGGTGGCATGTACCTGTGGTCCCAGCTACTTGGAAGGCTGAGGTGGGAGGATGTTTGAGCCTGGGCTGTGGAGGTTGCAGTGAGGTGAGATTGTGCCACTGCCCCCCAGCCTGGGCAACAGAGCCAGGCCTTGTCTCAGAACACACACACATACACACACACACACACACACACACACACACACCCCAATAGACTGAGTGAGCCAGTGGAATGGAAGCACACTGTATGCATTTTTATGTATCTGACTTCTTTCACTCCACATAGCAGTGTTATTTGTAATAGACCAGAACTGGAAACAACCCAAATGCTCAGCAACAGAAATAATGAATAAGTAAACCATAATCTATTCTACAATGGGATACAACACAGTAACCAAAATGAATGACCTGGTGCGAGACATAGCAGTGTGGGTGAATCTCACAAACAGAACATTGAGTGAAAGAAGCCAGATTCAAAAGAATATACCATTCAAACTCAAAACACAACCAGCCAGTAGCAGCAAGAGCTGTGGTTCCCTCTGGGGAGGAGAGGAAGGGTAATGTCCCAAGAGTTTTAAATTTTAAATTATAGCCATTATGGTAGGATTTAGAGTTAAGGTTTCAGATTAGGGTTAGGAGTAGTAGTCGGGTTAGGATTAGGGTCTTACAGTTTTCTGATTACTAATGAAACTGAACATTTATTTTCATATATTTATTGGCTATGTTAATAACCTCTTTTATGAAGTGTCCACGTCTTTTGCTCATTTTTCTGCAGGCCTGTGTGTCTTTTGCTCATTGAGTTGCTTTTCTGTTTCTTTGTTTTGTTTTCTTTTGAGAAAAGGTCTCACTCTGTCACTAGGCTGTCACTAGTGCGGTGACATCACCAGGCTGGGATGCGGTAGCGTCACCAGGCTGGAGTGCAGTGCGGCAGTGCCATCACTCGACCTCCTGGACTCAAGTGATCATCCCACCTCAGTCCCCTGAGTAGCTGGGACTACAAGCGCGCACCACCACACCCAGCTAATTATTGTATTTTTTTGTAGAGTTCGGTTTCCCCATGTTGCCCAGGCTGGTCTCGAACTCCTGGGCACAAGCAATCTGCCCACCTTGGCTTCCCAAAGTGCTGGGATTACAGGCGTGAGCCACCACGTCCTGCCTGCTTTGTTCTTTATATGTGTGAAATACAAGTACTTTCTTCTTTTTTTTTTTTTTTTTTTGAGACGGAGTCTTGCTCTGTCACCCAGGCTGGAGGGCAGTGGCGCAATCTCGGCTCACTGCAAGCTCCGCCTCCCGGGTTCACGCCATTCTCCTGCCTCAGCCTCCCGAGTAGCTGGGACTACAAGCGCCCACCCCCACGCCCGGCTAATTTTTTGTGTATTTTTAGTAGAGACGGGGTTTCACCGTGTTAGCCAGGATGGTCTCAATCTCCTGACCTCGTGATCCACCCGCCTCGGCCTCCCAAAGTGCTGGGATGACAGGCGTGAGCCACCGCGCCAGGCCACAGGTACTTTCTTGTATCTCTGGTTTGTACCTCTATGGTTACACATTGCAAATATTTCCTCGCACACTGAGTCTTGACTTTTCTTTTTCTTAATGAGATCTTTTAAAAATTGAGATCTAATTTACATACCATAAAATACACATGTTTAAAATGTATGTTTCAGTGGTTTTTGGTATATCCACAAGGTTGTTCATTCATCACCACTATCCAATTCCAGAACACTTCCATCATCCCCCAAAAAACTCCATTCCGTTTAACTATCACTTCCCATTCCCTTCTCCTCTCATCCTTGGCAACCACTAACCTAAACTTTGTCTCTCTGTATTTGCCTTTTTTGGACACTTCATATAAATAGAATCATACAATATGTGTGACCGTTTGTGTCTGGCTTAGTTAGCAAAGTGTTTTCAAAGTTCATCCATGTTGTGACATGTGTATTCCATTGTATACATATAATACATTTTGTTTATCAGTTTATCAGCTGATGGACATTTGAATTTTTTTTTGCTTTTTGGCCATTATAAATCATGCTGCTATGAACACTGGTGTACAAAATTTTTTGTGAACATATGATGTCAATTCTTTTGAATTTATTGCTGGGAGTGAAATTGTTGGGTCATATGTAACTCTGTTTAACCTTTTGAGGAATGACCAAACTGTTCTTAAAAGCAACCTCATCATTTTACATTCCCATCAGCAAGGTATGAGGGTTCAATTTCTCTACATCCTTGACAGCACTTGCTATTGTCTATCTTTTTTATTATAGCTATCCTAGAGAATAGAAAGTGGTATTTAATTGTGGTTTTGATTTGCATTTTCCTGATTAATGATGTTCAGCATCTTTTCATCTACTTATTGGCAATTTGTATATCTTCTTTGAAGAAATGTCTGTTCAACCTGGTGCGATGGCTCATGCCTGTAATCCCAGCACTTTGGGAGGCCAAGGCAGGAGGATCACTTGAGGCCAGGAGTTCAAGACCAGCCTGGCCAACATGGTGAAACCCCATCTCTACTAAAAATACAAAAATTAGCCAGACATGGCGGCACATGCCTGTAATCCCAGCTATTCAGGAAGCTGAGGCAGGAGAATCACTTGAACCCAGAAGGCAAAGGTTTCAGTGAGTCAAAGTCATGCCACTGCATTCCAACCTGGTTGCCAGAGTGAGACTCTGTTTTTTTTTTAAAAAAAAAAAAAAGAGAAAGAAATGTCTATTCAAATCCTTAGCTCATTTTTAAATTGTATTATTTGTTTCTTTTTGTTGAGTTGTAAGAGTTATATCTGACTACAAGTCCCTTATCACATATATGATTTGCAAA
The DNA here is from genome assembly GCF_000001405.40 of Homo sapiens. Lineage (NCBI taxonomy): Eukaryota > Metazoa > Chordata > Mammalia > Primates > Hominidae > Homo > Homo sapiens. The sequence continues at coordinate 99,083,243 of NC_000015.10, read as the reverse complement.
TAGTTTCTATCATTCTATGGGCTGTCTTCCATTTTCTTGATGGCATCCTTTGAAGTACAAAAGTTTTTAATTTTGAAGAAGTCAAATTTATCTATTTCTTCTTTGGTTACTTGTACTTTTGGTATCATGTCTAAAGAATCATTGCCTAATCCAAAATCATAAAGATTTGCACCTATGTTTCCTTCTAAGTTTGATAGTTTTAGCTTTAGTGTATGATCCACCATTTTAAGTTAATTTTGGGGTATGGTGTGAGGTAGGGATCCAATTTCACACCTTGCACGTGGATCTTCAGTTGTTCAGCACTATTTATTGGAAAGAATATTCCTTCCCACCATTAAATTGCCTCAGCATGCTTGTCAAAAATCAATTGACCATTAGTACAAGGGTTTATTTCTGGATTTTCAATTCTATTTCATTGATCTATATGGCTATCCTTATCCCAATACCACAAAGCCTTGATTGCTGTAGCTCTGTAGTAAGTTTTGAAATCAAGGAAGTTTGAGTCTTCTAACTTCATTCTTTTTTTTCAAGATTGTTCTGACTATTCTGGGTCCCTTGAATCAGAAAATTTTATATGAATTTTAGGATCAGCTTTCAACTTCTGCAAAACAAGCAGCTGGGATTTTGCTTGGAATTGAATTGGATCTGTTGATCAATTTGGAGAGTATTGCCATCTTAAAAATATTAAGTGTTCCAATCCATGAACATGGATGTCTTTTCATTTCTTTAAATCTTCTTTCAACAATGTGTTGTACTTTTCAGTTTACAAATCTTGCACATCTTTTGTTAAATTTACTCCTGTGTTACTCCGTATGATGCTACTATAAATGGAATTATTTCTTTAATTTCATTTTCAGATTCCTCATTGCTCATATATAGAAATACAATGGATTTTTGTATATTGATCTTGTATTCTGCAACCTTGCTAAACTCATTTATTCTAATAAGTTTCTTTGGTATGTATCCCTTTGAATTTTCTATATACAAGATCATCTCATCTGCAAATAGAGATAGTCTTCTTCCTTTCAAGTCTGGATGCCTTTTAGTTTACTTTCTTTCCAAATTGCCCTGGCTAGAGCCTTTGGGACAATGATGAATAGAAATAATGAAAATGGACATCTTTGCCTTGTTCTTGATCTTAGGAGAATCTTAGATCTTTTGCCTTTTCACCATTAGGTCTTTCTTTATTAAGAATGATGTTAGTTGTGGGGTTTTCATAGATGCCTTTCATCAGGTTAAGGGAGTTCCTTTCTATTCCTAGTTTGTTGAGTGTTTTTATTATGAAAGGGCGGTGGATTTTGTCAAATGCTTTTTCTGCATATATTGAGATGGTCATGTTGTTTTTTCTCTTTTATTCCAATAATATGGTATATTGCATTGATTGATTTTCTTATGCTGAGCCAAATAATGGTGCCTTTCAATAAACAGTTCTTAATCTTAATATAGGTCAATTTATTAATGCTTTACTTACTTTTTTTTCTTTTTTGAGATGGAGTCTTGCTCTGTCAACCAGGCTGGAGTGCAGTGCTGTGATCTCAGCTCACTGCAACCTCCACCTCCTGGGTTCACACTATTCTCCTGCCTCAGCCTCCTGAGTAGCTGGGATTACAGTTGCCCACCACCATGCCTGGCTAATTTTTGTATTTCTAGTAGAGACAGAGTTTCACCAAGTTGGCCAGGCTGGTCTTGAACTCTTGAACTCAAGTGATCCATCCACCTCAGCCTCCCAAAGTGCTGGGATTACAGGCATAAGCCACCATGCCCAGCCAATATTTTACTTTCTTTTGTTTTTTTGTATCCTGTGAAAGAAATCTTTGTCTATCCCAAGGTCATGAAGGCATTCTCCTATATTGTCTTTTATATGTTTTCTTGTTTTACCTTTTATATTTTGATTTATAATCCATCTGGAACTGATTTTAGTGTAAAATGTTTATAGAGATTAACATAAACATTGATTTCTAATTGACCCAGCACTGTTTATTGAAAAGATCATACCTTCCCATTGCTCCGACTTGTCACTTTTGTCATAAATTGAGCATGTGTGTGTACCTCTAGACTATTCTGTTCTATTCGTCATTTGTCTAATCTTGCTCCAAATACCACATTGTCTTAATTATTGAGCTTCATAAGAAGTCTCAATATCCTCTAGTATAAGTCCTCTTATTTTCCTTCAAGATTGGCTTGGTTATTTTTGGCTCTTTGTCTTTCTATATAAATTTTACAAGCAACTTGTGAATTTACACACACACATACAATCTCCTAGAATTTTTATTGGAATTGTATTGATTCTATAGATCAATTTTGGGGGAGAAATTACATTTTTACAATATCGAGGGTCCATGTGAGTTAACCAGCAAAGAGCTTTTTCAAGCTTTATATTTTCTATGATTTTACTCAATGAGAATAAGTAAAGCTAATAATCAAAATAACAACAATAATTTTAATACCTAACATTTGTAATAGTTACTACACACTGGATTTTTGGGTTAAGTGCTGTATAGCCATTATATTATTTACTTAGAAAAATTAACTGTTAAAATTTACCAAAAATTATGAGACCTCCATGAAGAAAGCTATACATTTTGTTACAGGGTGTAAAAACAATATTTCAACTAATTGTGAGACACAGGATGTCCTTGAATGGGAAGAATTAATCATCATAAATGTCAGTGATTTCCAAATAAATATGTACCTTAAATTAATTCCAATCAGAATATCAATGGTGTTTTCCTGGGGCTATACAAAAAGTACTTAGCATTTATATTGGAGAAATTCTAAATGTTTTAGAACTGACAACAAAAATATTTAATTGTGAAAAGACAGTGGGTGGGATTCCCTTACCAGCTATTAAAACTTTCTAGAAAACTAATATAATAATTTTAAAACTGTATGACTTTAGCTTATAAATAAGTGTACAGATCAGAAGACCAGAAAGTCAAAAAAAATCTGAGTATATATTCAAATTTAATACATGATAAAGATGGCATTTTAGTTCAGTGGGAGAGAAGATGATTTATTTAATTAATACTGCTAACATAATTGGTTATTGATCTGGAAAATAACACCTCCAGCCATGAATAAAATCATTATGAATGAATTAACCCTAAATGAAAAATAAAAAAATGGAATAAATTTAGGAGAAAATGTGTATAATTTCAAGATTGGAGCATGGCATGGGTGGGGGGTATTGCTTATGCATAACAGGAAATCTAGAATCCAGAAGAGAAAAGACAAGCTTGACTATAAAAAGTTAAAACATGGCCAGGTGCAGTGACTCATGACTGTAATCCCAACACTTTGCCAGGCCAAGGTGGGAGGATCACTTGAGGACGCCAAGAGAAGCCAGGGCAACCTAGGGAGACCCTGTCTTTACAAAAAAAATTTATAAATTAGCCAGGCATGGAGGCAGAAGTGGGAGAATTGTCTGAGCCCAGGAGTTCGTGATTGGGCCACTGCACTCCAGCCTGGGCAACAGAGCAAGACCTTGTCTCAAATAAATAAATAAATAAAAAGTAATAAAAGTTAAAACACAAGAACAGATTGGGGAAAATATCTGCAACATTCTTGATTTCTGAGTTAATATCTGTAATATATAAGGAGCTCTTGGAACTGATAAGGAAAAAAACTTACCCAATAGAAATATGCAGAAAGGACGTGACTGGGCAATACATAGGAAGGGAAATGAAAATGGTCAATAAATGAAAGATCCCCAGACTCACTAGACAGGGAAATGCAATGTATTTTATAAGGTAACATGATAGCATTTCTCACAAATCATATTGGCAAGAATTAAAAAGCTTGATAGCATTCAGTGCTTATGAAGGTGTAGATGGAACAGTTCATACAGTGTTAGTGGGAGAGTGAATTGCTGTCCTTTGGATGAAGAACGCTGGCCAGAAGCTTTGGTTAAATGTCAAACATATACACCATCTAACCAAAGAAATCCACTGGTGGATGTTATACCTCAAAGGACACATATTTACGGATGCTTTTTCATTTTTCACAGCTATTGAAAATCAGGCCTTATTTCTGGGCTCTCTGCTCTGTTCCACTGGTCTAAATGTCTGTTTTTGTACCAGTACCATGCTGTTTTGATTACTGTAGCCCTGTAGTAAAATGTGAAGTCGAGTAAGGTAATGCCTCCAGCTTTGTTCTTTTTGGTTAGGATTGCCTTAGCTATTTGCGCTCTTTTTTGGTTCCATATGAATTTTTAAATAGTTTTTTCTAGATCTCTGAAGAATGTCCTTGGTAGTTTGATAGGAATAGCATTGAATAAGGCCACATACCTACAACCATCTGATCTCTGGCAAAGCTGACAAAAACAAGCAATGGGGAAAGAGCTCCCTGTTTGATAAGTGGTGCTGGGATAACTGTCTAGTCATATGCAGAAGATTGAAATTAGACCCCTTCCTTACACCATATGCAAAAATCAACTCAAGATGAATTCAAGGCTTAAATGTAAAACCCAAAACTATAAAAGCCTTGGAAGACAACCTAAGCAACACCATTCTGGATATAGGGACTGGCAAAGATTTCATGGTGAAGACACCAAAAGCAATTTCCACAAAAGCAAAAATTGACAAATGGGATCTAATAAAATGTGGGAGCTTCTGCACAGCAAAAGAAACTATCAACAAAGTAAACAGACAACCTACAGAATGGCAGAAAATATTTGCAAGGTCTAATATTCAGCATCTATAAGGAGAAAACAACCTAATTAAAGAGTGGGCAAAGAACATGAATAGACACTTTTCAAAAGAAGACATATGTGGCCAACAAGCGTAAGAAAAAAAGCTCAAGATCACTGATCATTTGAGAAATGCAAATAAAAACTGCAGTGAGATACCATCTCACACCAGTCAGAATGGCTACTATTAAAAAGTGAAAAAATAACAGATGCTGGTGAGGTTGTGGAGAAAAGGGAATGCTTATACACTGTTGATGGGAGTGTAAATTGGTTCAACCATTGTGAAAAGCAGAGTGGCGATTCCCAAAAGAGCTAAAAACAGAACCACCATTCGACCCAGCAATCCCATTACTGGGTATATACCCAAAGGAATATAAATCATTCTATTATAAAGATACATGCACATTATGTTCACTGAAGCACTATTCACAATAGCAAAAACATGGAATCAACCTAAATGCCCATCAATAGTAGACTTTATAAAGAAGATATGGTACATATACACCATGAAATACCATACAGCCATAAAAAAGAACAAGATCATGCCATTTGCAGAAACATGGATGGAGCTGGAGGCCATTATCCTTAGCAAACTAACACAGGAATAGAAAACCAAATACTGCATGTTCTCACTTATAAGTGGGAGTCCAACGATGAGAAGACATGGACACAAAAAAGAGAACAGACACTGAGGACCACCTAAGGGTGGAGGGAGGAAGGAGGAAGAAGATCAGAAAAAAATAACTATTGGGAACTACGCTTCATACTGGGGTGACAAAATAGTCTGTACGTCAAACCTCCATAACATGAGTTTACCTATATAACAAACCTGCGCATATACCCCTGAACCTAAAATAAAAGTTTTTTAAAAAGAAAATGAGTTAGATCTAGCGTATTGACTATATGAGATATCCATAACATATTAAGTTGAAAAAGCAATGTTAAAGTACTACTGTAAGCCAGGCATGGTGGCTCATGCCTGTAATCCCAATACTTTGGGAGGCTGAGGTAGGTGGATCACTTGAGGTCAGGAGTTCAAGACAGCCTGGCCAACATGGCAAAACCCCATCTGTACTAAAAATACAAAAATTAGCCGAGCGTGGTGGCACACGCCTGTAGTCCCAGTTACTCGGGAGGCTGAGGCACAAGAATCGCTTGGACCCAGGAAGCAGAGGTTGCAGTGAGCCGAGATCTCACCACTGCACTCCAGCCTGGGGGACAGAGTGAGACCCTGTCTAAACAAAATCAATAAAATCCAAGTATGAAGAAGAAGGAAAAAAGCAACCTCTATATATGCTTTATACAGGAAATGTTTTTTATGATACATGTGATTTATAATCACTGCATAAAGTGTTTCTACCTTTTAATCCATTGTTTTGGTTGCAAAGGTCACCAGTTCTCAAGCTTGGCTGCCCTTTGGAATCACCTGGGGATTTTTAAAAACGCTGATGTCTGGGCCCTACATCCAGAGATTCTGATTTAATTGTGATGGGGTACGGCCTGGACATCAGATTTTTAAAGGCTCCTCAGGTGATTTTCATGTGAAGCAAACCCTGAGGACCAGTGGCATAGATAACTGAGGTCTGAAGCCCAATTTTGGAATAGTTTGACATATGACCTGTGAAGCTATTTTTGCAATTGTCCTGTTAACCACTAGATGGCGTGTTATCCACACTACAGCATTTCGACAACCAGGGTTTTGCCGAACTCTTGGGGAGGTGAAGGACGGAGGCAAGCAGGAAGCAACCAAGGATCGAACGGAACAGACCTGGGACCAGGAATTGTGCCAGATTCGGGCCTCATCCTGCATCACGTAGTGAGCATACAGCTTTTTTTTAAGTTCTGGGGGAAAAAATTATCATCATTAAGCCTGACTTTCCTTCAAGTCAGAGAGGAGCTGCTCCTTAGTCTCTTCCTGTTTCAGTGTCTTTTCTTGGATGTGAGTTACAGAAAGTCATTCTTTGTGGAAAGGCCACACCCTCTGTTGTTTGGCTGCAAGGGTGAAATGGAAGGATGCTCTTTGGAAATCTCTTAATTAAAAGTAAATAATTGACTGTGTAGTAAACAGCCAGAGGGGCAATATTTAAACCCTATTTATAGATTCAGATTAGTGGTGGGAGTAAATAGGACAGTCAGGAGAAAACTTAAATTAAGAAGATTCCCGTCACCCTCACACACAAGAGTGTGATTTTTTTTTCTGAAAACAAATACCTCTGGGCTTCATTTTTCTCCCTTTGATCTCAAAATAAACACCAACCTCCACACTTCTTGGTCATGCACTGCTGGTTCATTAAAGAGCCATATGCTGATTTCCTGTGAGTGTTTAACACGTCATGATTAAGGGCAAAGTCAAGAAACAATTTAAGGACAATTTTTCAATAAAATTAGCTCCAAAACTAAGTGTAATTACTGTCAGTGTTTCTATTATTTGGACTTTTTCCCATCAGAATGTATAAATAGTGTTTTTAATGAATATACAAATTATATGTTTCTGAGAACCAAGAACTCTGACTCCATGAGGAGACAGATAGTGTCTGTATCCCAGGGCAGGTAATTAATGTGAAGGATTCGAGATTTCCTTTGTAGCTATTCATCTATAAAGCAGCCTGTGAGCCATGAGGCCCTGCGGACCATCCCATCAAAAATCTCAGCCAAAATTTGTATCAGTTAGGGTTCTCCGAGAACCAGAAGCAACAGGATATATCATATATGATGAAGAAGCAACTCACATGATAATGGAGGCTGAGAAGTCCCCAGATCTGCTGTTGGCAAGCTGGACACACAAGAAAGCTGATGGTATTGTTCCAGTCTTGAGGCCAAAGACCTGAGACCAGGAGAGGCAATAATGTAAGTTCCAGTTCAAGTCCAATTCCAAAGGCAAAGGACTGATGACCCAGCTCAAAGACCAGAGAGTGAAGCTGATGACCCAGCTCAAAGACCAGAGAGTGAAGCTGATGACCCAGCTCAAAGACCAGAGAGTGAAGCTGATGACCCAGCTCAAAGACCAGAGAGTGAAGCTGATGACCCAGCTCAAAGACCAGAGAGTGAAGCTGATGACCCAGCTCAAAGACCAGAGAGTGAATTTTTGCTTACTCAGCCCTTTTTTTTCTCTATTAAGGCCTTCAGTGGATTGGATGGAAATCCAATAACTTTGTCAAAGTATGTTCCACAGAATTCAAGTTCCTTGGGATGTTAATAAAGGCAATTTGGTAGAAAAGGGCTCCAATGCCAAATAAGTGTGGAAAATCCTAGGTAAAATAAACAGATATCTTTTCTGCAGACATTCTCAGAGCCTTTAATATGTCAATGTGCTTTGCAGTTATCCAAGAAGAGGTTGTATTTTGCAAAGCTTTTCAAACTTATTTAACAAAATATCTTGTTTGGCATTTAGCACCTCTCTAAATCCTGGGAAATACTGCTTTATAAAGTACTTCAAAGCAGAGATTGTGCTTTATCTGATTGTTGTACCCCAGCCTCTAGGTCAGTGCCTGCCAAACAGAGAAATTCAGTAAGCATTTGAGGGGTCTGTAAAGTGAAATAATGAATGATGAATGAAATAGCAGTAGAGATATGGCCAAGCCGTAAACGTAAATTCTACACCAGACTAGCCTGAGTCTATGTAAGGACTTCCCAGAGCACTCCCAGAGAGCCAAAAAATGCAAAATGGATGTTGAGAAGCTTAGAGTAGAACCTCGGCTCTCACCAGTATAGGAGATGCCACAGTGAGAATGGTGTAAATGGACTCTTCCTTAGTGAAGCACATGCCAACTGTGCCCTGCCCATACCCATTGCTCTGCAACTGCCAGCACCTGCATTTCCATCTGAGGTTTTCTCTTGCTGCAGAAGCCATCTCCGTTGTCCACTTGGCAGCCCCCTGAGAGCAACCCTGGATCAATGATCAACTGGAGTCGGTGTATAAATACCCCAGCTCCCTCACTGCTTAGATGGGATAACTCTAGGCATGTGTTTTACACTACACCCAGAATGCGTGTGCTGGGTAGGATGTGCTCCAGTGGCCACGTTGATAACGAGAATGGCTGGCTTCCTCCCCATTCCTGCCTCCTTCCCTAGTCCCCTGCCTGTGGGCCTTGAGATCACCTCTCATATAAACTGCTTGCCTCCTGATCCTTGACTCAGGATCAGGGGTTCTGGGGGGCCTCTGATAAAATATTGCTTATCGTTCCTATGAACTCTCTCCTGTCTTGACTCTACCTCAGCTACAGGACCTCTGAACCCCTGGAAATTTCCCCTAAATTATTTCTTGAAGTCCTAGAAGGGGAACCTCCCATGTTCCCACAGTCCTGTTTATCAGCTGCAGTCCCCCACTGCATGGCCTGTCTTCACTGGCATTCATTGGCACTAAGGAGAGACTTGGTGATGTGCCTCATACTGTGCCAGGTGCTGGGGGTGCAAGGTGAGTGAGACAGTCTTGGAGCCTGCCTTCATGAAGCTTCCAGGCTTTTTGGGAAAATAAGCACAATCCCATTATCATGCAGATCCACATGCAAGGATAATCTTTAATAAGTGCAGGCAATTAAAACCAAAGGGTGCTATGCAGTATAGCAGGGCATCTAATCCAGTGGAAGCTATAAGAGAGACTTCCCAGAGGAACTGAACTTATTGATGAGATATGAAGGATGAAGGAACTAAGTAGGTGAGGAGGTGGGGTGGGGAAGAGACCCAGGCAGAGGAAACAGCATATGCAAAGCAATGGGTACAGAAATGTGCCCCTTTGCATGCCAATAGTCCTGATAAGTGGGCATCCTGAGTTTTCTGAAGCCACCAGTGCTGTCTAAGGAGCTGCAGCAGAGGTAGGGAGGAAAGCCATCTTCCTAACTCTGTGCAAACTTTGTCCTCTGGGCCCCCAAACAGCTCTACTTATTTCCTGAGGCTCACAAATGCGCATCTTGCAAGTCAGCTTCATCTCCTCTTCTGCAAACTGCTCATCAGCCCTTCTCTCTGCAGGAGGGTTGCACTGTCCCAGCCTCTTGCAGTTGGGCTTGGCCATGTGACTTGCTTTGGCCAGTGAAACTGGAGCAGAAGTGATGAGCTCCACTTTCTAGGGGAAAAGCCTTTAAGAGCTGATACATAGGGGCTATGCTCTCTTTCCTCTTTGCCATGGCAACTGGCAGTGTTCCAGATGGGTTAGCTCTGTCTGTCCAGGACCACGATGACACATCAGCTGACCCTCAGTAATTATGTGGCATAAGCAAGAAATAAGCTTTTGTTGTTTTAAGCCACTGAGATTTGAGGGTTACTTCTGTATGTAGCATGGTCTAGTAGCCCATCCTGACTGATGAACCTGTGAAAACTGGTCCAGGAAAGCCCCACACAGACAGGATAGCATAGCAGGTAACTGCCCCATCTCTGGGGCCCCATGGCTTGTGATACTTGCATTTGAATTCTGGCTCTGCCACTTCCTCCCTGAGAGACGCTGGGAAAATTACTCAAGTTTTTTATGCCTCTGTCTCGTCACCTATTAAATGGCAGTAATGTACAGTTTGGGCAACAAAGCAAGACCCCATCACAACAAAAAAACAAAACAAGATAAATTAGCTGGTCATGGTGACACGTGCCTATAGTTTCAGCTAATCATGAGACCGAGTCGGGAGGATCGTTTGAGCCAGGTCAAGGCTACAGTGAGCCATGATCGCACTGCTGTACGTCCAGCCTGGGTGACAGAGCAAGACCCTGTCTCAAAAAAAATTAAAAAAAAATAAATTAGCAATAATTGTATTTACTGCATATCCTTGTGAGAATTACCTAAATTAATTCATGTAGGCTGGGCACCGTGGCTCACACCTGTAATCCCAGCACTTTGGGAGGCCGAGACGGGCAGATCACCTGAGGTCAGGAGTTCGAGAATAGCCTGACCAACATGGTAAAACCCCGTCTCTACTAAAAATACAAAAATTAGCCTGGCATGGTGGCTCATGCCTGTAATCCCAGCCACTTGTGAGGCTGAGGCAGGAGAATCGCTTGAACCCGGGAGGTGGAGGTTGCAGTGAGCCAAGATCGCGCCATTGCACTCAAGCCAGGGCGACAAGAACGAAACTCCATCTCAAAAAAAAAAAAAAAAAAATTCATGTAAAGAGCTTGGAAAATTGTCAGGCACAGAGCAAGTGTTCAATAAATGTTAGCTTTATTATTAATATTTCCTCAAAAACAAACAACAGTTGGATGCTGCAGGTTGTCTAGGTCCGTTTTTAGGAAAAATATTATCCAGAAGAAACCTCACTGACTTCTGACTTCAAGAGAGAAAATCTCCTATATCAGGGGATGCAAACCCAAATGCCTCTGAGGAGTCACAGAGACACCTTACCATATTATTTTGATCTATGTTTGATAGAGACCCAGGTACAAAGAAACACAGGCTCTTCTATAATGAAAACAATGGTGCAAATGAAGTGATAAGTGTTCAGCTTCCATGTGGGGTGGGGGAGCTACAAGCAATATCGGTGCTATGGAGGAGGGGTGCACTGGAGCCGACAAACCCTGTCCAGAGGGGAGTTGGGACCATCTGCAAATGTAGGTGGAGCAATGCTAGATTTTCAGATTTTGTTGCTTTAAGAAAAAAGTAAGGCCGGGCGCGGTGGCTTATGCCTGTAATCCCATCACTTTGGGAAGCTGAGGTGGGTGGATCACTTGAGGTCAGGAGTTTGAGACCAGCCTGGCCAACAGGGTGAAACCCTCTCTCTACTAAAAATACAAAAATCAGTCAGGTGTGGTGGCGCGCGCCTGTAATCCCAGCTACTCTGGAGGCTGAGGCACAGGAATCACTTGAACCCGGGAGGCGGAGGTTTCAGTGAGCTGAGATTGTGCCACTGCACTCCAGCCTGGGTGACAGAGCGAGACTCCATCTCAAAGTAAAACAAACAAACATAAAAAAGAAGTAAGGAGATTCTCATTTTTAACTGTGAACTTGTTTATTTTTAAAACATTGTTTAGGCCAAACAGATCACATCAGAAGGGTGGATGCAGTCGGTAGTTTGCATCCCTGTTCAAGAACCCGCACATGCATGGGGCAGATGGCATCCCTACGTGTGTGCTTGTCTGGGTGGCTTTTCCAGAACCTAGGGAAACACCTTCCCAAAGACGCTTGCAGGCCTCCATCTCCTGCAAACATAAAAGCCCCCCCCACCCAGGGTTGAAATGACAACGTTTTCAGGACCCAGTGACCTCTCCAAGTTTCCCAGCTCTGGTTCCTCTCTTGGACCGAGCTCAAAGCGATGTGAGTGGTCTCTTCTCAGCAGTCTTTGGGAGACATAAGCTTGTCCCATCCTCCTGGCCTCAAAATAGGAGGTGAATGGACTGGGGAAAGTGCAAGGCACCCCGCCTCCTCACCTGCTCCACACCCCTCAGGGCCATATGTCAAAGACATACAGGTCTTCTAGATAACTTTGAGCGAGGGGCCCGAAGCTGCAGCCCTGGAGCAATGTGCCTGTTTCTCTATTTGGAATCCATCTGACCCTGTCCTCCTAGCAACAGTCAGTCAACAGCAGGTGTGCAGTCCCCACACTGGTCCTCCCAGATGCCTCCTGTCTCTGCAGGATTCCTCCCAGCCTCCCCTTTCCCCCCCTCACACAATGGGGAGAGGTCTGAAGGCCAGAGACTTCAGGACATATATTCCCCCTCACTTTTGTCTGTTAGGCTTGGCCTGGGGGAAGCTATGAATTTATACCAGCCAGGGTAGGGCAGCGGATCCTTCCAAATCATCACCAATGACTTTTTTTTTTTTTTTTTTTTTTGAGACAGAGTCTTGCTCTTGTGTCCCAGGCTAGAGTGCAATGACACAATCTTGGCTCACTGCAACCTCTGCCTCCCAGGTTCAAGCTATTCTCCTGCCTCAGCCTCCCGAGTAACTGGGAATACAGGTGCCAATCACCATGCCCGGTGGTATTTTTTAGTATTTTTAGTAGAGACGGGGTTTCGCCATGTTGGCCAGGCTGGTCTCCAACTCCTGACCTCAAGTGATCCATCCACCTTGGCCTCGCAAAGTGCTGGGATTACAGGCATGAGCCACCACGCCCAGCCCATCACCGTGACTTCTAAGTTGACACCAAGCAGATTACTTACATTTTTTTGATGATTCAGTCTCTTATCTGTAACGTAGGTGTAATAATAGCATATTCAGAGTCATGTGCCACCTAATTCATTAGCATTTCCTAATCCCAGTGAGCTTCTTGGGGGGAGAGCAGCACTACACTATAGGATCACACAGCTCAATTCACTGGTAGCAGCCAAATGGGGAAAATGATATTGAGGAATGTGATTTCAAATACTTCACAGTGATGTATTAATTATTTCACTCGACTGTCAGAGTTTCTCACTGCAATTTATCTTCCATGTGGGTTTCTGCAAATAGAGCTGGCAGACTTTTTCTCCCCAGTCTGACCCCAATTCCAATCCCAGTTCCAATTGTTGTTGAATTTCTTGCATGTGGTCTAATCCTGTAGCCACACATGAACATGGGAACAAACTGGTTTTTAATAACGTGGAAGAGGCAGGAGAAAGAGAACCTTCCCCAAGTAATGAGATGTGGACAGCCTAACGTTCTGGAAGAAGAAAAAACCTTTCTAGAGACTTTTTTTCCCCCAGAATTATCCTCATTAATATCAGGAGACATTTGCTGCCACTTTAAAAGAAGAAGCTTTGTAACATGCCTGTAACTAGCACAGAGCAAATTAATTTATTTCAGGTGAATTCATAGCAGCAACGGGCAAAGCTCTTGCTCACACCTTTCCCCTCCAGCAGGTACACGGGGACTGATGCATCCTTCTGTGGGAACTTTGGACATGGCAGGTCCTTAGAAAGGGCTCGTTACCAAGGCGAGAGTAGCAAACTGTTCTTTCTCTTGCAGACACCCACCGCAGTGAAAGACACAGGCTTTAAGCACAAGAGGAGGATCTGGGTATGTCTCTAATCTTTTGTTACTCTCCAGATATTCTTGGCCCTGCACTTACAAGGGTAGGTGTATTAGAAGGGATGGGTATGGAGGTTAGGAGTGGGGTCCATCCACACGTGCTTCCAGCCCTGGAGACCAGCAGCATGGATGGGCCTCAGCCTAGCTGGGGTCGAGAGGCCAGCCACCTTTGGGAAACCTACTCATTATTATTATTATTTTTATTTTTTTGAGATGGAGTCTTGCTCTGCTCTGTTGCCCAGGCTGGAGTGCAGGGGTGTGATCTCAGCTCACTGCAACCTCCACCTCCTGGGTTCAAGCTGTCCTCCTGCCTCAGCCTCCCGAGTAGCTGGGATTACAAGTGTGCGCCAACATGCCCGGCTAATTTTTGTATTTTTAGTAGAGATGAGGTTTCACCATGTTGACCAGGCTGGTCTCGAACTCCTGATCTCAAGTGATCTGCCTGTCTCAGCCTCCCAAAGTGCTGGGATTACAGGCATGAGCCACCATGCCTAGCCGGAAACCTATTCATAAGACCAAACAGCACCCACTAACCAGAGCCGTCTAGGGATCTATCTGTGAAAACACAGCAACACCAAGGCCCATATTCAGCTCTGACCTTCTCAGTGATTGCTGCCTATGCCTTCTGGGTTGTTCAGTACTTGGAATGCTACCCCTGCCCATGGGCATGGAAGGAGGTAGCAGCTCCCACTCATCTATGTGCATGAGCTGACTTAATCTTCACAACAGTCTTGCTGTACAGAGGCTATCACTCTGCCTATTTTTAAAATTGAAATAAACTTCCTAGAACATGAAATTAACCACTTTAAAGTGTATAATTCAGTAGCTCATTATTCCCATTTCACATGTGAGGAAACAGAGACTCCAATGAAGGTGTCTGAGATCATCTAGTCAGTCACCCAGGAAGGCAGGAGTCTCCCCTACAGGGCAAGGGGCCAGGCCTGGCTCACTCATTTTTGTATTTTCAGAGCTGGTGCAGAGTCAGTGCTCAGTAAATACTGAATGAATAAATGCTAGCGTAAATGGCAGATGAATGTCTATGCGCCCACACTATTGCATTTCACGACGATCCCTCTTTGGGGATAAGGGTCCTTCTGATTTCTTGGATTTTGCCTCCTCCTCTAGCTCCTGATAAGTGATGCCTCGGCTCAGAGCAAAGCAGGCTAGAAGGGGAGCCAGGCTCACATGTGGCTAGCACCTTGTTAAGACAGACATGCCCACTTCCCTGCCATGGCCTCTAGCCAAGCTCTATCTACCCCTGAGGCTGTAGCACCGTCCAGCGGCCCTGCCAGGGGTGGATGTGCCATCAGCTCTGTCCTCACTAGCTGTGTAAATTTGGCCAAGTCGCTTAGCTTCTCTGGGTCCCAGTTCCTCACTTATAAAATGGGACAAATAATAAGGCTCTCATGCAGATAAGATGGGACCAAGTTTCTGCAGAGTTTAGCATGGTGCAACTTAGAATTCTGTTCTTAGTGCAACTGCGGAAAACATCTTTCACGATGTCTACATGGAGGTGCACTGTACTCGTCTCTCTATGTCTCAGTATTTGGAATTTTTTTTTTTTTTTTCAGATGGAGTCTCGCTCTGTCGCCCAGGAGTGCAGTGGCGCGATCTCGGCTCACCGCAAGCTCCGCCTTCTGGGTTCACGCCATTCTCCTGCCTCAGCCTCCTGAGTAGCCGGGATTACAGGCGCCCACCACCACGCTCGGCTAATTTTTTGTATTTTTAGTAGAGATGGGGTTTCACCGTGTTAGCCAGGATGGTCTCAATCTCCTGACCTCATGATCCGCCTGCCTCGGCCTCCCAAAGTGCTGAGATTACAGGTGTGAGCCACCGCGCCTGGCCAGTATTTGGAAATTTTTATAATATTTTTTAAAATAAAGGGACTCTGGCTGGGCATGGTGACTCATGCCTGTAATCTCAGCACTTTGGGAGGCCGAGGTGGGTGGATCACTTGAGGCCAGGAGCTTGAGACCACCCTGGCCAACATGGTGAAACCCTGTCTCTACTAAAAATACAAAAATTAGCCCGGTGAGGGTGGCCCACACTTGTAATCCAGCTACTTGGGAGGCTGAGGCAGGAGGATCGCTTGAACCCAGGAGGTGGAGGTTGCAGTGAGCCAAGACAGCGCCTCTACACACAAGCCTAGGCGACAGAGGGAGATTCCATCTCAAATAAATAAATAGGGCAGGCATGATGGCTCATGCCTGTAATCCCAGCACTTTGGGAAGCCGAGGCCAGCAGATCACCTGAGGTCAGGAGTTTGAGACCAGACTGGCCAACATGGTGAAACCCCGTCTCCACTTAAAATACAAAAAAATTAGCCAGGCATGGTGGTGCACATCTGCAATCCCAGCTACTTGGGAGGCTGAAGCAGGAGAATTGCTCTGCTAGGAGGCAGAGGTTGCAGTGAGCCAAGATCGTGCCATTGCACTCCAGCCTGGGCAACAGAGTGAGACTCCGTCTCAAATATTAATAATAATAATTAAATAAATAAATAAAGGATTCTTCAGGCAACTCAATGAGGCATTTCCCATTTCTAAGGGGAAGGAAGATAGATGCCCTGTTAGGGGCTTAGGGCAGGTCTGGTAGGGTCAGAGAGGACAGCCCAGAGAGCAGAGGAGAATAGTCAATATTTCTTCCCTGTGCTCAGGAGGTGGATCAAATGCTCAGCTAACAGAAGTCAGCTGGATCCAAGCTGAGTCCACTACACTCACAAAGCAAGTCCCATGGTTGGGAATCCAGAGAAGTCAAGAGCTGACAATGAAAACCTCCTCACTCACTTCTCACTCTCCTGGGATCTTGACTCTCTTCCATTCCCACCAAGCCACTCAGGCCGCTTCTCTCAAACCGCTCCCCCCACCTACCCTCCAAGCCCACTACCGCCACTGTCTTACAGGTAGAACCTTCTCCTTGGTCCTTTCTTTTTAACCCAAATTATTTAACCCATTTCTGGTGTGTGCCCCATTCCTGCTTACCCAGACACCTGTCCTCTGAATGCCTCTGACAGGGCTGAGAGAAGGACCCAGGGGTCATCTTTAGTGTTGTTCATTAAATAGTTCTCATTTTTTTTCCGGGTAATGATAGGATTGGAGTTAGCCATGTGACATGGAGTTAGCTCTGTGACTTGCTTTGGCCAATAAAACGTGAACGAAAATGAGCTGTTATTTCCAGGTGGAAGCTTCAGGAACCTGTGTACTATTTGCTAAGCTCTCTCTTCCTCTGCCAGGCACCTGGCAACACTCCGGCTCACAGCTCCTCTGCCCACCTAGGTCCTGGGGTGAGGATAGTGCCAGGACAAGCCCCTAGTCTCCCAACAATGGGCATGTGACATGATCAAGAAATAGATCTTCATTGATTTATTTTGTTTTTGTTTTTGAGACAGTCTCACTCTGTCACCCAGGCTGGAGTGCAGTGGTGCAATCTCGGCTCACTGCAACCTCTGCCTCCCAGGTTCAAGCGATTCTCCTGCCTCAGCCTCCTAAGTAGCTAGGATTATAGGTGTGCGCCACCACCCCCTGCTAATTTTTGTATTTTTAATAGAGACAGGGTTTTACCATGTTGGCCAGGCTGGTTTCAAATTCCTGACCTCAGCCTCAAATTCCTGTAATCCAGCTACTTGGGAGGCTGAGGCAGGAGGATCACTTGAACTCAGGAGGCAGAGGTTGCAGTGAGCTGAGACAGCGCTGCTGCACTCCAGCCTGGCAACAGAAGTGCTGGGATTATAGGTGTGTAATTCCAAAGTGCTGAAATTACGGGTATGAGCCACCGAGCCCAGCTGATCATTGTTTTAAGCCACCAAGATTTGGGGGTTGTTTGTTACAAAGCATGACTAAACTGACTGGCTCGGACTGCATAGGGTCTAGAGAGATGGGAGGCTGTTAGGTGACACTTACTGGCCATGGCTGATGGCTGATGACTGGCATTCTCCTCCAGGATACCAGAACACAGATGCAGAGGTGGAGGGCCAGGGAGGCACAATTTCCACAGGGGGCCTTTTTAGTCACTGCTACTACTCTGATGGGAAGACATGAGAGGACTCAGTGTAGAACCCACGACTGAACATGGTTAATCTGCAAGAGAGAACAGGACACAGAGTATGGTTTCTTCTAGTCTTACCTTCCCAGCAGCCATTGTCTTAGATCCCTCACCCTTGGGGTTCCCTTCTAGATTCACATCACACTCCACTTCCTAGTATGTTCTTACATCTCTTAAGATTCCAGATCATGATGAAAATGAGCACAGGCACGTCTTGCAGTCTGTCCAAGAACCAGCCCATTTTCCTTTCTACCGGTTCTTTCCCATCTCACATGGTGGTCAGTGGATACATTTTTTTTTTTTTTTTTTTTTTGGACAGTCTTGCTCTGTCACCAGGATGGAGGTTGCAGGATCTCGGCTGACTGCAACCTCCGCCTCCCGGGTTCAAGCAATTCTCCTGCCTTAGCCTGCCAAGCAGCTGAGATTACAGGCATGTGCCACCATGCCTGGCTAATTTTTGTATTACTAAATTACTTTTTTGTACTAAAAAGTAGAGACGGGGTTTCACCATGTTGGCCAGGATGGTCTTGATCTCTTGACCTGGTGATCCTCCTGCCTCAGCCTCCCAAAATGCTGGGATTACAGGCATGAGCCACCACGTCTGGCCTCGGTCAGTGTATACCTTTTTAAGAATTTTTGTCTGTTCTTTCATTCACAGAGAATGAAATGCCTAAATCCTAAGTGTAGGATGTATCAAAATATCATCAGGCCAAGACCCCTGTAATCATCACTCAGTTGGTAAATTCTTGCAGGATGCCAAATTGGAACTTTAGGTGCTGGAGTGGTGAGCATTCCAAAGCGGTGGGCATGAAGCCAGTCCTATGACTCTCCAAGCCTAGACCCCTTGAGGGACTGGGTCATTAGGTGTTAGAGAAGATTTATAAAGGGTACGGCTCTGCAGATGCCTGAGCTGAGAGAACCAATCCAGGAAGGGTGGAGTGAAGCTGCCTACGTCCTTCCCTCAATCAGGAGAATGGGGTTTTAAGGGACCACATGGAGAGCTTGACATGTGTCCCTTGTCATCAAGGGGGACCCAGTGAACTGGTATCTGATGACTGATCAGGAAACCTTGAGGACAAGGGAGAAGCTGACTTGTTGAGGGGCTACTGCACGGAATGGGTCTCTACTCCCACAATTTGATGGAACAGAAAATGTGTGACCTTTCTCCGTGGAGCAGGTGTGACCCTGTTGGGCAATAGAATCCCAACAGAAAGAACTCGTGTGGCGTAGACTACCAGGGGTGTGAGCCTGCCTGGGGGAAATGCACCGCCTTTGTCATAACATATGCAGTCAAATATTTCCACTGGGGCCGGCCAAAGAACCCATGGAAGCCCCTTGCCAGGCCCCACAAGCAGGAAACCTCTTATGACACGGCTGAGCGAGGAATGATGTGCTTTGTTGCCCCCTTTCCTGCTCCCCTCTTCCCCACCCCATTTCCCGCTGCAGCAGCAGAGGCAGGGCCAAGGCCAGGTGTCCCTTCAGATGGGTCATTGCTTAAGTGGTTCTTAAATGATGTAACTTTCAGCCGGGCGCAGTGGCTCATGCCTATAATCTCAGTACTTTGGGAGGCTGAGGCGGGTGGATCACTTGAGGTCAGGAGTTTGAGACAGCCTGAACAACATGGTGAAACCCCGTCTCTACTAAAAATACAAGATTAGCCAGGTGTGATGGTGCACGCTTGTAATCCCAGCTACTTGGGAGGCTGAGGCAGGAGAATTGCTTGAACCCGGGAGGCAGAGGTTACAGTGAGCCGAGATTGCGCCATTGCACTCCAGCCAAGAGCTAAAGTCCGTCTCAAAAAAAAAAAAAAAAAGATGTGACTTTCACTCAGCCAGAAGAGTCTGAATTTGTCTGTCGTCTTCAAGCTGTGGAAGAGGACTGGAAAGGGAGACAATGACCATTTCTCTTCCCCCATTCCTGTGCAGCAGGCTCTTGCCTGCAGTAGGTCCTACAGTGGAGGGGCAGCAGCTGTCACTGTGAAGGAAGGCAGAGACTCTGGTTATCAGCCGGCACTGCATGTAACCAGTCTCTGGAGAGGAGGCTGTCTCTGTTGTCACCTCCAACATCCTATGCCCCTAAGAGTGACCAGGAAAGACATGGAACTGACCTGAGACTTCATCCAGAACCAGAAAAGGCAATTCTGAGGGACATTTCAAGGGAAAACGTGAGACAAAAATCAGTTACTTTCATGATGACATCCCAGGAGTACTGCCTGCTCAATAAGCCAGTCTCCCACATTTTGACGTCTTTACTCTAAAATCGATGTGTGAATATCTCTAAGCGATGTCTGAGAGACGATTTTAAAAACAAAAATAGTAAATGTCCGTAGTAATTTCGACTTAAGTAAACAATCTTCTAAAAATGCATAATGACACTCACAGCCTATGATGTGTCGGATGTCCTGTGCTCCAACATGGCTCCACCATAGCCCTGGCATTGGGCATCCCTGGATCCATTTTTACATAGAAGGAAGCTGCCAAGGGGCAGACCTCAGATGGCAGTGTGGATCAGTTTGACCACATTGTCTCTGCAGTCTCTTTAATCTAATGTGTGTCTGGGAGCTCCAGGGTTTTGAATGGGTTTCCATTTTCCAAAATGTGGGCATGCCTTGTGGTTCATTCAGAGACAACCAACAGATGGGCCAAGTCAGGATGGCTTTGTGATCAGGAACATGGCTTGGCCATTAGACAGCCTGGGCTCAAATCCCAGGGGGATTATCCATGAGTGACCTATCCTTAGAAAAGCTACCTAGGTGAAGGACTGTGCTTCACACATGCCTGGCACATGCAGGAAGCTCTTTATACACAATAGTAGCCACTGTTGTAATTATTCTTGTCCTTGGACTTGAAACCTGGGAAACGAGGTAAATCCCTCCTAGAGAAGGCTTCTCTGTTTCCCGACAACTTATTGGATAATTCAGGGCTGGGTCCTTGTTCTTGGAGAGCTACAAGTATAGGAGGGACACTGACTGAGATCTGAAGGGTACAGATCTAAACATCTTTCCCTCATCCCCCTCTGCCTTCAAACATCTGCCCCACTGGCCTGCCCCACAATCGTAAATTTCATCGTTCACCTTCCTTTGGGTATTATCTCTGAAAGCTCCTGTTAACAAGTAGAAGGGCTAGCACACTTTGGGTTATAGCGCCCCTGCCACAATACCCTGGATTGCTTTGAGATATGGACATGTACTGGTGTTGCGGGGCTACCTGGCAACCTTCCCACTTCCTTTCCAGGGGATTTTCCCTACTGTGGGAATCTCAGACAATGGGGCACACACAGGAGTATGCTGGAGCACAGCTCACCAGCCCACCAGCACCAACTTTTACATTCTCAGGAATCCTTCGAGCTGGTTGTTAAATGGTTGGCAAATAAAAATCAGTCATGGTGGGAATGTCTCCATGGAAGTCAGCAAATGCTGCAAATCCGGGCTTTTCCCACTGGTGAGCAAGCTGCTAAACGTTTCCCAGCCCAACACCCAGCACAGCACTTGGGTTTAGCCACCTGATCCTCCCTCTGAGGCCTTGACTCTCAATCAAGTGATCCAAGACACAGGAACAAGACAGAATCCATGTACTGCAGGGGCAGCTGGCCATGGCAGGGCAGGGGGGAATCTAGTGCGGGTGGTGGCAGTGCCCAAGGGTGCCAGCGTCAGCTGCCTCTCCCTGGCATGACTTTGGCCAAGTCTTCCTCTTGCCTTCCTTCCTTCATTTCCTGCCCAATTTCTAAGCCTTCTTCTCCTGCCTTCCCATCCATTCCAAGAGCTTCCCTTTTCTGCTATGTTAATCAGAGCTAATTCCTGCTGAGGGGTCTGGTCCATATAGGTGACTAATCATTTGACAGACAGAGGTCCCTGAGAAAAGCAAATAAGCTCTCATTTTGATTCCTCAAGAAGGAAGGCTGCTTGGGGCAGAGCAGCCTGGACTTAGTCACTTAGCGAACATTTATGGAGCACCTACTGTGTGCAGGCACTGCCCTAGTGCCAGGACAGGAAAGGAACAGGTACATCTCTGTCCCCAAGGAACTTACCACCTAGCTAATGGAAGCAGCTCTCAAACAACTAATTATGCAATTAATTTTTCTGTGGATTGCTCCATCATCATTGGGTTATACCAAATTACTGATAAATATTTGAATCCTGCAGTGGGTAAAGTACCATGCAATGTACAATGGGCATACCGAAAAAGATGAAACAGTCTGTGCCTCCCTTCCGAGTTCACAGTTTAGCTGACAACACAGGTACACACTCATGCCACTGAATAACCTTCCAATACAAGTTCCCACTTGTCAGAATCATGGGGAGCTGCAGCTTCCAACTTTGGGGATCAGGAAAGGCTTACGTGAAGAAAGTGGGATTTGAGCACAGCCTGGACTGTGATTAACAATAAGAAAAAAAAAGAGTTCAACAACAAAGACGACATACTTGTAAAATTAGCCACCTGAAATTCTACTGCCCAAAGGTGACCATGGTTAGCATAGCCATGAGCGCCCTTCTGCACAACCGCGGGATCCCGTTAGGCACACTCTTGTATAACCAGCTGTTTTCACTCAACAATATGTCATGGACATTTTTCCATGCCAATTATTCCCAATCTACATCACCATTTAAGCGGCCGGCAAATACTCCATTATACGGATGTATTCTAAATTAATCAAATCCCCATTGATAAACATTTAGTGTTGCGGTCAAGGGCACAGACTCTGGAGCCTCAGAGCGTGGCATCATTCCTGGCTGTGCAACTCCCCAGCTGGGTGATGGTCAGCAGAAACCTAGCATCTCTGAGAAGTTTCCTCATGTATTAAATGGAGGTGCGGTTGTCCCTCGGTATGCGTGGGGAATTGGTTCCAGGAGCCCCATACCAAAATCCACAGATGCTCAAGTTCCTTATATAAAATGGTGTGATATTTGTATATAACCTGCACACATCCTCCTGTACACTTTAAATCTCTCTGGATTACTTATAATACCCCATACAATGCCAACACTTCATTTCATTCTTGTGGATTCAATGTAGTAGTAATTGGCGCATGGCAAATTCGGGTTTTGCTTTTTGGAACTTGGCGGAATTTTTTTTTCTGGAATATTTTCCATGCATGGTTGGTTGAATCCACAGATATGGAGGGTTGGCTGTATTAATAATACAGTCCCTGGCCAGGCACGGTGGCTCACGCCTGGAATCCCAGCCCTTTGGGAGACCGCGGCGGGTGGATCATGAGGTCAGGAGTTCGAGACCAGCCTGGCCAATATGGCGAAACCCTGTCTCTACTAATAATACAAAAAATTAACCGGGCGTGGTGGCGCACATCTGTAGTCCCAGCTACTCGGGAGGCTGAATCAGGAGAATCGCTTGAACTCGGGAGGCAGAGGTTGCAGTGAGCTGAGATGGCGCCACTGCACTCCAGCCTGGGCGACAGAAAATAAAAATAAAAAATAATACAGTTCCCGCAGCATAGGGATGTTGTGAGTAGCTATTTGTAAAATGTTTAGAACAGTTTCTAGCACTTAGTAAATGCTCAGTTAAGGCCAACTACTGTTACTGTTAAGCAGGACTGTGGCCATCCTCTGTGCTTAGAAGGTCTGTCTTTGTGCACCCTTCCCAGCACCTACTTAGGATAAACACCGAGAAGTGGAATGAAATCGTCAAACAATGCACTTATTTTAAATCCTGATCAATATCATCCAATTGCCCTCCAGAAATGCACCAGCCGCTGGTGGGCAGGAGGACGCTGTGGCCGGCAGGAGGCTGCAGAGGGGACAGCCCCTGCCTCCTAACTGGAGCACCGGGGACCCTCACCAGCCATCCACACCGCCAGCGAGGTTTCCTGACTTGCCTAGCCTTCCGGGTGGCATTTTGGAATATAAAGCAGGAGGAAAATTAGCAGCAAGTCAGATTCTCTCACTTTGATTTCTAGAAGGAAAGCTAGAGTTGAGGCCGTGTTCGAAAATATAGGTCAGATCTCGGTTTCTGTGGTTACCAAACACTGTCAGCCACCAGTGACTCCCTCCCTCGGGGGCGATGCCAGGGTTCCGAGGCTGGGCAGTCGGGCCTGGCCCCCGCCGGGGTCCCCGGTCGGCTGCCCCGCGAGCCTGGAGGGTCTGCACCGGGGCGAGGGCCCGCGGGCACCCCGCCCTTCACTTCTTCTCGGGGGAGGGGCCGGAGGGCTTGGCGGAGCTGCCGACGGGGTCCGGGGTCGCGCCGATCCCGCCTGGCTCCCCGCGCCTGGGGCTGCAGGGTGGGCACGGGCCGGGCCCGCGGGAGGAGGGGGAGGCCGGGCGCCGCGGGAACAATGTGCTCGGTTGTTGCCGACTGTCAGCCTCGTTCCCGGATCCTCCTTTCCACGCCCCTTGGCCTAACTGCCGCGGGCCTGGCGCGCAGAGGGAAGAGCCCCCTTATTTGGTCTTGGAAAGAAAAGGGAAAGGTTATCCTCGGATGCCTGCGGCGTTGGGTCATCAGCCCGCCGCGGCCGGCGCGCACGCGGGAGCAGCTCCGACTCCCGCCGGCAGGGGGCGGCGCCGGGCAGCGCCGGGGAGCGGCCGCTGGAAAACAGGCGCGTAGGTTCCGCCGCGGCCGGCGCGGATCCGCTCTTGAGCGTGGGGAGGGGGTGGGGGTGGGGGTGGGGGCGGAGGGAGGGCGGGGGAGGGGGCGGCGTCACGGGCAGGGAAGAAGAGAGAAAAGAAAAAAACAAAACCTTTTTATGGCCAGTCAAGCTTCCAAAATTGGAAAACCGTTTCAGTTCGAGGCTGTGACTTTGCCATGTCGATTTCATGTGAAGCATCTGGGAGTGCGCGGAGTGGGGGAGAATAGCGGGGGGTGCGGGGTGCGGTAATCAGTGTTAAGATAAGCCGTGCCATTGGGGTGAAAGTTACTAAGATAATTGAAAAGGTACAGTTTGGGGATCGGTGTCGGCTCGGGTACTTTGCTCCCCACCCCCTTCCCTCTCTTCCCCACTCCTCCCTCCGCCCCTGCTTTTCCAGCCTCTCAGGTGAGCCTGGTGATGTGTAGCGGAGTCTCGCTCTGACCCCCAGGCTGGAGTGCGGTGGTGCGATCTCGGCTCACTGCAACCTCCGCCTCCCGGGTTCAACCGATTAGCCTCCCGAGTGGCCGGGACTACAGGCACGCGCCACCACGCCCAGCTCATTTTTGTATTTTTCGTAGAGACGGGGTTTCCCATGTTGGCTAGGATGGTCTCCATCTCTTGACCTCGTGATCCTCCCGCCTAGGCCTCCCAAAGTGCTGGGATTATGTTTCTAGCCACGTGCAGGCTGAGCCTTGCCCAACCTTCTTATTATCCTGGGCAGCTCAAAAAGGCGAAGGTGACCAAGCTGGGATTCGAACCGCGTCCTTCACGCTTCAGCGCCAAGGCTTGTTCCACGGTTAAGAGCACATTACCTCGCCAATGACTCCTCCAAATAAAGCTTGTGTAATATGTGTCATTCTTCTAAAACCTTTAAAAAAGAATCAAAACAGTAACTGGTTTGACTTTTTCAGCAGAAGGAAGCAAAAGGGCGTCAGCACCTGGAGGTGACTCTAGTGGGGAACCTGCGCCCCAGAGGTGGGAAGGAAGCCAGGGGGCATTCGTTTCGCCTCAACTGCCCCAGGGGTTCTTGTCCATCTCCAGAGAGGCTCTTGGGTAGCATCCTGCCATGGTACTTGTTACCGCACAGAGCCTTCCAAAGAGGGGCCTGGCAGGCGGGGAAGCTGTTGCTAACTTCTATTTTCTATTTTAGGCAAGTTGCAAGCAGCCCTTGTGTTTGCCTGCAGGTCTCACACGGTCCTCCGCCCCTTCTCATTGTTCCAGCTGCTTCCTGAGGTGGTTACTAATAATTGTCACTCATAAGACCTGCCTCGGGTTTCTTCATCTGGAAGGAAATTAATTTTCCAAGTCACACAATTACAGACAACTTTTAAAAGAGTCACTGAGACAGTTTCATGCTTACCTTAGATTAGATGGTTCCAGTTTATTCTTTTTTAAAAAAGAAAATTTGTGTGAACAAAATTAAATCCAAGAAACATGGTTTTTCTCTAGCTCTTTTTTTTTTGTGTGCGTGTGAAATAGTTAAAAAAAAAAAAAAAGAAAAAGAATAAAGAAAAGAAACTGCTTCTACCAGTTTTGGGGGGTTTCCAGGTTTCCAGACATTTACTTAGCTTGATACATAGTATATTTCTGTGGGAAAAGGACAGCGAGAATATCTTGTAGCTTTTACTTTCCAGCATTGTTGTACTGGTTACAGTCAACTCCACAGTATGAACCAGTTGATCAGCTCCAGTAAGGCCTCCTATCCCCTAGTGGAAAAACCCAGGCCTTTCCCACCGCTCTCGTGTCTTGCTCAGGACTGCACCTTTTGTTGCTGGTCCCTTGCTTGGCACTTCCTAGCTGACAGGCCAGGAGGTAGGCTCACTCTCCTTGGTGCTGATCCCAGGCACCAGCTTCCATGAGAACCAGCAGTCACTTCCAGTTGGGGGCAACCCCATCCGGGTTTGCCCTGACATCCCAGAGCCCAGGTCCCCATCCCAGGAGCCAGTAAGAGTCCTTAGCAGGATCAGGAATGTAGCAGCATGGCTGCTGCCTTTTCCCTTCCAGATGCTCTGGCAGGCTGGAGCCCGGGGGTCCCTAACGCCTGCCTTGGCTCTTCACTTCTTCCTGAGGTTCTCCTCACCATGAAACTACTCCCAAATGGAGATATGGTTCCATTCCATTGCCTGGATTCTGCTCTCCATTTATGCCTTGAGGCAGATGGAGCCAAAGGAATGTCACACTGTCCCACCATCATCTCAGGGACTGCCCTGTTTGGAGGGGCAGTGGTGCCCAGCAATGGAGCAAAGTCATAGGGAACAGAGCTGCACAGCCTTGGTCACACTCCTTAAAATCTTTGTGCTCCCACTGTTGTGAGAATTTAATGATATCTTCATATGCGAAGGACTTAACACAGTACCTGCCCCCTGAGGAGCACAGGAGGGCATACCTCCCAGGGCAGTTCAGAGGGTTACATGAAATAATGCCTGTAAAGCCCTTAGCACAGGGCCTAGCACTTAAGAGAGGGCTCAGTCATGTGGCCAGTAGTATAATCAGCCACTTCTTTTGATGGGTCAGCTATATGCTACAAACTAAGGCTCTTTACATATACATTTGAATCTTTATGGAAACCTAGAATGTAGACAAAATTATTGCATATACAAGGAACTCAGAATCAGGCTAAGTAAATTATCCAATGTCACACCGTTAGTATACAGCAGGGCCAGGATCCATCTGGCTCCGAAGTGTGTGGCTTTGCAGTTACGGGCAACCTAGGAAGAAAGAATAAATACACAGTCCTGTAAAGTGAGCTGCAGGGTCTTCATGGAGAGGAATTAAAACTGACTCCTCAGTGTGAATAACTGGCAGTTAGCCATGTGTCTTTGAACCAGATGTAGAAGCCAGTGACAGAAGGCTAATTACACATGTGGATATAATGTCAGTGGACGGCAGCTACCTTTGGGTCGCCTAACTATTGTCTTCTTAAATCCACGGCAGCCCTTTTAAGCCCAGGCTTGTCAGGACTCTTTCTGTTTTCTGGAAAAGACAGACATCCAACCCAGATTGATTTAAGCAAAAAAGAAGTTTAATTGGCTCATGAAACTGATAATGGAAAGGTCCAGCTTCAGGCATAGCTTGATCCAGGAGATTAACAACATTATATGGACTGGCCCTCTCCATATCTCAGCCCTGTTTTCCTCCCTGTTGGCTTTATTCTCAGGTTGGCTCTTTCAGTGACCCTTTTTTTGTCCCTTGTTGGCCAGGCCTAAGAAAACTTAGAGACTTGGGTCTCTAAAAGAAATCATGGTTCCTTTTATTAAAAGAGGTCAGGGATGCTGAGCAGGCAAATATGACAGATGTCCACTACACCCTACCAAGTACACCATGGATCAGAAAGATAGTAGAGAAAACGCCAGGCACAGGTGGCTCACGCCTGTAATCCCAGCACTTTGTGAGGCTTAGGTGGGTGGGTCACTTAAGGTCAGGAGTTCGAGACCAGCCTGGCCTACGTGGTGAAACCCCATCTCTACTAAAATACAAATATTAGCAGGGCATAGTGGTGCATGGCTGTAATCCCAGCTACTTGGGAGGCTGAGATGAGAGAATTGCTTGAACCCAGGAGGCGGAAGTTGCAGATTGCACCACTGCACTCCAACCTGGGTGACAGAGACTTGCCTCAGGAAAAAAAAAAAAAAAAAAAAAAAGATAATAGAGAAAAAACTTTAATGGTGAATTTATTAGTCCATTCTCTCATTGCTATAAAGAAATACCTGAGACTGGGTGATTTATAAAGAAAAGGGGTTTAATTGGCTCACAGTTCTGCAGGCTATACAGGAAGCATGGCATCAGATTCTGGGGAGGCCTCAGGGAACCTACAATCATGGTGGAAGGCAAAGGCGGAGCCAACATCTCACATGGCCAGATCATGAGGAAGAGAGGAGCAGGGGAGGCGCCACACGCTTTTCAACAACCAGATCTCACAAGAACTCACTATCTCCATGACAGTACCAACAGGGAAATCCGCCCCCATGATGCAATCACCTCCCACCAGACTCCCACCTCCAACATTGGGGATTACAATTCGACATGAGATTTGGCTGGGGACACAAAGCCAGACTATATCAGTGATCAATTCCGCTGCTAACGGCACTCACAAACCAAGCAGGCAGGGGAGGGGTAACTAGAAGCGTTTTGGGTTATACAGGAGACCCATACTCCTCCCATTTTGGGTCAGGCTAGCCCATTTTAAATAGTAGAGAAGGGCCAGGTGTGGTGCCTCACGCCTGTAATCCCAGTACTTTGGGAGGCCGAGGTGGGCCGATCACTTGAAGTCAGGAGGTCGAGACCAGCCTGGCCAACATGTTGAAACCCCATCTCTACTAAAAATACAAAAATTAGACAGGCGTGGTGGCGGGCATCTGTAATCCCAGCTACTCAGGAGGCTGAGGCAGGAGAATTGCTCGAACCTGGGAGGTGGAGGTTGCAGTGAGCCGAGATGGAGCCACTGTACTCCAGTCTGGGTGACAGAGGGAGACTCTGTCTCAAAAATAAATAAATAACAGAGAAAAACCTTGAAATCCGTAAAGACTGGGTGTGAAGGACTTTAGAAATCTTCAATGTCCTAGTGTAGCAGAATGCTTTAACAATATGATTCATAATAATATAAACAGAATACATAACAAAGTGCATTAACAATGTAAATATTACAAATAAGTATAAATGTACATGTTTGTACATATGTGATATTTTATATAATGATAATAAATAAATGTAAAAATGCAGTAAAGTCTGACTGAACCTACTGAACTAAAGATCCCGGTAGACCCTTAATGAGAGTCAGGGCACACAACTATAAATAAAACATTACGAATCCACACTGAGGGTGGATGCCGGGCTGTTGACTAGGTTTGGTCACAAGCTGCGTGATGACCTGTTCCTCACAGCAATCTGATGCAATTTAAACCAGTGCCTGAGCAAATTGGCAAATTATTAGATGTCACGGACCTTTGGTCACTTCTCTAATAGTTAAGCTTGAGAACAGTCACTGGACAAACACTAAGGTGCTGCTTTCCTGCCATTAAACGTGCCCTGAGCTGAGGGAGAGGCTACTGAGGCACACTCCACATTGCAAGGCTGAGGGTGTTGGAAAGTGGGCAAGCCTCCCACCTTGTGCCTGGGGAGTCTCCCAACACTTGGGTCTCCCCTCTGAGCCTTTTACATGCCACGCCCCATCCTGCACTATCCCAGTCTCCGGGATGGAGACTCTGCATCCCCATTCAGAGAGCAGTCACGGTGCAGTTGCCCTTGATGTCAATGCCGGCTGTCCATTTGTCCAGGAACACTTCAATGTCACGTCCCACACATGAACAGAGGGCAGGTAAAAACTGACCCTACACAGATGTCTGCATCTCCGGAATGTGTCAACCTCCTCCCACTTGTCTCCTGATTCTCTGCCTCCAGGCATTATCCGTGTGCTCCTCGGGTGCCCTGCTGTGCAGGTCTATTTTGGACCTGAGGATGGTAACGACAGTTACCAGCTACAGTCATGCATTGCTTAACAACAGGGATACGCTCTGAGAAATTTGTCATAAGGTGATTTCATTGTCGTATGAAGATTATAAAGTCTACTTACACAAACCTACATAGCCTAGTACACCCCTAGGCTGTATGATATAGCCCATTGCTCTGAAGCTACAAACCCGTACAGCATGTTACTGTCCCGAATGCTGTAGGTAATTGTAATACAGTGGTAAGTGTTTGTATATCTAAACAAACATAGAAAAGGCGGAGTAAAAATACAGCATTATAATCTTTCTAAAAACAATTAATAAGCTTTATTATAGTACGGTTTTAGATTTACAGAATAATTGAGCAAAAAGACATAGAATTCCATACACCCATCCACTGCTCTCTCACCCGCCCCACCGTGGTTTATCCTATGAAATTCTTACATGTGGTACATTTCTTACAATCAGTGAGCCAACACTGATACATTGTTGTCAACTATAACCCAGAATTTACACTGAGGTTCACTCTTTGTGTCATATAGTTCCGTGGGTTTTGACAAGTGCATAATAACATGTATTATAATCTTTTTTGTTGTTGAGACCGAGTTTCACTCTTGTCACACAGGCTGCAGTGAAGTGCAATGGTGTGATCTTGGCTCATGCAACTTCACTCTTGTCACACAGGCTGAAGTGCAATGGTGTGATCTTGGCTCATGCAACCTCTGCTCCCAAGTTCAAGCGATTCTCCTACCTCAGCCTCCCGACTAGCTGGGATTACAGGCGCCAGCCACCATGCCCAGCTAAATTTTGTATTTTCAGTAGAGACAGGGTTTCACCATATTGTCCAGGCTGGTCTTGAACTCCTGACCTCAAGTGATCTGCCCTCCTGGGCCTCCCAAAGTGTTGGGATTACAGGCGTGAGCCGCCGCGCCTGGCCTGCATGTATTATAATCTTATGGGGTCACCGTCCTGTAGGCAGTCCATCCTTGACTAACAAGTTATGTAGCACGTGACTGTATTGAGCATTCACCATCTACTAAATTCTTTTGTATACGATTTCATTTAATCCTGTGTCAGCCCTGGGTGGTCAACATTATTTATTAGCTTCACTTTACACGGAAGGAATTGGTGCTTAAAGAAGTCATGTGATCACTCACCGCAAATCTCACAGAGAGGAAGTAGATAAAAGCAGCCTTAGTTCTCGGCTCAAGTCATTCAACTTTTCATGAATCAAGTAGTGACTGAGTGTTAGTAGGTGCCAGGCAGGGTGCTGGGGCCTATTAATTTAGCGAAGAGCAGAAGACTGGACTTTGTTCTCAGGGAGTTTAGAATCTACTGGAGAGACAGATATTTGAAAAGCAATTATAATGCTTATTATTACAAAGTATATTTAATGCTGTGAAGGAGAGGTGCTGGCCAGGTGCTGTGGCTGATGCCTGTAATCCCAACACTTTGGGAGGCTAAGGTGGGAGGATCACTTGAGGCCAGGAGTTCAAGACCAGCCTAGGCAACAGAGGAAGTCCCTGTCTCTACAAAAAATTAGCCAGGGCATGGTGGCACGTGCCTGTGGTCCCAGCTACTCAGGAGGCTGAGGTGGAAGGATCACTTGAGCCCAGGAGGTAAAGGCTAGAGTGAGAGGTGATCGTGCCACCACACTCCAGCCTGGGTGACAGAGCAAGACCCTGTCTCAAAAAAAAAAAAAAAAAAAAAAAAAAAAAAAAGCTTTTGCTGGAAAGCTTACCCTGAGACAGAGTTTGTGTGTGAGGAATTCATCTGGGAGGTAAACTCAGACAGGGGATGGGGAAGGGAGACAGGGAAGGGAGTCAGTGCAAGGAATATCAGTGGGAGGCTCTCTGCCATGGGCAATGGAAGCTCAGGCCTGCTGGAGATCTCCTGAGGGACCATGTGAAACGCATTAAGGACCGTCCCACCCACAAAGCGAGGAGCTAGGTGCTTATCTCCAAATTCCGATGCTCTTAGGAGAACACTGATCCCACAGCTCTTCCAACTTGCACCCTGAGCCAGCTGGCTGCCTGGCTGTAGCCACAGAGGACTCTCAGGCAGAGAGGCAGGTGTTGGAGGGACGGAGCTGTCAGCTGGGACCACGGAGCTGTCCACCAAGGTCCCAGGGCACTCACAGTGTCTGCCCCACTATCCCAGGGTGGGGCAAAGGTGCAGAAATTGGGCAGGGGTCTGAGAACCAGGAGGGATCAGAGGAGCTGACATGCTCCTCTGAGGTGTGTGTGCCGGGGGGAGGGGGAGCAGGGGGGCTGAGGGGGCCAGGCGGAACTTGAACCATGCCGAGAACCATGTGAACTGCTGTGACAGGGCTCACAGCTCACAGAGGGATAGAAGCACCCCTCTGGCTGCAGTGTGGACAGTGATCCAGAGAGGATCCGAATTATGAGAAGAGATTGATTGGGTAGGAGGTTCTTGCTGGGGTCCAGATGAGAGATGACGCTAGCTGGGCCAGAGGAGCTGGTGGTTGAGTTGTGGGGGGTAGGAGTTAAAGTCAGCGGGATTGCCACTCTTTGTCTGCCTTGCCTCATACCCTGCCACATCTTTGTCGAGGGTGTGGTGGCTCGTCGCTGGATCCACTCCTATGGATCCCTCATCTCAAGAGAGGATGAGATAATATAAGGAACACCTGAAAGAAAGGAGCGTGTGTGTTTGTAAGAGGTGCATCAATTTGAGCTCCTGGAAAGTAGTGTCAAAAATGGACTCAGGCAAGCTTACATAAGAAAGGCATTCATTGGGAGGCTAACAGAACTCACCAAACCTGATGGCTTAGGAAATGGACAGGAACCAAGATGGCTCCAGATGGTCAGGCAGCAGGAATCCCCTGTTCTTTCCTTCCCCAAACATTTACTGTGTGCCTACTAGGTGCCAAGCAACAGCCCATCCACAGGTAACAGAACAGCAGGCGGGATAAGAATGTATGAAGGTGAAAGAGGGCCCCAGAGCCACACAGGGCATGGGTGGGGGGGGGGGGTTCTGTTTCAGATGCAGGGGACAGGAAGTCCTTTCCAGTGATGCGATCAGAAAAGATACCTGAATGCAGAGAAGGTGCAGCCTTGCGAATCTCTGTGGGGCGAGCATCCCCAGCAAAAGAATGGGGGCTAGAACAAGCTCTGTCTGTCATGGGAACAGTTAGATCCATGTGGCTACTGCCGACTGAGCAGGCCACAGTGAGGGCTGTGGATTTTGAGTGAAATGGTGAGCCACTGGAAGGATTTGAACAGGGGAATAACCCTAACCCGATTTGATTTACAAGCTGAAAGAATCCTTCTTTTTTTTTTTTTCCAAACAGGGTCTGGCTCTGTTGCCCAGATTGGAGTGCAGTGGCTCAATCATGGCTCACTGCAATCTCTGTCTCCCTGGGCTCAAGCCATCCTCCAACCTCAGCCTCCTGAGTAACTGGAACTACAGGTGCACACCATCACGTCTGGCTAATTTTTGCATTTTTGTAGACATGGTGTTTCACCATATCGCCCAGGCTGGACTTGAATTCCTGGGCTCAAGCAATCTGCCCACCTCAGCCTCCCAAAGTGCTGGGACTACAGGCATGAGCCACTACACCCAGCCAACATGCTGGAAGAATCTCTCTGACGTCCACGTGTGGAACATGAAGTGGAGAAGCACCCAGGAGAGAGCCCAGGTAGGAGGCACCCAGGTGGGGGTCTCAGCAACAGGTGATAGGGGTTGAGGGAGCTGTTCCAGTAGGGAATAAGAAATAACTAGACCCTAGATATTCTTTGGAGGTGGAACTGACAGTACTAGTGGATTAGATAAAGTATGAAGGGAAAGAGAGAAATTTAAGAACTCCCAGGTTCTTGGCCCAATGAGATGCCAGTTACGGAGATGCGGGTGGCTAGGAAATCGGGAGATTTATTTGTGTTTGGGGGTCACACTAAGACACACAAGACCTTTAGAAGGATCCCTGAGGAAAATATAAGCTCCAACTATCCCACATCTTTGTGTCCCTTGCTTAAGATCCGAAGTCCTGGGACATTACATGCAAGTTTCCTAGGGGCGCTGAGGCTGGACAGAGACCAAGCCCCTGGGCACAGGCTGCCCCGTCTCAGGACAAGGCTTCTCAGGGAATGCCCCAGATGAAATTCAGTGTATTGTTAAAAATGAAGTGGGATGTTAGAGGACCAAAAAATGAGTGAGAGTAGAGGGTAAGTCTGAGACTTGGATGATCTGCAAATGTGTTGAAGAGCAGCTGGGTCAAGCAGGAACCAGTGTGGACCATGGGCTGTAAGGGCAGGGCTGGGGCTGGAGGCAATGAGCAGAACATCCAGGGAAGTGGGTTTTGATTTTGTACATGGCAGAAACTCCCAGCTCCTTCTAAGAGCCCTAGGCCACTGGGATGCAGCCATTCCTGGGTATAGGATACATTTGAGCATCAGCTGGTCAAGCACTTGGGATGTAGAAGAAGCAAGCTAAGCATGGTGGGCCGTTGAACCAGGTGATGGGCTCAAAGTGTTTGCACTGAGCACTCCCATCAGGAGAGTATTTTGAGGATGCAGCCTGTGTGTGTGTGTGTGTGTGTGTGTGTGTGTGTGTGTGTTTATGCAAATGTATATCACATTCTACCATAATAATAATACATATGCCTATAAAAGACCATCACAAAATAGACTTTTAAAAGAATGAGCAATAAATGAAATAAATCTATTTTGAGTTAATTTTTATTTTATTAATTAACACTAAAAATTCTCTCTTTTTTTTTTTGAGACGGAGTCTCGCTCTGTCACCTGGCTGGAGTGCAGTGGTGCAATCTCGGCCCACTGCAACCTCTGCCACCTGGGTTCAAGTGATTCTCCTGCCTCAGCTTCCCTAGTAGCTGGGACTACGGATGCCCACCACCCCCTACCCTGGCTAATATTTTTGTATTTTTAGTAGACACGGGGTTTCACCATATTGGCCAGGCTGGTCTCGAACTCCTGACCTTGTGATCCGCCCACCTTGGCCTCGCAAAGTGCTGGGATTACAGGCGTGAGCCACCTCGCCCAGCTAAAAATTCTTTATCACAAGTATTAGATTAATTATTGGTATTTTAGGGCCATATGATTGAAAATATTTTATTATTGTCTCATGGATTTGCCACTCTGTAATAGTGTAATGTGGAAGCCTGGTCTAAATTTAGTTTCCTTGAATACTTGGTTTTAATAACTGTTGAGCTGTATAATATAATTTTCAAAGATGCCTGATTCCAATTGGCAGACAGGCATCACTGGCCATAGTTAGTGAATCATGACTTTTTTTTGTTTTTTTGGTTCCAGCCATCAACTGATCAAAAAAAATTTTAAATGAGATTGGTTAGTGATTCTCCATTTCCTTTCATGTTAATCAGTTACTCTTGAAAACTAATTTGGAACATATTAGAGTTTTATATTGTTTTAGGTCTGGTAAAGTACACATAACATAAAATTTACCATCTTAACTTTTTTTTTCTTTTGAGACAGAGTCTCGCTTTGCCACCCAGGCTGGAGTGCAGTGGTGCGATCTCGGCTCACTGCAAGCTCCGCCTCCCGGGTTCATGCCCTTTTCCTGCCTCAGCCTCCCGAGTAGCTGGGACTACAGGCGCCCACGACCACGCCCGGCTAATTTTTTTGTATTTTCAGTAGAGACGGGGTTTCACCGTGTTAGCCAGGATGGTCTCGATCTCCTGACCTCGTGATCCGCCCGCCTCTGCCTCCCACAGTGCTGGGATGACAGGCGTGAGCCCCCGTGCCCGGCCCATCTTAACCATTTTTAAGTGCACACTTCAGTAGTGTTAAGTACATTCTCACTGCTGTGCAATCAGTCTTCAGAACTTGTTCATCTTTTGCAAAACTAAAACTCTCCCCATTCAACAACAATGCAGTTTTATACTTTTAATAATTGGGTTCACACCTCAACTACATATTTCCTTTTTCACTTGGAAAATAAAAAATTTGTTTCTAAATTTTAAAATAGGTACATAGAAGAGTTTATTGTGGCCCCACATTGTTTTTTGGTAAGAAAATAAAGAACAACATATTGGAAACATCTAAAAACATCTGTTTCACAATGATCTCTCTGTAGCATGTTTCTTTAAAAAGTAGTTCATTTCTAATTTATTATTCAAAGCAGCACTTTTACTTGAAGGTAGAGAGGAAACCCATTTCTTCCTTCTATTTTACCTGCTATATATGTGTATTATTGAAAGCCACTTGTCGGCCGGGTGCAGTGGCTCACGCCTGTAATCCCAGCACTTTGGAAGGCTGAGGCGAGCAGATCACCTGAGGTCAGGAGTTCGAGACCAGCCTGACCAACATGGAGAAACCCCATCTCTACTAAAAATACAAAATTAACCGGGCGTGGTGGCGCACGCCTATGATCCCAGCTACTCAGGAGACTGAGGCAGGAGAATCGCTTGAACCCGGGAGGTGGAAGTTGAGGTGAACCGAGATCCCGCCATTGCACTCCAGCCTGGGCAACAAGAGTAAAACTCCATCACACACACACCCACATAAACAAACAAAAGAAAAAAAAAACAAAACACTTGTCATCTCAGGAAAGGTCAGGAAATCGAGAGCAGTTGTTTTTGTTGTTGCTGCTGTTGTTTTTTTTTTTTTTTTTTTTTTTTGGTCAAAGAAGACATTAGTTTAAGCACCTGGCATTATGACAGTCTATATAGATTTAACTGTATTTTAAACACCTTGTTTTCATAAAATTAATCACATTGATGACTTCTTCCATCACTTTGTGTGCTTTTGGCTTCCAGTTCTCTTATGCAATACTTTGCGTCTGGATGATGTAGTGAATCGTCTTGATTGAAATCTGACCTCAGACCTCTTTTTTTTTTTGAGGTGGAGTCTCTCTCAGTTGCCCAGGCTGGAGTGCAGGGGCGCGATCTTGGCTCACTGCAAGCTCTGCCTCCCGGGTTCACGCCATTCTCCTGCCTCAGCCTCCCAAGTAGCTGGGACTACAGGCGCCCGCCAGCACGCCCGGCTAATCTTTTTGTATTTTTTAGTATAGATGGGATTTCACCGTGTTAGCCAGGATGGTCTTGATCTCCTGACCTTGTGATCCACCTGCCTCGGCCTCCCAAAGTGCTGGGATTACAGGCGTGAGCCACCGCGCCTGGCCTACCTCAGACCTTTTATAAAAAGAAAATTGCAATCAAAACAGTCATCTGGCTGGCCGTGGTGGCTCACACCTGTAGTCCCAGCACTTTGGGAGCCTGAGGCGGGTGGATCACTTGAGGTCAGTATGGCCACCATGTTTTGTGAAACCCAGTCTCTACTAAAAATACAAAAATTAGCCGGGCGTGGTGGTGGGCACCTGTAATCCCAGCTACTCTGGAGGCTGAGGCACAAGAATCGCTTGAACCTGGGAGGTGGAGGTTGTAGTGAGCCAAGATCATGCCATTGCACTCCAGCCTGGGGCGACAGAGTGAGACTCCATCTCAAAACAAAACAAAAAACCCCAGCCATCCGTGCTGTGGTTAGTTACATTTACACTGTTTTCCCACCAAACATTGTCTTTGATAAAGTATATACTATTGAGAATATATCTTCTCTGCTACATCTTTTCCTTAGTAGCTTCCAAACAATCAAATTATTTGTTTTTTATCAGTGAAACAAAATCAAGCAAATACCATAGACTAATATGTGTGAAAAGCTCACTGTACTTTTATACAACTACACCGTAAATGTCTCATTATTTTTCTAGTACTTTTATTTTCAAATCTTCAGCAGTATCTTCGGACAAATGAATGCATTTCACTTTCTCTTTAATTTTGTCTTTATTTTTCCATACATTATTTATACTATTTTTACATGAAAAAAAGATCAAATATCCACAAATGATATGTGAGTTTTGGTCTTTTGTGCCAAAAACCTTAGAAGAGGTTTCTAAATGTTTACCATTGCATTTAATGAAATGTTTTAAGGTATGGACTGAATATTTCATTACTTTCAAGATTGCTAGAAAAATTGGAGAGATTGGCCGGGCGCAGTGGCTCACGCCTGTAATCCCAACACTTTGGGAGGCCAAGGTGGGTGGATCACAAGGTCAGGAGATCGAGACCATCCTGGCTAACACGGTGAAACCCCATCTCTACTAAAAATACAAAAAATTAGCCAGGTGTGGTGGTGGGCACCTGTGGTCCCAGCTACTCGGGAGGCTGAGGTAGGAGAATGGCGTGAACCGGGGAGGTGGAGCTTGCAGTGAGCCGAGATGGCGCCACCGCACTCCAGCCTGGGCGACAGAGCGAGACTCCGTCTCAAAAAAAAAAAAAAAAATTACATGTAAGTTTGGTATCCATCTTGCATTATTTTTTTAGGTGGGGAACACAGTTCTCCCCAGTTCCCACAATGGGGATATCCAGTGGCTCCAGTGTCCCTTCCTGAAAAGTGAAGGTTAGCTTTCAAGTGTCAAAGCAATCCTGGTGACTGTATCTTACTATCAGCAAGTGTCTCTAGGTGCAGTGCACGCTTAGGGCAACATTCATCATTAAGGACAGTTCATATGAACCCTTATTTAAAAGACTATACTTGGCAATTATAACACTGTTTGGACTTCACTTCTAATCTGATTAGTTCATCATTGTTTTTATCTTTCAATGCAGCTAAGAGCTTATAGTAGGAGTAAGAGAAGGGCCAGTTCTACAGATTTGTTTGGTTTCCTTATGTTTGCATTATTATAGGATATAACATACATATTATATAGTGTAACCTTTTAGTATGTGATAATATTCCACATCTTTTTAAGCTACTCATTGATTTTGTTAAAAATCTCCACATTGATGAGGGTTTGTCTCTTTCTCTGTATAATTTTGTCTTTTATTTTTTTGAGACTGATTCTCGCTCTGTCGCCTAGGCTGGAGTGCAGTGGTGCAATCTCGTCTCACTGCAGCCTCTGCCTCCTGGGTTCAAGTGATTCTCCTGCCTCAGCCTCCCAAGCAGCTGGGATTTCAGGCATGCGCAATCATGCCAGGCTAATTTTTGCACTTTTAGTAGTGACAGGGTTTCACCATGTTGGCCAAGCTCGTCTCAAACTCCTTACCTCAGGTGATCCACCCACCTCGGCCTCCCAAAGTGCTGGGATTACAGCCGTGAGCCACCGCACCTGGCCTAATTTTGTCATTTTTTACTTGATGTATTTTGAGGAAATGATACTAGGTACATATACATTTTAAATTATTATATAGTCCTGTTGAATTCAATCTTTTATCATGAAGTGATTGTCTTATCTCTGCTAAAACTATTGTCCATAAAGCATATGTTGTTTGATACTAATGTGGCCACATCAGCTTCATTTTGTGATTTCTTCAATCTTTTAATTTTAATTTTTGTGGGCTTTTATTTTAGATGTTTTTCTTGAAAACAGCATATAGTTGAAATTTTGAAAAATCACCCTGTCATTGTCATTTAACTGGAACATTTAACCATTTACATTTTGTGATATATTTGGTTACATTTGTTTGTTTTGTTTTGTTTTGTTTTTGTTTTTGAGACAGGGCTCTGTCACCCAGCCTGAAGTGCAGTGGCACTATCTCAGCTCACTGAAACCTCTGCCTTCCTGGTTCAAGCAATTCTTCTGTCTCAGCCTCCTGAGTAGCTGGGACTACAGGCGTGCACCACCACGCCTGGCTAATTTTTATATTTTTAGTAGAGATGGGGTTTCACCATGTTGGCCAGGCTGGTCTCGAACTCCTGACCTCAATTAATCCACCCACCTCGGCCTCCCAAAGTGCAGGGATTACAGGCATGAGCCACCACCTGTATTTGGTTACATTTGGCACTTTATTTTGTGCTTTCCAATTGTTCTACCTTGTATTAGTTTCCCGGGTATGGCTGTATTAGCCTGGGGTCTCCAGAGAAACAGAACCAATAGGATACATATGCCAATAGGACAATTAGGTAAATGATTGATTGATAGATAGATGATGGATAGATAGATAATAGACAAAGATATTTGCTATAAGAAATTGGCTCATGTGATTATGAAGGCTGAGAAGTCCAAACTCCAGCAAACTGGAGACCCAGGAGAGCTGATGATGTCAGTTCCAGTCTGAAGGCAGGAGAAAACCAATGTCCCAGCTCATTCTTTCCTACTCATCTTTTCATTCCATTCAGGCCTTCAGTGGCTTGGATGAGGTTCACTCCTATGAGGAAGGCAATCTGCTTTACCCAGTCTACCAAATCAAATTTAATCTCTTCCAAAAATCCCTTCCCAGATACATTCAGAATAATGTTTCATCAAGTATCTAAGCATCCTGGGGCTCAGTCACATTGACACATAAGCTTACCCATCACATTGCCATAAGAAAGTGTTGCAGACGGGGTGGCTTAAAATGACAGAAGGTCATTATCCACATTTCTTGAGGCTACAGGTTTGAAATCAAGGTGTCAGCTGGGCCATGCTCCCTCTGTAACTCTGGATAGAATCCTTCCTTGCATCTTCCGAGCTTCTGCTGGTGGCCACCCATCCTTGGTGCACTTGGCAGGCAGTTGCATCACTTCCACTGGCCCTGTGGTCACATGGACTCCTTCCCTTTGTCTGTCTCTTCTCTTCTTATAAGGACACCAGCCATATTAGGTTAGGGCTCACCTTAATTCAGCATGACTTTATCTTTACATTGGCAAAGACCTTATTTCCAAATAAGGTAACTTTCACAGACACTGGGGCTTTGGATTTCAACATATCTTTTTGGTGAACTCAATTCAACCCGTAATATACCTGCTCCATGCCTCTTTTTCTCTCCTTTCTTGCCTAAAAATGTGGGATAAGTTTTATTATTTCATTTATTTTTTCTACTGCATTGAGAGTTATATATTCTATTTCTATTCTTTTAGTTGCTATTCTAGAAATTATATATATTTGCATGTATACAATATGCACATTACAATGAAGTATATTTAAAGGTAATCAGTACATTTGCCCTCTCCCAGGACAATAGAAAGGTTTTAGACCACTTTAATTCCACTTGCCCTTCTTCCAACCTTATGTAGCATTATTGCCATGTATTCAAATCTATGTTTTAAAATAATCTTCTTATTGTGAAGAAAGCCCAGAGACAGAAAGCCACATGAATCAAATGTGTGGCTTACTGAATGATTTTAAGATAAACATCATTCAAGTCAGAAATAAAATTTTGCCAGTCTTCCCAGAAGCACCTCTGTCTGCTTCTTCCCAATCACAAACCCTCTTTTATCTCTTAAGTAACCACTGTGCTGGTTTCTATACTTATTAGTTCCTTTAAAAATAATTTTATTTGGCCAGGTGTGGTGGCTCACACCTGTAATCCCAGCACTTTGGGAGGCTGAGGAGGGCAGATCACCTGAAGTCAGGAGTTTGAGACCAGCCTGGCCAACATGGTAAAACCCTGTCTCTACTAAAAATACAAAAATTAGCCAGGTGTGGTGGCATGCACCTGTAATCCCAGCTACTCGGGAGGCTGGGGCAGGAGAATCACTTGAACCC
This sequence comes from Homo sapiens, assembly GCF_000001405.40. Classification (NCBI taxonomy): domain Eukaryota; kingdom Metazoa; phylum Chordata; class Mammalia; order Primates; family Hominidae; genus Homo; species Homo sapiens. The sequence goes on along the minus strand of NC_000015.10, from coordinate 99,042,115 downwards.
AGGAGGCGGAGGTTGCAGTGAGCTGAGATTGCACCACAGCACTCCAGCCTGGGCAACAGAGCAAGACTCCATCTCAAAATAATAATAATAATAATAATAATAATTTTATCAACCAAATGGTGTATCCATAAAACTACAGCATTGCTTTGCCGAGTTAAAGAATTTAAGACTTCAAGTCTCTTTTAATCTGTAAATTCCCTCTCATCCTTTTCTTTTCCGTAGAGATAATCTCTTGGGGAACCTGGGCTCTCCCTGAGTGGTTTAGCTTCCTTCAGCTTAGAGTTTGCTGCTCACATCCTCACAGTACACTGCATTTCTCTGCCTTCTGTATTTCCAGAAATTTGGGCAGCTGGATCCAGAAACTGTATCAGATTCAGATTTGATCCCTTGGTTTGGCAAGACAATAGGAGGCATATAAAGCCCTGTTGTCTCTTTTATTGATGTTAGCAGTTGTTGATGCTTAGTGCCTACATCTAATAATTCACTGGGGATGCAAAATGGTGACATTCTATCTTTTTTATTGTTTTGTTATTTAATGGTTGTAATACTGTTCTAAGGAGATCCTTCTCCAACTGCTATCTGGTTACCCAGCAGTACAGTTCATATAGAAACGGGGATAGATGCTAGATTCTTCCTTTATTCATCAGTTTCCAAGATAATGAATTGGTTTCCTGTCATCCTCTGAGGGTGACTAGTTCTTTTTTATTGTTTCAATATTATTATGTACTCACGAATTTAAACATTATCTTTACTGTAGCTTCAAATTATTCTGACTTTGGCTAGTGCGAACCTCTTTAGGTTAGTTCTTGAGTCCTTTGGACATGATGCTAGAAGTCTTTAACATTGCTGCTTTCTGATATGACAAGATGTTCCAGGACCAGACCTGCATTCAGTCATTTCTGCAAGAAGTCCTGGTCCTTTGTCGTGTGATGTGGAACTTGAATACATAATACCAGCACTAGGAAAGCTCATTTCTCTAGACAGGTCATTGTTTCTTTTCTGTGGCGCTAAATACTCTCTCTCTCTCACACACACACACACACACACACACTCACATACACACACACTTCTGAGTGTTTCTAATTCTGATGTATTAGAACACATATTCAAATATGTTGTACACATATGCACAATTTTTTTGAGACTGAGTCTTGCTCTGTCACCCAGGCTGGAGTGCAGTGGCATGATCTCTGCTTACTGCAACCTCCACCTCCTGGGTTCAGGGGAATCTCCTGCTTCAGCCTCCTAAGGAGCTGAGACTACAGACACGTGCCACAACGCCCAGCTAATTTTTTGTATTTTTAGTGAAGATGGGGTTTCACCATGTTGGTCAGGCTGGTCTTGAACTCTTGACATCAAGTGTTCTGTCCTCCTCAGCCTCCTAAAGTGCTGGGATTACAGGCATGAGCCATTTTGCCTGGCCAGAATTATATATTTAAAAACAAAATAGCTCATGAGTCAATACTGATACTTCTAATTCAAAACTACCCCAATTTTATTTAACTTCTTCTGTATTACACCTGTAACTCCTTTCTTCTCTATCACAAATCCTGGTTCTCAAGAATACAGGGAATTATATAATTAGAATTTCTCATAATTAATAATTTCCTGAATCCCATAGTACACACACAACAGACATGGAATAAAAATACTAAAATACTAATTTACTATCAATATGATTATTTAAAACATTAAAATAAATCTTTTTCATATGTTCTCCCATTCTCTCTCCATTTTTCTTTTTTTCTTTTTTTTTCTCTTTTTGAGACAGAGTCTCGCTCTGTTGCCAGGCTGGAATGCAGTGGCGTGATCTTGGCTCACCGCAGCCTACGACTCCCTGGTTCAAGCGATTCTCCTGCCTCAGCCTCCCAAATAGCTGGGATTACAGGCATGTGCCACCACACCCGGCTAATTTTTGTATTTTTAGTAGAGACGGGAGTTTCACCATGTTGGCCGGGATGGTCTCGATCTCCTGACCTTGTGATCTGCCCCCCCCTTGGCCTCTCAAAGTGCTGGGATTACAGGCGTGAGCCACCGCGCCAGCCCTCTCTCCATTTTTCAAAAGCTGTGCTATGTATTATCAGAATATATAGTCAGGACAGTCTATACACAATCCTTTTTAGCCACTATTCAGTCTTAATTCTACAAGTTAAATTTAATCCTTGCCATCTGCCTTCACATCGGTAAGGGTCATTTTGGTTGTCTGAAGTTTTGTTCTCTGCTAAACTTCTTAGACTCATGGAAACAATATTCCCTTAGATCTTTCTTGTTGATAATAGTTTGTTTTTAATATTTGAAATCCAATTTTTCTGCAATATAAAATCCTGGATGCACCTTTTCTTAAATATGTGACTATTTTTTTTTTCTGGCATAAAGTACTGCTTTCAAAAAGTCTAATGATGATCTATTATTCTTTTCTATTCAAGTTCCATTCTCTCTCTCTTTTTATGCCCAAATAACTTTTATTTTTATTATTTATTTATTTTAGAGATTGGGTCTTGCTATATTGCCCAGGCTGGTCTCGAACTCCTGGCTTCAAGTGATTCTCCTGCCTCAGCCTCCCAACCAAGTAACATCTCTAAAGTACAGTAGTTATACTAGAATATCTCCAGGTGTTAATAACTTTTTGTCAATATTCATAAGTACATAGTGTCCTCCTGAACATGTAATTTCAAATCCTTTAATTACAATTTTAGGCACGTTTTCTTGGGTTAATTATAGTATTAATATTTCTTTTGGTCCTTCTCTTGGTTTGCTTTCTCAGGTTTTCTTGAAGAAGGCATATAATCCTTGGCTATCATTTGCAACTGTTACTTTCTCCTAAATCCTCTTTATCCCTTTCTTCATTTCTTTTTTGTTTGAAAACTTTTTAAAAATCTTATATTCCTCTTAAGGCATTATTTGTTGTTTATTCTTTCCCATGTTCCATCTAGTTTAGTTTTCATTTCTGAAGTGAATTTGTCTTTTGCTTCTTAATTATTTCTCTCACTTCATTTCTAAGTGTTTATAACGCTGATGTATTTCCATGTCTTTTATAATTTTCTTAATGTTTTTAATTGTTTTGAAATAGTAAATTACATTTTTTGGTCTATTTTGTGGGCATGACTTTTGTGTGTTTTGTTATTTTTGATCCTTATTCTCTTTTTAAAAAATTCTAACTTTGTACAGAATTTGACCTTAGTTTTAGGTGAAATTCATATTCTTGACTTTAGAATGAAGTGGGGTTCAGGAAAATTTTCTAACATAAAGTGTCTTCTTCTGTTGTTTTTGTGCAATGTACATTAAAAATATAATGGCTTACTTTCTGAGATTTCCCGTCTCTGGTTCCTTCTCCTATTTTGAACTGGACCTTCTCTTTCCTTCATCTATATTGTCTTCATCCTGCTCAGTTTTAACTCTACTTCCAGCACTTTCTCCTCATTGGGACTGTGTCTCAGAAGGAAGCCCTAGACAGCTAGCTTTTAGGGTTCATGATCCATATATATCATTGCCCAGTATTTGCCCCTCCTAGATTCAACTGCTGTTCTCAATGTTTTCCAGCAAATTCCTACTGGGGTTCTGCTATTCTCAGGTATATCAAATGCCACTCTGTTGCTTCTTTTTTCCCCTTTCCACACAGATTCCAAAATCATAAAGATCTTGAGGTTATTGGTGGTTTGTCCACATATCCACTTGTATTTTAGGGTTTTTGAAGATATCTTGTCACAGTTTTTTGTAATTGTTGTTTGCTAATATGTGGAGATTCAGTGCAAGAAAAGAGCTGTCACCACTACAATTCCCCTCATCTCTCTCTCTTCTTTTAACCTCACAAGAAACTATGATTATTTTATACAGTCAATGTTTATTTAGAATTGGCTATATATTCTTTCTTGCTTCTTCATTCCTTCTTTATCTTCTTTCTGGGACAAATTTCTTTCTGCCTTTAGAATTTTTTTTTTAATAAAAGTCCACCAGTGGTGAAGTCACAGTTTTTGTTTCTGAAAGCAGATTTTTGTTTGTTTGTTTTGCTCTTATACTTGAAAAATGTTGTCTTTAAGTATAGAATCCTTGGTTGGCAGCCATTTTTTTCATTCTACTGAAGATATCATTCCACTATCTTATGACTTCCATTCTTACAGCTGATAAGTTAGTTGTCAGTCTGTCACTCCACTAAAGGAAGTACATCTTTTTACTCTGACTCCTTTATGACTTTCTATTTATTTTAGGTGTGCTGATGTTTCACTACAATGTATCTAGATTTTCATTTACTTATCTTGCTTTGAATTCATTGTTAAATTCATTATGGAATGATTCATTATTGAATTATCAGCCATAATCTTTTAAAATAATGCCTCTGTATCATTCTCTCCCTTCTCTCTTCAGGGACTCTGCTTAAACGTATGTTAGATCTTCTCTGTTTATCTTCCATGTCTTGTAACTTCTGTTCTGTATGTTCATCTTTTTGTTCTGCATCCTGGAAAATGTCTTCCAGCATATCTTCCATCTTATTAAATTCTTTCTTTGGCTATGTCTAGAATGTTTTTACATGCATCTATTGAGTTCTTCATTTCAATTCTTGAACTTTTCATTTGTAGAAATTTTATTTAGTTCTTTTTCAAATCTTCTATCATACTCTATAGTTTCCTATTCCCTATATACATTTTTAAAGCTGTCTTTAATCTTTAAATGTAGGAAGCATATTTGTTTATGATCTGTGTTTGACAGATCTGAAATATGAAGTTCTGAAATATGAAGTCTTTAAATGTTTCTATTTTGTATTGTTTCTTATTTTCTCATTCACAATGTCTATTTTCCTATGTGCTTGATTATTTTTAGTGTATGCTGCTTTTTGTCACTAAAAACTATTTGTAGGAATAATTTGAGATCTAGAAGGAAGTACTCTCACAAGAGGATTTGTGTTTGTTTCTGTTGAGTATCTCAAATCACTACAGTCTGAGTTTCTTTCAAATGAGGTTCACAGCTAGCAGGGGTTTAGTGCTCTCAAAAGGTGATACTTTGAGCTTCAAATTCATTCAACCCATTGGTTCACTTCTGGATCACCTATACCTGGAGAGCGTATCCCTTTGAGGTCCCAGCTTATTTGGGAGATGGCTTCTTATGGTTTTGATTTCTATTCCTCTTTCCCCATGACCCTGGAAAATCTAATGTTCCTATGTGCCTAGATCAGCAAGTGCCCTGAGAACAAAGGTTCTTAAGCTTCTCAATTTTCCATCAATTTTCAATTACCTAGGAATTCCTAACTATGTTGCCAATTTCTTGATATTTTAAGAAAAGTTTAAAAAATATATTGTGTCCAGCATTTCTATATGTTTTCAGCAGAGAGTTACTCTGAGTAACCTAGTTCATCACTTGTACACCAAAGGTTCCACTTGTCCATTTTGTTAGAGTTAGTTTACTTAAAACTAAGTACTATAATTTGTGAAGCTGCTTTATTTCATACACTCAGACAGCAATGTATTATGATGAGACCTCCCTCTCTTTCCCCAGGATTCCTGGTACCTTACACACCAGAGACGTTTGACCAAAGGAGAGCAATGACATTACCTACGTATTAGATAGTAGTAAAAATGAATTTCTTCTTCATATTTTACTTAAAATCAAAACAAAAAATGTAATATTTTCTTCCAAATCCGAAAAGATCATCTCATGCGTCCCTTTCTGAAATTGGGTTCTGTTAACTGAGGGATCCTATGATTCTATTAAAACCTGCTCCAGTAAACAGATATGCTGTCAGAAATGTTTAGTAGTTCCTGATCCCAGCTCTTTCCTTGACTGCAGGAGATCCTGGTCAGCTCATTTAAACTTCCTTTCTTTGGGCTGGGCTCAGTGGCTCATGCCTGTAATCCCAGCACTTTGGGAGGCCAAGGCGGGTGGATCACCTGAGGTCGGGAGTTCGAGACCATCCTGGCCAACATGATGAAACCTCATCTCTACTAAAAATACAAAAATTAGCTGGGCATGGTGGCATGTGCCTGTAATTCCAGCTACTCAGGAGGCTGAGGAAGGAGAACTGTTTGAACCAGGGAGTTGGAGGTTGCAGTGAGCCCAGATGGCGCCATTGCACTCCAGCCTGGTGACAGAGCGAGTCTGCGTCTAAAAAGAAAAAAACAAATTAGAGCAACTCTGCTACAGTTGTTTCATTTCTAGTAATTTTTAGGTGGCCAGCCACAAAATTCTTACTGAGGCTGAAAGATGAGTTTGTTACAGGACAAATGTAATATAGCTATTATGTCTCAAGTTAAATAAAAGAGGGAAGGAATTTGGCATAGGTTCTGGATTATATGCTACACTTACTGCCCTATTTATTTAAAAAAATCTGAAATCATTAAGCATAAAGGCAGGCATATACATCTTACCAAGGTGTTACTTCGGGATTAAAGCTGAGATTTTCCTTTCCCCTCAAAGACATTCTTTGCTTAGACTTTTTTATTATCCTAACAAGGAAACAAGACTTTTTTTTCTTATCCTAACAAGCCTGGAAAATGTCCTTGCTTGATCTTCAGTGCTTAAGAGTGGACATGGGTTTGTGGTGTGCTTTGCTTTCTCAAGGAAAATGTAGGTATGCCATATTGCATTGATTTTCCTTTTCTTCTCTTCACTTTTTCTATGATCTAGTTTTCACAACTCAAGCTTCCATTTAGAACCTGGAAGGAATTCTGTTGCTTTAAGGCAAGCATAAAAATTTGGAATGCATTGCTCTAACTCATCTCCAGAGTCTTTGGGCAAAAGAGTTTCCCAGTGCCCAGGCTGGGTCGGAATGCTCTTTGGTCCTAGACTCCTGGCTGCAGCAACATCTCACGTAAGGGGTTGCAAGTCACCTGCCCCTGCTCCCAAATTTCTGGCTTGTGAGAACGCTTAGAGAACACTGCTCCATCACACTGAGCAGGACAGGCTTCTCTTGGGCTCATCCTACTTCAGTCATTTTTCTTTCTACACCACATTTTCGGATCCCTTTTTTTTTTCGTGCCTCAGTGGGTAGACTGGTGGGTTTCCAGGATTCTTGAGAAAGGTGTCAGCCACCATCTGTTTTCAACTCGGGAACATGAGAAGCTAGCTTGACATTGGTGCGAGATTGTGGTGGGACTCAGGCGCAGAGAGGGATGTTCACATCCTCTCTAGCATCTGATTTCAACAGCAGCGAAATACCAAGCAAGCGGGGCCTCATTGCTTTATGCTGGGGCTCCTTTTGGGGAAATCAGAACTGCATAGGAATCCATGAAAATAATGAAAACCACAGCTTCATTTCTGCTGTGATAGATGATCAAAGATAACCATTTGTTTCCATCTGCCCCACCTCTCTCTTCTCCTACTCCCAACACTCCACAGACTAGAAGAATGAACTGATGCAGTGTGTTTTTCTTTCTGTTCCTGTGGAGTCACCACTCCAGCACCAATGAGTTGCCCCAAATAACAGGTATAGAGAGATAAGGGCAGGGTGGTTTGGAGCCTGCTATACACATGCATCAGGTACTGTCCTGCCCATGGCACTAGGGCCATACCTCCTCAACAGGGGCAACACTGCTAACAGGTAAAAAAAAAATCGATCCGGGGTGGGACGGTGGGGACAAAAAAATTTGCATATTTTAATGGTTTGGGTCCCTCCAAAGGGACACAGAACATAAACAGATCTACAGTATATCTGTGGTACTAAAATTTCATGGGGAGTGGAGAAGCAATTAGAAAGAAAATGTTCAAAAAAGCTACTTAGGGGCTGGGTGCAGTGGCTCATGCCTGTAATCCTAGCACTTTCGGAGGCTGAGGCATGTGGATCACCTGAGGTCAGGAGTTCAAGACCAGCCTGGCCAACGTGGTGAAACCCTGTCCCTACTAAAAATAAAAAAATTAGCCAGGCGTGATGGTGTGTGGCTGTAGTCCCAGCTTCTCAGGAGACTGAGGAAGGAGAATCGCCTAAAATCTGGGAGGCGGAGGTTGCAGTGAGCCGAGATCATGCCTCTGCACTCCAGCCTGGGCAACAGAGTAAGACTCCGTCTCAAGAAAAAAAAAACAAAACAAGAACAAAAAAAAGCATTACAATTGTTCTTTTAATGTCTGTCTCTCCAGTAGATTCTAAACTTCTTGAGAGCAAAGTCCAGTCTGTTCTGTTCTTCACTTAATTCACAGGCACCAGCACCCTGCCTGGCACCTACTAATACTCAGTTGCTACTTGATTCATGAAAAGATGAATGACTTGGGCCCAGAATTAAGTCTCTGTGAGATTTTGGGGGAGTGATCACATGACCTCTTAAGTGCTAATTCCTTCTGTGTAAAGTGAAGCTAATAAATAATGTAGACCTCCCAGGGCTGATAGAGGATGAACTGAATATACAAAAGAATTTAGCAGATAGTGCCTGTAATCCCAGCTACCTGGGAGTCTGAAGCAGGAGAATCGCTTTAACCCAGGAGGCAGATGTTGCAGCGAGCTGAGATAGTGCCACTGCACTCCAGCCTGGGTGACAGAGTGAGACTCCATCTCAAAAAAAAAAAAAAAAAAAAAAAAAGCTACTTAGGGGTGGCAATGATTTAATTAAAAAGATCAAGAAATAGTGCTGGGCTAGGCGTGGTGGATCACGCCTGTAATCCCAGTACTTTGGAAGGCCAAGGTGGGCAGATCACCTGAGGTTGGGAGTTCAAGCCTGACGAACGTGGAGAAACCCCATCTCTACTAAAAATACAAAATTAGCCAGGCGTAGTGGTGCATGCCTGTAATCCCAGCTACTTGGGAAGCTGAGGCAGGAGAATTGCTTGAACCTGGGAGGCGGAGGTTGTGGTGAGCCAAGATCGTGCCATTGCACTCCAGCCTGGGCAACAAGAGCAAAACTCTGTCTCGAAAAAAAAAAGAAAGAAAGAGTGCTTTGGATTCCACTTTTTCATGTACCCCAGATGATCCCAAACTACTGGGATCTGTATCTTTGTCCATGAAGGTTTTCCCTTCATTCCCCAGAATCTGTCAACCAGCAAGAGACTGGGGTTGGTGTATAAATACCCCAACTCCCTCGCACCTGGGCTGCACTGGGCAATTCTGAAGCAGATGTTTCCCAGAGTTTGCCAACAGGACTGAGTTCTGGTTGCCCCCTGTGGCTGCTCCTGAGGAAGGTACTCTGTATTTGCTGCCTTCTTTTTAGCGTCTCACTTCCCCCCTTTCTTGCTGATTTCCCTTCACCTCCCAAGTAAACCATCTGCACTCAAATCCCTGTCTCAGAGTCTGCTTCTGTGGAAGCCTAAACTAAGATTATGTGTGTGTATGTGTGTGTGTGTATATTAAATGATTTGTAACTTCACTAAGTAAAAGAGAGCCCATGCATGAGAAGATTGTAATTAATCTAATTCTATGAATCTGAGATCCACTAAAAAAAAGTTTTCAAAGCATAGACTCTGGAGCCACACTGCCTGGCTGTGTACACAGGCCCTATTCTCACCAAGACAGCAGAAAGGCAAGGCAGCAAGAAAAGTTCTGCTAGGACTTTTTGAACTGGAAGTCACCTTTTGCATGACTAAAAGGGATGAGACAGGTCGGGTGTGGTGGCTCACGCCTGTAATCCCAGCACTTTGGGAGGCTGAGGCGGGCAGATCACCTGAGGTCAGGAGTTCGAGACCAGCCTGCCCAACATGGCAAAACCCCATCTCTACTAAAAATACAAAAAATTAGCTGGGCCTGGTGGTGGTCGCCTGTAATCCCAGCTGCTCGGGAGGCTGAGGCAGGAGAATCGCTTGAACCTGGGAGGTGGAGGTTGCAGTGAGTCGAGACTGCGCCACTGCACTACAGCCTGGGCGACAAGAGCAAAACTCTGTCTCAAAAAAAAAAAAAAAAAAAAAAGGCCCAGACATTGGGCTATCTGGGCTAATGAGCTATTATTGTATTAATAGTCTAATAATTTAGTGTCTACTCAGAGCAATCTCACAGCCCTACCTTTGGGATTGAAAGATCCCCATCTCCAGTAAAATCCACAGCCAGTACCTTCCTTATAACCCACTGGGCTACTGAACCCAGACTCAGAATTATTAAACAGGTAGGCACAGGCCTAATGTCATAAACTCTATTGAGCAATAGATCCCTGTGGCAGGAGAAAAATTCTCCATGCTTCTTTTCTCTCGGTTTGCAGCAACAGTGCAAATGTGGGTGATGGCCTTCAGACAAAGCTTTAAAAGCCAGAGAACCCAACTGCAAGAGGAGGTCAGGACCCTTCCCTTCCACGGTTGAGCTTCCAAAGAAATGTTTTGCTCTACTGTAGTTCTGATTTTGACGTGATTTATTTGTGAGTCAGAGATCCCATGAGCTGATAAAATGTTTAATACCTCTATGAAAACCTACATGGTAATTTCCCTTTGTACCTGAGCATTTCCATTTAGACTTTTACTCCACATAGACTGCTTATTAGAGAATGGAATCACAACCCACGTAGCCCTCTCTTCTCCCTGTTCACCTCCTAATTGAAGGCCTCAATTTCCTCCGCACATACTCTAATACTGTGCCTTCCTTCCCATTATCTTGTGACTTTTTCTTTCTCTACTCCATCTGGCCATCACCACACTAACTCCACATGAGCAAACCTTCTCTGAAATAACTATTTCCAAAAGAACAGGTGCTGGTGAACTTTTTCCGTAAAAGGCCAAATAGTAAATAATTTACATCTTGGGCCGGGCGTGGTAGCTCACGCCTGCAATCCCAGCACTTTGCGAGGCCGAGGCAGGTGGATCACCTGAGGTCAGGAGTTCGAGACCAGCCTGGCCAACATGGTGACAAGCCATCTCTCCTAGAAAAATACACAAATTAATTGGGCGTGATGTCCGGAGCCTGTAATCCCAGCTCCTCAGGAGGCTGAGGGAGGAGAATCGCTTGAACCTGGGAGGCAGAGGTTGCAGTGGGCTGAGATCATGCCACTGCACTCCAGCTTGGGTGACAAGAGTGAGACTCTGTCTCAAAAAAATAAATAAATAAATACAAAATAAATAAATACATAAATAAAATAATTTAGGTCTTGTGGATCCATATGGTCTCTGTTGCGACTACTCACCTCTGTCTCGGTAGCACAAAAGCAGCCACAGACAACACATACACAAATGTGGCTTTTTTCCAATAAAGTTTTATTTACAAAAGCAGCGGTGGGTCAGATTTGGCCCGTGGTCTGTAGTTTGTTGAGCTCTACCAGGGAACAACAAAAACAAACAAACAAAATTAATCATCCCCCAGCTCCACTTAACAAGGTCTTAACAAATTGTCTTGCTTTTTTCTTAATGACTTTTCTATGCAATACCATGTACCAAAGAATTTCTATATTTACTTCTAAAGCCGCTTTGAGACACAGCCAGTGTTGTACAGCAACGTTCTCTATATATTCACCATACTTTGTCCGTTGAAAGCAATAATTAGGGTCCTCGTATTCATGCGTTCATTTCATAAAAACCACACACTGGCCCCCAAGGTCACACCCGTGGGTACATTCATCAGTGCTTCTTATTTCATTTTTCTTCTCACTGCGTACATATAATTTCGTTTACCACACTGGGCACAGTAACAAGGCTTTTCTCCAGCATGGACACACAATCCAAAGAAACAGGCAAATATTGGCTGTACTAACTTTGGCCTAAGGCATCTGTATGGAAACTTCAGAACAGAAATACAATTTCTCTGGTTTTGTCCCCTCTCCGAGTCCAGCTGTGCACAAATTACTTGTCATTGTGGTGACACAAATAAGACTTCATTAACATGGCCATTCTGATCCTGGTAAACAAGTTTATTTACACTTGAGCACTGCTAAAGAATAAAGTCACAGAGAGAAGTTCATGGTAGGTGGCCCTGCCTTTAACACCGAGGCCGACTTTGACAAAATCCCTGCACCTCGCTTAGACAAGCTGCTATTCAGCTACCAGGGGTTCATGAAAGTTCGGGGTAGGTCCCTGTTAAAAGAGGATGACAACACTTGTAATCAAGGCTGGTCACATCTGTATTTAACGACCTGTGTCAGTGCTGTTTCTAGTGTTGTGTTTTTTTTTCTCTCCCAAACTCCTTGTTCCTTTGCTCTGCCAGAGGGTATAAAAAGGATAAACCAGGTTTATCTTCAGGGATACGTGATGGCTGGTTAGTTATCAGTTAAATTGGGTTTTGTTTGACTCATAACTAGATAGTGAGTAGTCCTCAAAGATGACAAAACCTGGGAAGATATGATTATCTGGGATTGTGAGAAAGAAAAAGTTGAATCATCCCACTGTGAGAAAACAGTAGGGGGATGTCTCTTTCTTCGGAAGCAGCGTGCACGTCGCTCACAGGTGACAGGAAAGCTCCGTCAAATGTTCAGCCTCCTTCCTAAGGCGGGGCTGGTGGGTCTCACCAAGGAAAAGCAGAGGGACGTTCAAGTTCCCAATGCTGCATGTGCTGGGAAAATATGCCGTGGGGGATGCAAATGTGGAGGCAGGTCCCTGTGATGACCTGGTCTGCATACGGGAGAACCGAGCTGGGCAGAATGAGCTCATCTTCCCTCCTGAGCCTCCTGGCCCAATGCCAGGCTCTTCCTCTGGGACAGCCAAGCCTGTCCTGCTCCCAAGTTTCTTGGGGGCAGCCAGCGGCTGGCATCCCATCATTCTGGGAACCGAAAGAAACCCATGTCTGTGACAGCTCACAGCCAGATGCCAGAATGTTCCCTCCAGGGACTCACTGGGTAAGGGCAGGCTCCAGGAAGACAGGAGACAGGGCAGACAGAACACCTGATATTCACAGAGTACTGACCACACCCTGTGAATGGAGATACGTGCCTTAGGTCACGCAGCTGCATGCCATCGAATCAAAATTACAGGAGACTCTGGTGGTGGTATTATCCACACACCAGGCAGGATGGCTTTCTCCTCTCATCCTTTTCCTGGGAGGTTGGCTTCAGCTAGAAGAGGTAGAGACTTGTATAACCTACTTGGACCATACCCTGCAATAGAGGAGTTGGTACCAGCCAAAGAAAAGTTTATGTGTCTGGGTGGGGTTCTGCTTGTGAGCCTCTGAAGCCACCTCCCCACAATTTCTGCAGAAGAAAAACTCGATCCAATTGGAATTGGCCTTGAGCTGGGAATCCTTTGTTAGGGAGGGGTGGCAGGTTGTTGGGGTTAACAGAGAGAGATTGGGAGAATGTTGGAGGAGGAAAATGAGGGACAGTGCCAAAGAGGGTGGACCCCAGATGCACATCTCAGGTAAACTCTGTTTGAGCTAATACATACTTAACAGGTACATTTAAAAACAGAACCTGCACCATCCTTTAGCTTCTGGGGGACCAGGTGCAGTGGCTCACGCCTATAATCCCAACAATTTGGGAGGCCAAAGCAGGAGGATCGCTTGAGCCCAGGAGTTCAAGACCAGCGTGGGCCACACTGGTAAACCCCTTCTCTACAAAAAATGTTTAAATTAGCCAGGCATGGTGGTGCATGCCTGTAGTTCCAGCTACTTGGGAGACAAAAGTGAGAGAATCGCTTGAACCTGGGACGTCAAGGTTGCAGTGAGCCATGAACATGCCATTGCACTCCAGCCTGGGTGACAGAGCGAGACCCTGTCTTAAAAAACTAAACTAAACTAAACTAAACTAAACTAAACTAAACTAAACTAAACTAAACTAAACTAAACTAGACTATGGGAGGATGTGTGATCATCTGACAGCAAGATTCCTTTCTGATGACAGACCAGACCAATGCTATGGGCACAGACACAGGGTTCCATCCATTTACAGGTGGTACCCGAGGCTCTGACACTGTCAGGTGCCCAAAAGTTTACTCGCCCGGAGATGGGTCACACCCCACCTTGTTTCCACGTCAGCAGAACAGCCAGTAAGTCCACAGGATTTGACTGAGCATCCTAAGGACTGGGTTTAACAGCAAAAGGGAGTCTGTAACTGGTATACAGGCAAGGTTTCAAGCCCCAAGGAGCTTTCTGTCCTTGACGAGATCAACCAAATAGTCTCTTCATATGATAATAACAGTTCACTGGATACTTCTACACGCTCTGCTGTATGTACTACGCACACTTTAACTCACTAAATCCTTGCAACAGTGCTGTGTAGGTAGTGCTATTATTGTCCTCTTTTTAAAGATGAGGAAACAGTACAAAGAAGTTAGATTATTTGGACAAGTTACACACCTCATTAAGTGTCAGGGCTGGGATTCTAACTGAGACCAAGGGCTCCAGAGGTGTGCGAGAATGAAGCAAGAGAGCTGCAATCACTTCCAAAGATAACCACATTGACAGAGGGCTTTCCATTCCATATGCTTCATCCTTGTAAGATAGGAAGAGGCTTCATCTTTCAAATGAGGCGCCTGAGTATCAGGGGAGTGATATAACTTGGAAAAACTCACGTACCTGGTAGCTTGGCAGAGGTGAGATTCAAGCTTGGGTCTGTCTGGTTTGCAGCTTGTTCTCTTTCCACCACTCTACTGTTGGCCAATTTAGAGGAAGATTGGACTCCCTTAGCCTTTCTAGTTTCCGTGATGTCTGGTTCCTGGGAGATTTCTAGAGCTATGAGCATTTACTCCCACTTGTGAGCAAGGCAAGAGTTCTCATGAGTTGAGGTCTAATCATGGAAGGCTAAAGGGAGGATGAGATTGTTAAGGCTTGGTTGGAGGCAATACCCTGGTTCATAACCAAGTGTTACGGTCACCCTGCCATTAGTAAGACCAGCTTCCAACTACAATGAATGGATTGGGGAAAGGTTATTTCATATCTGAGGTTATTTCATTTTAAAACCCACAGGTGTCAAGTAGTGTTTTTGGAAAGTGTAGAGATGAAATTCTAAAAATGTCATCTGGGAAGATGACAACTAGAAAGGCCACCGTAATGAACACTGCCAGTAAGTCATCACCTGCTAATTGAGTCATCTGTGAAGTTAATGCAGATTTGTGCATATCAGGGTGCCCAACCTTTCTAGGCAGAAGGATTATTACCTGAAGTAACCTGGGTTGGAGGCAGAGAATGTGACTTGTAATGGGCCACATCTGGAGGTGGCCCACTCAATTATACTCAAATGCTATTGGCTAGGAATTATTCTAAGCTCCAAGGAAGGCTAGGGAATGTAGCCTAGCTGTGTGCCCAAGAAGAAGAACAGACAGGACTGGAGACCAGCCTCTGCTACAAGGACTCAGGCTCCGTTCAGCTCCTTAGTGGCATGTCACCCTCAGAGTTTAGCCCTTGATCGAAAGTGGCAGCCAGCAAAGCTGCTTTCTACATGGCAACCTGAAGAGCCACTGATTAAATCCTGGGTATAAGGCATCACTTTCTAAATAATGAATCTCTTGGGTCAGTTTATATTTTTGCATCCACAAGATGGAGGAAAGAGAAACAAAACAAAACAAAACAAAACAAAACAGCAGTTAGGAGAGGGGCATGGAACAGATTCTCCTGCACAGCCCTCAGAAGGAAATATGAGTGCCCCACCTCCAAATGCCTGGAACCAACCCTACTGACACATTAATCTCAGACTTCTGACTCAAGAAAGGTGAGACAATAAAATGATCAACATTTAAGCCACCCAGTTTGTGGTATTTTGACATGGGGGCCCGAGGAAATTAACATACCTGGCCTGGCTTCAGGTTTTGGGAAGCCAAGATGGACAGATCGTTTGAGCCCAGGAGTTCAAGACCAGACCAGGCAACATGGAGAAACCCCATTTCTACAAAAAATAAAAAAACTAGCTGGGCGTGGTGGTGTGCACCTGTGGTCTCAGCTACTTGGGAGGCTGAGGTGGGAGGATCACCTGAGCCAGGAGGTCGAGGCTGCAGTGAGTCATGATCACACCAGTGCACTCCACCCTGGGTGACAGAGTGAGACCCTGACTCAAAAAAAAAAAAAAAGTCCACTGTAAGGGTTCCTCCACAATAGGCATCTTTCCTCCACGTAAGTCAAGCCCATTGTAGACTCTTGTAAGAATTTGTTAAATAAACCATTTAAAGACCTGTGTTCAAGGGGCTGGGCATGGTGGCTCATGCCTGTAATCCTAACACTTTGGGAGGCCGAGGTGGGTGGATCACTTAATGCCAAGTGATCAAGGCCATCCTGGCCAATGAGGTGAAAACCTGTCTCTACTAAAAATACGAAAATTAGCGGGGCATGGGGGCAGGCACCTGTAGTCCCAGCTACTCAGGAGGATGAGGCAGGAGAATTGCTTGAACCCAGGAGATGGAAGTTGCAGTGAGCTGAGATTGAGCCAGCCTTGCCCCAGCCATGCAGACCAGGGCTCCTCAGCTAGTCTCAGCTCTTGGTCCATCTTTACCTTGGCCTTCCCCATTCCAGCTCCACCCCACTCACCCCCACTCTGCCCAGCTACCCTCCCTTTGTTGCCCCAGATCTCTTTCCCTAAAACCCTGCAAGTTCTGCTGCCAACACAGCTGGTGTTGATCCCCGTATTCAAGAGCCACACATTCACTTTCAGAATCCACCTCTCACAAAAGAGTTCACAACCAGTGAGTGAGTATTTTAGGGGAAGCCAGAACCTCTCACCAACCCTTAGGCTTTATTTGCACAACAACATGAAATAGAGTTGAGTATCCTTAGGGTAGATGAACATTGACGGTCACACTGAAAAATCAGATCAGTTTCTTAGGGGAAGGAGGCAATATTTTTTCCCAGAAACAAAGCAAAGGGTGGGCTCTCAGCACTCTCCCTGTTTAGAATGTGTGGATATGGCTTTTGTGCCTGGGCCGTCTGGTTAACCTACATCTTCCAGCCTTTCTGGGCCATCAATGTAAGAAGCCCCCATCATTATCTACAAAGTACTTTTTGGTAACTGAAATAAGTGAATTTCATGAGGGAGAAACCTAGGTAACAAGCAAAATAAAAAGGCATGCAACTAGTCTGACCATATCCAAAAGGGAAGTCCCATTGCTGGAAAGCTCCCAGGATGCCCCAGCAGAGGTACAACTGCCATGTGCCCCTGGCTTCTCAGGGCAGCCACAATTTCAAAGATCCGCTCCCACTGCAGTCCCAGCACTCTGGGAGGCCAAGGCAGGCACCAAGGTCACAAGATCGTTTGTGACCTGGTGTTTGAGACCAGCCTGGGCAACATGGTGAAACCCCATCTCTTAAAAAAAAAAAAGTACAAAAATTTAGCTGGGTATAGTGGTATGTACCTTTAGTCCCAGCTACTAGGGAGGCTGAGGTGGGAGGATAGCTGGAGCCCAGGGGTTGAGGCTGCAGTGAGCCACGATCATGCCACTGAACTCCTGGGTGAGTTCAGACCGAGTACAACCCTATCTCAATAAATAAATAAATAAATATTTGTTCCCTTGAACACCCCAAGAATTCTCATACCCATGATTCATCTGGGTTCAGAAATATGGTCACCACAGATGCAGAAAACCCCTGCTCACCAGAGGGCACAGTAGAAGGAGGAGCACTAAAGCTGTCAAGGACGTTTGGAGAAAGAGCCACCACCTGATGGAGCTGCCAGATCTGGAGAGGGTAATGATCCCAAAGGCCCATACCTGCAGGGGAACAGGTCTTCTCCTCCAAACTGCTAAGCAAGTGCCATCTGGTTAAAATGAGCATCACAGGGAAACTAGAAATAGAAGAGAAGTTCCAAATGAACAATCCAGGAAGGCGGCATCCAGAGGACATCATCGTCCCTATCGGCCCCACTCCCTCCGCTGAGGGCGTGTGCATGAGTGAGGGAGATCAGTACCCAGGCCTCTGGCCCCCTCTTTCAGCATCAGCCTCCAGGGAGGGTGGAAAGCAGAGGGAGCCCCAGGAGGATGGCCCAGGAGCTGTAGCCTGGTAATGGAACTATGGGTGGGTCACAGGTTCCCCTCCTGGCTGGCCCAGGCTTCAGAGAGCAGTGAGAGGCCTTCTGTCTGGGCAGGTGCCTGTACCTCCCTGGTTTGCCCCCACCTGGGCTCCCAGTGCCCCTTCAAGTTTGCAGTTCCAGGAGTCATGACAACATGTGATCTTTAGTCCTAGGACCCACACTAGAAAATAAAAGAAAGAAAAAGGAAAGGAGGGGAAGGGAAGAGAAGGGAAGGGGAAGGGAAGGGAGGGGAGGGGAGGGAAGGGGGCGCGGTGGCTCATGCCTGTGATCCCAGCACTTTGGGAGGCCGAGGTGAGCGGATCATGAGGTCAGGAGATAGAGACCATCCTGGCTAACACCATGAAACCCCGTCTCTACCAAAAATACAAAAAATTAGCCAGGCGTGGTGGCAGGTGCCTGTAGTCCCAGCTACTCCAGAGGCTGAAGCCAGAGAATTGCTTGAACCCAGGAGATGGAGGTTGCAGTAAGCCGAGGTTGCACCACTGCATTCCAGCCTGGGTGACAGAGTAAGACTCCATCAAGAAAGGAAGAAAGAAAGGAAAGAAAGAAAGAAAGAAAACCAAACTAAACTGATTGAGCTGAAAAAAAAAAAAAAAGCTCACTGCAAGAATTTCATAATACACTCAGAAGTATTAACAGCAGAACACCAAGCTGAGGAAACAATCTCAGAACTCAAAGATGGGTTCTTTGGGTTAACTTGGTCAGACAAAAATAAAGAAAAAAGAATTTAAGGCCAGGTGCGGTGGCTCATGCCTGTAATCTCAGCACTTTGGGAGGCTGAGGCAGGTGGATCACGAGGTCAGGAGTTCAAGACCAGCCTGGCCAACATGGTGAAACCCCATCTCTACTAAAAATACAAACATTAGCCAGGCATGGTGGTGCGTGCCTGTAATTCCAGCTACTAGGGAGGCTGAGGCAGACAATTGCTTGAACCCTGGAGGCGGAGGTTGCAGTGAGCCGGGATCACGTCACTGTACTCCAGCCTGGGTGACAGAGTGAGACTCTATCTCAG
Source organism: Homo sapiens (assembly GCF_000001405.40). Lineage (NCBI taxonomy): Eukaryota > Metazoa > Chordata > Mammalia > Primates > Hominidae > Homo > Homo sapiens. Next base: position 99,023,341 of record NC_000015.10, on the reverse strand, counting down.
AAAAAAAAAAAAAAGAATTTAAACGAACAACAACAACAAAAAAGAGGTGACAGTCAAGAAGAAATGGGAACAACAACAAAATCAACATGTGAATAAATCTAAGTTAAAATGCTGAGAATACAGAACACAAGCATCTAATCTGAGGAGCTAAAAAAGTCATAACAGAACTAAGGTGCTACAAACAGTAGTACACAAGGTGAGAAGGAGTAATTGGAGTATAAGCATTCTAAGAACATTATATTTTTCCAGAAAAAGCTTTAAAAATCATTGATTTCAAAATAAAGTGAAACATGCATATTAAGATTTCTAAGTTAGCTTCTAAAAGAATAGAAACATAGATATTAAATTTCAAAGGAGAGAGAAAAAAATGGGACTGGGGCAGAGGTGAAGGGAATCTCAACTCATTTAAAAGGCAAGAAACAGGCAGGGCGCCGTGGCTCACGCCTGTAATCCCAGCATTTTGGGAGGCCAAGGCAGGAGGATCGCTTGAGGTCAAGAGTTCAAGACCAGCCTGGCCAACATGGTGAAACTCTGTCTCTACTAAAAATACAAGTATTAGCTGGGCATCATGGTGGGCACCTGTAATCCCAGCTGCTTGGGAGGTTGAGGCACAAAAATCACTTAAACCCGGGAGGCGGATGTTGCAGTGAGCCGAGATTGCACCAATGCACTCCAGCCTGGGTGACAGAGCAAGACTCCGTCAAATAAATAAACAAATAAAAGAAGGCAAGAAATGAAGAGAAGATGATCTGCCAATAACCATATTTAAGTGTTATTCTTAAAAGCAGATATTCATCAACAAATAACTAGACTTTTCTTTTGGAGGAGAGATTTTTTTTTTACCCCAAGTATTTTTAAATATTTTAATAATATTTTAATTTAGTATTCATATATTATGAAAAAACAAAGCAATATCTTTCCTCCTGCATAGCTTAAAAAATTTTTTTTTCAAGATGTTCCAGCAGGTCAAATGTGGGCAGTATACGTGTATCACACAAATCACTTGTTGGGAAACATAAAGGTCAAAATGAATAACCAACCATAATTCGCTGTTTGAATATTATACAACTCTGCCACATACATGCACACACAAAAATAATCTGCTAAGTACCCATCTAATAGAATACAGCTGGACGGGGGGCAGTATTGGGAGGAGCTTTATGCAATGAAGACTCCGCAAAATCAACTTCATTGCAAAATGCAATGAAGAAATGAATGCAGCTTTCTCTATGTTAATGGAATTTACCAATTGTGGTTACAGACTCGGTTTCCAAAAAAAACACATTTATCTTAATTTCTGCAAGTAAAGGAAACCAAGTGGTCTATGAGGGTTTGGGCCATGGGAGCCTCTCCTCCACACACACATACACACACACACACACACATCACAAGGAGTTCCCCTCTTGCCCTCCCCAGGCACTCCCAGGCCTCAGCCTCAGGGCAGTTCCTGGTGGTTCTGTGGCTGCCCTGCTTTGGAAGAGCAAAGAAGCATGGAAAGTTTTCTGTGCCTTGAGAGTTAATAGGCATTGGTTTGAGCAGGTTCCTCTTAGGAGGGAAATGAAGCCATTGCCTGGGGATATAGAATGCAAAAGGTTTGAAGTGAGAAGGCACAGAGTGGACCAGAGAATGGGACAGGAAAGAAAGACAAGGAGAAGAGCAGTGGTGGGTGGAGGGACATGGCTGGATTTCAACAGTGGCCTTTGGATTCACGCAGCCTGTGTGCCCCACCTCTGCCCAAGCCTGCTGACTACTGGCCTAGGAAAAGCAAACCAACAACCACAGGTGGGCACACTAGAAGGCATGGCATTTCTAAACCACCACTGTTGTGTGCCAAAGTCCCAGACCTTCAGGTCCAGCAGGTGTCACTGACCTGCAACTGCTCCCCAGCCTTCCAGCAACCCTGACTTTAAAAGTCATGTGACCCCCGGGGCATCTGACCAAGCATTTACATTTTTCCCTAAAGTTTCTTTCTATACCACAAAACAGCCATTTTCTACAGTCCTCTGAATTTCCCAGGGCTGAGCTGTAAATCTGAATACCAGAGGAACCAGCAGCCAGCCAATGTCAGGAGCCCAGCAAAGGCCGGTCAGCTGGCCGCCAGACTAGGGCTTCAAAGTTCAAAACGACAACACTCAGCATCCACTGCCCTGCCACCACCCTATCCAAGTCTGGTCATTCACTCTGTCCTGCCAGGCCATGGCAGGACCCATGTGGAGAGGGACAGGACACCAGCCATCTTATGCTGTGGAGATCCCATTTCATACAGATATCCTACAGCCCCTGATGTGTAGAAAGGGGGTGATAAGAGCCATCTCTAGTGTAGATGCCACTACATGGCAAGGAATCACAACAGAAGATGGAAATACAGACGCCTTGGCCATCAGGGGAACTCACTGTGGACCCGGCCCTCCCAGGAAGAACAGGACCCCTGGAAAGACATTCTAGGGGATGGGCTGCCCAGAGCCCTGGCCAGGTGGTGGCAAGCCAGCTCGTCGATACACCCAATCACAAAAAAATCCCTCCTAGCAAACTTTCCTACAGCAGATAGACTATACTATCTGCTTGGGTGAGAAGTAACTGACAACCTCCATGGCCAGGTAGACTTTCAGAGGCCACCTCATCCTTTCCTTTCACACTGATGAAGGAATGGGAATAGTCTGTGGCAGTGTTATGAGTCCAAATATCCAGCCCAGTCCCTGCCCATGGTCCCCAGCGAGACCCTGCTCCCCAAGAACTGAAATCCCAGACGTGCTGGGTCCACGTTCCCCTACAGACACTTACACACCATGGACTAGAGAAGATCCAAAATGGCTGAAGACTATTTGGTTTGGGAGAGTTTTTTTGTTATTTTTTGAGATGGGGTCTCACTCTGTCACCCAGGCTGGAGTGCAGTGGTGCAATCTTGCCTCACTACAACCTCCACTTCCCAGGTTCAAGCAATTCTCGTGCCTCAGCCTCCCGAGTAGGTGAGATTACAGGTATGAGCCACTGTGCCCGGCTATATTTTGTATTTTTTTTGGTAGAGATGGAGTTTCACCATGTTGGCCAGACTGGTCTCGAACTCTTGGCCTCAAGTGATCCACCCGCCTCTGGTTTTTTAAAATTTTATGTCTACATGAGGTCATCTCTGAAGGAGTCCCCTTAGAAACTGAATCATAAATTATTTACTTTCTGGGCCTCTAATTTTTTGGAGGGGACCCCCACTTTTTGGAGGGGAGGGAGCATCCACTTTGAACCTCACCCTCATGACAGATTCCTTTCTCTGGGTGGAGTCAAACCGCCACCAACCCCATGGCCACACTGCCACTTACTATCCAGGTGACCTTAGGCAAGTTACTTCGTCTCTGTGCCTCAGCTTCCTCACCAGTGAAATGAGAATCATAACAATACAGTAGTCCCCCCTTATCCTCAGTTTTGCTTTCCGAGGCTTCAATTATTTGCAGACCGCCATAGTCTGAAAATATTAAATGGAAAATTCTAGAAATGAACAGTTGGAAAGTTTTTAATTGCATGTTGTTCTGAGTAGCATGATGAAATCTCGAGGCATCTGGATCTGTCCAACCGGAGGCATGAATCATCCCTTTGTCCAACGGATCCACGCTGTCAATGCTCCTTGTCTATTAGTCAGTGAGGAGCCATCTCAATGATCAGATTAATTGTCCTGGCGTCACAGTGCTTGTGTTCAAGTAATTCTTATTTAATCACTGCCCCAAAGCGTAAAAGTAGGGATGCTGGCAATTCAGAAATGCCAAAGAGATGCTGTGAAGTGATGCTTGCTTGCTTTCCTTCCTTCCTTCATATATGTGTGTATATATATGTATATGTATATATATATATATATATATTTTTTTTTTTTTGAGACAAAGTCTCTGTCGTCCAGGCTGGAGTGCCGTGGCACCATCACAGATCACTGCAGCCTCAACCTCCCTGGGCTCAGGTGATTCTCCCACCTCAGCCTCCCAAGTAGCTGGGACTACAGGTGTGTACCACCACACCTGGCCAATTTTTGCACTTTTTTGTAGAGACAGGGTTTCGCCATGTTGCCCAGGCTGGTTTTGAACTCCTGGGCTCAAGCGATCTGCCCACCTCGGGCTCCCAAAGTGCTGGGATTACAGGCATGAGCCACCATGCCCAGCTAGTAAAGTGTTTTCTTTAAGCGAAAAGGTGAAAGTTCTCAATTTAGTAAGGGAAGAAAGAAAGAAAAAATCCTATAATGAACTTGCTAAGATCTGCAGTAAAAACAAATTTCTATCCATGAAGCTGTCTGTGAAGAAAGAAAGAGAAATTCATGCCTAGTATATACAGGGTTCGGTCCTGTCCTCGGTTTCAGGCACCCACTGGGGGTCTTGGAACATATTCCCCTGGATAAGGGGGAACTTTTGGATCCATGTTTACTATTTATTGTTAAAATCATTTAAGGTAATGTAGGAAAGGGCTTAGCACCATACGTGGCATATAGTAAACTGTTCCTAAAGGTTAGTTTACTAAAAATGTATTCAAGCCTCCCCCACCCAAAAACACAAAGGAAAAGCCCCCTTCCCTAATGCTTCAAGCTCAGCCTCCTCCTTTTTCTTATTCCCACAAACCCTTTGGAAATGGCAGCTATGCCCAACCCTGTTCAACGTCCCGAGATATACCAACTCTCCCCTCCCTGATCTTTTTCTGGGCCTCTCCAAACCTGCACATGTCTCACTCTCCCTCAGCATCAGGCCCGCCCCTGGCCTCTTTCCTTTTTGGTCTCTCCTCCTTTGGAGCCTTGTCTCAAAACCAGGTCCTCAGCACTTCTCACTCTCTGAGCTTTCTGCCCCTGTCCTCAGCTCCTCTTCTCCTCTCATGCTCCAAAGGATGAGACAGCCTTTCCCGGGGTTCCATCTGCTCTGCTCGCTCTCCACTAAGTAACAGGGGGTCCCTCAGAGCTCAGGTGCAGGCACTGGCTTTTCTAGAATTAGCACTTAAATTCCCCCTAAGCTCGGGAGTTAGAGTTTTTGCCCAATTCTTCGTATCTGCAATGGGAGGTATACGTCCTGAAACACTCTGAAATCACTATGTCTCTATTGCACCATTTCCCCCGCTGAGAGCCAGTTCCTCTATGGGTGTCACCACTGTCCCTGTTCCCCGTCCCCAAACCCAAGCTTCTGAGTCACCCTCAATTTTCCTCCTCACCTGCTATCTTTCTAGTCTACTAGCCCTGTTTTTTTTTGTTTTTTTTTTTTTTTGAGACAGAGTCTTGCTCTGTCACCCAGGCTAGAGTGCAGTGGTGCCATCTCGGCTCACTGCAACCTCTGCCTCCCAGGTTCAAGCGATTCTCCTGCCTCAGCCTCCCAAGTAGCTGGGATTACAGGTACCCGCCACCAAGCCCGGTTAATTTTTGTATTTTTAGTAGAGACAGGATTTCACCATGTTGTCCAGGCTGGTCTCGAGCTCTTAACGTCAGGTGATCCATCCACTTTGGCCTCTCAAAGTGCTGGGATTACAGGCTTGAGCCACCGCACTGGCCCCTCTCTGCTTTATTACCAGTGTAAATTGTCAGAACACCCAACTTTTCCAAATTCAAACACTTAACTGACTTCCTAAATGAAGGTCATAACATACACAATTCTCACAAAGGCTTTGGTTTTGTATGTAAACAGAAGGGAGGAGGTCAGAACAAATGGCTTTCTCCACAATCTACTCTCAGTTTTGCCACGGGCCTGGCGGTCGGTTCTTATGCACACAGTCTCATCTAATCCTTACAAGGCAGGTTAAGTTCTTATAGATGTTGGAAGGCCAAGGTAAAGGATGAGGGTGGTAACAGAATCGGGCTGTGTCTTTCTTTTTTCTTTCCACTGCACTCCAAGCTGAAATGACAGCAACAGATGGTCTGGTGGAACCTAAGAAGGTCTGCAGCATCGGGGAAATTAAAAACACATACACACTCTGAGAAATCCAGAGACAGAGAGAGAGAGAGACAGACAGACAGAGAGACAGAGAGAGCATATGCATGTGTGTGGCCCTGGGGCAGGTCAAGAACTGAATTATTTGGGGTACTTCCAAAGCCTCTTCAGACAGCACGCCTGCCTCCTGGAAACCAGACACACCAACAGTGAGGAGCCCTATACAGACAGCACAGCTCCCAGGGGATGTCGTGCGCCTTTCGCTGTGTTTCAGCACTAGAGCGCCGCGGGACCTGGGATACAGCCTTACCGGAAAGCCTAATTCTTAGTTTCCTGCTTCCTTGCTACAGGAAATCAGATTCCCAAGTAGACATGATTTGCTCAAGCTCTTTTTGGAAAGAGGCTACCAAAGTTCAGGCAATGGTTCAGCTATGTAAAACTCCAGTCCATTAGGACGTAGCACATGTTGAAATGATTAATGTGCAACTGCTGTGTGTCATCTTGGCCATCAGTAACCATCAAAGCCACAGCAAAAGTTGAAATAAATACAGGAAAATCCTTTAACTGTTTTAAGCCAACTATACTTTTCCAGCAGATGAAATTACCATTACTTTTCCCATTAAAATGCAAGGAGACTGGGTAGAGTAAGACAGATCTCTAAAGCAATCCTTGGAAGGAACCCTCTGACTCATGAAATCACTCACAGGCCTAGGGGCAGGGAGGAGCTTCTGGGAGCACCTCGGTGTAATACTGCTCTACAATAAGCCCCTAAGTGGGCAGAATCTCCTCTATTTTGTAGATGAGGAAGATGAGATTCAAAGAGCAAATCACTTTTTTTCCTCGTCCTAGTTCTCCAACATGTAAACTGGAAACAGTACTTGCCATCCACAACCGTGAAACCCAACTTTCTAGAAAGAAGCATAGAGAAAACAATCAAAAAAGAAATAGTATCTCCCCTTCCAAAACGAAAGACAAAAAACCTTTCTCGGCCGAGCATGGTGGCTCAGGCCCATAATCCCAGCACTTTGCGAGGCCTAGGCGGGCGGATCACTTGAGGTCAGGAGTTCGAAACCAGCCTGGCCAACAAGGTGAAACCCCGTTTCGACTAAAAATACAAAAATTAGCCGGGCATGGTGACGGGCGCCTGTAGAAGCAGCTACTCGAGGGGCTCAGGCAGGAGAATTGCTTCAACCCGGGAGGGGGTGGGGGCGGGGCGGAGGTTTCAGTGAGATGAGATTGCGCCTTTGCACTCCAGCCTGGGTGACAGAGACTCTGTCTCAAAACAAACACACAAATAAACAAAAAACCCTTTCTCAATCTCTAGGCCAACTAAAACGTCCACGAAAAATGTAACTAATCCATACAATTGGCTAATCGCTACCTTCCCTCCTTAACTCGCCTAAAATCAGCAGAAAAGCAACTCTAAGTCACAGCTTTTAGAGCAAGTCATAAAAGAGCGTAAATCGCCTCTAAAGTTGCCTTCCAAGAAAAGGTAGAGGAGCCTTTATGAGATTTTTTGTTCCCTACCGAGACGTGTGGCGGGAGAAAGTGGCCAGTCTGCGGCTGAGCTGCTGCTGGGGAGGGCGGGCCACCTGCGGCCAGGGCGCCTAACGGGTCGGACTGGACGTGTAGGGGCCGGAACAGCCGGTCACCGCGCCCTCCTTCCCTCGGGAAACGGGTCTCATTCTCACACCCGGCCCCGCCACATGTCCCCACAAGGAGAAGGGAAGGGGCAGGAGGTAAAGAGGCACTTTCTCAGCATCCAAGGGCGCTACTCTTGCTCCTATCCGAGCACCTCAGGGGCTGGTGGGCTTTGGGGTGTTTTGTTTCACGTGCTTTCAGATTCAGAAGGTGCACCCGCTCTGCCTGGTTTTCTGGAGATAGGGCCAAGCATGGCACCCCCTGGGGCCCGGGAAGCGACAGGCTCGGGGACGCGCGCGCTCCAGGGCCAGAAATGGCACGAAGCCCGGGCTCCGGCGACCCCGACCCGCTCCACCTCTGCGCCCCCGACCACAGCCGAGGCGTCCCGGCGCAGGGAAGGTGGCGGGGGCGGAAGGGGCGCTGGCAGTAACCCGAGCGGCCGTAAAGAATTCTCCCCCACTGTGCGGTTCCCATTTCACAGACAAGACAGCGGAGACCCTGGGAAGGCAGGGACTTCCCCACGCTCCCGCGCCTGGGAAGCAAGCCCGGGTCAGTCCCGGCGCCCGGTGTCCCCGGGGGACCTCCGAGAGAAGCCGTGACCGAGGCCGGGCGCCGAGGCCGGGGCGCGCGTGGAGTTGATGCTGGCAGTGCCTCTTCCGGCTCCCCCGAGCATTTCCTCCCCCTTCTTCCCGGGAGGGACTTAAACGCTCCCGAGGGTGAGTGCGGGGGCCCCGCCGGCCCCGCACTCGACGTCCAGGCCCCCCGCTCGCCGGTCCGCCGCTGCAGTTCAGTCCCGAGGCAACAACAGGTGCGCGGCTCGCCGCACCCCGGCGCCGGCTCCGGGGAAAGTTTCCCTGGCCGCCGCGCGCTGTTTACGGGATCCTGTTGCAGCGCGCGGGCCCGGGGCTTTCCGGCAGGTCGAGCCATTGAAACCCGAGACGCGGGGAGGAGCTGTCGCTGCGCTCCGGGAGGAACGAGGGCGGCCCTGGGCCTGGCCAGAGCGGCTCCCCTTACCTGTGACTCAACAGGCGGCCTCAGCCTCCATCCTCGGGCTAGGCTGGCGCCGCGCCCCGCCCCGGAGGCTGTCCCTGTGCCCCTGGCGTCCTCCTCCCTCTCCCATTCCTCCCCAGGGGCTGCCCCCGTTCCCCGCTCCCCGGCCCCTTCCCCTCCCCCAGGGTCACCACCCAACAGTCTTCCCAGCTACCAACCCCTGGCTCCCCAGAGAGTTTGCAAAGATTGTGGGCTCCACCTTCCCACCTGATTCGCCACCCCAGGAGAATTTACTATTTCTCTTTCATTTGTGGGGAGAAGACACCGTTAACGCCCCCACCCCCCGCTCACACGCCCACCCTCGCCGGTGCCCCGGGCCTGAACGCGGCACATGTCAACCCCCTCCCACGCCCCTTCACACTTCTATTATTTCTGTTTCTTTGGACAAGAATCATTTGCGTTAACCTTTTTTGAAAACGTTCAAGTTTCACTCCAGTAAGCTTCCTAGAAGGAAGGAGGAGGTGAGGGAGGAGAGAGAAGGAAGAGGAGGAGGAGGAGGCTTTGGCTGCAGCGGCGGCGGGGGCGGCTTTTGAGGAGGCTGCGGCGGAGGCGGTTTTGGCGACTTTGGCGGCGAAAATTTAGACAGTTGAAAAATAGGCCAAAGCACACTGAACCTGCAGGACATCCCGTAATCTTTTCTGCCCATTTCAAAGTCTTTCCCTGTCCTCACCCAACTATTACAGGCCGCTTTTGCTGAAACCTGACAATGTCATTTAGTAAATGTTCAGCTAGTATTCATTTGAAATAGAAATAACCAACAGCAGGTAATTTCTTCTTGGCCTGTTTCTGCGTGTTATCCAAGGGGAGGTGGAATACAGTGGTGGTTTTAAAATGCCAGCAGCCTAGGAACCCAAAGGCCTCAGCAGCCTGGCACCTCCCCACCCCCCTGCGGCTCTTAGGGGCCGAAAGATTGAGGGTCGTGATCAACTCAGTATACCACTGGAGGCCACGTGAGTAAGCAGCAAACTGTTTCTCATGAGAGCAGGGTGTTGGCAAACTGACAACCTGTGTCTGCCGCCCAGAAGGACTGCTGAGGGCAGTCACCACCCAGGTGCAAGTGTTTAGGATTAGACACAACTGAAGCCTGTTAGTAATGAGAACTTGTGATAATCAAACAGCTGACCAGTCTTAGGGCCTCCTCCCTGCTCATTCTCCCAATGAATGCGAAGGGCTGTGGAAGCTCGGGGGGCTGCCTTCGCTCACTAGAAGCAGGGAGCTCCCTTCTTCCCGGTTTCCCCTTCCTTTAAAACAGATTTCTTTAATCATTTCTACGTTTGTCCTTTCGTTCAGTCCTGTAATGACGGTCTCAAGTAGTAACAATAACTGTCGTAGTGACGGTCTCAAGTAGTAACGGTAATAACTGTCATAGTGACGGTCTCAAGTAGTAATTGTGGCAGTCAGCCACAGGCACACAGGACTAAAGGTTCATTAATGTCTGCTGTAAAAATGTAGAATATATTTCTTCAAGGTCTGAAGTATACATTTTTTGATGTACGTTTTTGTTACATTTTTTAAAGTTCTCTTGTTTTTAAAAAATAACATGTATAGGGCCGGGCGCGGTGGCTCATGCCTGTAATCCCAGCACTTTGGGAGGCCGAGGCGGGCGGATCACGAGGTCAGGAGATCGAGACCATCCTGGCTAACACGGTGAAACCCCGTCTCTACTAAAAATACAAAAAAAATTAGCCGGGCGTGGTGGCGGGCGCCTGTAGTCCCCGCTACTCCGGAGGCTGAGGCAGGAGAAGGGTGTGAACCCGGAAGGCGGAGCTTGCAGTGAGCCAAGATCGCGCCACTGCACCCCAGCCTGGTCAACAGAGCGAGACTCTGTCTCAAAAAAAAAAAAAAATTACATGTATAGAGCTTGAACAGTTCTTTTAAAATATGTATGTGTGTGTGTGTGTATACAGTATATATAAAGAATAATGAACTGAAAAGTTCCCTGCTTCTCATTCAACTCCTATATCCAAAGTCAGTATTAGTCAAATACCTCCTCTTTTCCTTTTAGTTTCTGAGTTTTGCGTCTCGCATGAGTATTTTGAAACTACTCCAAAACTAGAAAATAATTCTTCTAAATTTACTTCCAGTATTTTTACTGTCTTGATTTTCAGATTTGAATTTTAATCCAATCATAATTTACTGACCTATATGGCATAAGGAATGGATCTAGCTATATCTCATGGTTCCCACACCATTAAATGGTATATTCTTTCCGCTACTAATTTGAATTATCTCTTTAACTATATATTAAATTCTCATACACATTCTAGCTGTTTTATTGACAGTTTTCCTATTTCTACAACAACACTGCACTATTTTAATTACCCTAGCTTTTAGCATATATTTGGATATCTGGGAAGGCAAGCCAGTTGCATCTAGTCTTTAACATCGGTTTGCATTAACATTTTTAAAGTTTCGAATCTTCCCATTACAGAACATGGCATCCTTTGTTTTATTCGGGTCTTCTATGTTTTTTTCTTAAAGTCCCACAGTTTTCTTTTCTTTTTTCTTTTCTTTTTCTTTTTTTTTTTTTTGAGACAGAGTTTCACTCTTGTTGCCCAGGCTGGAGTGCAATGGTGCGATCTCGGCTCACTGCAACCTCCTCCTCCTGGGTTCAAGTGATTCTCCTGCCTCAGCCTCCTAAGTAGCTAGGATTACAGGCATGAACCACTACACCTGGCTAATTTTTGTATTTTTAGTAGAGATGGGGTTTCACCATGTTGGCCAGGCTTGTCTGGAACTCCTGACCTCAGGTGATCCACCTGCGTTGGCCTCCCAAAGTGCTGGGGTTACTAGCGTGAGCCACCGCGCCCAGCTAATTTTTGTATTTTTAGTAGAGAACAGGGTTTCACCATGTTGGCCAGGCTTGTCTGGAACTCCTGACCTCAGGTGATCCACCTGCCTCGGCCTCCCAAAGTGCTGGGATTACTAGCGTGAGCCACCGCACCCCGCCAGTTCCACAGTTTTCCACAAAAGGATCTCATACATTTCTTGCCAGGTTTATTCCTAGAGATTTCTGATATTTGAAGGGCATTGTGGATGGGCTCTTTTCTCCAATTACATTAGAATTAGTTATTGCTGATATATAAGAAAACTCTTAGGCCCTGAGAGGTGGCTCCCACCTGTAATCCCAACACTTTGGGAGGCCAAGGCAGGAGGATTGGTTAAGGCCAAGAGTTCAAGACCAGCCTGAGCAACATAGCAAGACTCCATCTCTACAAAAAAAAAAAAATTGAAAAATTAGCCAAGCATGGTGGCACACACCTGTGGTCCCAGCTACACAGAAGGCTGAGGCAGGAAGATCGCTTGAGCTCAGGAGTTTGAGGATGCAGTGAGCTCTGACAGTGCCACTGCACTCCAGCCTGTGTGTCGTCAGAGAGAAACACTATCTCTTTAAAAAGAGAAAGCTATTAGCTTCAGTATATACCAGTCTCATATCTAACCATTTTTAAGAGGTCCAGTAATTTTTAAAAATCAATGATCATAAATATTATAATCGGATTGTCTATAAATAAGCTGGATCGCTAAGCCTTCCTCAAACCTACTCAGCCACTTAGCACTCACTTCTGACACGAAAGTTACCTTTGGCCCCAGTCAAGAAAAAAAGAAAAATGCCTCTTACATGTGTATACTGGAAAATAGCGGCCCCTCGAAGGCCTGGTGCATGTTTTAGTGTGGCCCCTCTTCCATTCCAAGAGGATATTAAGCTCTCTGCTGCACCCTCCATCTGGCCTCATTTGTCTACACAGGAATTTCCTCAGTGTTAAGAACACAAATGTTCCAGTCATTCCTAAGATATTTGTGAAATTTGAAAGAAAAATCCAGTATTTAAACAATAGGGGTAACAAGCTACTGGATTTTAACAAGTAGAAAACTTCCTTTTGCAACAGTTGTTACTTTGCAGTCAAGGAGCTGTAGTCCCTAAAAAAAAAAGTGATCAAGGCTTAGCAAAAGTCTGAGGGAAAAATATAAGACAGAAGAAAAATAAAGACAAATCCTTCTCCTACAAAATGTAACAGAAATATCACCTTGCGACAGAGTCTCACTCTGTCGCCCAGGCTGGAGTGCAGCATGCGATTTCGGCTCACTGCAAGCTCTGCCTCCCAGGTTCACGCCATTCTCCTCCCTCAGCCTCCCGATTAGCTGCGACTACAGGCACTACTAAAATTAGCCGGGTGTGGTGGTGCACACCTGTAATCCCAGCTACTCAGGAGGCTGAGGCACGAGAATTGCTTGAACCGGGAGGCGGAGGTTGCAGTGAACCGAGATTGCACCACTGCACTCCAGCTTGGGCCACAGAGTGAGACCCTGTCTCAAAAAAAAAAAAAAAAAAGTCTACTACATTTATTCATTTATTTTATGGCCCTTTTCAGAAATCGTGTGCTGGCTGGCCCCTGCTGGGGTACAAAGCTGCAGAGGCAGAGGTATAGAGGAGGGTGAGTTCTGAATCTGCCTTGGTAGAGTGACATTATTGGAGGATCCCTTAGTGCTTTGACAAGAAGCAATTTGGCTATGGGTTGTGTTTTATAGTAGAGCTAAGTCGCTTATCTGGAAACAGTGATGTTTGACATGGAGAAAGACTTATGTTATCATTATTTTGGAAATCACAAGTGCTTCTTGCTGATTGATTTATTTTCTCCCCACCTCCCAAAGGAATTTGACCAGTTTGATTAAATTTCATTTATGTCAAGTGTACAAAATGTGTTGTAAGAGCTGTTTGTGTCAGAGACAGTAAACAAACCCCTTTAATCTTTTTTCTTGCGAGAGCAGGAAGTCACCACTTGCCAATGAGAAATTTAAAACAAATCCCACAAAGTTTTGAGTTTAGTTCAGCACGTGAAATAGTTGAGGTCTTGGGATCTTGTAATCTTGGCAACTCCCATTTGCTGTCCCTGGTGAGAACACTTGTGTACCGTTGCTTACTTTCCGGTTCACTAAGAGGGTCGCACCTTGCCCTCTTAATCCTAGAGTCAAATCTGATTACAAACATTTTCCTCTCGGGAATCCCGCTTGTAAGGAAGATCACTGTGCTCTCTGTTAAATAAAACAGCTCCATTTAGTTGCCTTATTCGTTCTCAGGCTTACTGTATTTCATCAGCCTAAAGACTGTGTTTGACATCAATTATTAGAGACCATTTGTTTTTACAATGGAAAAAGAAATAAAAGTGCAGATGTTGAACCTCAAAATCCATACTTCTCAGAGCTATTTTCATTCCAGAAAGTAGGAATGTGCTGGGGGGTTCTTGTGTGGGGAGAGGGGAGGTGAATGAATACAAAAATAGACATATCACTGTGACTAAGTAAAATATTTTGTGTTGTTTTTTCTATTAATTTCAAAATTAGAGAAAACTTTAGAACAGAAAAAAATAAGTGAATTATGGGAAAGTGAAAACTGCAGGACACATTCCAGTTTAGTTAAAATAATAGCTCCTGTCAAATCAAAAAAAAAATGATGAAAATTTCAGCTTTGTTATCAGAAAAGTAGTATGGTTAAAGATGGGCAGTCTTTGCACTTAAGGAGTCTCCTTAAACACAAGTTCCCATTCCCAGACCTCATAGGTGAATGTTGATAGCAGAGTTGGACCCTAGCAGCAACCAACTTTACAAATGTGGGCATTTCTGGACGGGCGCGGTGGCTCACGCCTGTAATCACAGCACTTTGGGAGGCCGAGGCAGGTGGATCACGAGGTCAGGAGTTCAAGACCAGCCTGGCCAAGATGGTCAAACTCTGTCTCTACTAAAAATACAAAAAATAGCCAGGGCTGGTGGCAGGTGCCTGTAATCCCAGCTACTCCGGAGGCTGAGGGAGAGAACTGCTTGAACCTGGGAGGCGGAGGCTGCAGTGAGCCGAGATCGCGCCACTGCACTCCAGCCTGGGCAACAGAGCGAGACTACATCTGAAAAAAAAAAAAAAAGAAGAAGTGGGCATTTCTTAATGGTCCAATCTCTTCCTTTAACTGTGCAGAGGAAGCCAAGCCCCCACTGAGAGGTGACAACATGCTGGTAGGCCTCGCAGCCGTCACTCACTCTCGGCTCCTCTGCCTGGGCTCCCACTTTAACGGCACTTGAGGAGCCCTTCAGCCCGCCGCTGCACTGTGGGAGCCCCTTCCTGGGCTGGCCAAAGCCAGAGCCGGCTCCCTCAGCTTGCGGGGAGGTGTGGAGGGAGAGACGCGGGCGGGAACCGGGGCTGCACGCCGCGCTTGCGCGCCAGTGCGAGTTCCGGGTGGGCGTGGGCTCGGCGGGCCCCGCACTCCAAGCAGCCAGCCCGCCCCGCCGGCCACGGGCAGTGAGGGGCTTAGCACCTGGGCCAGCAGCTGTTAGTGCTCGACTTCTCGCGGGGCCTTAGCTGCCTCCGTGCGGGGCATGGCTCGGGACCTGCAGCCCGCCATACCTGAGCCTCCTCCCCCGCGTCATGGGCTCCTGCGCGGCCTGAGCCTCCCCCACGAGTGCCGCCCCCTGCTCCACAGGACCCAGTCCCATCGACCACCCAACGGCTGAGGAGTGCAGGCGCACTGCACAGGACTGGCAGGCAGCTCCACCTGCGGCCCTGGTGCGGGATCCACTGGGTGAAGCCAGCTGGGCTTCTGAGTCTGGAAGGGACTTGGAGAACCTTTATGTTTAACTAAGGGATTGTAAATACACCAATGGGCACTCTGTATCTAGCTCAAGGTTTGTAAACACACCAATCAGCACCCTGTGTCTAGCTCAGGGTTTGTGAATGCACCAATCGACGCTCTGTATCTAGCTACTCTGGTGGGGACTTGGAGAACCTTTGTGTCCACACTCTGTATCTAGCTAATCTAGTGGGGACGTGGAGAACTTTTGTGTCCAGCTCCAGGATTGTAAACGCACCCATCAGCACCCTGTCAAAACGGACCAATCAGCTCTCTGTAAAACAGACCAATCGGCTCTCTGTAAAATGGACCAATCAGCAGGATGTGGGTGGGGCCAGATAAGAGAATAAAAGCAGGCTGCCCCAGGTAGCAGTAGCAACTTGCTGGAGTCGCCTTCTGTGCTGTGGAAGTTTTGTTGTTTTGCTTGTTTGCAATAACCGTTGCTGCTGCTTACTGTTTGGGTCCGCACTGCCTTTATGAGCTGTAACGCTCACCGTGAAGGTCTGCAGCTTCGTTCTTAAAGCCAGCCACATCACGGACCCACCGGGAGAAACGAATAACTCCAAACACGCCACCTTAAGAGCCGTAGCACTCATGATGAAGGTCCGTAGCTTCACTCCTGAAGTCAGCGAGATCACGAATCTGCCAGAAGGAAGAAACTCCGAACACATGCGAGCATCAGAAGAAACAAACTTGGGACACGCTGCCTTTAAAAACTGTAACACTCACCGCCAGGGTCCGCGGCTTCGTTCTTGAAGTCAGTGAGACCAAGAATCCGCCGATTCTGGACACACCATGACGGAACTAGGTAAGTGATAGGAGCTAGGAGAGCTGCTCACCAGAGGAGGTAGAGACCAAGTCTACAAGTGCATCCGGGGTATATTGAGAAACCGGGTAACTTCTGTGAAATGAGGCAAAGTACAAAAATCCTCTGCATCCCACTCATGGCAAGGTGGGCCCAGCTTCTCAGGACAGGGAGTGGGAGACTAGTGGGAGCAAATGGCGCTTCCCACCTGTTGGCAGTGAAGAGGCCTGCAGCCCACACCAGGAGCTAATTAAAGGGAATTGTTCCTGGTTCAGAATCCCAGAAAGCCACCAAGGGGGGTCTAATCCGCGGGGGTGATCCCAATTAAAAGGGAGCGCTTTATATCAGGAGGACAATTCAGCAGATGGAGCCACGTGGTCCTGCTGTCACACTGAGCTCTCTAGAGGCCGCAGGGTGCTTGAGAGGCTCTGCCTGCTTCCCTGAAGGGAGCTTCTCCTCCCCAGACCTAGATGGGGACAGAGAATCATGGGTCTTCTTCCTCTTAATATACAGCTTCAGGAAAAAAGTATTTTCAGTTTAAAAAAAAGTTTAAGAATATTTTTAGAGACAGGGTCTCACTCTGTCACCCAGGGTGGAGTGCAGAGGTGCAGTTACGACTGACGGCTCAAGTGATCCTCCCGCTTCAGCCTCCCTGAGAAGCCAGGACTATGGGCATATACCACGTTTTGAAAAAAATAATTGATGCAGTCTTGCCACGTTGCCCAGGTTGATCTTGAACTCCTGGCCTCAGGCTATCCTCCTACCTTGGCCTCTCAAAATGCTGAAATTAAAGGCGTGAGCCAGTGCACCTGGCCAAAAGTTTGTTTTGTTTTTAAATAGAATTCTCCGAAAGATCAAGATATTGGAAAACAGCTTTTTCGATAGAGGAAATAGCCTCAAATGTTAGCCTTTTTCAGTTATTCTGACACATTAAAAAGAGGACTGTCTGCAGAGCCAGGTGGCATGCCACGGCTGTGGCTCACTGTCAGTGGCATGTTTAAGGAGTCCAGCACAGTGTCAAGAAAGCACTTTTCGCAGGTAGAACGCAGGGTGGTGAGCACAGAGCTAGCAAGCTTGCACAGACGCTAGCTAGGTGGCAAGCCTCTGTTCCTCAGGGCTGATGAAGCTGGGGACAGTGCCTGGGGCACAGAAAGAATCCATACAGGATCCGGTGCTGCGATCCTCGTTTCTCAAAACAGGAAACCTGAGCACAGAGGTTAACTTCCCTGAGGACCCACAGCTCCTAGGCAGCGGTGCTTGCAATCAATATTTTAAAGGCAGGCGCCATAAGATTCATCTATGGTTTTCTCTCTTTTTTTTCTGCTCACATCTCACATATTTTGTGGAATTAGTTTTCAGAGCAATCAAATTTTACCAAATCATAATGGCCAAACACAATGAGGGGCTCTGGCAGGGATTACTAAAGAGGAAAAAATAAGATCTAAGTAAACGACTTGTAGGGTAGCCCACAGTTCCTAGGACAGTACCTCTTTGAGCACCATGTGGTGTTCCGTCCCAGACATCCTTCTGTCCCAGGCAAACCGGGACAGCTGGTAGCCAAACCCTTAGCTCACCTTTGAACCATCCTGAACAACAAAGTGACCCAGACTCAAATGTCCAGAAAGTCCCTGCTGGCGCTCCAACCCGCTGTCCTGAGCTGGATCGTTCTGCTTTCAAGGGGCATTGCTTTATCACCCTCCCCTAGATCCTTGGCCTTTCGGGGCCCAGAACGCTACGGACGCCGGGCGGCCAGGAGGGGTTGGGCTCCCGCTCCACCCCGGTCCCCGGCGAGCACGCGGCCAGGCAGAGAAGGTGCCCGGAGCTCAGAGCGCGCAGAGCCCGGCCGCTGGGCCGCTGCCTGAGCCAGGGAGGCGCAGCGCGAGCTCCCACTTCGTCTTCATGGATTCCCAGCCCAGCTGCGTGGTGGTGACTGGTAAGACTACATAATTTTTTTCTCTCCTATTTGTTGCTGCTTTTAGCCTGCCCCTGGAATGCGCACTGGCCTGATCCTGGGTCTTAAATAGTTCCCTGAGGGAAAAAAAGAATGGCAACTGGTGGTGCTAATAATTCCAGATGGAAACGAACTTGCTGCTGTGCCCTATTAATAAACAATCAGGATCACAGGCATTTCTGCTTCTGTGGCTCATTCGCTTCAAGTAACTCTCGAGTGGCGGGCACGAAGGTGCCACTGGTGGCTTAGGCTCAGACCTTGCCTTTCAACCCAGCAGGGAGGAAGCTGAGGCTGGTACCTGTTTTCCCTGAGTGGGGCCCGAGGCACGTGAGGTATCCCTTGGGGGTGCAGGCTCATAGCAAGGAAGAGGGATCTATACGCCCAGAAACCACAGGGCCCTCACAAGGCTTGCAAACCCATCTACAACAGCCACCCGCAAAGGAACACACAGTCCCCACTTCCAGAGTAAGAACTTCCATTTTTCAGGGAGCTGTGAAGCACCCCCCGAGAGCCACTAGCTGGAGACCCTGAGCCCCAGAAGGTCAACTTGGAAGGAATGGTGGCTGCTCACTCCTGCAAACACCAGCACATCCAGAGTCACCCCCACCCACACTTGCCTCACCAAGTCAGCATCCCAGCTGGTCCCTGGGGGCCTGATCTTCACAAAGGTCTTTATTTTTATTAATTTTTTTTTGAGACAGAGTCTTGTTCTGTCGCTAGGCTAGAGTGCAGTGGCGTAAGCTCAGCTCACTGCAGCCTCCGCCTCCTGGGTTCAAGCGATTCTCCTGCCTCAGCCTCCCGAGTAGCTGGGACTACAGGTACGCACCACCACGCCCAGCTAATTTTTGTATTTTTAGTAGAGATGGGGTTTCACCATGTTGGCCAGGATGGTTTCGATCTCTTGACCTTGTGATCTGCCCGCCTAGGCCTCCCAAAGTGCTGGGACTACAGGCATGAGCCACTGCGCCTGGCCCTATTTTTATTTTTATATTTTTAATTTTTCTGAGACAGTCTCCCTCTGTTGTCCAGACTGGAGTGCAGTGGCTCAGTCATAACTCACTGCAGCCTCAAACTCCTGGGCTCAAGTAATCCTCCCACCTCAGCCTCTGGAGTAGCTGGGACAACAGGCACTCACCACCACACCCCCCAATTTATTTTATTTTAGTTTTTAGTAGAAACAGGGTTTTCCTGTATTCCCCAGACTGGTCTCTAACTCCCGGGCTGAAGTGATCCTCCCGCCTTGGCCTCCCAAAATGCAGGGATTACAGGCATGAGCCATCATGTCCAGCCTTCATTTTTAGTTAGACACATTTGGCCGGTTTTAAGTTTTCTGAATTGTGTTGGATGAAGAGGCAGGGTTTCCTGGATGAATGGGAAATTGAAAGTTGTGTCGCTTAATCTTTTCAGACTATAATTCTAACTCCTATCGACCTTCAGAGAAAAAGTTCTTTGGGAAACCTTTTATCTCCCTTGCTCTTATTTGTGTTATTTTGGTTCTGGAGATTGAATGGTTCAAATTACTCTTGAATTCCTAAGGAAACTGTACTCTAATGCATGCAATGCTTGTCATGAATGAAATATGAACATTGAAGCACCATCTTAGAATCACACTGACCCCTGCCTTTGTCTTGTCAGCCTGTGGTTTGCTGGCAAACTGGAAATTGTTTGATGAAATACCTGATAATCAGCCATGATTTGGGAATGCCCGCTGGATTCCAGAGCGTGGCCTTCCTGTGTTAGAAATGCTTAGAGCTGCCAGGGGCAGTCTCTTCATTTAATTGGATTTGCTTCGTGTGTAAATCTCCTCAAGACAATTGGCATGTAGACAGATGGTGGGAGAACGAGGGCTCCGACAAATTGCTTCGAGATCAAAGTGTTCAGACTGGCACCAACGATAACCACAAGAGTGAGAAAACGTGCATCCCTCCCACGGGCCTCTCAGAATTCTAAGATTTCTCCAGCTCCGTTTGCAAGTTGCACTGGGGGCTGACCAAGTTTAAAGTGAGGTTTGAACTTGAAACACAAGAGCTTCAAACCTTCACTTGCAGAGTTGATTTTTCTAATTTAAAACAGATAAGAGATGTCATATTTGCTGATACAAATATGATTCTAAAGCAGAATGTGATTTTTGTGTGTGTTGCTGCATTTTTATTGTATTTTTATTATCCCAGGAGGTACCTGGCTTCTCAGTGCTTTTTTTTTTTTTTAATCTCACTATTTTCTATAACTGCCCTTTTTTTTTTCTGGCTGTTTCCAAGGGCAGCTAAAGTCTTATTTATTCTGAAGGATTTGGTTGAATCAGAGGACACCATGGGCTTTTTGGGACGTTCTGTCCAAAACTGTTTCATTCCCTCAGAAAGTTTTTACTTCCTCATGAGCCAACCCTGTTTGTGGGTCTAGACCCAGATGTTCAGGAATTGCAAAGGTATAATTCAAGTTTCTCTCCAGAACTGGTTCCTAGTCTAAAGGCCTGAGGTCCAGGGAGCTGGGTTCTCAGAGACTGACATTTAGTCACAGCCCTTTCCTCATCAAAGAATATGAATGACTTGAGAAATATGTCACAGGAATCAGAGGTGGAAATGTCACAGGAATCAGAGGTGGAACTGAAAACCTCAGCTGTACTCCGGGATAAAGCTGAGTTAGAGAATTCCACTTGTATCTGCAGCCCACTTAATTGAGCACCTGACTCCATCACAGGCATATCTGGCACTGGCTAGTCTCCCACACAGGAGGCCACACACTTTTTAAAACTTTTTATTTTGAAATAAATATAGGAATTTGCCAAGAAGTGTACAGAGGTTCCCTGTACCCTTTACCCAGCCTCTCCTGATATTGACATATTAACATTTTCAATATAAAAGCCAGGATATTGACATTGGTATAATTCAAAATTTGTGCTTGCAGTATGTGTGCGTGTGTGTGTGTAATTTCAGCTAGTGTAGCTTCCTATCACCACCACCACAATCAAGATACCTAGCAGTACCATCACCACAAAGCTCACTCGTGCTAGCTCTTTACAGCCACACCCACCCGCTTCCTCCCATCTCAAACACCTGGCAACCATTAGTCTGTTCTCCATCTGTATAATCATTTTATTTTACAAATATTTTATGTAGGCTGGGTACAATGACTCACACCTGTAATCCCAGCACTTTGGGAGGTTGAGATGGGCAGATCACCTGAGACCAGGAGTTCGAGGGCAGCCTGGGAAACCTGGCAAAAATACAAAAAATTAATCAGACATGGTGGCATGCACCTGTGGTCCCAGCTACTCGGGAGGCTGACGTGGAAGGATCACTTGAGCCCAGGAGATGGAAGCTGCAGTAAGCTATGATCGTGGTACTACACTCCAGCCTGCATGACAGAGTGAGATCCTGTCTGAAAATAAAAATAGGGCCAGGTGCGATGGCTTATGCCTATAATCCCAGCACTTTGAGAAGCCCAGAGGGGTGGATCACTTAGGGCAGGAGTTCGAGACCAGCCTGGCCAACATAGTGAAACCCCATCTCTACTAAAAATACAAAAATTAGCTGGGCATGGTGATGGGCACCTGTAACCCCAGCTACTTAGGAGGCTGAGGCAGGAGAATTGCTTGAACCCAGGAGGCGGAGGTTGCAGTGAGCTGAGATCACACCACTGCACTCCAGCCTACGTGACAGGGTGAGACTCTGTCTCAAAAAGCAAACAAGCAAAAATAAAAAACACAAATATATAAATGAAATCATACAGTACATGTCCTTTTGAGATTGGTTCTTTTTCACTTGGAGTAATTTAAGGTTCATCCAGGTTGTATGTATCAATAGTCCATTATAAAAAGTTTTTAAACTACTTCATTGAGATATAATCCACATGCTATACCATTTACTCATTTAAAGCGAGTAACATTCAGTGGCTCAGTATAGTCACGAAGTTACATATTCATCACTACAGTCAATTTTAGAACATTTTCAGCACCCCAGAAAGAAACCCCACACCCCTTAGCTTTCACCACTCACGTCCCCCCACAACACACATACCCAGCTTCTGGCAACCACTAATATACTTTGTCCCTATAGATGTGCCTCTTCTGACATTTCATATAAATGGAATCATTTTACATGTGGTCCTTTGCCTCTGGCTTCTTTCATTTAGCATGTTTTCAAGGTTGAGCCACGTGGTAGTGTGTCCAGAATTGGTGGGTTGTTGGTCTCACTGACTTCAAGAATGAAGCCGCGGACTCTCGTGGTGAGTGTTACAGTTCTTAAAGGCGGCGTGTCCAGAGTTTATTTCTTGACTGATGTTTGGATGTGTTCAGAGTTTCTTCCTTCTGGTGGGTTCATGGTCTTGCTGGCTCAGGAGTGAAGCTGCGGACCTTTGGAGTGAGTGTTACAGCTCTTAAGGCAGCGTGTCTGGAGTTCATTCCTCCCAGTGGGTTCGTGGTCTCGCTGGTTTCAGGAGTGAAACTGGAGACCTTTGTGGTGAGTTACAGCTCATAAAGGCAGTGTGGACCCAAAGAATGAGCAGCAGCAAGATTGATTGTAAAGAGCGAAAGAACAAAGCTTCCACAGTGTGGAAGGGGACCCGAGTGGGTTGCCACTGTTGGCTCCCGCAGCCTGCTTTTTTTTCTCTTATCTGGCCCCACCCACATCCTGCTGATTGGTCCATTTTACAGAGAACTGATTGGTCCATTTTGACAGGGTGCTGATTGGTGTGTTTATAATCCCTGAGTTAGACACAAAAGTTCCCCACTAGATTAGTTAGATACAGAGTGTGGATACAAAGGTTCTCCAAGTCCCCACCAGAGTAGCTAGATACAGAGCGTCGATTGGTGCATTCACAAACCCTGAGCTAGACACAGGGTGCTGATTGGTGTGTTTACAAACCTTGAGCTAGATACAGAGTGCCGATTGGTGTATTTACAATCCCTTAGCTAGAAATAAAGGTTCTCCATCCCCACCAGACTCAGGAGCCCAGCTGGCTTTACCCTGTGGATCCCGCACTGGGGCCGTAGGTGGAGCTGCCTGCCAGTCCTGTGCCATGTGCCCGCACTCCTCAGCCCTTGGGGTGGTCGATGGGACTGGGCGCCGTGGAGCAGGGGGCCAGCTTGTCTGGGAGGCTCGTTGGCACAGGAGCCCACGGAGGAGGGGGAGCTCCGGCATGGCGGGCTGCAGGTCCTGAGCCCTGCCCGGCAGGAAGGCAGCTAAGGCCCAGCGAGAAGTTGAGCACAGCAGCTACTGGCCCAGATGCTAAGCCCCTCACTGCCTGGGGCCGGCGGGGCTGGCCGGCCACTCCCAGTGCGGGGCCCGCGGAGCCCACGCCCACCCGGAATTCGCGCTGGCCCGCAAGCACTGCACGCAGCCCCGGTTCCCGCCCGCGCCTCTCCCTCCACGCCTCCCTGCAAGCTGAGAGAGCTGGCGCTGGCCTTGGCCTGCCCAGAAAGGGGCTCCCACAGTGCAGTGGTGGGCTGGAGGGCTCCTCAAGTGTCACCAAAGTGGGAGCCCAGGCACAGGAGGGGCTGAGAGTGCGCAAGGGCTGCAAGGACTGCCAGCATGCTGTCACCTTCTCAGTAGCATGTATCAGTACTTCATTCCTTTTTATTGACAAATAATATTTCATTGTGTGGATTATACCACATTTTGTTTGCCATTCATCAGTTGATGGACATTTTGATGTTTCTACTTCTCTCTTCCACTGCTGAGTGTATTCTGTGAGATGGGTGAACCATGATTGGTTTGACTGTTAACCCACTGAAGAACATTTGGGTAGTTTCCAGCTTTGGTCTATTACAAATAAAGCTTCTATGAACGTTTTTGTATACACTTCTGTATGAAAATAAGTTTTCATTTCTCTGAGATAAATGTCCAGGAGTGCAAATGCTAGTAAATCCACTTTCAATTAAAAAAAAATTGTCAAACTATTTCCCGGAGCAACAGTACCATTTTATATTCCCACCAGCAATGTGTGAGTGACCTAGTTTCTCCTCATCCTTGCCAACATTTGGTGTTATCAGTCTTTCTATTTTAGCCACTCTGATAAGTGTGCTGTGACATCTCATCCAGATTTTAATTTGTATTTCTATGATAGCTAATGATGTTGAACATCTTTTCATGTGCTTATTTGCCACCTGTATATCCTCATCACTGACATGTCTCTTCATGTGGTTTGCCCATCTGCTGATTGGACTGTTTGAGTTTCAAGAGTTCTTTATGTATTTTATATACAAAGCCTTGGTGAAATACATGATTTGCAACTATTTTCTCCATCTGTAGCTTATCTCTTCCTCCTCTTAACAGGGACTTTCACAGAGCAAGAGTTTTTAATTTTGACGGAATCTAGTTTGTTAATTATTCCTGTTATGCAGCCTGCTTTTGGTTTCAAATCTAAGAACTCTTTGCCTAGCCTTAAAGCCTAAGATTTTCTCCTTCCCCCCAAAAAACTTAGTTTTTTGTTTGTTTTTCTGAAACAGTTTTGCTCTTTCGCCCAGGCTGGAGTTAAGTGGCGCAATCTCAGCTCACTGCAACCTCTGCCTTCCGGGTTCAAGCGATTCTCCTGCCTCAGCCTTCCTAGTAGCTGGGATTATAGGTGCCCACCATGTCTGGCTAATTTTTGTATATTTAGTAGAGACGGGGTTTCGCCATGTTGGCCAGGCTGGTCTCGAACTCCTGACCTCAGGTGATCCACCCACCTTGGCCTCCCAAATTGCTGGGATTACAGGCATGAGCCACCATGCCAGGCTACTTCTGCTTTTTATATTTAAGTCCATTATTCATTTGGGTTAAGTTTTGTGTAAGGGGTGAGGCTTAGGTTGAAGGGTTCAGGTTTTTTGCCTGTTAGTGTCTAATTGTTCTAACACCATTGGTTGACGAACCTATCCCTTTTCCATTGAAATTGCTTTTGCACCTATGTCAACAAACAATTGGGCATATTCATGTGGGTCTATTCCAGGGTTCTTTACAAAGCATGCTTTTTATTCAGACATCTGTGCACACATGTTCTTAAGCCCTCGCAGCTTGGCAGTGGGTCAGCTCCATGTTCTTTCTTTGCTCCCCAACAATGCCTCACATGTGAGGACTCTGAGAATGCTCCCAGGTTGGCACAGTTGCAGCCTCCATGGGGAAGGGGACGTGCAAAGATCCCTAGGGCCCAAGATGGTCTGAGGAGCAGGAACAGAGTCTTATGGGGTGGGACCTGGTGCTCGAGTGCAGCCAGGAGTAGAGGCCCCAGTCCCAAGGTCTGGCTTGAGCAAACCTGGGCATGTTTGGTTTCAGGTTTTGGGCCCTTCCGGCAGCACTTGGTGAATTCCAGCTGGGAAGCAGTGAAGGTAAAAACCCTGTAGCTCAAGACCCAGGAGCTCAGCGCCCAATGAGTTTC
This sequence comes from Homo sapiens, assembly GCF_000001405.40. Taxonomy (NCBI): domain Eukaryota; kingdom Metazoa; phylum Chordata; class Mammalia; order Primates; family Hominidae; genus Homo; species Homo sapiens. The sequence goes on along the minus strand of NC_000015.10, from coordinate 98,998,060 downwards.
TTCTGTGGCTGCTGAGAAACCTCCGGCGTTCAGGCCCGTCAGTAACCAGATCCGCAGGGGCAGGGGGAAAAACAAGTGCATGGGCCCCTGGGAGAACAGCTTGTCTTTGGCACTTGGGTTGTGACTTGTCTGCCTCATGCCCCTCCTGCCTCTGAAGTAAAGAAAGGGGCCTAAAGGGACCCTCCTGGGAGGGATGGGGAGTGTCCTCAGAGCAGGTTCGCTGGCCCAGAGCGAGGTTTCTATTGTCTGTGTCCCTTCTGGCTATGGGGCCCGGGGGAAAGTCATTTCCCCCAGCCTCAGTTTTCTCATTCATGAAATGAGGGAATAATAAAGCAGATGTTGCAGGGTTGTTCTGAGGACCCAAAGAGGTAAGTATGTAATGTAAAGCCACTTTGTACAAGCAGCTATTTTAGCACCTGGGCACAGAGAAAGCACTTAATAAATGTCTGTTGTCATAAACAACATGTTTATTTGTAAGAAAGCCAACTAGGAGAAAGCACAACCTCAGACAGGCCTTGAGGAGGGAACTGCCTCTTCTCCTTGGGGCACTTGTCTGCTCTCTGTCCCCATACAGCTGTCACTCAGGTGACACACCGCCAACTGCTTATTCACACTTGGCCATCAATTTCATGCCTCCGTTGGATCAAGGTGAGGTCTTTATTCTGAGTTTTTTGGTCAAGCTGAAAATGCAGCAAAACCCCTTGCACCATGCATTTGCAGCAGCTGCAGCATCGGTTTTCTAGGCTGTCAGTACAGATGCAGTCAAGGAAAACTCTCAACTCTTGAGTTAGAATTTAGGTTCCTTTCAACCAGGAAAAAGCTGAGGGCATCCCAGAGCCACTGCCAAGCCTCACTGCTGCACACAACATACCAGAAAGGCCAGCTTGGGGCTTTCATGGGCTCCTGTGTGTCTGCAGGCAGTTCCTCAAAACACAGGACCTTTTTTGCCAAATCCTCGATGATCCTGAACCCTTCTATTTCTTTTTACAGTCATGAGAATGGAAAAGAGCCAGGCCTCCTGGGTTTAGCTCCAACAGTGGCAAGCTGCGAGACCCAAGACAAGTCACCCAGCTTTTCTGTGTCTCAATTTTCTCATCTGTGAAATGGGAAGGTGTGATGATTAACGGAGTTAACACATGTAAACCCCTTAGAACCAGGTGGGGCATATTGCCAGTGCTCACAGATATAATTCTTCTATTACTAAAAGGCTATTCCATGAGTCAAGGTTCTTAGCTGCAGGCAAATAGGATCTGACTCTGATGATTCACAGATAAGGTAGATATCACTAGGTAAGATAGAGCCTCTGCATGGCTGGGCAAGCAGAAGGTAAAGGGCAGCTCTGAGGACCAAACACGTACCCACGCGTGCACACATGGATACACAGGCATACACACGTGCATGCATATATACATATACAACATGCACACAACACACATACACGCAGGCATATACACATACAACAAGCATACACAACACACATAATACATGCATGCACACCCATACCTATACATATGCACACACACACACACACACACATACCCCTATATACACATGCATGTATACATCTAGACATACACCCATATACACATACCAAGAGCTTCAGGCTGAGGTGAGTGAGTGGTTAGCACACATACACAGGTGAGGGTGAGTTTCATGATCAGCATTGTGAGCAGCAAGGGGGGTGGAGATGAAACCAAGCCTCTTTAAGTCAGTCCCTTAAGGGACCTTGTGGTCTCAAGCACCCTGACTCCTGCAGAAGCTTATGCAATTTCTCTTGAATGAAAACCTCTGATTTTTCACAAATTAAGATAAACTAAATGTCAATTTCCAATTAAAGATCACCAAATATACAGAGAAGCAAACTACCATGAGTAGGAATCAGCAGAAGCAGATTTAGAAGCTCAAGGACTTCAGCTACAAGAATGATCAGAAAATAGCATAACTACATATGAAATACTTAAAGATAGAATCACAAAAGTAAGCAAAAAGACTGAAAAGATCAGGTAAAATGAAAAGGAGAGTAATAAAACTTACAGAAATTTAAAACAGTTGTTGAGGTGAAAAATTTAACAGATGATTTAAAAGGCAGGTTAGAATTACGGTAAATGAAAGGCACCAGTCACAAAAGACTACATATGGTAAGATTCTACTTACATGATTGTCCAGATTAAGCAAATCTATTGAGACAAAAAGAGGATTAATGGTTTCCTAGGGTAGGTGAAGAGGAGGAAGGTGGTGGGGGAAATGGGGAGTGACAATTAATGAATATGGGGTTTTTTGGGCGTGATAGATTCTAAAATTGATTGTAGTAATGGTTACATAACTCTGCATCTACTAAAAACCATTGAATTGTAGAGTTTATTTAGAGACAGAGTCTAGCTCTGTCGCCCAGGCTGGAGTGCAGTGGTGCCATCTTGGCTCACTGCAACCTCTGCCTCCCAGGTTCAAGAGATTCTCCTGCCTCAGTCTCCCAAGTAGCTGGGATTACAGGCATGCCACCATGTCCAGCTAATTTTTATATTTTTAGTAGAGATGGGGTTTCACTATGTTGGCCAGGCTGGTCTCGAACTCCTGACCTCAGGTGATCTGCCCACCTTGGCCTCCCAAAGTGCTGGGATTACAGGTGTGAGCCACTGCACCCGGCCTGAATTGTAGGCTTTAAATGGGATAATTGTATGGGAGGTGAATTATATCTCAATAAAGACAGATTAGATATACATATAGATATACATGCATATGCATATATAGAAGTTTAGAGACAAATGAAGAGAAAATTAGTGAACTAGAAGACAGATCTGAAGATACTACTCAAAAGAGCAGCATAAGGAGATACAGAAAGAAGACAGAAAATAAATGTGGACGATAAAATGTGATGTTCTAAATACATTTAGTAGGAGTTCCAGAAGGAGAGAACAATGAGAATGGAACAGAAGCAATATTCAAAGAGATAGTGACTGAGAATATTCCAGAAGTGATGAAAGGCATGAATCCACAGAGATGAGCACAAAATAGACCAAGCAAGGACAAACAAGATCCACACGGATACACATTATAGTTAAGCTACAGAATACCAAAAACAAGGAGATCTTTAGCCAGAGAGAAAGACATTACTTGGAAAAATTGACAATCTAATTAGAGTAAATGTCTCAAAGGCAACAGTAAAAGCCAGAATACATAGAGTAATATATTCAAAGTGCCAAAAAATTATCACTATAATTGTGTACCCAGCAAAATTGTTTCAAAAACATGAAAAATGAAGCAAAGACATTTTTATAAAAACAAACACCAAGAGTTTACTATCAAAAGACACAGTGCTAAGGGAACAACTAAAGGATGTCCTTCAAAAGGAAGGAAAATGATCTGAGAAAGACAGTGTGAAATGCAAGGAGGGGTAGTGAGCCCGCAGGCAAAATCTAAACTAGCATTATTTGTATAAGGTCGTAGTAATAATAGCTCCATTTTTTTTTCTTTTTTGATACAGGGTCTCACTCCAATTGCCCAGGCTGGAATGCAGTATAGCTGGGACTACAGGCACGTGCCACCATGCCTGGCTAATTTTTTTATTTTTTATTAGAGGCAAGGTTTTGCCATGTTGCCCAGGCTGATCTTGAACTCCTGGACTCAAGCAATCCACCCACCTCAGCCTCCCAAAGTGCTGGGATTACAGGTGTGAGCCACCACGCCGGGCCAGTAGCTTCTTGTTAGGCTTTAAATAGAGAACTGAACTAAAATGTAAGACAATGAAAGCTTTTATAGGCCAAGAAGGATAATCAAAGTTTAAGGTTTTTGTTTTTTGAGACAGAGTCTTGCTCTGTCACCCAGGCTGGAGTGCAGTGGCATGATCTTGGCTCACTGCAACCTCCACATCCCAGGTTCAAGCTATTCTCCTGCCTCAGTCTCGTAAGTAGCTGGGACTACAGGTGTGTGCCACTATGCCTGGCTAATTTTTGCATTTTTAGTACAGACGGGGTTTCACCATGTTGGCCAGGATGGTCTCGATCTCCTGACCTCATGATCCACCTGCCTCGGCCTCCCAAAGTGCTGGGATTACAGGCATGAGTCACTGTGCCAGGCCAAAATTTGTTTTTTAAGGTCCTTGTATTCTACAGGACAGGCATCCAGATATCAGCTTTAGACTTTGTTAAATTATATATGTATGGCAAAATTTCAAGAGTAACTTTTTTTGTTGTTTTGTTTTTTCAATTTTGTGTTCTCTTTTTTTTTCATGTAATTGTTTTATTATACTTTAAGTTCTGGGGTACATGTGCAGAACGTGCAGGTTTGTTACATAGGTATACACGTGCCATGGTGGTTTGCTGCACCCATCAACCCATCATCTATATTAGGTATTTCTCCTAATGCTATCCCTCCCCCACCCCCCACCGCCTGACAGGCCCCGGTGTGTGATGCCCACCCCCACCCCTGTGTCCATGTGTTCTCATTGTTTAACTCCCAGTATGAGTGAGAACATGCAGTGTTTGATTTTCTGTATCTGTGTATTTCTAGTTCTAGATCCTTGAGGAATCGCTACACTGTATAATTGTTGAACTAGTTTACACTCCCACCAACAGTGTAAAAGTATTCCTATTTCTCCAAATCCTCTCCAGCATCTGTTGTTTCCTGACTTTTTAATGATCACCATTCTAACTGGCATGAGATGATATCTCATTGTGGTTTTGATGTGCATTTCTCTAATGACCAGTGATGATGAGCTTTTTTATATGTTTCTTGGCCACATAAATGTCGTCTTTTGAGAAGTGTCTGTTCATATCCTTCACCCACTTTTTGATGGGGTTGTTTTTTTCTTGTAAATTTAAGTTCCTTGTAGATTCTGGATATTAGCCCTTTGTCAGGTGGGTAGATTGCAAAAATGTTCTCCCATTCTGTAGGTTGCTTGTTCACTCTGATGATAGTTTCTTTTGCTATGCTGAATCTCTTTAGTTTAATTAGATCCCATTTGTCAATTTTGGCTTTTGTTGCCATTGCTTTTGGTGTTTTAGTCATGAAGTCTTTGCTCATGCCTATGTCCTGAATGGTATTGTCTAGGTTTTCTTCTAGGGTTCTTACAGTTTTAGGTCTTATGTTTCTTACGTTTAAGTCTTTAATCCATCTTGAATTAATTTTTGTATAAGGTGTAAGGAAGGGTTCCAGTTTCAGCTTTCTGCATATGGCTAGCCAGTTTTCCCAACACCATTTATTAAATAGGGAATCCTTTCCCCATTGCTTGTTTTTGTCAGGTTTGTCAAAGATCAGATGGTTGTAGATGTGTGCTGTTATTTCTGAGGCCTCCGTTCTGTTCCATTGGTTTATATATCTGTTTTGGTACTAGTACCATGCTGTTTTTGTTACTGCAGCCTTGTAGTATAGTTTGAAGTCAGGTAATGTGATGCCTCCAGCTTTGATCTTTTTGCTTAGGATTGTCTTGGCTATGCAGGCTCTTTTTTGGTTGCATATGAAATTTAAAGTAGTTTTTGCAGTTCTGTGAAGAAAGTCAATGGTAGCTTGATGGGGATAGCATTGAATGTATAAATTACTTTGGGCAGTATGGCCATTTTCACAATATTGATTCTTCCTATTTATGAGCATGCAATGTTTTTCCATTTGTTTGTGTCCTCTCATTTCCTTGAGCAGTGGTTTGACGTTCTCCTTGAAGAGGTCCTTCACATCCCTTGTAAGTTGTATTCCTAGGTATTTTATTCTCTTTGTAGCAATTGTGAATGGGAGTTCACTCATGATTTGGCTCTCTGTTTGTCTGTTATTGGTGTATAGGAATGCTTGTAAATTTTGCACATTGATTTTGTATCCTGAGACTTTGCTGAAATTGCTTATCACCTTAAGGAGATTTTGGGCTGAGACGATGGGGTTTTCTAAATATACAATCATTTCATCTGCAAACAGAGACAATTTGACTTCTTCTCTTCCTATTTGAATACCTTTATTTCTTTGTCTTGCCTGACTGCCCTGACCAGAACTTCCAATACTGTGTTGAATAGGAGTGGTCAGAGAGGGCATCCTTGTCTTGTGCTGGTTTTCAAAGGGAATTTCCAGTTTTTGCCTATTCAGTATGATATTGGCTGTGGGTTTGTCATAAATAGCTCTTAATATTTTGAGATACATTCCGTCAGTACCTAGTTTATTGAGAGTTTTTAGCATGAAGGGTGTTGAATTTTGTCAAAGGACTTTTCTGCATCTATTGAGATAATCATGGTTTTTGTCTTTGGTTCTGTTTATGTGATGGCTTACATTTATTGATTTGCATATGTTGAACCAGCCTTGCATCCCAGGGATGAAGCTGACTTGATTGTAGTAGATAAGCTTTTTGATGTGCTGCTGGATTCAGTTTGCCAGTATTTTATTGAGGATTTTTGCATCAATGTTCATCAGGGATATTGGCCTGAAATTCTCTTTTTTTGTTGTTTGTCTGCCAGGTTTTTGGTATCAGGATGATGCTCGCCTCCTAAAATGAGTTAGGGAGGATTCCCTCTATCTATTTGGAATACTTTCAGAAGGAATGGTACCAGCTCCTCTTTGTACCTCTAGTAGAATTCGGCCATGAATCCATCTGGTCCTGGACTATTTTTAGTTGGTAGGCTATCAATTAGTGCCTCAATTTCAGAACTTGTTATTGGTCTATTTAGGGATTTGGCTTCTTCCTGGTTTAATCTTGGGAGGGTGTATGTGTCCAGGGATTTATCCATTTCTTCTATATTTTCTAGTTTATATGTGTAGAGGTGTTTATAGTATTCTCTGATGGTAGTTCGTATTTCTGTGGGATTGGTGGTGATATCCCCTTTATCATTTTTTATTGCATCCATTTGATTCTTCTCTCTTTTCTTTATTAGTCTGGCTAGCATATTATCTATTTTGTTCTTTTCAAAAAACCAGCTCCTGGATTCATTGATTTTTTTTTTGAAGGGTTTTTCATGCCTCTATCTCCTTCAATTCTACTCTGATCTTAGTTATTTCTTGTCTTCCGCTAGCTTTTGAATTTGTTCTTGCTTCCCTAGTTCTTTTAATTGTGATGTTAGGGTGTTGATTTTAGATCTTTACTGCTTTCTCTTGTAGGCATTTAATGCTATAAAATTCCCTCTACACACTGCTTTAAATGTGTCCCAGAGATTCTGGTACGTTGTATCTTTGTTCTCATTGGTTTCAAAGAACATCTTTATTTCTGCTTCAATTTCGTTATTTACCCAGTAGTCATTCAGGAGCAGGTTGTTCAGTTTCCATGTAGTTGTGCGGTTTTGAGTGAGTTTCTTAATCCTGAGTTCTAATTTGATTGCATTGTGGTCTGAGAGACTGTTTATTATGATTTCCATTCTTTTGCATTTGCTGAGGAGTGTTTTACTTCCAATTATGTGGTCAATTTTAGAATAAGTGTGATGTGGTGCTGAGAAGAATGTATATTCTGTTTATTTGGGGTGGAGAGTTCTGTAGATGTCTCTTAGGTCTGCTTGGTCCAGAGCTGAATTCAAGTCCTAGATATCCTTGTTAATTTTCTGTCTCATTGATCTGTTTAATATTGACAGTGGGGTGTTAAAGTCTCCCACTATTATTGTGTGGGAGTCCAAGTCTCTTTGTAGGTCTCCAAGAACTTCCTTTATGAATCTGGGTGCTCCTATATTGGGTGCATATGTATTTAAGATGGTTAGCTCTTCTTGTTGCATTGATCCCTTTACCATTATGTGATGCCCTTCTTTGTCTCTTTTGATCTTTGTTGGTTTAAAGTCTCTTTTAACAGAGACTAGGATTGTAACTGCTGCTTTTTTTTTTCTTTCCATTTGGTTGGTAAATATTCCTCCATCCCTTTATTTTGAGCCTATGTGTGTCTTTGCACGTGAGACACCAATGGGTCTTGACTCTTTATCCAATTTGCCAGTCTGTGTATTTTAATTGGGGCATTTAGCCCATTTACATTTAAGGTTAATATTGTTATGTGTGAATTTGATCCTGTCATTATGATACTTGCTGGTTATTTTGCCCGTTAGTTGATGCAGTTTCTTCATATCATGAATAGTCTTTACAATTTGGTATGGTTTCGCAGTGGCTGTTACCGGTGGTTCCTTTCCATATTTGGTGCTTCCTTCAGGAGCTCTTGTAAGGCAGGCCTGGTGGTGACAGAATCTCTCAGCACTTGCTTGTCTGTAAATGATTTTATTTCTCCTTTGCTTATGAAGCTTAGTTTGGCTGGATATGAAATTCTGGGTTGAAAATTCTTTTCTTTAAGAATGTTGAATATTGGCCCCCACTCTCTTCTGGATTGTAGGGGTTCTGCTGAGAGATTCGCTATTAGTCTGATAGGGTTCCCTTTGTGGGTAACCCGACCTTTCTCTCTGGGTGCCCTTAACATTTTTTACTTCATTTCAACCATGGTGAATCTGACAATTATGTGTCTTGGGGTTGCTCTTCTCAAGGAGTATCTTTGTGGTGTTCTCTATATTTTCTGAATTTGAATGTTGGCATGCCTTGCTAGGTTGGGGAAGTTCTGCTGGATAATACCCTGAATAGTGTTTTCCAACTTGGTTCCATTCTCCCTGTCACTTTTCAGGTACACCAATCAAACGTAGATTTGTTCTTTTCACATAGTCCCATATTTCTTGGAGGCTTTGTTTCTTTTCACTCTTTTTTCTCTAATCGTGTGTTCTCACTTTATTTCATTGAGTTGATCTTCAATCTTTGATATCCTTTCTTCCACTTGATCGATTCAGCTTTTGATACTTGTGTATGCTTCTTGAAGTTCTTGTGCTCTGTTTTCAGCTCCATCAGGTCAATTATGTTCTTCTCTAAACTGGTTATTCTAGTTAGCAATTCATCTAACCTTTTTTCAAGGTTCTTAGCTTCCTTACATTGGGTTAGAACATGCTTCTTTAGCTCAGAGGAGTTTGTTATTATCCACCTTGTGAAGCCTACTTCTGTCAATTCGTCAAACTCATTCTCCATCCAGTTTTGTTCCCTTGCTGGCAAGGAGCTGTGATCCTTTTGAGGTGAAGAGGCATTCTGGTTTTTGGAATTTTCAGCCTTTTTGCACTGATTTCTCCCCATCTTCATGGATTTTTCTACCTTTGGTCTCTGATGTTGGTGACCTTCAAATGGGGTTTCTGTGTCTGGACGTCCTTTTTTGTTGATGTTGATGGTATTTCTTTCTGTTTGTCAGTTTTCCTTCTAACAGTCAGGGCACTCTACTGCAGGTCTGCTGGAGTTTGCCGGAGGTTCACTGTAGACCCTGTTTGTCTGGGTATTGCTGGTAGAGGCTGCAGGACAGCAAAGATTGCCGCCTGAAGCTTCGTCCTAGAGGGGCACCTGCCAGATGCCAGCCAGAGCTCTCCTATATGAGGTGTCTGTCGGCCCCTACTGGGAGGTATCTCCCAGTCAGGATACGTGGGGGGTCAGGGACCCACTGGAGGAGGTAGTCTGTCCCTTATCAAAGATCAGACACTGCTGGGAGATCCGCTCCTCTCTTCAGAGCTGTCAGGCAGGGACGTTGAAGTCTGCTGAAGCTGCGCCCACAGCTGCCCCTTCCCCCAGGTGCTCTGTCCCAGGGAGATGGGGGTTTTAGCTATATGTCCCTGACTGGGGCTGCTGCCTTTTTTTCAGAGATGCCCTTCCCAGAGAGGAGGGATCTAGAGAGGCAGTCTGGCCGCAGTGGCCTTGCTGAGCTGTGATGAGCTGTGCCCAGTTTGAACTTCCCGGTGGCTTTGTTTACACTGTGAGGGTAAAACTACCTACTTAGGCCTCAGCAATGGTGGACGCCCCTCCCCCCCACCAAGCTCAAGGGTCCTAGGTCGACCTCAGACTGCTATGCTGCAGTGAGAATTTCAAGCCAGTGGATCTTAGCTTGTTGGGCTCTGTGGGAGTGGGACCCACTGAGTCAGACCACTTGGCTCCCTGGCTTCAACCCTCTTTCCAGGGGAGTGAAAGATTCTGTCTCGCTGGTGTTGCAGGTGCCACTGGGGTATGAAAAAAAATAAACTCCTGCAGCTAGCTCGGTGTCTGCCCAAACCCCCGTCCAGTTTTGAGCTTGAAACCCAGGGCCCTGGTGGCCTAGGCACCGGAGGGAATCCCCTGGTCTGCCAGTTGCAAAGACCATAGGAAAAGCGCAGTATCTGGGCTGGAGTGCACTGTTCCTCCTAGTACAGTCTCTCACAGCTTCCCTTGGCTGGGAGAGGGGAATCCCTTGACCCCTTGTGCCTCCCAGGTGGGACAGCGCCCCACCCTGCTTCAGCTCACCCTCTGTGGGCTGCACCCACTGTCCAGCCAGTCCCAATGAGATGAACTGGGTACCTCAGTTGGAAATGCAGAAATCACCTGCCTTCTGGTTGATCTTGCTGGGAGCTGCAGACTGGAGCTGCTCCTATTTGGCTATCTTCAAGAGTAACTATTAAAGAGTAGAAGTAGAGTATGTGGTTTCAATAAAATTACAAAACAGATAAGTAAACAAACAAAGCTTCAGTCATAGAGACCAAAAATCACCCCATAGAACAAGGTGGGTAAAGGCACCACTGCCATCCCTGCTGAACACTAGGCACTGTAGTTGTCCCCATGCCGCTGGATACTGCACCCACCACAACCCCACCACCACCCCTGCCCACCTCAGGCTTTACTTCTGTCCTGGGAAGCTTGGTGGTGTTGCGTCTATCAGAAACATTTGCTCCTGATGGAATGTTGAGGGTGAGTGCATCATATTGGCTGAGCCAAAGTCATGTGACCCTGTCCTGGCTGCAGGAGAGACTATCTGGCCTTTTCAGCAGGTGTAGTGAGAGCCAGACTCTACCACCAACACTCCAATATCAGGGGTGTCCCCAAACAGAGGAAGGCCAAAGAAATAACAAATGTCCATATGAATATCAAAAATTAAATTGGCTCTCTTTTTTTTTTTTTTTTTTTTTTTTTTTTTTGAGATGGAGTCTCACTCTGTCACCCAGGCTGGAGTGCAGTGGCACAATCTTGGCTCATTGCAACCTCGCCTCCCGGGTTTAAGCAATTCTCCTGTCTCAGCCTCCCAATTAGCTGGGACTATAGGTGCATGCCACCACACCCAGCTAATTTTTCTATTATTAGTAGAAACGAGGTTTCATCATATTGGCCAGGCTGGTCTCCATCTCCTGACCTCTTGATCCACCTGCCTCAGCCTCCCAAAGTGCTGGGATTACAGGTGTGAGCCACCATGCCCAGCCTAAATTAGCTCTTCTAAGTCTGACATATTTATCCATTCCTGATGTGGAGCACAAAGATTATTATTATGTTAGTCTCTTCCTCTTCCATTTCCACCCCAACTGGGTGTACTGCATAAAATTTTGACACTAATTATCTGGAGTTAGCACAGACCCCGTAGGCTAAGAGCAAAGTTCTCCATGAAGTTGTCCCCACTTCAGATGCCAGCCACACTTCAAGGGGTCACCAGATCCACCTGTACTTCTGGCCAAATGGCTATTAATTTAGGAGTTCTTACAACCCCAGGTTCAATGATTCATCAGAACTACTTACAGAACTCAAGAATGTGCTATACTTACATTGCAGTTTCATTATGAAGGGTGAGGTCTGGGAGGATCCCAAATCCATGCCCTCTCACTATGGTGTTGGCACGTTACCCTCCTGAAACATCCAGACACTCATCAAGAAGCTCTACTTAGCTTTGGTATCCAGAGTTTTTATTGGAGATTCCTTATGTAGACATGACTGATTACATCAATGGTCATATGATTAAACTCAATCTTCAGTCCACCTCCCCTTTTTGAAGATCTGGTACCAGAAAGCCTAACTCTCTGATCACTTGATTGTTTTTTTCTGGTGGCCAGATCCCATCCTGAAGCTATTTAGGGGCCCACATGAGTCACCTCATTCCCATGAAAGACACTTCTATCACTTACAAAATTCTAAGGGTTTTTGAAGCTCTGTGCCTGGAACTAGGGACACAGGCTAAGTATACTCTCTCTTATGCCACAGTTCCCTATAGGGGTTCCTGTTTAGGGAGAGGACATGGTCCATAAACAAAATAATTACAACACAAAGCAGATTCTAAGAAGAGCTGCATGCTGCACTGTAGGCATCTGAGGAAGAAAAGACATTAATTTCATCCTGAAAAACATATGGAAGAAAGCAACATAATGAGGAAGCTCAAGCAAAGTTGAAAAGAAACTACCCTGGAGGGAGGGTAGCTGGGAAGGCTGCCTGGTGGAAGCAGCAATGAAGGCTAACTTCTTCTGAAAAGCTGGAATAAATTCTCAAAATGACTTTTTATGCAGAGTAGTTCATTGAATTCTTCCTGCTTTCCAGAGGCATTGAAATTGTTCCCATTTTGCAGATGAGGAAAGGGGTGCTCAGAGAGGTTGCACATCTGGCCTGAGGGCACATACCACAAAGTGGTGGTGCCTGAATTCCAACCTCAGTTGGTCCTGGTGAGGGAAGGCCAGGTTCAGCCCACTTGCGCTCTTCTCCTGGGGTCAGGAAACATTTAGTTCAGAGGAAGAGGATCACTTCTAGCACAAGAGTGGGTTTTTTGTTTGGTTGTTTGTTTGTTTGTTTTGAGATGGAGTCTTGTTCTGTTGCCCAGGCTGGAGTGCAGTGGCACCATCTTGGCTCACTGCAACTTCCGCTTCCCGGGTTCAAGTAATTCTCTTGCCTCAGCCTCCTGAGTAGCTGGGATTACAGGCACCTGCCATCACGCCAGCTAATTTTTGTATGTTTAGTAGAGATGAGGTTTCACCATGTTGGCCAGGCTGGTCTCGAACCCCTAACCTCAGGTGATCCTCCCGCCTTGGCCTCCCAAAGTGCTAGGATTACAGGTGTGAGCCACTGTGCCCAGCCAGTGGGTTTAAAACTTAGTAGAAATCAAGAGATAGAAGAACCTGAGGACCTGAGGGTGAGCGAAGTGAGGATAGTCACCCTAATGCCTCAGCCCTATATCCATCTCTTCATGGCTGTCCCTGTGCCGTGAGTTCATATTTGCCCCTCCTCAAGCTCTGCGTCCAGTGCCTTAGACATAGACTGCACTATAGGCTGCTCAATCTTCTTGCTCACCATAGGGCCGTGTGCGTGGTGACCAGAACAGAAGCCCCAGTAACAGCAGATGGACCCGCAAGGAGCACTACCAGGAATGGCATCTGGAAGCAGCAGTTTCCTAGGCTGGCAGGCCCACGTCCAGGGTTCCGGTACCCTCTGCCAGTCGAGTTTGTCTTCTCCACCGTCCTTGCTATCAGTCTCTAGCTTTCATTTTCCCCTTCTTGGTGGTATTTTCGTCTGGGCAGAGTTCATTGCAACCTCTTTAGAAGCTCTCTTCACTATCAATCTGCAGGACCACTGTCTCTTCCTGGGCTATCCTGGGTCACTCCAGGTCCTCCACTAACATGTCTGTAGGATCCACTGGGATTCTGGTTTGGGACCTCATTCGTAGTACCCACTGAAAGTGCCAGTATACAGCCAAAAGTGTCCATAGTAGGTATAATCATCTAAGTGGCTGTATTAAGGTAATGTTCATGGACGTTCATTTGACCCATTACACGGATATAGAAATAGACTTAGATGGGCTGAATAATGAACAAAAGGGCACATGGCATCTTGAGTCAATACAAGCGTCTCACTGTCTCTAGGGTCCTGTGTAACATATCCCCATCTCCACCAAGGGCCCGGCTATGTGTTCACTAGATACATGAATGAATAGTTTTCTTTTCTATCCTCCTGCATTCTCCCAGCAAGAGTCAATTTTATCAATATCAAGAGCATTACCAAGCAATGTTTAAAGAGTACTTACTCCAGGCCGAGCACGGTGGCTCAGGCCTGTAATCCCAGCACTTTGGGAGGCCACGGTGGGTGGTTCACAAGGTCAGGAGATCGAGACCATCTTGGCTAACATGGTGAAACTCTGTCTCTGCTAAAATACAAAAAAATTAGCCGGGCGTGGTGGTGGGCGCCTGTAGTCCCAGCTACTTGGGAGGCTGAGGCAGGAGAATGGTGTGAACCCGGGAAGCAGATCTTGCAGTGAGCTGCGCCACTGCACTCCAGCCTGGGCGACAGAGTGAGACTCAAAATAGAAAAAAAAAAAAAAAAAAAAAAAAGACTACTTACTCCACTGCCAGGCATTATAAATGGGAACTCATGGAATTATAGATAGTAAGGAAAAAAATGTTCAATTTTACACCGCAGCATTTTGCCTCTAAGAGAGGTGAGCTTTTAACAAATAACTCAAATGCATTTTTATTGTGGTTGCTCATGAATGGGAAAAGGATATTTTGAAAAGAAGAAAAATACAGACAGATTATTATACATGCTAAAAGTTCACAAGGAAAAGAGGCAGTTCCTACAAACTCCCAGAAAAGCGACTTAATGCTGTTTGCAGTATGTGCCAAAATATTTAACATTGAGCCAGACTAGGACGGGCACTCTTCCCTTCTTAGTCTCAAGTTTTACATAGTGACCTGTGCAGTAGTTACATCATTATTCCCTGGTTTCTGGATACTCTAATTTTGGAGCCACTACCACCTCATATTCATTCAAAAGAAATTACATGCTTAGCTCTTAAGTGCCTCAGCCTGGTGAGTCAGCAAATAAAACAAGGGTTTTTGAAAACACACCCAGGGTCAGTTGGGCCAAGACATTACGTAACTGCACTTAAAATACAGCCTAGGCAGCCAAGAGGTCAGGGCTCTTCTCATATTTGATAAACTTGACATGCAGAATAATTTCTCTTTGCCCCAAAGATGAGGTGGCCTGGTGCCTTTCTTACATGTTGCTTTAAATAATAATAATAATAATGAATAAAGAGCCGTGAATCAGAACAGTCAAAGAATTTCTAAGCTGAACGGTGCTTTAGGATGAAAGCTGAGTCCTGTTCAGGGATAGGAAAGTAACTGCAAACCTTTCCAAGTGAAAGAAAATTGTTTCTCTTGATTCTTCTTTTTTTTTTTTTCCCAAGAGAACCTTTATTCTTCCCACCAAATCCCAGGACAAAACCTTTTTCCAACCTAGGTGAATACAAACACATATATGACAGACATTTTTCCAATTAGTCCAGAGTGGGTTTGTTTTGTTTTCTTGACTAAAATGAGAAAGCCTCAGGCTGGGTGCGGTGGCTCACGCCTATAATCCCAGCACTTTGGGAGGCTGAGGCAGGTGGATCACTTGAGGCCAGGAGTTTGAGACCAGCCTGGCCAACAGGGTGAGACCCTGTGTCTACTAAAAACACAAAAATCAGCTGGGCGTGGTGGCTGGTGCCTATAATCCCAGCTACTCAGGAGGCTAAGGGATGAGAATTACTCAAACCCGGGAGGCGGAGGTTGCAGTGAGCCAAGATCATGCCCCCGCACTCCAGCCTGGGCAACAGAGCAAGACTCTGTCTCAAAAAAAAAAAAAAAAAAAAAAAAAAAAGCCTCAGATAAAAATAACCAGAGTGAGGAGGAAGGGAGACCTCAGACATCTCTCTAGTTTACACAGACCTCACCTATGATAGCCCCCAGCTCAGCGTCAACCATGTCCTGGGCACCCGCTTCAGTGGGTTATCTGAACATTGGCCTCCACGGTTGGATAACCCAAATGCACTTTCCCATGACGTCTTACACCTCCTTTTTTCAGTCTGGTGACTGTAGTGTGAGCCCCACCTTGTTAGTGGGAAGAGAAGTAACCAAGTGGTGATACACAGTTCACTCTGGCCTTGGAACAGCATGAAATAGGACTGTCCTTGCATTCTCACTTCGAAATGACACAAGAATCCACAAGAATCCACAAGAATATGGGGACTGTGTGAGTCCATGGCAAAGAGCCTGTGCTCTCATAGTCCCAGTCGCCTGCACAAGGGGCCGCACTCCAGGGAGCTCCCAAGGATCGAGGCGAGTGCAGATGGAATCCACACCTTGGTGGAGGAGACCCCACGGTCCACATGCATGGAGGGTGTCTGCTGTGGCTTCACAGTCCTCCCCACAAACACCGTGCTCCTAGTAAACGCTCAAGGAAACATATTTTTTCTGCTTATTTGGAGAAAAGTTTGCTATTCACAGACAAGTGAGTCATATGTTTAGTTCTAGCTAAACCCCAAATCCATTCCCACGTTGACAGGAAGACAAGCCAGAAAAACCAGACCAAGATGATCTTTCAGAATGACCCCCACATTTTTCCCGGATGTTACTGTGGGTCCCCCTACTTCCTACATGGCCCCCAGCAAGTCTAGAGTCCTTACCCTTTTCCAGGGTGCTAAACAGAGCAGCCTCTCCAGCTTGTTCCCTGTTTATTTTTTTAGACAAACTTTTTATTTAAAAATACGTTTATATGTACAGAAAAGTTGTGAAGATAGCACAGAATATATATTCCTCAATTCTTCCCATTATTAACCTTGTACGTTAGTATGGTGTATTTGTCACAATGACGGAACCAGTAGGAATATATTACCTTTACATAAAGTCCATAGTCTATTTGGGTTCCCTCAGTTTCCCCTAATGCCTCTCTTCTGTCCCAGAATCTCAGCCAGAACACCACATTCATAAGTCCTCGAGTCTCCGTAGGCTTGTCTTGGCTGTGGCCATTTCTCAGACTTACCTAGTTTTGTTTGTTGTTTTTGTTTTGTTTTTGTTTTTTTTTTTTTTTTTGAGACGGAGTCTTGCTCTGTTGCCCAGGCTGGAGTGCAGTGGTGCGATCTCGGCTCACTGCAAGCTCTGCCTCCCGGGTTCACGCCATTCTCCTGCCTCAGCCTCTCGAGTAGCTGGGACTACAGGCGCCCGCCAGCACGCCCGGCTAACTTTGTATTTTTAGTGGAGACGGGGTTTCACTGTGTTAGCCAGGATGGTCTGGATCTCCTGACCTCGTGATCCGCCCGCCTCGGCCTCCCAAAGTGCTGGGATTACAGGCGGGAGCCACCGCGCCCGGCCAGACTTTCCTAGTTTTTGATGACGTTGATGGTTTTGAAGAGTCTGGCCAGGAATTGATAGTTTGTTCCTCAATTGGGACTTTTCTGCTGCTTTTCTCATGATCAGACTGAGGTTAGGGGGAGGAAGACAGAGGTAAAGTGTCACTTTCATCCTGTCAGATCAAGGGCACACAGTATCAGTGTGACAGCACTGTCCATGATGACCTTGATCTTACTTGGTGGAGGGAGTGTTTGTCAGGCCTCTCTACCATACAGTTAATTTTTTTTTTTTTCCTTTTCCAGATGGAGTCTCTCTGTGTCACTGAGGCTAGTGTGCAGTGGGGGTGATCTTGGCTCAGTGCAAGCTCTGCCCCCCAGGTTCGAGCAATTCTCCTGGCTCAGCCTCCTGAACAGCTGGGACTACAGGCACATGCCACCACGCCTGGCTAATTTTTGTATTTTTAGTAGCGACGGGGTTTCACTCTTTTGGCCAGGCTGGTCTCAAACTCCTGACCTCAGGTGATCCGTCCACCTCGGCCTCCCAAAGTGCTGGGATTACAGGCGTGAGCCACTGCACCTGGCCACCATACAGTTACTTTTTGTCCCCACTTCTATCCTGTCCTCTTTGGAAGGAAGTAACTCTGCGCAGCCCACACTCGAGTGGGGGAGTTCCTCTCTGCTTCAGGGTAGAGGAGTTACATCGGTTACTGGGAGTGCAAGTGCATGAGAGAGCTGAGTCCTCCTCCTGGACCCACTTACTTATTTGTTTACTTATGTATGTAGTCATTTCATTAGATCAGGATGGACTCATGAATATTTATTTCTCATATTTTGGCCTATGGCTTGTTTCCTTTTGAAAGTCTGTCTCCTCCTGAAACCTTTTCCTCCCCCCTCCTCCCTTTACTATCCTAGGACAATGCCTCCCTGATCGTTCAGGTTTCTCTGCTCCAAGGGAAATGGCACGAGTCCACACTTTGTTTTTATGGCTGTGTGTTTAGCTGTATTAAAAGTTAGACTAAGTTGGACACTTTTCATTTATTTATTCTTTATTTTCATAAGTTTTTGGGGAACAGGTGGTATTTGGTCACATGAGTAAGTTCTTTAGTGGTGATTTGTGAGATTTTGGTGCAGCATCACCCAAGCAGTATACATGAACCCAATTTGTAGTCTTTCATCCCTCACCTGCTTCCCACCCTTTCCCATCGAGTCCCCAGTGTCCATTGTATCATTCTTATGCCTTTGCATCCTCATAGCTTAGCTCCCACTTATGAGTGAGGACATATGGTGTTTGGTTTTCCATTCCTGAGTTACTTCACTTAGAATAATAGTCTCCGAGGCAGGCAGATCACAAGGTCAGGAGTTCGAGACCAGCCTGGTCAATATGGTAAAACCCCATCTCTACTAAAAATACAAAAATTAGCCGGGTGTGGTGGCACTCGCCTGTAGTCCCAGCTACTGTGGTGGCTGAGGCAGAAGAATCGCTTGAACCCGGGAGGCAGAGTTGCGGTGAGCCAAGATTGTGCCATGGCACGCCAGCCTGGGTGACAGAGTGAGACTCTGTCTCCAAAAAAAAAAAAAAAAAAAAAAAAAAAAAAAAAAGAATAGTCTCCAATCCCATCCAGGTTGCTATAAATGCCATTAATACATTTCTTTTTATGGCTGAGTAGTATTCCATCCTATCTATATACCGCAGTTTCTTTATCCACTCATTGATTGATGGGAATTTGGGCTGGTTTCACATTTCTGCAATTGCAAATTGTTGGGCACTTATTAAATAACCACACTACTTATATATAGAAGTCTGTGCTGTGTTGCTATGTGCATGTCCTCCTGTTCTTGTACTCATCGCCTACCATATTTTATTGATGCAAAGAGCCAGGTGTTTTTTGGTTTTTTTTTTGTTTTAATTTTGGCATCCTGAAATCAGATGAATCTCACAGGCAGCTGCATCTTATGCTTTGTCATAGTTGAGCAGTACTTTTACTGTCTTGCTGGTTCGTACAGTAATGCTCGATGTTCCATCTCTGGGACTTAGATTTGATGAAATCCATCACATCCTTCCTGGGTTACGCACTCTGTCAGCATGGGAAACAGTCTGACCTGTTTATCTTGTTTCACAGAATCCAGACCAGAATCTTGAGGGCATTGGGGCTATATTTGTGCTGCCATAAATGTAATAAAAATATATATATATATATATCCTGTAGCCAGGCGCGGCGGCTCACACCTGTAATCCCGGCAGTTTGGGAGGCCAAGGTGGGCGGATCACGAGGTCAAGAGATCGAGACCATCCTGGCCAACATGGTAAAACCCCATCTCTACTAAAAACACAAAAATTAACTGGGCGTGATGGCGCGTGCCTGTAGTCCCAGCTACTCGGGAGGCTGAGGCAGGAGAATTGCTTGAACCCGGGAGGCGGAGGTTGCGGTGAGCCGAGATCATGCCACCGCACTCCAGCCTGGTGACAGAGCAAGACTGTGCCTCAAAAAAAAAAAAAAAAAAAAAATATATATATATATATATATACACAGTCTAATGCTAGAGAAAAAGACACAAATAAGTGGGGCCCTGGAAATCAGGCAGGTTACTTAGGGCAGCAGAATGTCTAATTTGGTCCAGGATTCAGAAGATAAGTCTTAGTTCTTTTCCGTTCTACACAGTTTTTTTTGGGGAAAAAACAAAAAAGGGAAGTCTACTGGGCAAACCTTTTCTCATCTCCATCCTCACATCCACTTCCATGGTACAAATCTTGAAAAATGTCAGCATTACATTACAGATGCCAAATCTGGGATTCCAAAATCCAGTAGGCCTGCCTGGGCCTGCAGGCTGTGAGCCAGTTTGAGATGCCATTAATTAGGTCCCTGGACTCTACACTGACATCTGTAATCACAGATGATTACTCCATACCCCAGACCAGCCTTGGGAAGTTGCACCTCTCAGGGGTGCCCCGACTCTCCCAGTTTCGGGTTCCACTCTGGGCCCTAGTGCTCACACACAGCGCCTTCTCTTTCATCAGGGAAGCATGTGTGCTGCTGTGTTTCCTCTCTTGCAGGCATTTGCAAAATTATCTAGACAGGGACTAATGAACCGAAAAGATCTCTGGAGGTGAAATTTCAGGCACTGGGTCCCCAAGAGATGGGGAAATGGTTGGGGAGCCACAAGATGCCTTTTGGGCAGCAGCCCTCAGCCAACAGCCTGCTGGGCTCACCCTATTTTTTGCCCACTTGTAAGACTATTCCTGACCTTTACCTCCCTTGAGAGCTGTGTTCTAGAGCTCACAATGTGGAGTCAGAATGTCGTGTAGCAATTAGGTATTAAGCATTCAATGAACCATGGTCAATAAATAAGACATAATAGATGTAAACATTCATGCTCCTAATAACAGTGCTTGTAAAATACGTGCAGCAAAAACTAATAGAACTTTAAGGAGAATAGATAAATTCACAGTTAATAGTCAACGATTTCAGTACCCCTCTCAATAACGGACAGAACACATAGACCAAAAAGGATACAGCAGACTTTAACAACACTACCAACCTACCAGACCTCATTGACATTTGTAGAACACTCCACCCAGCATGGAACACACTCTCATATGTGCATATGCAGTGTTTGCCAAGACAGAGACTATACCCTGGGCCATAAAACCAGTCTGAATAAATTCAAAAGGATTCAGGTCACATAAAGTGTGTTCTCTGGCCACAGTGGATTTTAATTAGAAATCAATAACAGACATCTGGAAATTTCCTAAATTTTGGAAACCAAACAAGATACTTCTAAATAAGCCAGAGATGAAAGGAGACATAAAAAGGAAATTAGCAAGCATTTTGAAATGAATGAAAATTAAAACATATCAGAGGGAAATTTATGGCACTAAACAATATTATAGCAGAAGAAAGTTCTCAAATCAGTGACTTTGATTTCTATCTTAAGAAACTAACAGAACAAATTAAACTAAGCAGAAGAAAGGTAATAGTAAAGATGAAAGCAGAAATCAATGAAGTAGCAGAAATATAACAATAGAAATCAAACCAAAACCCAAAAGTTAATATTTTGAGAAAATTAATAAAATTGATAAACCTTCATTTAGATTGATCAAGAAAAAAAATAAAAGACCATTTCTATTAACTTTTAAATATATTTACCATGGCCTGGCCTCCAGGCCTGGTTCCATACTCAAACTACTCTTATCAAAGTCACTACAGACTTGTTTTTTTTTTTTTTTTTTTGCCATTTTACTTGACCTCTCTAGGGTCCTAATAATCATTATGGTGGATACAGTATTGTTGTACCCATTATACAGGTGAGGAGCATGAGGCCCAAGTTGACCAGGCCCTCCTTGTTTCTCCTCTTGTTAACTTGAAAGGTTGCTGTGATAATTCAGTGAAATAAAATAATAATCTGTAAAAATGTATTATCTCCACTAAAATTTTCATGTCTTTACTCATGTCTCTGAGATGCAGCAAGTAAACATAATCTACTCATGAGCTTCCCTTACCAAGACCATGCCCTCCTCCAGCCAGCTCACCGTGCTCAGGCCTCAGCCACCAGAAAATTCTGGAGTGGCCACTGCCCCTCCTTGCCTCTTCTGTTCCTAGGAAAACATCTATGTTTTGATCTGGGTTTTTGCAATACAGCATTTATATGGGAATAATTGCCATCCATAATGATTTCTCTTCAGGACACCTCAAGTCCTGAGACATTTTCAGCAAACCAGCAGCTTAAATACTGTTAGGCTTCAGATTTTATTGTTGTGATATGAGAAAATGACTTTTAGATTGTGATTCCATAGAACTCTAGAAGGCTTTCAGATATGGAAAAGAGTATGCTTAGTTAAAATCCCAACTTAATTATTATCCCTGAGGGATGTTAGCCTGAGCTAAATGATTTACTACGGATTTAGTCTTCGTTCAGAGCAAACTTTTTAGTCAGGTTAAAAAATGTTGGTGATGGTGAAAGCCATAATTTTCTTAAAATTATGGTAAAATATGTATAACATTGATGTATAACATTAAATTTACCATTTTAACCCTTTAAAGTGTACAAGTAAGTGGCATTAAGTACATTCACATTGTTGTACAACTATCATTACTATCGTGTCTAGAACTTTCCATTGTCCCACACTAACACTCTGTGTTCATTAACAATAACCCTCCATTTCTTCCTTCCCCCAACGTCTGGTAATCACTGTATGTTCTTTCTCTTAAGAATTTGGCTATTCTAGATACTTCATATAAGTGAAATCACACATTTGTCTTTTTTTTAATCTGGCTTATTTCACCATACATCTTTTCTTTTCAATTTTTTTCTTAATACATAATAGTTGTACATATTTACTTATTTATTTATTTTGAGACAGAGTCTCGCTCTGTCGCCCAAGCTGGAGTGCAGTAGCGTGATCTTGTCTCACTGCAACCTCCGCCTCCTGGGTTAAAGCGATTCTCCTGCCTCAGCCTCCCAAGTAGCTGGGAATACAGGCATGCACCACCATGCCTGGCTAATTTTTGTATTTTCAGTAGAGACGGAGTTTCACCACGTTGGCCAGGCTGGTCTCAAACTCCTGACATCAAGTGATCCGCCCGTCTCGGCCTCCCAAAGTGCTGGGATTACAGGCGTGAGCGACCATGCCCAGGCCAATCGTACATATTTATGGGGTACAAGTGATATTTAGACACATACATACACAACATTTGATGATTAAATCAGGGTAATTAGGATATCCATCATCTCAAACACTTATTTCTTTGTGCTGAGGACGTTCTAAATCTCTTCGAGCTATTTTGAAATGTACAATAAATTAATGTTAACTATTGTCACCCTACTATGCTATTGAACACTGGAACTTATTCCTTCTAACTGCATTTTTGTATCCAATAACCAACCTCTTTTCATACTTCCCTCCCGTTCATCCCTTCCCACCTTCTGGTAATCATCATTCTATTCTCTACCTCCATGACATCAACTTTTTTAGCTTTCATATATGAGTGAAAATATGTAATGTTTGTGTGTCTGTGCCTGGCTTATTTCACTTAACATAATGACCTCCAGTTCTATCCATGTTGCTACAAATGACAGGATTCCATTCTTTTTCTGGCTGAACAATATTCCATTGTGTATGATTACCATATTTTCTGTATCCATTCATTCATTCATTCATGGGCACTTAGGTTGATTTCATATCCTGGCTATTATGAATAATGCTGCAAAAGACATGGGAAGGCAGATATCTTTCTGATATACTGATTTCCTTTATTTTGATATATACCCAGCAGTCAGATTTCTGGATAATATGGTATATCTCTTTTTAGTTGTTGTCGTTGTTGTTGTTTTTGTTTGAGGTGGAGTTTCGCTCTTGTTGCCCAGGCTGGAATGAAGTGGTGCGATTTTGGCTCACTGCAGCCTCCGCCTCCCAGGGTTCAAGCAATTCTCCTGCCTCAGTCTCCTGAGTAGCTGGGACTACAGATGTGTGCCATGACGCCAGCTAATTTTTGTATTTTTAGTGGAGATGGGGTTTCACCATGTTGGCCAGGCTGGTCTTGAACTCTCAACTTCAGGTGATCCACCCGCCTTGGCCTCCCAAAGTGCTGGGATTACAGGCATGAGCCACCGCGCCCGGCCCCTCATTAATTTTTTAGAATAGTTGAGTAGAATTGGTATCAGCTCATTAAGTGTTTGGTAGAATTCAGCAGTGAAGCCATCAGGTTCTGGGCTTTTCTTTGTCAGGAGACTTTTTATTACTGATTCTATCTGTTACTCATTATTGATCTGTTTAGGTTTTTTATTTCTTCGTGGTTAAATCTTGGTAGGTTGTATGTGTCCAGAAATTTATTTTATTTTTATTTTTATTTTTTTTTGAGACAGGGTCTCACACGGTCACCCAGGCTGGAGTGCAGTGCTGTGATCTTGGCTTACTGCAGTCTCAACCTTCTGGGCTCAAGCAATCCTCCTACCTCAGCCTCTTGAGTAGCTGGGATTACAGGCGTGCGCCAGCAGGCCTAGCTAATTTTTGTATTCTTTTAGTACAGACGGGTTCGTGCCATGTTGTCCTGGTCTTGAACTCCTGGGTTCAAGTGATCTGCCCACCTTGGCCTCCCAAAGTGGTGGGATTACAGCCATGAGCCACTGTGCCCAGCCTATTTCTTCTATATTTTCCAATTTGTTGGTTTATAGTTGTTCATTATGTGTCTGATGATCCTTTGTATTTCTGGGGTATCGATTTTAATGTCTCCTTTTTCATATCAAATTTTATGTATTTGGGTCTTCTCTTTTTTCTTAGTCTAGCTAAAGGCTTGTTGATTCTGTTTGTTCCCAAAACCACCTATTCATATCAGCAATCTTTTGTATTGCTTTTTTAGTTTGAATTTTTATTTATTTCTGCTCTGATCTTTATTATTTCTTTCCTTCTACTAATGTGTGGTTTGGTTGGTTAGTGCCAGTTCCTTTAGGTGCATCATTAGGCTGTTTATTTGAAGTCTTTCTATCTTTTTGATGAAAGCATTTATTGCTATAATCTTCCCTCTTAGAACAGTTTTTGCTGTATCCCATAGGTTTTGATATATTGTGTTTCCATTGCCATTTGTCTTAAATTTTTAAATTTTCTTTTTAATTTCTTCACTGGCTCATTCATTGTCCAGGAGCATGCTGTTTAATTTCATGAGTTTGTGCAGTTTCCAACATTCCTTCTGTTATTGATTTCTAGTTTTAGTCCATTGTGGTCAGAAAAGATACTTGATATAATTTTAATTTTTCAAAATTTGTTACTTGTTTTGTGACCTAACATTTGAACTATTCTGGAGAATGATCCATGTGCTGTTGAGAAAAACGTGTATTCTGCAGCTGTTGGATGGAGTGTTCTGTAAACGTCTGTTCCTTCCATTGGGTCTAGAGTGCAGTTTAACTGTAATGTTTCTTTGTTGATTTTCTGTCTGGATGATTTGTCCATTGCTGAAAGTGGAGTATCAAAGTTTCCTGCTATTATTGGTTGCAGTTAATCTCTCCCTTTAGGTCTATTAATATTTGTTTTATATATTCAGGTGCTCTGGTGTCAGGTGCATATACATTTATAATAGCTATATCCTCTTGCTTTATTGATCCCTTTGTCATTATATGATGTTCTTCTGTGTCCTTTTTTTCACCATTCTTGACTTAAAGTCCATTTTATCTGATATAAGTATAGCTACTCCTGCTGTTTTTTGGTTTCTGTTTGCATGGAATATCTTGTCAACCCTTCACTTTTAGTCTGTGCATATCTTTTTAGGTAAAGTGAGTCTCTTGTAGACAACGTATAGTTGGATCTTTATTTTTTCAAAATCCATTCAGCTACACTGCACTTTTTTTTTTTTTTTTTTTTTTTTTTTTTTGAGACGGAGTCTCACTCTGTCACCCAGGCTGGAGTGCAGTGGTGCACGGTCTCTGCTCACTGCAAGCTCCGCCTCCTGGGTTCACACCATTCTCCTGCCTCAGCCTCCCGAGTAGCTGGGACTACAGGTGCCTGCCACCATGCCCTGCTAATTTTTTGTATTTTTAGTAGAGATGGGGGGGTTTCACTGTGTTAGCCAGGATGGTCTTGATCTCCTGACCTCGTGATCCACCCACCATGGTGTCCCAAAGTGCTGCGATTACAGGCGTGAGCCACTGTGCCCGGCCCACTGCACCTTTTAATTGGATAATTTAATCCATTCCACTCAAGGTTATGATTGATAGGCAGGTGTTTACTACTGCCATTGTGATACTTATTTTCTGGTTGCTTTGTAGATCCCTTCTTCCTTTTTTCCTCTCTTACTATCTTTATTTGTGGTTAAGTGATTTTCTCTAGTAGAATGTTTTTATTCCATGCTATTTATTTATTTATTTATTTATTTATTTATTTATTTATTTTTGAGACGGAGTTTTGCTCTTGTTGCCCAGGCTGGAGTGCGATGGCACGATCTCAGTTCACTGCAACCTCTGCCTCCCAGGTTCAAGTGATTCTCCTGCCTTAGCATCCCAAGTAGCTGGGATTACAGGCATTTGCCACCACATCTGGCTAATTTTTGTATTTTTAGTAGAGATGGGGTTTTGCCATGTTAGTCATGCTGGTGTCGAACTCCTGACCTCAAGTGATCCACTCACCTCGGCCTCCCAAAGTGCTGGGATTACAGGTGTGAACCACCATGCCTGGCCCATGCTATTTATTTTTAATGTATCTCTAACAGGTTTTTCTTTTGTGATTACCATGAGGCTTATAAAAAAATTGGATAGTTATAATAAGTTATTTTTAAATGATAACAACTGAACATGGATTGCAAAGAAAAGTATCAAAAACAAACTACAATTTAACACCAACCTTCACCCACATTTTTGACTTTTTAGTGTTTCAGTTTTATCTTTTTATGTTGCCTATCTCTCAACCAACTGTAGTAATTATTTTTTATAGTTTTGTCTTTTAGTCTCACACTTAAGACGTACATGATTCACTTAACACCATTACCATATTAGAGTATTCTGAATGTGTTTTCTTACTTGTGCCAGTGAGTTTAATACCTTCAGAAGTTTTCTTGTTACATGTTAGTATCTGTTTCTTTCAAGTTGAACCCTTTAGATTTGTAAGACAGGTCTGGCATTGATTTCCTCAGCTTTTGTTTGGGAAAGTCTTTATTTCTTCTTCATGTTTGAAGGATAGCTTTGCTGGGTACAGTATTGTTGTTGGTGGGTTTTTTTTCCTTCACACTTTGGATTTTTCTTTTCTTTTCTTTTTTTGGAAACAGAGTCTAGCTCTGTCACCCAGGCTGGAGCGCAGTGGTACTATTTCGGCTCACTGCAACCTCCACCTCCCAGGTTCAAGTGATTCTCCTGCCTCAGCCTCCCAAGTAGCTGGGATTACAGACAGGTGCTGCTGTGTGCATTTGCCTCTCTGGTAGGAACTGTGGCTCTCTTCTTGGCCCCTTGCCACTTTGTGAGCTCCTTGAGGGCAAAGTCCAGGCTGCGGAAGACCCCTGGAAGTAGACCCCAAGGATTGGGTTTTCAGGGACTCTTGGTGCCCACCCCCCCCCCCCCCCCATCAACTGAGGCAAGTCCACCTGCCGCTTTCCTCAGGAGCTCTCCAAGCTGGGCCTGGGGAATGAAACAGTGGTGCAGCTGCGGACTCTGGAGCTGCCTGTAGATTACAGGGAGGCTAAGCGGAGGGTCACCGGAATCTGGGAAGATCATCAGCCGCAAGTAAGTGATGGCCAGAGGCAGTGGGGCATGGGACTGGCGATGTGGAGCTGGAGCCTCTGAACCCCCGGGTCCTGGTTCTAGGGTTGATGGTTGAGGGGCACCCCGTCCCCAGGCCCCACCAGTCATGCAAGGTCCCAGCTGATTGTGTAAGGTTCTGGGTCTGTTTGTAAAAGTTTAAGCCAAAATATGGATTAGATCTTAATAGAAAATCTGGAGAGAAAGGAGGAGGAAAAGAAATGGAAGTATTATTCCCAGCCAGGACTCAAAAATAGTTTCCACCTAAGGGAGAGGCCCTTGGGTTGGGCCCCACACATACCCATGAGGGGCAGGTAGGTTTGAAGGTGGACGTGAGGCAAGGACCTCTGTGCCCAGGGAGCGACTGGGAGGGTGGCCAGCCTAGGGGAGGCCCATCTTCATAGCACGAGCCCATTTTATCTGGACATAATTACTGTATAAAAAACAGATACAACCCCACCCCCCCAAAAAAAACCCCAAACAAGGACCAGATGTGATGAGGTTAATAAAACATACACTATCAAGCCATTCAGACAATGCCCCAGATGTTTTGATAACATACTTGGGCAGCTATTTTTCAAAAAGGAAAAATAATCAGCTTGAATAAATTCTAAGAAGATTTCACTGGATGGCCACTAACTTCCTTTATTAAAGTTTCATTTAAAAAAAGATGCAGGAGGCGGGCACGGTGGCTCCCACCTATAATCCCAGCACTTTGGGAGGCCGAGGCAGGCGGATCACTTGAGGTCAGGAGTTTGAGACCAGCCTGGCCAACATGGTGAAATCCCATCTCTACTACAAATACAAAAATTAGCTGGGCGTGGTGCACCTGTAGTCCCCGCTACTCGGGAGGCTGAGGCAGGATAATCACTTGAACCCGGGAGGCAGAGGTTGCAGGGAGCTGAGATGGTGCCATTGCACTCCAGCCTGGGTGATACAGCCAGACTCTGTCTCATAAAAATAAATAAATACATAAATAAAATATAAAATAAAAAGATTCAGGATTCCACCAAAACACGAAGACTCTGCTGTGGTAGCCTCACCACTTACTAGCTTGCCTCTCCTCCCTCCAACCCTCCCCCCACAAAAAGAGAATACATTACCCTGTAAGAATAATTTGAAGTAAAAAGCATTTAAATGTAAATGCAGCATGAGTTTTTATTCAGCTAAAAGAATCCAGCTGTTTTTCTTTCCAGCCATATTAATTAGGAGACACTGGTGGGGGATCCTGGGGTTTCCCAGTGGATTTGGGGTTTGAGATGTTTTGCACAGAGCCGGGCTCTCAAAAGGAGTGGCCCCTTCTGCACATTTGGTGAGCAGGGTGGGCCTCGTTTTCCTGGGTTCTCTCTGCTGTTACCCGTTCACACAGCTCGTCGTGCATGTGGGCATGGACACCGCCGCCAAGGCGATCATTCTGGAACAGTCTGGCAAGAACCAAGGCTACCGGGACGCCGACATCCGCAGCTTCTGGCCCGAGGGCGGCGTGTGCCTACCTGGCAGCCCAGACGTGCTGGAGTCAGGGGTCTGCATGAAGGCAGTCTGCAAGCGCGTAGCTGTGGAGGGTGTCGACGTGATCTTTTCCCGAGATGCAGGCAGGTATGCTCTGTGGGTGTCAGGACTCTGAGCAGGTAGGAGAGAAGCAATGGCCGTCAGCGTCCCCCCGACCTCCAAGAAGCCATCCTGTATCGTCCAGCTGGCCACTTGGCCATGCGGTGCCGCCCCCAGATTGCCCCTCTTTGCTGTGTGCAGGCCAGCACAGTTGCTCACACCTTGCCTGAGGTCTCGTTTGTGAGACCTGCCTGTGGAAACACGGTCTTTGGTGTGTTGATCTAGGAGAAGAGATGGGAAGGCAGACTTCAAGAGCCACTAACATTTCGTGAATGTTTTCTGATTTTGATTTTTGGGGTGACCGAAGTTGTGAGTTAACTGTGTTGATGTAGCCCCAGATAAAGATTGATTTACCTTTGTTTCTCCAAACTCCGATCCCCAGTAGGTGGTTTTTCCCCTTTCCCCAGTGAATGAATGAGTAAGTGACTCAACGAAGACATGAATGAGAGGGATTCACTGGGATGCAGGTGCTGTGGAATATCTGACCCCTTTCTGCCTTGGCCACTTGCCGGTCATGAGGCCATGAGGCCAAGAGCCAGCTCTCCCCAGCTCATCCTGGCACCATGTTCTTTCTGAGGTGAAACAACACAAGTCTCCCTTGGGTGGCAGTGCTCCCTCCTCAGGCTTTGTGGGTGTTGCATTGCCACTTCTGCGTATGTTTCACTGAGGTTAGAGGCTGGTCCGAGAATTAATGTGGCATTTCCTGTGGTTGCAGATACGTCTGTGATTATACCTATTACCTGTCTCTGCATCATGGAAAGGGCTGCGCGGCACTCATCCATGTCCCTCCACTATCGCGCGGGCTCCCGGCCAGCCTGCTGGGAAGAGCCTTGAGAGTCATCATCCAGGAAATGCTGGAAGAGGTGGGAAAGCCCAAGCACAGAGCCCAGTTCGAAGAAAACTCAACCATGGTCCTTCCAGCCAAAGGGAACTGACCGGGGGATTGCTCCTCTAGAGAAAATTGAATGTTTCAATCCTGTATGTAGCACTCAACTGTGCATTGAGAAACTTTTTCAAAAATTGCTTGTAAGACAAAGAGGGTGGAAAACTCTGAATTAGCCCAACAAAATCACAAAGGGTTATTTTATTGTCAGGAGAAAGAACACTCTGAAAGGTGGACATTTCACAGGGGATGAACTAGCTTCAGTTATGGTTTTCATGACAATAAAATGAAATCCGAGTCATCTGTTTTCTTCCAAAAATCTACACAGTGGGTCTGTGTGATCCTGCGCAGACTGTGGGGACCACAGACCTGTTTTGGAGATGCTTACAGAAGCACAGAGACAGCCGCTGCTCCAGGGACCCCATTCCTGGCCTTTGAGCTTGTGTGTCCAGGTCCTGGGTAGCCTCGAAGCCACCGAGGCTCTACTGTATGATTTCTCTGTCTCTGTGTTTGCCCCTTTTACTACTCATTTTAATAATTTCAAGCATACAGTTCAGTAGTATACAGTACATTTCCTTGTTGTACAACCATCACCACCATCCATCTCCAGAACTTTCTCCTCATCCCAAACTGAAACTCTGTACCTATTAACTCCCTATTCCTTCTTCCTCCCAGCACTTGGTGCTCACCACTCCACCCTCCATCCCTATGAATCTGACTGTAGGTAGCTCATATGAGGGAGTCATGCGGCGCTGGTCCTTCTACATCTGGCGTATTATTTCAGCCTCATGTCCTCCAGGTTCATCCATGTTGTAGCATGGGACAGGATTTCATTCTGTTGAAGGCTGAATAATATTCCAGTGTATGTATGGACCACATTTCATCCATTCAGCTGTAGATGAACACTTACGTTACTTGCTCCTTTTGGTTCTTGCAAATCATGCTGCTACAAACACTGGCGTGCAAATATGTATCCGAGTCCTTGCTTTCAGGTCAATCTCCAGAGGTGAATTCCTGGATTCAATGCTAATTCTGTGTTTAATTTTTTAAGGAACTGCCATTTTGTTTTGCACAGGGGCTGCACCATTTTACAGTCACACTGGTAGTGTTTGGTTTGAAGGCGCAGGTTAATAGCCGGGCTTAGCTTCTCTCCATGGTGTCTTCCCTTTTTAAAAGCAGAATCTCCTTTCTGTTTCATGTTTTGTTTTGCTTTTATGACACAGCACCGGGTCTTGTGCCAAGCTTCTCCCAGCAAGATTCTACCTGTTCAGTGTTTTCTAGGGGCAGATTTCCTTTGGGAGTCCCATTGGTAACATCGCTTTTTTTTTTTTTTTTGGAGGAAGTGAGTGAAGGTAGGTGAGCTCTGGGAAATTTCTTGTTACGTTGGTGTGCTTACAACTACCATTTTTCACTTGACTACATTTAAAAAATTCATCAGTTAGTGTTTGGATTCATTCACTATTAAGAAAAGCATTTGCAGCTTCCTAACAAAGGAACCAGGCCAGGCGCAGTGGCTCACACCTATAATCCCAGCACTTTGGGAGGCTGAGGTGGGCGGATCACTTGAGGCCAGGAGTTCAAGACCAGCCTGACCAACATGTGAAACCCAGTCTCTACTACAATTACAAAAACATTAGCCGGGTGTGGTGGTGGGTGCCTATAATCCCAGCTACTTGGGAGGCCGAGGCAGGGGAATCGCTTGAACCCAGGAGGCGGAGGTTGCAGTGAGCCGAGATTGCACTATTGCACTCCAGCCTGGTCAATAAGAACAAAACTGTGTCTCAAAAAAAAAAAAAAAAACAAACAAAAACCCACAAGAAAACCAAAGGAAGCAGTCAAGGCCGCCAGCACGCTTTTTGCATTTGGAGTAGCCTTTAGGGGACTCCCTTTGCAAGTACACCTGGATCATTTGCTAGAAAACAGATCAAAGCCCACATATTGGGGGATGGGGGGAGGTGGTGCTGGGCGGTGTGCACAGGTCTGGCTGCATGGTTGCTAATGTGGAGATCTGTCTCTGCTATGGGCAATTCTGTCCCAGGACACTGGCAAGCAAGGGGCCCCCAGGACTGGGCTCCAGTGTTATATTTCAGACTGCCTGGCAGCATGCCATAACATTTTTTAAATTTTTAGATATTATCCAGTTGGGAGGCCCAGAGCTCCCTCTTCAAGAACTTCCCCATCATTTCCCCCCGCTGTGGCCCCTGAAGTTCTCCAGGGAGAACCCCAGAAGTCTCATTCACACCTGGGCTGTGTACTTCACCCAGCATCCCTTGTCAGTATGCACAGAGCCTGCTTAGTTCTGGCAGTGCTGAAGCCAGATTGAGAACCACAGCAGAAAAGGCTGAGAGGCTGAGTCCTGAGTTGGTAGCTGGTGGGGAGGTGGGGGGGCGGGGGAGGGGTCTTGAGCATGCCTGTATGTTTGCTCATCTGTAAGAGTAATTAAAATCCTTCCTTTGCAGGGTGATTGTGAACATCTGGTGAGAGAATGGATGTGAAGGTCTTTTTAGCAACATTAGAACACTACAAAAATCACACATCTGAGTGAGTATGGACTCATACCTGGACTTGGGGGGTAAATGCAGAAATAGCTCTTGAGGGCTTGCAGTCTTAAGAAATGGCCTGGAGGGGAAAGGTTCTAATGCTTCTGAAGACCCAGCACCTTCATCCTTAGATATTGCTGCTCCTTCTGGCTGGGCAGGCCAAGTGCAGACTGCACTGTGGCAACCTGGAAGGGCAGCATCTACCTGACCAGGGAAGGAGGAGGCCCTGTTGGGCTTTCCAGCCTCAGAATTGAGACCTCCTCATCATCAGTCACCTAATGAAGATCCCCTGAGTGCCAGGCACTCGGTGACAACACTGAGCAGTAACCCTGAAGCAATGCCAAGCTTGAGTACCCTTTTTGAGACAGAGTCCTACTCTGTCACCCAGGCTGCAGTACAGTGGCACAATCTTGGCTCACTGCAGCTTCTGCCTCCTGAGTTCAAGAGATTCTCCTGCCTCACCCTCCCAAGTAGCTGGGATTACAGGCACCCGCCACCATGTCCCACTAATTTTTTGTATTTTTAGTAGAGATGGGGTTTTACCATGTTAGCCAGGCTGGTCTTGAACTCCTGACCTCATGTGATCCACCCACCTCAGCCTCCCAAAGTGCTGGGATTACATGCGTGAGCCACCGCACCCCAGCTGAGAGTCCCCTTTCAGAAAGGCCTTTGCTTTTAGGTGCAAACACTTCTGAGGCTCAACAGGTCTGAAGTAACCATGGTCTTCGGTTTACTTCTACCTATACATTGCTGGACAGCTCTTCTTCTACTGGCCCGATTTTGCTATTGGAGCATAATTTCCCATGATAAAGTTGAAGGAAATGACCAGCTTCTCTGCCTGATGTGTCTGAATCCTTAGTCTGATTCTAGAACACACCTTGCCATACATGCCATTTCCCCTGACAAAAATAATGTTTACATTGTAGGGTCCCTAGGGGCAGACAGAGATCACTGAGCAGCAGCTAGAAAGTAACTAGGACTTTGGAGCTCCTCCAGTGACCCACATTCTGCGTGAGGCCCACTGGGTTCTCACCAGCATCCCCCCGAGGTGGGCATGTCAGCTGTGAAAGACCAAAAAGCACATGGGAAATGTGAAGAACTGAAGTCCTCTGCCTTGGGGTCATGCAGATCAGACTTGCCTTGGCCTGACTGTTGTTAGTGGAAGGTATAGGAAAAAAGTCTACAAATCAGTCGGAACTGCAGTACAGAGTTTCGTAATTTATGTATTCAAATTTCTTTCCAGATGATTTAATGGAGGGAGAAACAGATAGCTTCCCTGTCGTCTTTACTGGCAATCTGCATGCTGAGAAAGCTCAGCTGTCAGAGAAGAGGCAATGCTTTTCTGGAGAACGCTTCCAGGCAACATGCGTGAACACACGTGCCCCACATAGCTCAGCTTCCCTGCCACCAAAGTGTAGTGATGCTTCCAGGAGGGACAAAACCAAACCAGAGACAGAAATGCATACAGAATTATTTTATTTAACTTAAACCATGTAGTACTTTACTAGAAAAAAGCAGAGTAAGAGAAACTAACGTTGCCTTAGCTTCAGCCATTCAAAATAGACAGTTTCTTTTTTCCATTATGTAAAGAATCCAGAGTATATCGCAATAACAGGAATAAATTCTTACAACAGAATATACAAAAACATTTTGAAATTTTTTTCATCTACTGATTTTTTATATAAACAGGATTTTTTAGGAATAATTTATACACAGAAAGTCATTTTATGTAACAAATTGGCCATGTTATTACCTTTTTTTTTCTTACTTAAAAAAATTTTTTTTTAACAAGAAAACTCAGAAAATGCATTATTTGCGGTGCATCCATTCCATCCCGCCTTCTGGTTTGATTTTTTTTATCCCAGACAAAGGGATACCCAGAGGTAGACAAACTCTGGCAAACCTCTCACCTCAACCTCACTGGCTTAGAAAGCAGACAGGTGTTTTCACCGGGCGTCTCTTCCACCGGTGGATGTGTGTGTGCAACGCCAAACATCCAAATGAAAAGTTGAAAACAAAACCCAAATAGTTTCCAGATCTTTCTCCTATGTAGCGCAAAAACCCCAGGTGTTTCCCATGATAGAGATATTGTGGAGTTGGGGAGACATGGCCAACAATCCACTGGAGTTAGAGGAAGTGGAGTCAACTTTAAAACCAATTTTTGTGTATGTTATAGTTTTTATTAAAAATTCTTTTCTGTATTGGAAATACGTATCTTCGGGGTTCTGCCTTAAATAAAATAGGGTCTCTTCTGTGTTCTAACAAAGCAGTAATCAGTCATGATACGAGGCATGTAAGCAAATGGCCTGTGTGCCCCATAGCTGTCATCGTTTATGTGATCACTGTGTATGCTGTAATCATCATGAAAACCATTGGCTGTGCAGTCAAGTCTTCCCATGTCCATGGCACTGTGCTGACAATGACGGCAGCCAGACCAATCAAGCCAGATGCCGAACGGTGCCATGCACTGCTGGGCTCCAACACCTCGGCTGTTTCCATGGCCAATGAGGTTCTTTCCATCTGTTAAAGTAGCTACACTCCAAAGGGAAATGACCAGTAAAAAATGATCCCCTTCCCAACCAGAGGGTTCTGGAAGACCAAGATACTGAAGATACAGAACTACTTTTTAAATCATCATCATTCCTTTGTTATAAACTAGGGCAAAAAGCATGGGGGGAAAAGAGGGTGAACCACGGATGGGGTCAGGGAGAAATCCTTTTTTGGCATATTGTAAAGCTAGCTAGTAAACAGGTGTCCTAAAAAAAAAAAAAAAAAATGGATCACAAACACACATTTGCACACACAGAGAAAAAAAAAGTGTCTTTAAATTATTTTCGGCAATTATAAACTACAAACATTTTATAAAATTATTCTGTTCTTACAAAAATGCAATGAAACATTTAATTAGTTCTTGTAAACCAGATCTTCGTCAACTGACTACCCGTAATCTACTGGACTTAAGAGCCCTATTGAAAACGCTAATGAGTGACTAGTTAAAACAATGTTGACCAGAAAGATGCGGACACACACACGTGGGACATAAAAATGAGTGATCGTTATGTTCTCGCAGAAACAAAACGCTAAAGTCATGCCCCAGAACTGACAACTGACGAGTGCGATGTAGTTTGTGTTCTTGAACAATTCGCCTTAACTCCGAGATCAGTTTCCAGAGTAGGATGTTAGGTTTCTTTGTTGAAACCAAATGCCCACGGATGACTGCTGAGCCTCGATGTGGTCTGATAGCTTCAAGAACAATCAAGTTCAAAACCTTGCCCACATTCCTTCCAAGCCCTGCACCCTGCTGCTCGTAACTCTTCTCTGTGCCAGGATCCCTGTGACAATGGTTCTGTACCCACCACCCGGTCATTCCACCATCAAGGAGCACTCACTTCTCCAAATGACGCAACCAGTCATCTAAGATGAAGGCCAAAAATGAAACCCTCTGACCTGTCCAAGGTCTGTATCTTCAGCATCTCTGGCAACAGAGGTTCAGTCTAAATAACATCCTCTCTTGAAGTTCTCATTTGTACCACCAGCTACTTCAGAGTGAAGAAAGAAAGTGTCTTTCGCCACTGGTTCTTAAGGAGTGGATCTCTGGTCCACATCTCCCAATGCTGCTTAGCCCAGGAAATGAAGACAGCTGACAACACAGAGGAACATTAACGAAAAGAACAAACCCCAAACTTGAAATGCATAACTGGGACTGCTGGAATGGGCCAAGGCATACCACGGCGGGTCACTGTCACCAGGAGGGCGCCTGTGTTTTAGAAGGGAGTGGCCAACACCGTCTGGCCACCCTGGAAGGAGCCAACGTGACAGCTAAGAACACTAGACAAGCATCCTAGCCTTCTCACCCATCGATCTCAGTGTGATCTTGCCACAGAGCCACTGGCAAGCCATTCGGCTGCCAGCCTGCAGAGGTGGACTGCTGTGGGAAAAGCTTCAGTGGAACAAACTGGCCTAGAATCTGGTGCCAGAGAATAGTTGGCTCATAAATCTTTTATCCCAAAGCACCCCAATGTGCACCGAGCATCTCGCCATTTGGTAGTTCCACAGTGACTGCTCTTCTATTTTACGAAGCCACTTTTCGTACCATTGAAATGTGACTCCGCATCTTAAGAAACAGGCCAGGAGAGGCCAGGTCGGCCACGAACACGGTCTTCCATCTTCCAAGGAGGAGGCTCGTTCCAAAGGTATGTCAAACGTCATGACATCCCACGAAGGAGACCTGGGGTGGTCTGGGTCTTGATCAAGTTCAACAGTGTCTCCAGTACACACCAGCTCCTGCTGCCTCAGGGAAGGGCTGTGTGGGAGAACGTCTTAATGCTCACATCAATTCCATGATGTGCCTCAGTGGTTCATATGACTTCAAGCAGTGTGAGCTGCTGGCAGAAGGAGGTTGCATGGAAAATGCCACAACTCAGCTTAAGATTATTTGGAACACACAGAGAAAAATCAAGAGGCAGAGAAATCAGCATGAAGTTAGGCTAGAACTGTGGATAGATGATGCCTTGGTATAGTCAAGGTGGGTGGGTTGGTCCAGTAAAGTGACTGCACCATCACACAAGCCAAGTTTTCTCTTTTATTGAGGTGTTTCTGAAGCATTTGCTATGATGGGCACTACACTGTTAGTGTTTTCTACTTAAAAGCTACCTACATAAAACAAAAACAAAATGACATCAGTAACTCGGACAGTTTAAACAAAACCCTTATAACCAGCTGAATGATCTGTAGAAATCCAGTTGTGGAAACCGGTAGGTATGTGCACGAGAGGAGAGGCCGTTATTCCAAGGGGTCACCTACAGTGTGGAAGAACAAAACCCTGATCCAACAGTATTTCTCAATGACCTTAAGATCCCCGGGGTCCTGGGAGAGATGGGTCGCGTTCCAGCAGGAGGCTCCTGAGCGCCTTCACTTAGGCTGGAATTGCCGAGGAGCCATCCACGCTTAGGCAAAGCTGCCCGCCACACTTCCCAGCGAAATCATCAGTGCCTGTAAGAGCAGCTGCTGGAAGAGGGGAGCGAGCCGTCTGTCCTGTGAGCAGCAGGACCAGGGAGACGGAGGTACAGCCCTGGCGGGGGGGGCGTGACGCCACGAGCCTCGGCGCCGGCCACTGGGCTTTCCAGCCGGAAGGTTTGGTACATCTCTGTCTACCCCTAGGGAAGGAGGTGAGGGAGAAGTTGAGAGGGCAGCCTGGAGGGGGAGGGGACTCTGCTCCTGCGTGTGTTCTATCAGGGACTGGCTGTGAGGTCAGGAGCCTCTGCATTCTGGCGCACAGGCTGGGTGACTCTTGCTCTCCAGCTGCTGCTGCAGCTGCACCTTTGTGCTCAATGAATGCAGCAGCCATGGCCGCACGGTCCTGCCTCAGCGCGAGCCTCCTGCAGGGATGGAGCAGCAGCAAGGGGAGCAAACCCAATGCCCCACGCCTTTACCCTGGGGATTCGCACAGAGATGGTGCTGCCTGGACACCTTCCTCTCCTCAGAACCTGAGGAACCACTGCTCTCTTAAGGACGAAATGTGTTGGTCATTCCATCTGCACAGAAGCAGTTTGTTCCAAAGACAACCAGCCAGGGACAGCCTGGTGGCTCCCCCAGGTGTGCTCTGGTGCCCTCGTTGGCCTCACAGGGCCACCTGGCTAGGAGGAGGAGAAATCTAACACCTTGGTGGAAACCAAGATAGAAAACAAAACAAAAAAAGCAACACAAAACAGGACATCTCAGAAAAAGGCAAGCTGTCTGAAATGAGCAGAGAGGTGAGTTAGTGTTGCTTTGACCCCGGAATACAGCCTGGCTTCCCCCTGCATCACCTGGGTGTGGCGCCTGTGGCGTGGATGAGGTTACCAGTATCAACGGCCTATTGTCAGGTGCTGAGAAAGGTGAGATGTATTCTTTTGTCTATATACACATATAAAAAATAAGAGTGAGGTAGATAAATGTTTGGGGGAAAAAAAACCCAAAAAATCAAGAACTGTCCCATCACTCTCACACACACACACCCCACACATACACACACACACACCCTTTCCTTGAAATTTAAATTCATAATGGGGCTTTTCTACAGTGATTGAAACTGGTAATTTATCACAAAATAAATTAAAAGAAAACTCCTACATATAATACCTTTTTTTTTTTTTTAAAGGGAACACGCTATGGGATAGAGACTAGAGAAAGCAGTGGGACAAACTGCTGACCAGCAAAAAAGCCGTATAAACTTTCTTTTCTGTGTTGAATCTTCAGTCACAACTAGCAATCACCGTATCCCAGCTTTGTTCTTACTCCTAAACATTTCTATCCCAGAAGCAACTCTTGTGCTGTCATCTCTCTGGTGAGAAGTGCTAAAAATGAAACAAGACAAGACCCCTGGGCCCCAAGGACCTGGATTCCTGGCCGAGGGAAAGTGGGCCAGCACCACAGCCCTGGTCCCCCAGCAAGAAGCAAAGGGGCTCTTGGGCCACCGTGGCGTCTGTGCTGCCTCCACCTAGCACTCCAGCGGGCACAGCCCTGAGGGTGCCGCCCTGGGCCAGCCTGGATCCCGGGGTCCCACTCAACGCCAGTGCGAAGGAGTTCCCTTGGGATGTTCTGGTTCCAAAGACAGGTCAGTCGGTCCGGTGAGGGGGGTGGCGAGGGCCACAACAGGCCCTGCCGGACCACGCTCTGCTGCTCCCTTGGACTCAGCAGCTGTTTTTCGTGGGATGGAAGGATTAAATAGCCATTAAGAAAAATAGTAATCCAAATGCCTAGTGTCTGCGGTTAACACTGCTGTTGTACCCAAGAATTAAAAAAATATATATATATG
The DNA here is from genome assembly GCF_000001405.40 of Homo sapiens. Lineage (NCBI taxonomy): Eukaryota > Metazoa > Chordata > Mammalia > Primates > Hominidae > Homo > Homo sapiens. The sequence continues at coordinate 98,959,193 of NC_000015.10, read as the reverse complement.
TGTGTCACAACCTAAGCAAAGGCAAGGGAAAGAGAGGGTGAGGCTTCTCAACCACGGTGAGTGGAAACACTGAACAAAGACGTGTGAAATATTTAACCTTTGTTTTTCTGACCTGAGTTTGTATCATGTCTTGCACTGTAACAGGCTCCAATGCTGTGAGGGCAGGCTGGGGAGAGGAGCGCGGCCCTCTCAGGATGGGTGCCCGGCCTGCTTTCTGCCTCGTGCCCAGAGAGCCTACGGGTTAGAAAACAACTAAAGGGGCAGGTGGGAGCAGGGATGGGGGATGTATTTATAAAAAGGCATCCAACAGTTCATGGCAAATTATGTGATAGAAGTATCCATTACCGGGAAAAGAGGAAGAAAGTCACGCACTCTAGTACAAAGCATAAGAAGTTTCTTGGAGTGAGCAGAAAGGGGAGAGGGTGGACCTGAAGGTTTTCATAGATTAAATCCACAAAGATCAAGAACAAAAAAAATAGCAGCTTTTTTTTTTCTGTACAGACGTATAGATGAATATCTGAACCGTAAAAAAGTTATAAAAGTGACATTAAAGACGATGTGTATGCAAATGTTTCATGGTCTAACATAGAACTGTAAGACCCATGAAGAAGTCCTAGGAACAGAGAAAATGTCAACAAAGCTTAGAATGCTTGAATCCATTGACTGCTTTTCTTCTTACTGCTGTTGTGGTGTTTGAATTTCTTTCCTTGCAAACCTGCATCAACAGTGGGGCTGAGTCCCTGGAAACCCCTTCCCATCTGTGTCCTTGGGGGCGGGCGGGGGAGCTGGGGCTGGGAGAGAAGCAGGCATGGGGCCCCTTGACTCCAAGCCTGTCCGCCAGGCTGCTTCGGGGCCCATGGCCACCAGATTCTTGGGGGTTGGGCAGGGGGCTGGGGAGGCAGGGCAGGGAAGCCGGTTCAGCTTCTCCCCACCTTCACTGAGAGAAAGACCTATTGTGTCCAGTTCCCCCAAATAATAATCTAGTCAGAAGCAATGAGACCTGTGTGCCTGTGGCCTTGAGCAGCACAGCAGGGGCAGTCGGATGGACGGAGTGTGTCGCCAGCGTGTCTCTCAAATGGAGCAACCAGCTGCCATGCTCACCCATGCCTCCGGACACGAGGAATCAGCGCCGGGCCGATGAGGGAGAAAGTTCAGGATTTTGGCAAAATTAGGCAGCGTTAAAATGGTAACAGCCTTGGATGAACGATGGCCCTTTGTAAATTTCATGTCCCTAGAAAGGTGAAAGATAAAGGTAAAAATTTCCATCTCCACGTGTTTTTTTGTAATGACCCACGGTGTCAGGCGGGTGTGTACAGTGGTTGGATGGGGCCACAGGGACAGCCACTTCCTCAAACTGATAAAAAGGGCTTCCCAGCTGGACTTGTGGCAATTATTTTTCCGTTATGAAGCAGAGAGGAGAGAGAAAGGGAGAACAGGGAAGGACAGGGACAGAGTGAGGAGACTGGTTCTCAAGTGCTCTGTTGCTATTAAGTGTTGTCATTAAGGTTCTTAAAGGCCCATGTCAGTTAAGGGTTTGGGCAGGGAATAAAAAGCTGCTTGCATATTGAAAAAAGGAACATCCCAAATGTGTTTTACTGCAGAGAAGCTGTCTCCCGCGGGCAGCAAGGGCAGTTCTGAAGATCCACTGAGGTACAGGAGGCTTGTGAATGGATTGTTAAAACTCTCTCTCCCCCCCCACCCCGCTGCGCGTGCGCACACGTTACTGTTTGCACAGATTCAGGATCCAAGGATCAGCAGGTCGAAGACTGGGGCAGCGGCAAGGCCCGCTCGTTCTTGCGGCCCCCGTTCATGTGGGCGTAAGGCTGTCTCTCGTCGAAGCTGGCGCGGAGGACCAGCACCCCAGGGCCGGGGCCGTTCTCGGCCTTGTGTCCTGAGTGTCTGTCGGGCAGTGGCAGGGAGGACGAGGAGGCCGAGGGGTCCAGGGGGACGCTCTCCATGTTCTCTGGCTCCAGGTCCAGCTCCTCCGGCTCGGGCAGCTTGTTCTCCTCGCTGTAGTAGAAGGAGACCTCCCGGAAGCCAGGCTCCATCTCCTCTTTGATGCTGCTGATGATCTCCAGGAAGGAAGGCCTCATCTTGGGGTTATACTGCCAGCACATGCGCATCAGTTCAAACCTGCAGCCAAGACACACGGGAGGGGGTCCAAACCGGGAGGGCGCACATGGCCAGGAGGCTTCATGGGCCGCCTGCAGTGGTTTCCCGCATACAAGCGTACGGCGGGAGCACTGAACACAGCCCTGCTGCCCCTCTCCATCCCTGGCTTTCTGCCTGGATGGCCAAGTGGCCTTCAGAGTCTCCTGTTTTACCTCGTACGGTTCCATTCTCTTCCCCCAGAACCCAGAACCACCACGGTACAAAACCCAAACTCTCCTTTCCCAAGAAGGACTAATCCAGGTCCACACTGTCCATCGTGACAGCTGTTATCTATGGTGGCAGTGCTAAGAAACAAAAATAACCAGTTTTCTATCTGAGGCGTCTCATGCAGGCACTGCTGAAACATCCTTTCCAGAATTAGCAGGAAACCCCTGGTTTCTCACCAGGAAGGCTGATGAGTGACCGCAGCTTCCCCAACAGTGCTCTCTCTCCGGTTCCCACCTGTGCTATTTCTAAGCTTCCTCCTGGTGCAGGGCTACCCCTGGCAGACAACCAAAGGAAGAAGGCACTGTGAGGCCAGGCTTGCAACACGAAGAAATGCACACTCCGAGTCTGCTGTCTCCATCTAGCACGTGCTCGCTCCAGCCCTGCACAAGCAAGCCCCAGCCGATGAGCCAGGCTGTTCTGGACCAAACGAGAGGCCCCGTGTAGACCTGAAGCCAGATTCCAACAAGCCAGCAAGGAGAGCCCTGGGCACGAGTCCCCTCCACACGCAAGGGACAGGCAGAACAGGATGACGCTTGTGCTGTGTGTCGGTCGCATCGGCTGGGCTCCGACAGCACCTGGGCTGCAAATACCTGTGAGGCCCTCAGAGTCACATGGAGCAAAGGGAGTCCTGCCGGCTGTGGCCGGGGCTCCCCAAGAAAACAGCCGGCCACACGTGGACAAGGAAAGCCGGCTGCCCTGACCCAGGAAAGGCCCGGGCTTTGACAAGCTTCCAGAATGCAGAGACCCAGCTAAACAGACTTTTGGGGCAAAAAGCAGCTGGCTACCATCCAGGGCTGGCCATAGTTCTGAGGAGTGACCGCCAACAGCCCTCTCTTACATGAGCGTGAAACCAAAGTGCCTTCCTTTCCACGTCTGTTCTCACCAGGAAGTTATCCTCTTTATTTTAAAATTCTGGCTAAAGAGATGCTTTTCCATAAAAGTGGCCACACAGAACTCTCCACATCTAGGAAACTCAAAGCACACCCAGTGGCATCTAGCCTCCTGTCAGGGTGGCTGCTTGACCACAGACTACCTGCCCGTGTCTGGCCTTCAGGGAACATTCCAAGGGGAGGCCCCTGATGTAAGAGAAGCCACTGGGCCTGGAAGCTGGCCTGCCAAGAGAAGGGCTCCTATGGCCACCTGGCAGCTTCCTTCAGGTGGAGAAGGTGCAACCTTGAGGGAGGGTGGGCCTGGGTGTGAGGGAGAGCCATCCAGAATTCACTAGAATTCAGCGTTCTAGAGCCCGGGGGCCTGCGTCTCCACAGGGCCTAACCCGGGGCTGCCCGCCTCTACATCAGCTGCACTGGCATGGGGCCACGCTCCCTCATTTCCATGTGGGCTGCAGCTGCTTTCCAGCTACAACTACCAGCTGAGGACATTAGGACAGAGACTGTGGCCTGCAAGTCTAAAAATGTTTATTTACCACGTCGCCCTTTAAAAGAAGGAAGGGTGCAGGTTCCTGTTCTGGGGAGAAAAGAATTAGACAAAATATGAAGGCCCCCACAGTATGCTTCTTAGATTTGGAGAGTTCCATGTGGCCACTTTTATGGAAAAGTATCTCTGTAGCCAGAATTTTAAAAGTCTACCCCACGGTAGAATGCCATGTGCACGCTAGGTGCCAGGCAGCGAGGCAGTTATGTGTGTGAACTGCTGAAGTCCTCACGAGTTTGTGAAGCAGGTGCTACTGACTATAATATACCCCCATGTTACAGATGAGGGAACAGAAGCACTAAGATACTAAATAATTTGTCCAAGATTACAAAATTCATGAGGGTGGAGCTGGGATGGAGTTCTCTGCGCAACAGAATGACTACACTTTGATCACCAACGATCCTGGAAAAAGGAATTTTTCTCAACCTAAATAAGAGTAACCCTGGGGCCACCAGGAGACCCTCCCTCACCTAACTGTCCAAGGAACAGTCACAGATGTCACAGGGATGTGGTTTGCATTGATAAAAGCTGGCAGCTTGATGACAAATAAGCCTGCCTTTCCAAACTCCCCATCACTTCCTAAGAAAAATGATTGGGGTTAAAAAAATTAAAATAGGCCATAACGACATGAAATGCCTGGGCTGTGAATTCCTCTCCAGCTGACTTACCCCTGGGCAGAAGCGTAACTGGGCCAAGAGCATGAGATGTGCTTGGCTCTGTGCCCTGTGGCCAGGGACCGAGGAGGTGCCACAGGAGAGCAGCGAGGCAGTGACATCAGCACAAACAAGCCATGTGACGCCTCTTTTAAACCATTCCAGAGTAACAACCCTTCCAGTGCTGCCCATGAAAGGAAGTCTTTTTTGCTCTGTGGGATTCAAGACCTTGTTTACTATTTCCACACACACAAAAAATCTCCATTAGACTCTAGAAGGATGTGTGAGCTGATAAAACTCATCTTTTAAAAAGCACAATTTTTTTTTTTTTTTTAACCACAGGTCAGTTCTGGGGAGGCTGGCGCCATCCTTCTCGAATGCTCTCCCCTTTGGGGGACACATACCCAGCCCTTCTCCTGGAACAGGGACAAGACTCAAATGGAATTCCTGCCCTGCTGGGAAGCAGCTTCCTGGGGGCCAGCTGTGACCCCCCCCGGAGGCTGGGTGACGGTCAGCAGGGTGAGCACACAGAGGTGCCTCCGTATTCTCACTTCACTCTTGGCCCTGATGTCCTGAACTGGACAGGCTGTGACCTGTGTGCGATGTCAGCAGGCCACGAGGCACCCGCACATTCCCACACGCTGCCGGGAATCAGCACGGCCCCAGCCCGGTGCCGACGCTCACCGGATTCCCAGAGGACCTGCGGGGCTGAATGTGTCTCTCCCTCCTGGCAGCCCTCAACAGTAAGGGTCGTCTTAGGAACCACGCCTCAGCCAGGAGCGGCTGTGGACATGGGGCCTGTGTGCCTCAGTGAGCTTACTGGGGCTAACTGAGCAGGAGCGCCCTTCCTGTCTGTCTGGGTCCCACTCAAGCACTCGATTCCCGCAGAACCAAACCAGGATTCCAGCGATGGGAAAAACTGTACTGGAAAACTACAAAAAACATCAGATTTCACTAAGTTTGTTTCAGACTCATCTATGAGTTGATAATGCTCCAGGCTAAAGTTCAGATTCCCTCCTGAATCCTGTAGACCAAAGACGTCTCTGGCAACAGTCTGGACACGTGGAGCTGTGGAAGTGTTAGCAGCAGAACAAATGGCTTCCTGGCCCAAGTCTTCCACGGCTGCGTTCACACCTCTGCCCTGGCCCTTATCCCGCAGCAGCCGGGACCTTTTACGTCACTACGTTTCCTGAAAGCCAGGGCCACTCCTGGCTCATCTGTGTGACCTCAGGGTCAGCACGCACCCAGAGGAGCTCAACAGTATCTGTGGCATAAATACCGAGATCTGGGCTGAAATAAGGCTGAGGACGGGCTTTGTCATCAATCTAAAGTACAGACCCAGCAGGGAACCACAACCCAAATCTGATGTTGTGATACCTGCTAAGTTAATTCACACTGAGTCATGGCGTTGAGACTCAGACCTCGACACCTTGTGGCTTGGGGACCACGGAGTCCTTCCTCTAAAGCCAGAACACTCGGTGACACTGAGGGGTGAGAATCTGGCTACTTCCTGATGGTGAGCTCCAGTCCACCTGCAGCCACCGAGCTCCTTCAGCCCCTAGTGTCACCAGATGGTGCCTGTTCAGATCTCAGAACCACACAACTCACACACTTTCTCACCTGGGACCCGGCAGAGGTTTCAAGGCAACTCCCAAGGGCTCAGGGACTCTCCTCTCCGGGATAAACGGAGGCCATTCTTTCATGTCTTGTAGCAACAGAACTCCCATGCTAGAACCCTCCTTTCTCAGGTAAGCTCATCAGTAAACTCAGAAGGACAACATGACACTCCCTATGAAACCAAGTTGCCTCCTTTCATTCTACTCTTTTCTTGGAAGGGAGAAAAATTTTCTCAGGAGAAAACATTTTCTTAGAAGGGAGAAAAATTCTCGATGGCAAAGCAGAAATGCCTCCTGAACTAAACATTGAATGTCAGAGTAACCGCTCTGAGTAAATTTCCTTGTCACTCTATGCTGAGAACAGGAAGTGCCCTGCGTTTCCCATGGCAGGGGCTGCGTCCCAGGCAGTTTACATTAATAGTAAAAGCCCAGTCACCTGGAGGTGGACCAAGTAAGAATCCCACAAGTCTCTTGTAGATAAACGTTTACCCGAGTCAAAGAGAAAGCACAGAACAATACCGCTCTCCCTCACCCACCCTAAACCACAGAAGCAGAACTCACACCTGCTTTCATGGGCTGTTTCTAAGCTTGCTAAAATACCACCAGTTCTAGTATTAGCCTAGATTCTAGCACTGTACCTTTATGCAGATTCAGTGGTCATCAGACCTCTTACTCCATGGCTTATATTCAGACTTGAAAGCATGATTTTTCTCATAATGGCTGGCAAGAAAACAGTGGCTGCGCTGCTCAAAGTGTGGAGCAGATGGTCACCTGTGAGGGGCAGTGTGTGTGTGTGTGTGTGTGTGTGTGTTGGTGGGGTACTGGGGGGTAGCCAGGCTCCCGGATCCCCAGTGGTCCTCTCCCCTGTGTCCTGGAGCTCACATCCCCACGTGATTGACTCTCACATGGTGTAACCTGAAGGAGAAGGTGAGAGCCTCAGTGTGACTTCTGAGGTTTGGTCAGAAAGGACGTCGTGCCTTCTGCTCAGGTCCTGGATCTTTTACTCTAGGGCACAGCAGGCAAACTATGTACCTGTGGGTAAAATCTGGCCTGCTGCCTAGTTTTCCAAGGTCTATGAGCTAAGAATGGTTTTCATGTAAATGGCTAAAAGAAATTCAAAATAAGAATATTTTGTGACAACACAGGGATGATGTGGAATTCAAATTCCAGTATTAAAAATAAAGCTGTATTGGAACACAGCCACGCTAGCTTATGTGACGCCCACAGCTGTGTTTGCTCCACAGTGGCAGAGTCCAGTAGTCACAGTCAAGGTCGTATGGGCCCACAGAGCCAAAAACATTTTTTTAGCCGGCCTTTTAGAGAAAGAGTGTGCCGAACTCTGCACTCAGAGAAGCCAGCTACACATCCTGAGACACTTGGGCAGTGCTACGGAGAGGCCCACGTAGAACAGGGCGATTCATGCAGGGCATACTACCTATGCAGCAACACCTTGGAAGTGGGTCTGCCTCCCCCAGGCAAGCCTTCAGATGACTGCAGCCCCGGCGGACAGCTGGGCTGCAACCGCGAGAAGGGCTCCAAGCCAGAGCCAGCCAGCTATGCCGCTCCTGCGTTCCTCGCCTTCAGAAACCTCTGAGAGATAATACATGTTTACTGTTGCTCTTAACTAGTAGGTTTTGGGTAGTTTGTTATACTGCGATAAAAAACTAACACAGAAGGGGAGAAGAAGAATTTCTATACTGGGCAAGAAAAGGTACTAAGTGGTCTTTCGAGTCTCTTCCAAGTTTGGATTGTGGAGTTCTGAAGAGGCCATGCTGGGAAGTTTCCTTGATGAGGGCTCCAGGAAACCCAGTGCCACTGCATCTGTAGGTGCCACCCTCAGAGAAGAGGAGCCTCCCATCACTGGCCCAGGCCCAGGGCACCAGCCGACTTTCTGGTTCTGGCCCTGCCTTGATGGGACAATGGGAGCCCCCACATGTGCTAGCTGTGCAAGGGTGATGCCTTCACTCTGGCTTTCCCTGGTATCCTTCCTGCGCCACCTTTCTGAATTCCACACGAAGTGTCCACTGCCTGGGATACACTTCAGCTGAACCTATGTTCGGAAGCAGCAGCTAATGAGCATGCCGCCCAGCCAACGTACTCCCAGAGCACAGGGGTGTGTATCCAGTCTTCCCCACCCCATGCCCTCCGCTGGCCGGCCATTTACAAGGAGCTTAGGGATTCAGTATTTGTAGCAACACTCAAAGTGCTTTGAAACAAAAATAGCACCTTGATTGTTTGATTAGGGACAATGATTTCTGAGACTATGGAATTCTAAGATGCCCCCCAAGATCGTTGCCCCTGGTGTAAATATCCCATATAATCCCCTCACTTGAGTACGGGTGGGACTTGTGAACATGAGAGGATACTTCACTCCTCTAATCAGGCTTCTCATCAATTGACTGTGAATCACTTAAAAGGGAGAGAGTATCCTGGGTAGATCTGACTTTATCAGGTAAAAAACCAGTAGAAGCAGTAGAGAGCTGTCCTCTTATCAGTCTTGAAGAAATAGGCTGCTGTTATGAGAGGGCCTATGGAGGCTGTATATGGCAAGGACTGTGAGTGGCCTTGGCCTCCAAGAGTTGAAAGCAGTCCCCAGCTGACAGGTGCCAAGAATATGGGGACCTCAGTCCTGCAAGTGCAGAACCCTGAAGGAGCCTGAAGATGTCCCTGAGCCTCAGGTGAGACTGCAGCCCCACTGACATCTTGATTTCTGCCTCCTGTGACTCTGAGCTGAGAGCAAGAACACCTGCATCTGGATTCCTGGCCCACAGACACTGTAGGAGACCAAATGAGCAAAACTTTTGTGGCTGCTGGAGCCCTCATTCCCTCCTGTCCACCTGACACATGTCTGGTTCATATCTATCTATTATCCCGCCACTGTGGGCCCAGCCTGAGTCTGTGCTGGCTCCAGGGGGGTGGATGGGTGAGAGATAGGAGCTGGGTGCCTTCATGCAGACATAACAGCCCAGCAATTCCTCAGGATCCTTTCCAAAATGAAGCCAAACCTGTCCTGAAAAGCATTTCTGGAAATCTCCTGAATTGGTCTTGAGATACTAGTGGGAGCCCACCTTCCTGTTCAGCTATGGAGATCCAGATCAATCTCTGAAGCCTGCCTTAAAGTGCATGTCAAAAGCAAGGCCACTGCTCCCAACCTGTACCTGTTGTGCGCCTGATGACTGAACTGGAACACCTTCACCCCCTCCTCAAACTCATTCCAGGAAGGACAACAAGGCCTCCCTGCTCCAGCAGCTCTGACCTCCACTGAGCCACAAAACAGCACCGTCCACGGACACAGAGCAAGTCCTCCACCAAAAGGGGGGCTTCTCCAGGGGGCGCTGAGCAGAGAGGCCTCACCAACACTGTGAGGCATCACAAACTCTCTCTCGTCATCTGACAAAACTTAGGACTAAAAGCTGCAAAGTGTTTTTTCAAAATAAGTGGGGTTGCCAGGTGCGATGGCTCATGCCTGTAATCCCAGCACTTTGGGAGGCTGAGGCGGGGAGATCATCTGAGGTCAGGAGTTCAAGACCAGCCTGGCCAATATGGTAAAACCCCATCTCTACTAAAAATTAGCTGGGAGTGGTGGTGGGTGCCTGTAATCCTAGCTATTTTGGAGGGTGAGGCAGGAGAATTGCTTGAACCCGGGAGGCAGAGGTTGCAGTGAGCCAAGATCACGCCAATGCACTCCAGCCTGGGCGACAGAGCGAGACTCCATCTCAAAAAAAAAAAAAAAAAGTGCAGTGAGAAGACAAATTCACCAGCACTGGCATCCTTCTGTCCGCAGGGATGTCAGCTCACACACGCTCCAGGTCCACATTGGTCAGCGGATGAAGCTCCGGAGAGCATGTTACTTAGATGGTTTATGACTTTTGTAAACACTTAACAGAGAAGACATGTGGGGCAGGGTTCAGAAGACACCAAGCTGACCCTACGTGGTGCATGCCGGAGTCCTGGCCATGCAGCTGTGTGCACACTCACTGCGGCGGCTCCCTCAGGCCTGCCACAGGTGGGGCGCGGGGCTCTTGAATTCGACTTCAGAGTAGTATGTGTTGTGTTGTAGCCTTCTTTAAAAAGAAACAAAAACCTCACATGGAGAGGATGAGTAAGGATGGATTACTCTGGCCAAACATTTCACAGAGACATTTGGCCTGAGAAACTACAGTGTGAACTGCAAATCGGAACGAAAGCATTACGGAATATGGGGTAGAATTAAGGTACCCACGGAAAAGCACAGGTCGACCAACCCACTCAGCTCCTTCCACAAGGACAAACCTCTTAGCCACGCCTGGCAAGGGAGGCGCAGGACCAGAGAGAATGGCTTTAATCTCCTAATCTCCTGTGACCCAAGAAAACAGGTATTTGAGAAGAGAACTCAGAAGAGCACGGAGGGCCCAGGAAGTACGTACAGCATGTCAGGACAGTTGTCTGGCTTGTCCAGAAGGCCGCCCTCCATGACGAAGCGAAGGACTTGCTCGTTGGACAAGCCCTGGTAGGGCTGCTCGGCCAGTGTGGCGATCTCCCAGAGGACGACCCCGAAGGACCTACAGGGAGAAAAAAACTGTGAGGAGCTTGGAAAGGGATGGACTGAACAATGCTGCCCCCTCCTTTCCAGCACTTCTTACATCCCGAGCAGATAAACTGTCCTTACTATGGTGACAGTGCTTGTCAGACAGCGAGCCAGGCCCTGGGCTAAGTGCGGGATATCATCCTCCCTCTGTTGCTGCTAATGTTCCCCGTAAACTAAATTCAGCCCCGGTGGTGGAGCTAAGGAAGGTGGTGAGGGCGCTTCCGGCATCCCTTGCACGGTCAGGAAGCCCCTGATCTGTGCTTTGAACGCAGAGCATACTGGGTTCAGCATCTACCTAGTCCCGGCCATTTATCTGGCAAGGCGGTATCACCTAACCTGGCTTTGACCCAAAAAGAATGACATTCTTGTCCAAGCCCCAGCCTGGACATTGACTTAGTAGCCTCAAATGAGGCCTGGGACAGTCAAGCTTTACCAAGCTCCTCAGGTGATTTTTACAATCAGACAATTTTGGAAACCTCTACCCAGGTGGTTCTCACTGCCGGCTGCACAGGAGAATCTCCTGGGGAGGTTTTTAAACAGAGGGCTGGGCACCCAATAGAAACTCTGATTTGATTGGTCTGGGGTGAGGGCCTGGGACCTGGAATGTTTAGAAGATCTATAGGGATCTTGAGGTCCAGTTGGGCCAAGGGAGAAGAGAACTCCTGCTGCTCCCCCACCCACAACAGAGCTGGGGAGCTGCTGGCCTGCAGGGCCTCTGTGTCACAGGTGGGGGGACCAGGGTGGGCTGCACTGGCTGGGAGGGGGTATCATGGACAAAGAATCCTTAAGCAGAGAAGTTGGCTGAGGAATAACTTTGTAGTGAGCAATTCTGCCATATGCATGCAGCTTTGCCAGTTTAGAAGATCAAACCACTGGAAAACAAAACAGAGAGTACACACACAACTTTCAGACAGAATGTTAAAAAAGACAATGCTGGAATCTGCAAAACAAATGTGCCCTCCCAGGGCAAATTCCGTAATTCACAAATTCTCCCTGACCTGTGTGCCTTTCCATGTGGTTCACTTTGGTGGAGTAAAATAGGCTACTCATCACCAAGTAGGGGCGGGAGCAGGGTGGGGAGCAGGGATTCTAGCTGGACCTGTCCTGGGCTGCAGGTGCTGGTCAAGCCACATGGAAAAACCTGGGGCAGGAGATTTCCAACCAAGAGCTCTTGGGACCTTGACCTTGTGCCCAAGCCCACAGTGCTCCTGACTGTATGAGAACGTTTTATTCGCTGCTTCAGCTACTTTCGGTGAATCAAAGATTTTTGTACAAATTGATACTAAAAGTAGATGTTAGACAGAAATAGAATCTTAGCAATCAGAGGACAGACCAACCCAAGGTCCTTTTTAATTACAAGTGACCAAGAAATGCTGTCGTCTTCATGTTGTACAAGACACCCAGAGGCCAAAAGTGCAGTTTAGAGAGGCCTGGGCCCAGGGGAGAAGGGGCTCTCCATCAGCTTTGTGCGGGAAGCTCTGCCTTCCACAACCAGCCCAGCCATACAGGCAGCATGCCTCAGATGCCAGTGGCAGTAGTACCCACACATCTGAAATGCAGCTTGGTACAAGAAATGACTAGCTCTCCAACAACAAAAAATTAAAAATAAAATAAGAAGAAATGACTAGCTCTCTGCTTTTGCTGACTGCAGGCTGGTCTGGGAAATGGCCTGAGGATGTGGCTCCCTCCCAGACCCACTTCTCCTCTTGCCCCACGTGCCCTTCCTGGCTGTGTCAGCGGCTTGCAGGCAGCCAGTTCTCACGGCACGGCTCCCACCCTGGCCCTCCCGGCCCAACTGCTCCATTCCAAGTTCCCAGTTACTGGGCTACCCACAAACTCACTGCGTCTCACACTGAACTCCGATTTGTGCCCTGTTCTTCCCCCGGCTTCCCTGCAGCTGATGCCCATTCCACCCGAGCAGTCTGCCTGCTGTCACCCATGCCCTTGGCCTCCTCGGAGTCCCACTGCGAACTGTCCACCCAGGCTCACATCTGTCCAAGGTCTGGCACCCTCCTTCCGTCCCTCAGAGCTCCCTGAGTGTGCAGGATCCTGCTTGCCTGGCCCACCACCACCTCTCCTTTGGTTACAACATCTTGCTCAATGCAGCTGTATACTCCGGCTAACAAGAACTTCAAGCACAGCTCTAATCACCCTCTGGTTCAGAAACCTTAACAGGGCTTAAAGAATTAGTCCAGGATGCCTAATACAACAGCTGAGGCCTGTCTTGATCTCTCTGCAGCCTAAGTCCCACGAGGAAACCTCACCAACCCCACCTGCAGCAGGTGCTCCCTACTGCCATGCCTGCCCAGCATTCCCACTGCCAGGAACCCCCCACCCCTGCCCCGCCCCGCCCCGCTTCCTAGTGCTCTTTTTGTGACAATCCATACTTAGGGTGCCTACACAACTTCATCTCTTCTGTGAAGAAGATGATGCAACCCCAAACTGTCAGAATTGCCTCCTCTTCTCCACAAGACTTTATCCTTCCAGGACCAGGACGACGACGACGCTGTCATCGTCGTCATCGTCATCATCGTCATCATCATCATCCCCGCATCTTCCACACCCCCAAGAGCCTTACCATCACCCACAGGCAACGATACAGGAGGTAGCAGACCTAGCTCTCCACAAACGCTTGTCGAGGTGAACTGCAAAGCCTATCTCCTGAGCAACTCTTGTCTGAGGTCAACATCACCTGCCACTGAGGACCACTGAGTGCTAGAGTCAGTCGTCCTTCACAGCTTAATGTGACAACTGCAAGGTGTGGACACTGAACCATCTCTACACAATACCAGTTGCCACAGGAGCCATTTCAACATCTATTCAGGTACCGCAGACTTCTCGAGACAGACCTTGCCTTACAGATGGAGCAACCGAAGGCCAGAGAAGCTCTGAGGTTTAACCAAGGCCACACAGCCAGTCAGAAGCACCGAGAAATATGCAACACCTCTGTGTTTTTCAAAGCCGGTATTTTACTATGTGGTGTTGGCTCTTCATGACTTCATATAAAATCAAGTCTTCCATTTCATGGACAGATTTAATCTTCAAACAGTAGATACATGTCTCTGTGTAAAGCCCTTTCTAATTAGGAACCTTGACGTTGTTTCCCCAGGGGGAAGACCGGCGGCTGTGAGTCCCCCTGCAATGCCCGTGCTGGCTGGAGGCAGCATTCAGTAACTATACTTCCCCACACCAGGAGGGGATGGTAGCAATGGCCCACTCACCAGCAAATTAAAACCTACAGAGAAATCCACATTCCCCACAGATGGTAATTAGTCATGAAAGAAGCAAATAACCTTGGCTATTTGTGACTATTTGGAAAGCTTCTTAATAAAAAATAAAGATTATGTGTTGGGTGATCCAGATGCTCGGGAAGAAGCACAGCTCTAGGCTGTGGGGTGCAGCTCCCCAGTCCTTCGTCTGGTTTCCTCCATGCCTAGAGGGCACCCTTGTCATTTCAGAGGGACATGGTGCTACAGGGAGCTGCAGGGAGAGCAGCCACAGTGCCCAAGGGCCTGGGAATGAAGTCCTGGAAGACAGCAGGAAACTTGGAGGTGTTCTGGCTAGAACAGACACACCTCTTCGATGACTCCTAGACCTATCTTATCAAGAACAGAGCAAGGTATGCAATTGTGCTACAGAGAGAAGGTCCAATGGGTGTCACACAGAGGCTGACGTAGCAGAACACGAAAGATTTGCTAAGAGCAAGGATGTCTAAAGCATGAGGCTGGCCTGCCTTTGTGAGGCAGTGAACATGGAGTCCCTGGAAGGAAACCTCTTAGCAGAAGCTCAACCAGCAGCTGTCAAAGATCTGCAGGTGCACTGGGGACTGGGCCTGACTGCAGGGATACATCCCAAATCCTAAAATTCTGGGGTCTCTTCTACAAAGCCCAATACAATTCTTAGTGTTTCTTTCTAGATTTTTAACTATTTAGGAATCATTGCTTCGTGCTGCTGAATACAATCTGAAATCATTTCCATTCTTTTGAGAGGGACAGCTTTAGTTTAGAGCCTGGACCGCTGAGAAACCTGCTCCAACGCCCTAGCCTTCCTGACCTGTGCTATCCTCAAAGCCTGTGTTAAAAAGCAAACAAAACCTGAAGCGCTGTCAATGCCTGAGCATTTCATGGAATGAATACCAAACGCCTATTCATGTTTATACATATCTTTTTGTATTGGTTCACAGTAGTTATGTAGCCAAATGGACAGAATTGGCAATGAACACACTCTAGGTCCCTTTGTTGTTGCTTGTGCAGTAACTGCTCGTCAGAATTTGGGTAAAATTTGCCCGAGAGATATGAACAACACTTTATCCTTCTATTCTGCTTCTGTTCTCCCCGGCTGTATAGTTTTCTATTTTATTATACTACAAGCTGACCTCCAAGCTCCTGGAGGCACGAAGCCTAGAATAAACAGATGCATGCACATACCCAGGCTTGCTCTCTCCTCACCATCCCAATCTCTAAACACCATGCAGAGCACTTTGATTTGACAGTGAAGAGATAACCATCTTGGACAAGCTGATTGCAAAACAGATCTCATACTTGAGCTTAAGAAGCAATCATGCTTTGCCGGGTCATATTCAAATGCTATTTCCAATTTGCACCTGTCTTCAAAATAAGATCCAAGGCCCCTGAACTGTGAAAGGTTTACGAGGTTAAAAAAAAAATGATGTCAGTCACTATTGAAATAGTTCCTCTATGCGGTCATCCAGACTGTTGGAGTAAACAACTACCATTTCTGTAACACAACAGCAACGGGATCCCCCCAGAGGAAAGCCAAGACACTAGCTGATATTCTAGAAGGTGCCTGTGCCAGGGCCTCAGCCTGCCAATAACCTCAGTTGTATTTCAGAACCTGACTGCCTCTCTGCAATGTTGCCAAGGAACTGCAATAAACAATACTACTGAGAGGCCTCTGATCCCTCGGTCGATGGGCTTCCACTGGTAGACACTGTTTATGATTAAGGGAGACGTTTTGCTTCCCATAACCATCCCTGGGTCCACAACGGTGGATGCCCACTGAAAGACAGACAGCAGATGGGACCAGCAGGAAAACACAATCAGGACTCATAAGCTTTGGGTCTAAATAAAGCACTGTCTGCAATCTGAGGGTTAGATTAGGTGAGGCAGACACACAGACAGTATCTGTTTATTGAGAAAGAGGAAAAGAGAAAGAAGGCAGGCAGGGGAGAAACAAAAAGAGGTGACGGCTTCTGGCACATCCCACCTCCTGGAAACATAATCGGTATCTGCTGAAGGCGGAAAGAATGTTGGTCCCATAAATTCTTTAAAATCCCACGAATGCCCTTCTGCCCTTAGCTAGCCCACTGACAACAGGAACACCTCAATGATGAAGAAGTGTGGCTCACACAACACTGAGCTAAAGCTGGCAACGGGTAACAATGAACAGAGAAAGATAAAGCCCTAGAGACTGAGCTGGTGGAAAGTGCAGAGGCTGGGGGCTCCAGGCTGGCAATGCAGTAAAGGTTCTCATACCAGACGTCCGAGTAAGTGGTGAAGACTCCATCCTTGAGGGACTCAGGAGACATCCAGCGCACGGGCAGCAGCCCTTTCCCTCCTTTCCGGTAATAGTCTGTCTCATAGATATCTCGCGTCATACCAAAATCTGTAAGGGAAGAGAGGGCGCAGAGTCACACGCTGGAGCAGGCACCACTGCTGTCACAGCAGAGGACCCTACACTCATTATGTGTGGAGAGACGCAAGGCAAGACACAGACACGTCCCACTTTAAGGTGGCCAAATATTAGGGTTTGCAATTTTATAAGGTGGAGACAGTAAGGGATGATTAATCACATGATGAGCAAATACCAAGCAATCTCCACTTTTAATATATTTACAATTTGATTCCCTTAGGAAGTTAATGCCCTTATTGCATTTAAATGAGAGGCAGGCTGAGCGCAGTGACTCAACGCCTGTAATCCCAGCACTTTGGGAGGCCACGACAGGAAGATCGCCTGTGCCCAGGAATTCAAGATCAGCCTGGGCAACACAGCAAGACCCTGTCTGTATAAAAAATTTTAAAAATTAGTCAGTTGTGAGTGGTGGTGTGCGCCTGTGTTCCTAGGTACTTGGGAGGCTAAGGTGGAAGAATCACTTGAGCCCTGGAGGTTGAGGCTGCAGTGAGCCATGATCACAACACTGCACTCCAGCTTGGGTGACAGAGTGAGAACCTGTCTTGAAAATAAAAATAAGAAAAAAGGAAGCGGTGTAAAAATTAGAGTCCCACAATTTAAGAAAATATATAGTACTGCAGAGACCACTGGTCATTTACACATGGTTTTAAAACCTGACCAAATAAACAGGAGAGTACAGATGCTTACTTAACTTGGTAGCACTGCCCCACCACTGGAGAAAAGTAAATAATTTCACTGCTTAATAAGGGGGAAAATATTCAGGGTAACAATTCATGATGACAAAAGTACCCAGTAAGATGCCGAAAAGATGCTATTTACGAGGCCCCTGAAGCTATTACTCAATACTGTTTTTCAACATAATCCTCCCACTCATTTTTGAAAATTTCTTCCATTTTCCATGTCTCCAGAAGATGCCACATAATTATGTTTGATGGCAGGCTCGCTTTATAATCCTAAATTATTGCTGCTTTGTCAGATTTTGATTTTGCACTCAATCATACAACCTTTTCTTAAGTGGACTCTTCCGTTCTCCTTCCCAGGAGAAAGGGCTGCTCCACTTTAAAATGCTCATGTATGTCTCTAACTCATGCCCCAAAGAGGTAAGGCTACAAAAGCAAACACAAAGAGAACAAAGTTCCTTGGACTTGAACCAACATAATTTACTTGTGCTATGCTAAGAGCCCTCAAACTGCCTCTGGTAAAATTACTTGTCATATTTGTCATCCATGAGACGCTGGGCATTGGGAAAACATCTTGAGCCCTTGAGAAGAATAAAAATGAAGTGTGAAAGTGTTATCTGTGAATTAATACAGTGACATGCAAATAGGGGATTTGCCTTTACTTGCACAAGGTGGAAAAGAAGGAATCCTATTAAAAAACACAAACGACCTTCCTCAGCACAAATGAAAAACTTGAAATTCCAGAAAGAAAAACCATGATTACAAAAAAAATCACTATAAATATGCCACATGGTTGAACAGCAAACATGATCCCTGCTGATTTGGATTTAAAATGGCAATTGGCACAAAAAACACCTCTCCCAGGGTGACGCGCAGTGGGGAGAAACTGAGTTCCCCCCATGTGCCCGGAGGGTGGGAATAAGACACAGACAGGAACTGCCATCTGGAGAGGCCCTGCCCTGTGCCAGGCACGTGCTGCTGCTTTCCTGCACCAAGTCCTTCTCATAACCCCATGGGGTCTGTTACATTATCACCCTATTTCCGAGGTGAGGAAACTGAGGCTCCCGGATGTAAGGCACCTGGCCCAAGTCTCTCACCCATTAGCGGCAGAACTGGCCCACCTCAGGCCCACCTGGCTCCCCCCTGCACTGGGAAAGGGGAGCTGGCTGGCATTTCCACGGGGACAATGTGAGTTCTACAGAGAGGGAAGGAGAAATGAGCTGGGTGCACCAAGGAAGCCCAGCCAGGGACGCGGGCGGCTCTTTCCTGAGAGCCCTGAGGCAGGACGGCCTCTTGGGACTTCTTTGCCTCTCTGAGGGCTGCCCAGCTTCACAGAGCACCAAACGTGAGGACGTCTCAACGTGCCAAACCTAGGGACACACTGGTGGATCCTGAATGAGGAACTCTGATGACGGAGGGATGTGGGCTCTGGGATATGGTTCCATTTCAATACCTCTAGCTCCTACAGAGTAAAAAGAAAGACACTCACCCCTACTTTAGAAACCATTCTCAGCTGGGTGTGGTGGCTCACGCCTGTAATCTCAGCACTTTGGGAGGCCGAGGTGCGTGGATCACCTGAGGTCAGGAGTTCAAGACCATCCTGGCTAACATGATGAAAACCTGTTTCTACTAAAAATATAAAAAATCAGCTGGGTGTGGTGGCACGCGCCTGTAATCCCAACTAGTCAGGAGGCTGAGGCAGGAGAATCACTTGAACCTGGGAGGTGGAGGTTGTGGTGAGCCAAGATTGTGCCACTGCACTCCAGCTTGGAAAACAAGAGCAAAACTCTGTCTCAAAAAAAGAAACCGTTCTCTAAAAGATTCTCATTGTTCACCAAAGGGGCTAAAACATTTCATTAAAACATCACTACTAAAGGAAAAAAATATGTTACTAAAGGAAGGTGAACACTTCCAGAAAAGGCAGTTCAAGAACTAGACACAGAGGTCCATTTGAAATAGCTTCTTTTGGGTGTTAAATCTCCCCTGCAGTTTCTCAGGATAAATATTTGGTATTTTTCTAAACTATCATTGTATCATAGTGGGAAGATGAGAATCCTGGTAAAAGCAGGTGGTTTCCTGAGCAGCCCTGATGTTATGTGTGTTTTTATTAGGCAGATTAAAAGACCGAAGTAAAAACACAAACCTAAAGGCTGAAGTGGGTTTTAACCATTGCTCAGAAATTCAATCCAACCCTTTTTTCTGGTGTGACAGTGGGTGGTGGCAACAAGGGAGTCTAACCAGTAGGCTGGTGAGCTAAGAGCAGGACAGTAAGTGTTGTGAGAGAGTGGTCGAGAGCTTGGAGGCTGGCCAGCCCCAGCCGTGAAACCCAGTGAGCAGTGATCGTCCCTCACCTAAGGGACTGCCATGCCAGCTCCTGCCACTGCTCCTGCTCCGTGCAGAGGCTTCGTCATTAGGGCAGCTTGCCTCTTAGAAACCAATGTGGGTCCCTGGAAGGGGAGCAATGCTCCTTAAAAGCTAGGAAAATTGGAGGGATGAATGCAAGGTTGGACAGTGAGTTTTATTCCCAAGTCAAAATCTCCTGAAGACATTGTCTTAATTATTTCTGTAACCAATGCTAAGAGGTGTTCTACCAAGAAATGCCTCAAACGTCTGGAGAGCCAGCCTCAGGGACCGTGCCCAGTATCTGAACCACCATGTCCATGAGCTATCAGCATTGGGACCGACCGTGCCAGGTTTGTGACCATCAACTGGAGACAATCACATCATTCCCAAGAAGGAGTCCGTGCACTCAAGGGACACACTAGAAAACCTCTCCAGGGGCAGACTAATGCCAACAAAGTCCTCAAAACACCTGAGTTTAGTTCTTGCCCAGACCTGGAAAGCTAAGGACACACCTCCGATTTTGACTGTGAAATCTTCGGCTACCATGCAATTCCGGGCAGCAAGGTCTCTGTGGACGAACTTATTGGCGTTGAGGTATGCCATGCCGTCTGCAATCTCTCCGGCCATCTGAATCATCTTGCTCAGGCTTGGAGGTGCTAGGACTGGATTATTCTGTTGGAGATTTAAAAAAATTCACATGAGAATTTTGGATTTTTTTTTTCCATGCCAATTTCTTTCGAGGTTTGCATATCATCTTTGTTCAATCTGGGCACCGTGGGTTGTTTATGCTAAGAAACCAGGACTTGCTCGGAAGGAACAAACCATCATGGAGAGCATGGCACCTGCTTGCTCCCCGCAAGCTTATTTGCACTTGCTCCCTGACCACATCAGAGCTGGTGAGGGAAACACCAATTTGCACTCTTTAGGACCAACATTTTCTATTTTGGGTAGGGCAACATTTTTTTAAAGTGAAACAAGCCATTTTTGGTAGTAAGGATTCTCAGTTACTCAAATTCCTATTTGTTTATATGTTCCTTTTATTTCCATCACCGAAGTACAGGTAAGAGGAAGGAGAGCACGTTACAAAGGCTGTGTGGAAGTAAGCAAATGTGTTTCCAAATGGACATGGTATATTTTATTTCCCATAAGAGCATCGTTATAAATTATTTAATCCTTTTCTTTCCCTTCAACCTTCTTCTAAAATACAAAAATACCAGGATTACTGTTTTCACCTTACAATGTGGCATTATTATTTTCTGTCGGCATTACGGAAGACAAGTCCTTGGCAACTGAAGTCCAGCTGAAACTAGTCTTGGAGGAAACCAGGAATAAGTAACAGGGATAAGCATTCCTCTTTGCAGAGGACAGCAACGTGCTGGCTTTGGAATTAAAAAGAATTACCCTTAAATAATACATCCATTTAGAAAAAAGTTTTATATAAAACACATGCCCAAGTCTCTCCATCCTAAAACAATCACTAGTCCCTAATTTTAATGTTACCTTTTACTTTTGCATATACAAGTGCAACAGACTCTACACCTTGGTTTTCTTGACCACAAAGCATCTCACACAGCACTGCAAAGCCATAGGGCTCTGACAGGTCCCACACTTGCAGGCCGGCCACCAGCTGAGCATGCCCAGGCTTTTCCACATGGGGTATCACAGTGGTTTCACTGACGAGAAGATGACCTGGGGCCACGCACAGAAAGTGCCCAGTGGTGCGTGGCACATAGTCAATGCCCAGTGGATGCTGGCTGCTGCCCTGTGAGGTGCTAGTTTCTACTGAAAGCTAGTATTTGGAATCATTATAACAACTCCTCGGTACTTCTGGGTTGGTTCTCTACACTTGGTGACACAAACCTTTGAATTCTGAACAGGCTGTCAAAGCTGTCTCTTGGTGACTTAAAACACTTATCACGTGGTTATCTGGGGAAGCAACATTAAGTCACTGGGGGTAAGTCCAAATCACTACTTTTCAGGGCTTTAGATACGTGTGATGCATGAGGAAATATGCACATGAAATGTAAAGTTTATGCTCACAATTCTTAAATATTACAGTATGACCTATATGTGTTATGAAGTGGTCATTTATAATTGCCGTGAGCAACAGAATCAACAAAAGCACTCAACTTTAAGCATGGAGAAAGACAGAGGGCTGAAATTTTGTCAGTTCATGGTGTTACACTGCCATTCTTTCCTTTAATTTGGTTAGAGCTATTTAAGACAAGTATACATATACACCTACTCGTAGTGAGATACGTAAGTGAAACTTGGTCGGGGGAGCAGGTTGAATATAATGAAACTGCAGGGTAAGTGCACACATTTTAATACTTGACATGAGCTAGAAAGAAAAAGTTTAAATCTGACCAATCTAAAGGTGAATTTTAGTTCTGAAAGGGACTTCAGTAATCTTGTCCCACCCTCTTATTTTATATTGAGGACACTGAGGCCCAGGAACCTGCAGCGGCTGTCTGAGGACCACAGGCAGCCAGCCGCAGAGCCAGGACCAAGGCCATGTGTTCTGAATTTTTATTCTGTGCCTGAAACTGGGGAGGAAGGGAGTGAGTTTTGGACTTTTCAGAGGTGCCTCAATCGATGCTGGCAAGAAATACTCTGCCAGATCTCCAGTCACCTATTTCATCAAGCTTTTCTCCTTCATGCTGTTTTGTGTATTAAAGTGAACCAAGGGCCAGGCGCAGCGGCTCACACCTGTAATCCCAGCACTTTGGGAGGCTGAGGTGGGTGGATCACCTGAGGTCAGGAGTTCAAGACCAGCCTGGCCAACATGGTGAAACCCCGTCTCTACTAAAAATACAAAAATTAGGTGGGCGTGGTGGTACACACCTGTAATCCCAGCTACTTGGGAGACTGAGGCAGGAGAATCGCTTGAACCCAGGTGGTGGAGGTTGCAGTGAGCTGAGATCATGCCACTGCACCCCAGCCTGGGCAACAGAGCAAAACTCCATCTCGAAAGAAAGAGAGTGACAGAGACACAGAGAGGGCCAGAGAAAGTGAGTGAGTGAACCAGGAAGAGGCACTAACACCCAGGGGTGCTGGGGACCAATGCTTGGCAGAACAGAGGGTGGGAGTTTTGTAAACCATCCTGCTTGAAGCCCCAGTCCACACTTGGCCCCAAACACCATGTGCTGCAAATACATGAAGTCATATGTGAACAGGTGTTTGGAACTAAAATTAAGAAACTGTCACTTGGGAGATGATTAAGTTGCCGATTCAAAGAACATTAAAAAAAAAAAAAAATTAAGCCCAAATGAAGAACAGCAAAAGAATTTCCAAAGGGGCCGAGAAGGGGAAGTCACTGCTTCTAAGGAATAAAAGCAGACACACTGCTTACCCAGTAAGCAGCAAAGTAAGGGTCAAAGACTTCAGACCCACGGAGGCAACCAAATGAAAACTCAGTTCTTGCTGGCTTTATGTCTCAGCATTTATCTCCCAGTTTATTTGTAGAATTAATTACTCAAAAGTCATGCCCGCATATGTTAAAAAGCTGGCCTGTGGGTTAATACTACAGAGGGGGGAGACACCACGGTGACTTTTAATGAAAAATTGCATAGGACTTTAGCAGGTTTAGAATTGGAAGCTCATAACCCAAAGTGAAATTTTTAGGAAACTAAGCAGAAATCCTGCAGCTGAGGTGGGATCATTCATTCAAAAGCGTAAGCAGGACACTGACTCTGGATCAATCCTGAAACGTGGACGTAGAGTCTGAGGAAACCAGATTCCCAGTGGCAAAGACAAGGACCGCCAACAATGCCGGGGAAGGGGACTGTGTGTGGGGAGGGGGTTTATGAATGAGTGCACATCTTGCGCACGGAGCTGGGTGGGAAATCACCCAGCAACTTCCCAGATGCAAGGGCAAGAATCCAGGCAGCTTAACCTTGAACTGTAACATACATTTATTGACAGAGTGCCTGCCACAAATGCGGCCCTGAGCCACACACTTGGACTGAGATGAAAAGCTAAACACAACGGGGTGGAGGGGGGACACACTCCAACAACAGCACAACACAACATAACGAGAGAGAACACATACGAGGATGTGAGTCAAGCGCATCGAGAAGTTAGCAGAGAAGATAGCTACTGGAGTGGGGCAGGAAAGCTTCGGGGAGGGAGTGGCGCTGGCCTGGCTTGGCAGGTGGACACTGATGTGGGGAGGGGACTGGGGGTGGAGGGAATGCAGGAACAAAGGCACAGAGGGGCTTAGCAGAGGGGATCCAAGGAACAGGAAGTTCCCCTCACGAAGATCAGAGTCTGACTCTAGTTGGGGAAATCCTTTGCATAAATGACCTACAACTGAGCATGCAGTAAGAAACACTGGATGCTGGAAAGTAAACTGATTTAAAGACACAGCATTTCCTTGCAGGGAGATTATAAAGGAAAAGAGAGCAGGCCAGGCAACATGCAATACCGGTGGAAATGAAAACTGACCTCCATTTCTGGCCTCAGAGACCGGAGATAACTTTTGAGATCGCCCCGTGTCATCAGTTCCATGATGACCAGTGTTGGCTGGCCTTGGGACACCACACCCAGCAATCGCACCTGGGAGGAATCAAAAAGAGAAAGACTCAGAGGGTCAGGTGGCCCTTGCTGATGCCTGTGTTGTCTGGAACTGTCTCTGTGGTGCTGCGGCCTGGTCTGAGCACAGGGGTCTGAAGGTAGCAGTGAGGTAATGGGGTAACTATCCAGAAGGCAAAGGCAAGACACCAAACCCACGGGTACATGCAGCCAAGAACATACTGGGAGGCTTGTGTGATACCCTCTCCCTGTGCTGCATTTTGGCTTTTCAGGAACTTTCTCTTACCACATGGTGACAATTGAACTCCTTCATCACAGAAGCTTCGTTGAGAAACTCAATCCTCTCACGCATGCTTGCGGCCTCGTTCACTGTTTTAATGGCCACTCTGGTTTCAGGTTCATCTTTCACCACACCCTTGGCAACTCCTTCATAGACCATCCCAAACGACCCCTGCCCAAGTTCCCGGCTCATGGTGATCTTCTCCCGAGCCACCTCCCACTCATCAGGAACGTACACTGGAGAAGAAACCGTAATTAAAGCAGGTACAGAAACAAGCCCTTAGACAGAACGTGCTTTGGGGGAACTCTAAGCCAAAGAATATAAGATGCTGCTTCCTTAAACCCACAGAGAATACCAGGAGGCGATGGCATGGCTTGATGTCAACTTTCCACATGCTATAGATTTGAGTAAGAAAACTGTACAGTCAGTACTAGTATTTCAGATCTCTGAGGATTTCAAGATAATTTGAGGATACTAACAGATAGAAGGACCAGAACAAAGCAAGGAAGTCTAGTATAGGAAAGAAAGCAGTTGGTTTTTAAAAATTTCTTTTCATCACATAAAAACACATTTTTGAAAAAAACAAATTAACCACAGGGGATTGAGAAACTGAATGAAATGGTCAAGCAGGATTTTACCCATCTTCACCAACAGATTAAAACGCAAATGTAAAAAGGAGGAGAGTAGTAGGGAGAGGGAAGAGTTCTTATGCTGGGTCGGGAAAAAGGCCAGAGTCACATATGAGAGGTGATGATGGTGCACGTAAGGTCCTACTTCTTGGATGAATCCAAAAGAGGTGTCAGGGCCCTCAACACAGATGCTATGCCTGGGCTATCTAACATGGCAGCTGGTCCCTACATGGGACTCCTGAGCATTCCATGTGGCCAGTCCAATTTGAGACATGCACATGGGATTTCAAAGATTAGACAAAAAAAAAAAAAAAAGTGAAATATTTAGGTAACTTTAATACTGACTCCATGTTAAAATGGATATTTTGGATATACTGGGTTACACGAAACGTATTATTGGAACTAAAAAACTATTAAAATGCATTTGATCTGTTTCTTTTTACTTTTAAAAAATACGGCTACTAGAAAATTTGCGGTTACAAAGCTGAACTGCATTATTGGTAGGATTACTCTAGTCCAAGTGTCCCCCAGCCTTGGCTTTGATGGCTGGATCCCTGATGAGGTGCAGAAGCAACTGAGCTCTGAGACTGAGGGAGAGACCCGGTGGTGCCCAGCGTGGACAGGCAATTAGGCAGCGGACGGGCAGAGGCGTTTCCAGGGCTCTGGCCTGGGCTCTGTGAACTCAGGGACCTTGACCAATGGGTAGAGATTTGGGAGGAATGCACAGTAGATACCAAGCCTGAATAGGATTTCTTCTCCAGTTTCTGTTTCTGTTTAGATTCGATCTGGTTTAAGAAAATAAATGGGCCGTGTGCGGTGGCTCATGCCTGTAATCGTAGGCCAAGTTGGGAGGATCGCTTGAGCCCAGGAATTTGAGACCAGCCTGGGCAACATGGCAAAACACTGTCTCTATTAAAAAATTAGCCAGGTGTGATGGCACACACCTGGAATCCCAGCTACTCAGGGGGCTGAGGCAGGAGAATCGCCTGAGCCCAGGAGGTTGAGGCTACTGGGAGCTGAGACTGCACCACTGCACTCCAGCCTGGGCAACAGAGTGAGAACCTGTCTCAAAAAAATGAATGAATGAATAAATAAATATTTCTATGCAGGAAGGAAGGCAAAACAAAGAGAAAGAAAGGAAAAAGGTTGGAAAGAAAGAAAACAAAACCAAACACAGGCTCAATTCTACACCTCCAAATGGGTAGGGTAAAAACGAAAATAAAATCAACCTGTTCCATAAGATCCATATGAAATGTCAGTAATTCCTCTGACGCTGTGTGCTAATGTCCTTGCCTGACGGGACCTGCCACCAGGCTCTACCACACACTGACTGTGGGAAGGAGGTGGTCCTGGCTCAGAAAGGAGGTGGAGAAGGTGCCTGTTTTTGCTTTCATGCTTTCAGATGCTGACCCTGGGCCTGTGGCTGGATGTGAGAGGCTGACAACTGTATCCTAACATCTCCATATCCCAACTATCAACCTTTAAGTGATGTCTCAAAGGAGAGATGTTTATTATAAATTAGGCCCAGGAGGGGCACCATCATTTTAGACCTCTGAGGGGTGTCCAATATGAACTTCATTAATAATCTTGTTTTCTTTCCTACACATTTTTGTATTTCATAGTACGTATGTTTCAAGGGTTTCACGAATGGAACTCTGCCCTCCAGCTGGCATAGGTGGCTTGCACCCCTGAAGAAGAGGCGGGTGCTTGTCAGAGGAGAGTAAGTATGCAAGACAACCCAGGAGATAAGGCTCTTCACAATGCGCCTCAGAAAGTGTAAAGAGTTCACTGTCTCCAGCCATTTATCTCTGAGAATCCAGGCTTGCTTTTAATCAGAATTAACTGTTTAGCCTGCCATAAAACATGGAGTTGAAACCAATCACATTCATTCCCTGGGAGGTCCCTGAAGTCAATACGCTCAATCCTTTTCTCTCGATTCAACCCAACGGCTCCGACTTTAAGCAGGCGTCCCCAGTGCCACCAGCCAGGAGCGGTTTCTGTGCACAATGTTATCAGCACTTTCCTGTAGGGGATTTTCAATGTACTCTGGAGAATGGTGACATGCAGATTATAGCTTTGGGAAAAAGAAGTTTTTAAAGCACTTTTGAACTGCAATGTCATTTTGTTGCCCCTCGAGGAAACTGGCTATAAGTGCTTCTCAAAGGCCGAATAAATTAAGTTCAAATAAGGTGACACTGTTCCCACCTGTCGACCTGGGTGGCAATAAGTTTGTTTTTGTTGTAATGAAGTACCAAGACGTATCATGAAAGCATTCTAGAAGGACACAAAATGTGAATTCAAGTCACCATGAGAGCCCTGAGAATCTGAATTTGTTGTATTGATGCTTTCTCTTCCTGGACACTTCACAGTCAAAAGCTACACACACCAACCTCTAGTGCCGCATTTCAAAGCAGAATAGCTTCTCTCGTAGAGTCACAGTCCACCCTCACAGAGGGAGAAAGTGGTCTTGCCTTGTTCTATCAATTCCATCATCTGGGATGACTCCCTTCCTTACTGATTTTCTTTTTAGAAGCTATTATTCATACAAACAATGCATATCTATCTTCTTGCTGGATTTTAAGAGCCAGTCTCGCTCTATAGGCTGTAGTGCAGTGGTGGGATTCTAGCTCACTGCAGCTCTTGGGCTCAGGTAATCCTTTCACCTCAGTCTCCCGAGTAGCTGGGACTACAGGTGCCTTCGACCACATCTGGCTTTTTTTTTTTTTTTTTTTTTAAAGGGAAAGATCCTCTCCACAAGTAACAACTCTTGTAAGTGTGGTGTGCATCCGTCCAGAATGTTCTCTCTGCCTTATATACACACACTACAGAAGTATGTATATATATATTACTATTAAAAAACCAACTTTGTGAGACCTTTATGTAGATAGAAATAAAGTCATTATTCTGCACCTGATTCCCATTCAGAGGAGGCTGCTTTTGATTGACTTTACTATAAACTGAATTAGAAATTATTAAAGAAACCATAGTAAAACCCTACATAGTATAACGGTGTTTTCACATTATTAAAGTATTTTCTTATGTTTTCTTATTTGATCACAATAATTAGAATAATCATGTCTCTTTATTTCACATCTCCTGCATCTACTTTCACTTCTCCCGAGGCAAGAAGACAGCAAACACTTTTTCTAAATGTACTCACTCAACATCATGCACTTATTTATTATTCATTTGATGAATCCGGTCCAGCCCCTCCTGAGGGCTGTTTCCTTGCCTGCCCGGGGGACCTCACAGCCCTTTCCACAGTGATTCCATTCTCCTCCTGACTTCTCAACTGTCTAACCATGTGAGCCTGCACAAGTTTTTTCCCAGAGTTCATTTCCTCACCTGCAGATGGGCATTAAGAAAACGCACATTGCAGGGGTTTAAGAAACAAATGGGATGGTGTTTGTAAAAGCCCCTAGCAAAGTGCCAGTTAAGGGTCCTAGTATCACTGGACTCAGTGACCAACCCCTCACCCTAATCCGACTCACTCAAAAGGTCTGGATATAAAAATGCTAGAAAGAGCAAAAAAGGAAATAACCATTGAGGATCACCCAACTTCCATGTCAGACCTTCCCAGCCACTTAACTGAATGGCCCTCATTAGTTATTACCAAGGGGAATGTGAATGAGCCACGAGCGTATGACCCTAGTCGGAAGGGAATGACAGAAAAATTCCATGATAAAAAAAAAAGCAGAGCTGTAATTCATCAAAGACAATTATAATGAGATGATACTCAAGCTGAAACTAGTTTAAAAGGACTGTTTTGTCAGCTGCAGCATATCCTCTGACTAGATGTTAACAATTAAAAAGCTGTTTTCATTCTAGCATAACATCTCAAGCAATTAAATAAATTGATTACTGCGCTGGCCACATTCATCTCTAAAGCCTGTGTTTCCTTGGGGCACCCCATACAGTCCCACAAGTTTTGACATATTCACTGAACTGCTAAAAACTTTGATTAAAAAAAAAAAGAAAGAAAGAAATATTAATGAAGACAGATCCAAGGCCAAAGGTAGCTCAAAATAATGCAAACCTCCTTCCTTTCCCAAATTAGCAACCCTCCTGAAAGCTCCCGATCTACCTGCCCTGCACGCTGGCAGTGCTGGTGGCCCGGACTCTTACCATCAGCAGCGCTGAAGTACTCCGGGTTCACAGAGGCATACAGCACTCCATTCCCCAGCCTGCTGTTATTTCTGTCAAAAAGATTAAATTCACGTTAACAAAACCCCACCTCCATACATTCCTGTATATACTTTCATCTTCGCTACAACAGTTTCATTTATCCTCTCTCACACGGTATCAGAACAGAATGGGGAGAGCTTACTGTCTACAGCAGCTCTTGTCTACACTCCCAATTCAGGCCTGGGTGAGCCAGCAGACATTTGCTAACACATCTTCTGGCTTCCTCAGTAGCCTGAGATTAGCGCTTTTTAAGAAACATCTGTTTCTTTACTTCATTGGAAATAAAAAGGCTTATTTGATTGGGAAGGCTAGCGCATCGCGTTTGGAAAAGTATGCACCAGCAGCAGTATCTGTATACCAGAAAAGCCAGCCAGGGGAAGGTCTGTACCATCGAAAAATTATTTTGGCTGTTGTTAAAATCATTAGAAAAGGTTCTCTTTTCCTGGAAGAACATTTGATGGGAAAATCAGGTTTTCCAGTCCATAAAATATTTCCTTGAAATCTTCAAAAATATCACCTTCACTCACATTCAAATCATCAAACCACTCAGCCACAGAAAGTGTCATAACTTTGCACATCACTGACCTCTTTCTATGGAAGACGTACAGCATAATCACCAACCCTCCCACGATCAACAGGACAGCGACGGGCAGAGCGATGATCAGATGGATGAAGTTTTCATATCCTGCTGCAGCAAAGAGGAGGAAATGATAAAATATCACCAGGTGAACAATTTGCTCATTTCATTTCTTCACATTCAGTTGGAAGTATGAAAAAAATACCTGTATATTCGTTTACTCCCCATCATACAGTAAGAATTCCTGAAGGTAAATGGTGTCAGAAATAGAACACGGCAAACAAACAATTATTTGAAAAAAGAGTAAATATGTGCAGACTGAGGCATATACTCATTTTTTAAAGTACAGTATATTCTGGTGCAATAGTTTCAATGATAGACTGAAGAAAAATAATCTTTGTACGCAGTTTAATGACTGTTAGTGAAAATGCATACATTTGACACTAATTTCCCACATTCCACAGAATGTTCCAGGGTTTGGTCCATGTCCCCGGTACCCAGCCTAGCATCTGCCATACAAGTGTTGGTTCTGTTGGTAAGCGGTCTTTGTGATCTCACACCTGTAAAAGGACTCAAATGCTTGCAGCAGCAAGCATTCTATTTCTAATAAATAGAATGAAAATTTCTATTCATTTTCATAAAATGAATAGAAATTCTTACATCTATGTACAGTCTACATCTATGTATAGGTCAAGTCCTGCTGGCCTCAATCTTTGAGATAGTTCCACAGACAATTTAAAATAAACACACACACACATGCACACACTGGACGGCACCCCTTTCCAATGCCGCTGCAGACATTTGAGTCCTGCTACAAGTCTAAGACCACAGAAGCCACTGATCATCAGAACCAGCACTTGTATGGCAGATGCTAGGCTGGGCACCAGGCACATGGACCCATACCCTGGAACATTCTGTGGGACATGGGAAATTAGTGTCAACAGGTAGCATGACAACTAGAAAAGTGGACTTCACATATGGCAACAATTCAGAGAGGAAGGGAGAGGAGAGAAGGGAGTCGAGGGAACCTCCCCAAGGGAAAACTTGTTTATGATATGCTTTCCTTGGGGGTTGTGGGGAAATGGCTTTCCTAGAAAATGATGATACTGGAGAGAAGTCAGGGCCAGCTCACAAGGGACCCAGCCCAAGCTAAGCAGTTTCACCCTCATTCTGCAGATTAAAAGGAGTCAGCGAAAGCTTTCAGGCCCAGCAGTGAACTGATCAGATTCGCGTTCCAGGGAAATGGCTGTGCTGAGGACAGACGGAGGGACCTGGCAGTAAGAGAAGGCACTGTCATGTCTTGGAGAATTGGGGGGACATGCCATGTCTCCAGGGCATGCTCTGCATTACCCAGTTCAGACCTACAAAGAAGTCACTGATCCTTGTCTTTACACCAGGCAGACTCACAGAGATGATCTGGCTTGGTAAGTCATGGCCCCAGGATGAGGCTCATACAGTATGACAGCTCATACCATCCCCCCAAGGCGAGTGACCTGGAGTCTGAGCTGTGGCGGTGCTGGTGGTGACAGAGGGCTGGATTCCAGAGACATTTAAGAGGCAGAATCCATGAGGCTTGGGTTGGAATGAAAAAGGGGTGGCTGAACAGAAAGAAGAGTGAAGGATGCTGTGAGGTTCCTGGCTTGGGTAACAAATGGATTACAAGACCACTGACTGAGCTAAGGAGCAAAGGAGAGAAGAGGCCTTTCGAGGGCAACAACTGTGATTTTGGTTTTGGCACAAGGAATCTGAGACCTCTCTGGGACGTCCAAATACAGATGTCTATGTGGAAATGGGCCTGGAATCACTGGGGATCAAGTAAACATTAATCGTAAGTCCCCTATCAATGATTATTTTGCCATGGAAAACTGTGATCATGGTTACTCTTTAAAGACTACTACAGCTATTTTAATTTTTAAAATTAGAAGTATTTTAATCGAAGAAAGAAATATTTTTATTGATATTGTAGCTCTCAAAATGGATGCAGGCTCCAGCATTTTGCAATTCCTAAAAACACTCAGAGGTGATCATTACCAACGGAAAGCTGGCAGATTTTTCTTTCTTCCCCCAAGGCCCTTATATCACTGTTTATATCACTTATACTACTGGTCAGGCTGTACTGTGTTCTTTTTGAGTTTCACATTTCAACAGGGACATGGAGAAAATGGAACACATCCAGAGAATAACAAAAATGATTAAATGGCTAGGAAACTGGTGTATGATATTGGGCTACAAGAAAAGGCCAAAAGACCTGAGATTATTTCATCTGGAAAAGAGAAGTCTGAGGAGTAATTTAATAGTATTCAGGCACACAAGGAGTTCCTAAAAGGAAGGCAGTTGCCTGAAAGCTTCCAAACCTTCCATCTCCTCTGAGGATTAAATAAGAGGAAATGAGACTAAACTGTAGCAGGACAGAGTCTTGTCTGACATAAGGAAAAATTTCTCAACAGTAAGGCCAGCACGCAGATCCAATTTCCCTGCAGTACGTGATAACATCTGCTGGAAAAATTCTATCAGAAGGACTCCCGATTTCCCACTGGCATCCTGGCACTTACAAGGTTAAAAATGGAGCAGCAAAGCCAGACAGGAACATGTCATGTCACCAAAACAAGCTGAGTTCACTCAACCCCAGAAGCCAAGGTTGCTGTTTCACAGATCACAGACCCCCAAACTAGGATCTGTTTCTAGGAGATGGAGGGGAGGAAAAAGAGGAGGGAAGGAGGCTGGGGAAAGATAGAAAGCAAGCAAGCCACTACCCTGGACAAGGCTGCAGGAATATTATGAAGCTTCTGGGTGCTGCAAAGGTGGCATAGACTAACTGGTGAGACTAGGTTAACTGGACTAGATGGAACAATTCAGACTATTTTAATTGACAAAATTATCTGCCTAAACATCCATTTACCCCTAAAAACCTGAACCCAGGAACAGTGCCAGGCACATAAAATGTTGGCTCAAGATTTGCAGTTCTATTCACCCCATCCTGCTTTTGCTGTCTGTATTAGGATTTTCAGATATCACAAACAGATTAGAATATCTGGTGCTGACCAGGTGACTACTGGAGATCTTTTTTAAAATTAATTAATTTTAATATACAAATAAAAATTGTATATTTATCATGTACAACATATTGTTTTGAAATATGCATACATTGTAGAACAGCTGAATGAGCCTAATTAACATATGTATTACATCACATTTTTTTGTGTGTGGTGAGAACACTTAAAATCTATTGTCTCAGCAATTTTTAAGAATACATCATTATTACTGTCATCATGTACAATATATCTATTGAACTTATTCCTCCTATCTAACTGAAATTTTGTATCCTTTGACTAACATCTCCCCAAATCTGCTCCCTCACCCTCAGCCCCTGGTAACCTCCATTCTACTCTCCATGAGCTTAACTTCTTAGATTCCGCATTATCAGAAAGATCATGTGGTATTTCTCTTTCTGTGTCTGGCTTATTTAACTTAACATCATGTCCTCCAGGTTCATCCAGGTTGCCACAAACGACATTTTTCTTTTCTAATTTATGGTAGAATAGTATTCTATAATGTATATGTACCAGGTTTTCTTTATCCATTCATATACATAGTGATGGACATCAGGTGGATTCCATGTCTTGGCCACTGTGAATAGTGCTGCAGTGAACATGGGAGTGCAGAGAGCTGTTTGACATACCTATTTCATTGCCTTTGGAAATATACTAGAAGTGAGATTGCTGGACCTATTGAGTGCGCTGTTTTTTGTTTTTTTTCCTTTTTTCTTGAGATGGAGTTCTGCTCTGTCACCCAGGCTGGAGTGCAGTGACATATCTTGGCTCACTGCAACCTCTGCCTCCCAGGTTCAAGAGATTCTCTTGCCTCAACCTCCCAAGTAGCTGGGATTACAGGCGTGTACCACCACCCCCAACTAATTTTTTTATTTTTAGTAGAGACGGGGTTTCACCCATGTTGGCCAGGCTAGTCTCAAACTCCTGACCTCAAGAGATCCACCCACCTTGGCCTCCCAAAGTGTTGGGATCACAGGCGTGAGCCACTGCACCCGGCGGAGTGCATGTTTTAACGTAACTCCAGATGTGAGTAGCAGAAATGTGGACACCAGGAAAGATCAGCCCACTAGACCCAAAAGTGTTACCACTAAGTGAGGCTGCATTGCTATTTTATGTGTTATGCCAAATTTGATCCCATTCCATGAACATGAAATAATCTTAAAAACTGGGTTTGAAATAAGAAATAACAGAAACTCAACACAGAACTAATTTCACCAAAATACTAAGTTTTGTTGGTCAAACAACAAGTATGTGGCCCTTGTTGCGCTTATACATCTTATAATTTGTTTTAAAATCTGAAGTCATCACACAGAACAGCCTAAGAATTCTGTCTTGTTAATGACTTGAGCATAAACTCACATTCCTCAGTCTCTGTACCAAAGGGTGAGCACCGTACATTTCCAATGCATGTGGGGACTTTAAAAGGACAGTGGAGGGTCTGCGATGCTACCGTGGAGATTCCTGCCCTGTAGCAGGCTGAACCAGATGACCTCTGGAGTTCCTTACACCCCTTAGGATTTCAAGCCCTGAATCCGAGCCCTATCTAGCTTTACTGACCAAGTAGGAGGTGGAATGGTCAATTCAATGCTTTATAAAATGTCTTTTGTTTAAAAAAAAAAAAAAGTCTTTGAATGTAAGCCAGGTTGAAAGCAACTGTCTCCTCTGGCTCTCCAGTGGTTACACAACCTCAAAGGAGAGGCTCGGATCCTCTCCCTTCCTGCCACATGAGGTAGGAGCCCAAAGCTCGGCATCTGCCCTGCCCAACCTTTCACACACAGTGCCGGTATGTGCCGGCACCTTAGCATGACCCTTCTGGAAGCTGGCCAACTCCATTTTAACAGAAAATAAGACAGCCATGAACACTCGGGCTGTCCTGATCCTGGACCACCCTGCTTTCAGTTTTACCACGTTTCTTCTCCCTCCACAAGCCTTACTTTTGGCCTGGACATAGAAGAACACAGGATCTGTCCACGACCCATTCCCAGAGAGAGATGTGGCCTGAATCCGGGCTGTGTAGTTCCCCGGGTTTAGCCGGTTTAGCTTGGCCCCTCCATACTTCCTGTATTCCTGTCTGGACACACATTCTCGCTGATCCTGGGGAAATAAAACATACATGTCAATTTCCCATGAATGCAGGAGAAATCTGGGGCCTGCCAACTAAACTCACCACACTGGGGACTCCAGCTGCCTGATCTGACCTCCCACCTAACAATGATCCTGAGTGTCAGTAAAGACAAAGAAATCAAATCTTAAAAGGTCGTCTTCAAGTAGCTTTAAGCACACCCAAAAGCTTTAACCAAACATTTTTGTAACCAAGAACTCCAGAAGGATTAAAAGTTATTAGAACTGACCTGGCCTATGCCACAAGGTTATCTTACACAATGAAATCGTTTCTTGAGGGCAAAAAGCAGCCTAGCTCTTTGCACACTATGCAGTACTCCTTGGAGAGTACAGAGTGGGTAGAAAGACCCAAATCCTCACCAACTTGGCATGGATTTTATTGTTTTAAGTCCTATGCTAACCAGGAGGTAACCTGTGCAGTCAGGTAGCATATGCTGTCAATGGATGGAAGTACATGCAGGCACGGGCCACTGCCCCAGTCCTACCTCAACTTGTGATCCGTATTTTATTTCATACATTAGAATCAATCCATTGGGATTCTCAGGTTCCGGCCACTTTAAAAAGATGGAGTTTTCAGGCCTTGGCTCCCAGGTCACTGGCCCAGGAATGTCATCTGCTCCTTCTGTACAATTTAAACAGGTGACAAAGTTGGATTTGGGTTCCCAGGGAGGGAGGCCAACACTGGGCTGACCTGAGAATAACCCCCCCATCCACACGGGCAGGACAGTGGAGATCAGCCACGTACACTGAGAATAACGCCCCCATCCACGCGGGCAGGACAGTGGAGATCAGCCACGTACACTGCCCCTGAGCGGGCTGCTCACACAGCGGAGGGTTCAGAATACACCAACCACAAAACTTGCACGTCTCAAGATGCCACAAGATCCTCCTTTCTCCCCAGTCCCTCAACAAAAAAAGCCTGCTGCCAAGCACAGCAGGAAAATCTTGGCAACCTAAGTAACTTTCTTCTACCCTGTGCCTACCACTTGAAAAAAGAAAGCTTTGTGAAGCCATCAAACACAAGCAGCCCTGGAAAGATGCTGAGTAAGCAGAAGCAGGACACGGGGCCTGCCGGCTGTGACAGGGACCCTCCGTGGCCCGCGTCTACACGCGGCAACTGCAATTTTTATGCAGGCACGAAGGATGGCCCCGAGCCCGGCCTGTGAGGAAGCTGCTAGGAGGCTGGTGCTAAGAGCAGGGCAAGCCCTCCCTGCCGGCACCAACTCCTCCAGCGGCTGGCTGACCTTGCAGTGGTTCCTTTCTTGCTTTTGCTTCTTGAAGCAGTAAACAAAGTTGTGATAAGCAAAGGTCATGGAAAGTTACAGCCGGAAAAGGCACTTGAGGGGTTAGCTGGCTATGTCTCTCCCAGGAGGGCTAAGGAAACTGAGGCAGGGAGCCTGACGACTGCCTCAAGGCACGCTACAATGGACTTCAGTGCCAGAACTGCACCCAGGAGGACCCCACACCCCAGACTCTGGTCACCTCCGTGCTCTTTCTACCACCTGAGGCCTACTAAAGGACAGGGCAGCTCTTGTTCTGTCTTTGAAGGCACCCACCTTCAAAGATGGATGAATGCCCGAGTGACAGGCAGTGTCTAACAACAAGGGAAAGCCAAAGACTAAATAAGCAAGACCAGAGGCTGCTCCAGGAGTTGATCTTGAGGGGCAATGTTTACTCTGGATCAAGGCAACTAACTGGAGACATCTCTGGACATGTGAGAGCTCAGGAGGGGGCAACCCGATTTGTGCGCAAGAGGGGGCAAAGGACAGCAGGAATGCACGATGTGCACCAAGTAGCAGGTGGAGGGTGGACCCTGCAGACAGCTCCCTGCTCCCAGCACGTTCTATGGAGAGACCAAGCTGGGAGTGGTGTCACTAGGAGAGCGTGGGCTCTGTTCCCTGGGCAGCTGGTCTACACGCCACCTGCCAATGACTGCACGTTATTTAGCAGGCAGGCCTGGGTCTAAGGGTCATGGCCCTGGGTGTCAGACCCTGTGTCCATAAAACACATCTTCTCCACTAGGTTGTGAGGAAGGTGGCAATGGGGCCAGCTGGATCATACCATACCTGCGGGCATAGTCCTTGCAAAGACGAAGTTGGAGGCGCTGCAGCCCAGCTTCTCAGCCTCGTGGTTGCAGCTGTGGATATCGATGCGGTACAATGTGAAAGGCCGAAGGTTAGAAATGACAGTTCTCTCCTTGTTATCCACTCTGCTCTCAAAGAAAGGGTACTCTGTCTCCAGCTCTTCCGGGTCGGTGATGTTGTAGGTGTCTGCGGCCGTGGTGTTCCTGCTTCGGCTGGACATGGTGGTGTTGGCCACTTGCATGACATCTCTCCGCTTCCTTTCAGGTCTGCAAGGAGGAGAGAAATGTGGCTTTTAAGTACTTTTACCTCTTTTGTCTTTTCTATGACTTGAGTAAGAGTAACAGAAGAATCTTAACCGTGGAATAGAAGGAGCTATTGAGCCCCCTTAGGTAAGAACTCATGAATAACACAGGGATGTCCTTCCTCATTATCTTGCTTTCTCTACTCTGCAAGTGTCAGAATGGGCACACAAACTCTCACCCCCACCCCCCGGCTCTCAGAGTGGTTCTTCGATTTTACCTAGAGGCAAATAGTGTCTCTGCCACTCTTGGCCAGGCAGTCCTGGCTGTGTCATCAGAACACTCAGGCCATCTGGTCACAGACCTTATGGTTAAGCCTTAAAGGTGGCAAACCTATCAGCTGTGGTTAAGATTTATTAGGGCAGGAGGGGAGAGGTGAGGTGTGTGGCAGAGGCCCCAGAGACCTGGGGCAGAGGGATATGAAAGCCTGTGGTGGTGGCTCCTTGGATTTGCTCTGACTGTGGAAATAAAGATGCCTGGAGTCTAGCAGCAAGCAGTTCCACGGACCCCAGGGCTCTCTCTTCTTGGGGGCTCCTGCTGCGAGCCCACCCCCAACCCCAAGCGTCTGTGCTTGCTACACTCTGCAGGTCCCTGGAGCCCACCCAGGCTTCCTCCCACTCAGCAGTGAGCACCTGTGGCCTCATCAAGGTCCTGCCCATCAGAGAGCAGAGTCCTCGTCATGGATTTGAATGGGGCTTGGAACAACCGAAAAGCAAAAGGGAGTGCATAAAGTCATCACAAAAAGGACATTCTCACCAAAAAGGGCAGATGAGGCATGAGGGTGCGACCCTCTAATTGCTGCTTTGGTCAAATATGAAGAAATGGGCTTTGTGGCTCCCCCTAGAAACCTTAAAACAGAATTCTAATGTTTACAGGAACCAACAAAAACAAACAGAATACGAGAGGAGCACCCAGATGGAGAAAGGGCAACCCTCAGGTCAGCCATGGACGAATGGTGAGAAAACAGGGCTGAGGCCTTCGGCTGGGGTCACCGGTCTTAGGAATAGGCAAAAGGCAGGGGGCAAATGGGATGAATTCTATCTGCCCAGGGAAATGAGAAAGTCCAGAATGTGGGAAGCTCATCAGTGCCATGGAGGGGAGAGCGCGGCAGCAGCAGCAGAGAGGGAAAGCTCACGCAGGGAACGGAACAGCCCAGAAGCCACTTGCAGGTTCGGCTGACGCTCGGCAGGCTTCTGGCTGGTCCTTAGGTCAGAACCTGGAAGGGGAGAGCAGAGGGCTTTGGGAAAGGGCCTCTGAGGCTCCCCAGTCTTCTCAGCCCATGGATTCCCCTGAGGAAAACACGGTCCTTCTTTGTGTAGTGGCACACGGGGGTCCTACCGAAGGCATGAACTGCCCAACACAGATATGCTCGTTCCAACAAGCAGAAAACCACAAGGTCAGGGCGTGTACATTTGCTTTCACAATACTGGGGGAGGAAGGGTAAGGACATGAGGCTGATCATCCACAATCCTCACACTCTGCAAACCAACCAACTAGCTAACCAAGCTTCCCGGAAGGGAAAAACACAAGAAACCACATTTACTGTCAGGGAAATCTTTGTCAACACATCATCAACAAATTTCCTGCCTACCTTCAAAACCAACACAACATACACTTGTGTCTGTCAGAAGTTGCTTAGGTTTGATGTACCGCAAAATAATTCTGTCAAAACCCCTCTCCCGGCTCAGCCCACCCCCATTTAACTGGGATTACTTCATGAAGTATACTCAGTAGTTTACTTGTTTATCAACATCACACTTTTAGGGACTGCACAGCTCTCAATGCTGATGACATCAAGGCAGTGACAAGGGGAGGGAGGTGACACAGAACATTATCTGGAAGGCAGGAACAGGGGAAGCACAATGGCCCATACATCATTTTTTTTGGTAAACAACTACATTTCCAAATCGTACGCCCAAAAGCAAACATTACTGCCAACTTTCCCCACTCCATCCCATAATACAACCTAGCCCTATTGGAAAACCTTTTACTTTCCAACATCTGTCAACATTTTAGCTAGTTAAACCAAACTATGTGATTTACAAAATAAAGACAGTAGTCAAAGAAAGGCATTTACTGCGAATATTGACTTCAGAAACTAGTAAGTTTTACAAACTCTAGCTTCCACTGTACTTCAAAACATACAGGATATTCTGGACAATTTATAAGGAACTAAATCTTACTTAACTGGTTTTATCCCACAAATACATTGTTCTCAGAATGAACTGAAAGAAATCAAATCCATTTTCGGACAATCCACGTGTAAAACAGAAAGCCAGCCTCTGTGATTCAGTCATTCTCTCTGCTGGACACTCCTTCACCTGGACTCTGCCAGAACTCAGTAGGAGGCAAAAAAACAAATATTAACTTCTTAAAAATTATGGCCTCTCACCACGGACAAAATATTGTCTTCATATACATCCATGAAAACAGAGAATCACAAGTTGGACTTGTCTTAGGAGAGAGAAAGGAAGGACTCGGGGGACAGATAAACACACTTCTCCAGTAGAACACAGGAAACTTGTTTTGAACCCAACACCACCAATGCTGTGCATTAATAACATGTCAATCACAGCTCTGCCTTCACGTCACTTCACCTTGTGCTCCACATCTGATGAGAAAAAAACAGGTCTTGCCTCGTAACTACAACTGAAAGCAAGGGGCCTTTCAGCAAAATCTTTCCAAAACCTTGACTCACAACCCGAACCTCCTGCTGGTTGGTGGAACAAGACAGCAACGTAACCAAGGGCCCATGATAGAGAAAAACAAACTTCCCGCCCAGCCTGCTTTGGGACACTCTAAATCCATCCTTCCGTGTGGCGGGCAGCAGGAGCTGCCACGAGCTAAGCCTCTGCTGGTCTAGGTGGAAAGGACCACGAGAAGCAACGCAATGGAGGAGAAGAGGGGGAAAAGAGTCGGTGTGTGGGAATGAGGACCAGGTCCCAAACGGATTCTTAATTAATTAGGATGTCAGAGAAGTCACCAAACCTCATTGAGTTCCAGTTTCCAAACCTCTTTGCAATCTTTCTAGTCCTCAAACTTTCTGCTTTCTAGGAACCACCAGTGATACAAAGATATCCTGGATAAGAAAATGGCCTTGGGCACTGAACCTCAAGGTTCACATTCAAAGCCCTGCCACACACCAGCAGGCAGAAGACTCCCCCAGCGGGGCAGGCTAGGAGAGGCCATGAGGGCCTCGCAGGCCCTTCTCACAGCTCTGGTGTTTTTTTTTTCTTGAGATGGAGTCTCGTTCTGTTGTCCAGGCTGGAGTGCAACGGTGCGATCTCAGCTCACTGCAACCTCCACCTCCCGGGTTCAAGCGATTATCCTGCCTCAGCTTCCCAAGTAGCTGGGATTACAGGTGTGCACCACCACGCTTGGCTAATTTTTTGTATCTTTAGTAGAGACAGGGTTTCACCATGATGCCCGGCTGGTCTCGAACGCCTGATCTTGTGATCCACCCACCTCAGCCTCCCAAAGTGCTGGGATTACAGGCGTGAGCCACCGCGCCTGGCTGCTCTGGTGGTTTGAACTTCGAGAGAGGAGGGGAGGAGAAAAAAGCCACCAAGCAATGAAGAGGCGCACTCTCAAAAGGAAATAATGCCTCCAGTTCTAACCAGTCTTTATTTCCCACTTTACTGATTTCTCGAAGTGAGATAGCTATTTCAACCATTTTGCAAATATCAAAAAGGTCACTTGGCAGAAAAAAAAAATCACTTTAAAAACCATTTGTTGTTACAGCCTAAGAAAGCCTGTAAGAGCAGAGTCACTGTGGAATAAATAGCCGCTACAGGCTCCTCTCAGGGTCGGGGGCAGTGAGGGGAAGGGAACGTGCTGGGTGGGGTGCTGGCAGCGGGTGCTGTGGGGACTGCGGATGGGCAGCTCATGGGTGCCATGCTGATTTAAATCCAACTCCTTGGCCTAGTTTTCAGGCATGAGGTCGTTTCCAAAATCTGCACTATAATCTTACAGGAAGAGGGGGCCAGGGAGCACCACTGTGCTTCCATCTCCTTTCCCACACACTACTGGGCTAATCCTTTTTTGAAAGGAAAAAAAAATTGTTTAACATTTTTTATTGTGTTAAAATAAAATTTTAAAACAAAACAAAATATATGTAAGATAAAAAGTTGCCATTTTAATCATTTTAAGGGTACAATTCAGTGGCATTAATTGCATTCACAGAATGGTACAGCTATCATCATTATCTATTTCCAAAAATTTTCATCACTCCAAATAGAAAACCTATCGATTATGGAATAATTCCCATTCCCCTCCACACTCTATCCCCATCCCCTGGTAAATTCAAATCTACTTTCTGTCACCATACATTTGCCCATTCCATATATTTCACACAACATAAAATCATACACTATCTGTCCTTTTGTGTCTGGCCTTGTTTCACTTGGCATGGTGTCTTCAAGGTTCATCTGTGTTGTGACATGGATCAAAATTTCCTCCCTTTTTATGGCTGAATAATATTCTACTGTAAGGTTCGAGCCCATTTTATTGAGCCACTCACCTGTTGATGTACACTGGGTTTCCAGATTTGGCTACTATGAACAGTCCTGCTATGAACGTTTACTTTCCTCTGCTTTTGTCCCCACTCCCCAGAAACCAAGACCACAGC
Source organism: Homo sapiens (assembly GCF_000001405.40). Classification (NCBI taxonomy): domain Eukaryota; kingdom Metazoa; phylum Chordata; class Mammalia; order Primates; family Hominidae; genus Homo; species Homo sapiens. Next base: position 98,917,487 of record NC_000015.10, on the reverse strand, counting down.
AGAGGAGCAGAGTCCCTGGGGCAGGGGCTGTGTTGCTTTGAAAGACAGAGTAACCACGGAATAAACAGCCAATGCAGGCTGTCGCCCTACACTGCTTCCCAAACTTACTTGTACAGGATGCCTGTGGCACCTGGCTATGTTTTGAAGTCAGGCCCTTTCCAGCACAGACTCTGACTTTTTTCCCTCTTGCTTCACTCCTCCTCTGTGAGGCTGAGAGAGGCAGTAAAGATAATTAGGAAGGGCAGAGATGGACCCAAATCCTGGCCTTTCCTCTCACCAGGCAGCAGCTGTCAATACTCTTTGAGTTTCCCCTCCCTGCCTCTACCACAGGGTGCCCACCTGCTCTCTGTGGGGGGTTGTGGCTGAGACAGCAGTACCTGTCACACCGGTGGCCCCAGCAACCCAAGCCCTGGTCCCTGTTCCCTTCAGGGCTGACTGGCTTCCGCAGGGACTCACTTCACCGAACCTGTCATCTTTTTCGGCTCCGTCTCAGTGGCTACTGTATTGTACCCCCCAGCTGCTGACTTACACACTACCTGGTGGGGAGAAAGGCAACAGAACCGGCCTGAGCAGTGGGTTTTGCCAACTGAAATTTCACATGAGCTGGGTACCTGGGCACGAAGATGGAGTTGTGCAGGAAATTCTCAAAGACTTTGCGGTATTCAGCCTCCTCCTTCTCGGCCTGCTTCTCGGCTTCAGTTTTGGGGCAGGCGCAGCAAGGCCCTTTCTCCCCACCACACACCTCAGTCTTGGGGTTCTCTGTGACCTCCTCAATGTCGATGGTGCCGTCGGCATACTTCCTGATGGGGATTTTGTCTTCTCGGAAAAGAAAAGCCAAAACAAGAGTGGGAATGAAAGCCGTTATACATGCTTGTAAGGAAAAATAATAGCTCTCAGTACCTTTAATCAAGAAGATAGCTGGTCTCGGCCAGATGTGGTGGCTCAAGGCTATAATCCCAGCACTTTGGGAGGCCGAGGCGGGCAAATCACCTGAGGTTAGGAGTTTCAGACCAGCCTGGGCAACATGGTGAAACCCCGTCTCTACTAAAAATACAAAAATTAGCTGGGCATGGTGGTGCATGCCTGTAATCCCAGCTACTCGGAATGCTGGGGAATGAGAAATGCTTGAACCTGGGAGGCAGAAATTGCAGTGAGCCATGATCGTGCCACTGCACTCCAGCCTGGGCAACAGAGTGAGACTCTGTCTCAAAAAAAAAAAAAAAAAACCAGAAGATAGCTGGTTTCCAATGGAGAACTACACTGTTGTCTGATACGTGTAATATTAGGGCTCAGGCACATTACAACCACAGGAATGAACGGTCACACCCTCCGTCCAGGCCGCTGCTGCACCCTTACCTTTGGAGCAGTAATTGTGCCGGTAAAGGTAGCCGTCCTGAGGCTGCCGCTGCCAGCGCACAATGTAGTAACTCAGGTTGCCGTTGGGCAGAGAGGGAGGGTTCCACTTCACGATTAACTGAGAAGAGGAGTTCGATGCTGAAAGAACGTCCAAGGGAATGGAAGGAACTGGAGAGGGGAACAAAGAACATTCTAGAAAATGAAATGAACTTAAGAGTCAGGCTATCAGATACTCTGGCAAGCCAACAGGAAACTGCCAGTTTGACCTGGATAAGAAAATAACAATGAACAATGAAATACAAAGTGAAAAGTGAACCTTATTTTGAAATAGTACTACTATAAATGCCAACATTTCCCTTTATAATCTATTTCCTCCGGTAATCTCTGTGAAAACAAACATTACTGAGTTGTAAATGGAAAAAGGCTGCGGGGGCACAAGCAGGGTTAGAAGAGACAATGTGAAAATCTACAGCTAATTCAAACACCTGGTATTTCTCATTTATTACAACTGCCATTCTCCACAGTGCTGCACTCCGGCAATTTCGACAACTGGTAAAACAGGCTGACTTGGATTTCATCTGAGATTTTGAATCTCTGATAAAAATGTCATGAAGCCAAATGGAAAGAGGAAGTGGAAAGGGGCCTGGAGAGTCTGTGTGTGTGAAGGAGTGTGCATGCCCATGTCACAGCTGTGTGTAAGAGGGATGGGGGAGAGGCAATGCAAAGAACACGGAAGTCCACCATTTCCACAGGCATCCTTCAGTACAATGACTGAGGCATGACTCTGAAAAGCAGTTTAGAACTGCAAACGCATGGAAGCCTCATTTTGAGCAAAGGACTCTGTCACCAGCAGAATGAATGCCGATTATAGGCAAAGCATAGTTATCTGATCAAGCTTTACTTATGCTGACCCCTGAACTGAAACCCAGAGCTGAAGTGTGCATAAAGATCAAATGCATCCCAGAACCACTGAAATCTTGTCCTTATTGGGTCACAAAAAAGCATCAATGTTGATGGTTTTTCAAAGCACAGGAGACACCTTCACTGGATATCACTTAAGCAATATGTTTGCCTAAGCCATTTTTAAAACTTGAAAAGGGCGGACAGCTTGAGGGTGCTCCAGGTTATACGATACACACAAGGTTCTGAACATCTTTAAGGGATGATACTTTGGAAAAAGGTTATGACTAATACTGGCGTTTTCAGAGAAAACACAACCACTTGATGCTCAGCCACTTTAGGGTTTCCAAAAATAAGTACTTCAAAAACAAACAGCTCATTCCTAGATACATTCTTACGATAGGTGTCACCAAACAGCAGAGGCAGAGGACCAAGTTCTCGTCTGTCTCCGCTGCGTGTAAGGACAGAGGACAAAACGTAGTGAACTGACTCATTGGTACAGTGCCTGGTTTCCATCTTTGTGGAAAGGAAACAGGTTTCTTGAGAATCTGTCACAATAAGCAGATATTCCTATGTTTCCCAAACACTACAGTGAATTGCTGGCCAGGGGTTACTTCCAAATTTTAAGATGAAAAACTTCTTCTGTTGCACTGAACCTCTGCTACACCAACCCACACGCAGGATCAGAAGCCTGTGCCAATTTTGTTTCAATAAGCACTTTACCCAGTGACATGACTGTGGCCACTTACAGGGTCATGGAGATGGGGTAGGAGTGGAGGAAGGAGCAGGCGTGCACAGCAAAAGGTTTTCCCCACCAGCATTTTCTTCTCACCCTCCTCTCTGCCATTTAAACTGATTTTGTGCTCGCTTATGGGTATTTAAAAACACCTTACCCACTAAAATAATGGCTATTATCAAAGAATGTTTATCAGTGCTATAGAGTGAATGCCTGTGTCCCCTACCAAAACTCACATGTCAAAATCCTAACCCCTAAGGGGATGGAATTAGGAGGCATGGCCTTTGGGAGGTGATTGGGTCATGGGAGTGAAGCCCTCATGAATGGAATCCAGGCCCTTCTATGAGAGGCCCCGGAGAGTGCTCCCGCATCCCTGCCACCATGCAAGGACACAATGAAAAGACAGCCATCTATGAGCCAGGGAGTGGGCCCTCACCAGACACCAAATCTGCCAGCGCCTTGATCTTGCACTTTGTGGCTTCTGGAACTGTGAGAAATACATTTCTATTGCTTATAAGCCACCCAGGCTACACTGTTTTTTTGTGATAGAAGCTCCAATACACTAAAACAATCAGTGTCTTTAAAACTGAAGTGGATTTTCCTACTTCTAAACTAGTTTTTATATACTGGAAACTATTAACGTTTGCTTTTACTGTTTCCAGATCTGGAGTTGAGAAATGAGATGGTTTAGAACCTAAAGATAAAGGAAGGAGGAACCTCATCATCAGTGAATACTCTGAATATCCACAACATACTACATCTGCAGGCTTTCAACTTTTGTTGACCTCTTTGGAACTCTATAAGCTCCAGAATGAAGATGGAAAACCAGTGAGCTACATGAATTAAGTGGAACACAGATCAGCATGGTTTCAGTTCCTGGAGGATTGAACATCAAAACAAACAAGAAACAAGGGCAGCTGAAGACGGCTGTTTCCAGGCTGGGCCTTCCAATGAAACCAGCCCAGCACCCTGGAGGACCTGGGCTCACAGGCACAAAGCAGGAGATGATGGAAGATAGTACCGAGGCCAGAAAATGGCACAGAAGAGCCTAATGTGTTAGCAGTGGGGAAATGAATATGACACAGTATTACCTATTGACAAGAAAGACAACAGGCATAGCTCACTGCTAACCCTACAATGACACCTGGTACAAGCAAGGCCAGTGAGCTTGCGAAGAAGTGTGGATGCTGGGGGCTTGTCTAGGCATGGATACCTGAAGCATTGGTGCGAATGTACAAGATCTCACTCTTGGCCCCACGGATATGGTCGTTCTCCACCATGGTGAGGGTCACAGCCTTGACGTAAACGGCGTACTGAGTCCAGGGCTTCAGCCCATGTAGTAAGATGCCGGGCTCCACGTCCTTGTTGGGCGGGAGGTCCACGTCCACCATGTTCCAGCTGTTGGAGCCGCAGGCATCCTGCCCATCATACTCTGTGACATTCTTAAAGGGTCTGAAAGACAATTAAGTTCAGAGAAAGTTCGGGGCTCTGACATCAAAACCCTCAAAAATCTTCCCCAGAGGCCCAGCATGTCACACTTTCTATAATGGGAGGTCTAAATAAACAAATAATCAATTAGACTTTTATAGAAGAAGAAATGAAGTGACTGGACTCTGGGCTTCCCCAGTCGGGCATTACAGAATTGAATGGTCTGCCTCAGGAAGAGCCACTTCAACAGTTACTGGGATTCAATAGTTACTATTCCTTAAGAACATATGCAAAAACTATTTTTCTCTCTTCTGATTGCAGCATTTTTTCATCAAGAAAAAAACAAGCATAGTCAGTTAATGCAAATATCAGATATTGAAAGAAGGTAACTGTTGGAGAAAAATGACTTTCCTACAGACAAACAGAAGTAGCTTCTAAAATTCAGATTGCTCATAAACAATTCTGATGCTTAAGCATCTTATAATATTCAAATATTTAGTTTCCAGATTGCCTTAGAAACCAGCATCAAGTCCTCAGTGAAATTACCAGCTGACATTGCCAAAGCACTGGTGTGACTATCAGAGAATATAGTACTTCGCACAGATGCATGGTTGGGTAGGTATTTTATATTTATCAGCTAAAAGGGCTGGACAGCTGCTGGCCGCTGGCTTCTGAAACAAACATGAACAAAACACCGTCTGCTGTCATGGGATGGGAGATCATGAGGGGCTCCCCTGTGTACAAACTCTGAAAGCCTAGTAATCCTAAGTACCCAATTTCTCATTCATAGGACCCCAGCTCTGGCAGGAGGAAAGAGTACAAGATGCTGTCATAAGGTGCCTCTGGTTGCTGCTCTTTGGAAGCCACACATCTGGGAGAGAGAACTATGGGATTAACATGGGACCTGGGTAAGGGGGATGGCTAAGTAGACCGGGGTAGCCACCTGGATATAGAAGGCAAAGGAAGGAAGAGGGAGATCAAAGAGGGCTGCAGTCGGGAGGAATAAGCCTCGGCTGCTTAGATGGGGGAATGTCATGTGATCACACAGGAAAAGCTCCCAACAGAGTCTAGGAGAAGTCACAAAAGGCTCAAGACATGAAGGTTGTTCTCTCTCCACTTTTCTTCGCTTGTTTGGAAGGCTCATGACCTAGAGCAGAGGGCCACAGCTTGGGAGAGGCACACAGAGAGAGAGACAGGAATAAGATGATACAAAAGAGCCACGTGCCTGCAGGGTGTTCCTGGAGTAGGCCTAGTAGGTAAGGAGGCTGAAACGATATTTCAGTGAAGTCCCCCATCATCGTTCATGAGTCTGGACTGACCTAATTCTGGAAAAAGCAAGCTTTCCCCATTTTGGGTTTATTTTATTCAAACACCTCTAATCACTCACTAAAGAATGACAGGCCTCGAGCTAACACTTTCCCAATCATGGCTGTCACTGGCTGTGACTGACATCACAGGGACAGCCCGAGAGGGTGCATGAGGATGAAGTAGGGATGTTTGGCGTGGCTCTCCCTGGGGACTCTGCTGACCCCCTGTATTCAGCCAGCCCATTCAAGGATCGAAAGACTGGCCTCTCCCATTCGTAGCCCTGTCAACAGAATGGCATCACCCAAAGCAGAAACTCACGCTTCCTTGTAGTAAACGGTGAAGCTGATGAGATCCCTGTAGTCAGGGGGCCGGTACCGGTGCCAGGTTATGATGATGCGATTCTTCGACGTGGTGGTGGAGGTGAAATGCAGGACGTCACTTTCACCTGGGGCAAAGAGTACATCCGTGAGTGACAGAGATTCATGTGTCTCTGAAAAGCACCTGTCTTGCTTGGCACTGCTTCCCCCTTCCCCAAAGCTGGCTGTATATGCTAAGTTCCCTTCTGGGCTTCCTCAGTGGCTTTCTCGTTTTCCACTAAGAAATCATACATTTCACTATGCAGAGCTCCAAGGGCTCCATCCTTTGTTTTAGGTCAATCAGTTACGCTGGCTACTTGCCCAGGGACTTGGACATGAACCTGGGTTTCCTAACCTGAAAACAAGGGGCGACTTCAGTGAACGAGGTGAACTTATCTTTCTTCTCCATCCCTAAGATCCTGGCTATGAAAGGGGGCCTGGTAGGGTGAAGGTGAGCCTTTAGGCTGCCCTGAAACTTCTTAAGAGAGACGATGACACTTGTTCTGCAGTTGTGGATATCTGCCTGTTCGTGTACAACCACCAAAGACAGGTAAGAGACTACAGGTGTGCCACAGAAAGGAACTTTTCTTGGTCTAAACTTGGTATCAAACTGGAAGGACACAGGAACTCCTGTGAGGCCTCCAGCTAGGGCTGACAAACAACGGGAGGCTGGATTAAGCACTGACAAGAAGATCTCACTTGGCCAAGCCTAACGTGCTCTATGGGAAGTAGCCTGGCTGGCGGGTATGGCAGGGAAGCTGTGCCAAGTGTCTCTCTTATTCCTTGGACCAAATTCAAACTACGATAAGGACCAGGGAAAGACTGATGACTGCCCACCCTCATGGAGACCCAGAGCTCTCTGACGAATTGTCCTTTCGCCCTCTTATCTGCCTGAATCCCACTACACACTCAAGAGGTGAAGCAGAGGGACTGAAGACAGTAAAAGAGCTAAGAAGTCTTTAGGACAAAATGTGCGCAACTGAGATTGGGAAATGTCACAGTTCCTGCTGAAGTGTTATTTAGAGAGGAAACCATGATTTTGCTTTCAAAAGAAAATAAACGGCTACTATGTATTATGATCTGACAGGTCAGACTGGCTGACTCTAAGGAGACAAGCACTCTGAAATACTCGGATACATCCGATTTTACTATGATCTGAACAGGGAGCAAGGCAGGGGCTTTGCAGGGATAGAGTGAGCAGGGGGCGGGAGGCGGCGCTGGTCGTCAGCCTGCTGTTCAGCCCTAGGTCAGTCAGCGTGCTTCCCTCTAAGATCCCCCAGAGCAACAAGTGTCGCCAGGTAAATCCAGACACCAGCGAAACAAGCCAAAGCCAAACACGCATCGGTTCTGATTTGCCTCCCTGCATGTGTGTCTGTCTGCACACACGCACAAATCACCCTTCATCATACAAATTACTTTTTTTCTAATACCCTTCCCTTATTAAAAGCCAAAGGTGAAAAGACGATTTACTTTTATAACCCTATCCAGCCAGAGAGCCACGCCATTCTCAACAGCCGTATTCTACACAGGGTTAGATGAGAAAGGCACTGCTGTATCTCTGATATGAGACCTTAAAGTTTTATAAACAGTACAAGGCTGTAATTATATTGTTCTCAATTTAAAAAGCAATATCAACTCAGGGCTGCAGGCTCACTCCATCTTTTTCATGTTGGGGTGGGAGAAACAAGGCGGCCGAGTGTAAGGGACAGGAAACCCGTGGCCCACAGGGGCTGCGCTTAGGGCAGAGCCCCCTCCACCCCACAGGCCTGTGCTTCCCTTCTGTGGGAGCAGAAGGGTAGAGCTCATAGGGCTGAAGCACACTGGCTCTTCCCTGAAAAATAATCGGACAGGGCATGGTGGCTCAAGCCTGTAATCCCAGCACTTTGGGAGGCTGAGGCACGTGGATCATTTGAGGTCAGGAGTTTGAGGCCAGCCTGGCCAACATGATGAAATCCCGTCTCTACTAAAAATCCAAAAATTAGCTGGGCATGGTGGCAGGTGTCTGTAATCTCAGCTGCTCGGGAGGCTGAGGCATGAGAACCGCTTGAACCGAGGTGGAGGTTACAGTGAGCCAAGATCATGCCACTGCACCCCAGCCTGGGTGACAGAGTGAGACTCCATCTCAAAAAAAAAAAAAAAAAAGAAAAAAAAAGAAAAAAAAGAAAAGAAAAAAGAAAGAGAAATATCTAACTGTGCACCTGTGTATAAAAGGACATTTAACTGTGCATTCTGTAAGCAGCACTTTAAAGTTTGAGAACCTACTTATAAGTGTTTCACACACTCACAGAGATGTACAGAATTTATAAATACGAATACATCACGTATCTGCCCACTACTGATTGTGATGACATATAAGTAGGAGCAAAGTGCTAGTTAAGATGGTCTAGTGGTCCCCCATGTGAAACCAGGAGGGGCCGCAGAGGAAAGCTGCCATCACACATGGGAGGAGGGTCTGCTGTTATCATGATGGTTGGGCCCACGGTGTTTTGGATGCTGTCACTCACAGGAGGCTCTCTCCCCGTTGTTCCTGGTGTTTATGTCCCCTTTGCTTTGGCGCCCTTTAGTCCCCGTCACTTCCTCCATGCGGTAAATTTCGGAAACACATAATTTGGGATTGAAAGCAAAGTACATTTTCCCTGCTTTGATGGTCAGGTTGCGGTGGTCCCAGTCCCACAGTTGCTGCAAGTTCTGGTTGTCGAGGACGTAGAAGGAGTAATTCCTAGAAGCACAGAAATCGATGTTAGCGCACCTGCCCTTGGCCACAGTCCCCTCTAGCCTGCTGGCCACGTAACACAGGTCCTCTTTGCCACCTGCTCCACAATACATTTCCTTTGCCAATAAGAGATTTAGTTATTAACACTATAGGAGAACAGACAGTTGCTGTTAACAATGGCAGCAACATGATTCAAGGATAACATATCAAAATCGGTAAGATGCTAATTAATTCTATGACCACTATTACCATCAAATAATGCTTCTTGTACCAGAGGATGTTACTAGAATCATTCCCAAGAAATGCCTTTGGTTATTTTTCTCAGCCAAGTATGTACAACGTGCTTGAAAGCAGTCCATGAGAGAACAGACATGCTCTGCTACCCAATCGGAACAGCGTACACTTTGCTCTAAAGTCTCCCATTATCCATGGAAGTAAATCCTGCCCAATCAGCAGCATGATGGGATAGGAGACAGCATGAGACAGGGAGACAAGCTTGTGGGGGGTCAACCCTGGGCCTTCTCCCTCCCCCATTCATCTTTCATTCTGAGCAGCCCCAGCTCCAGTCCCTGGAGGTGTGGGGGAGGAGGAAGAGCCACTAACATGCAGTGCTCTTGGGCCTCTCATCCAGGCAAGAGGACTCGGAGTCCAACACAGTGGTTCTCCAAGTTCAGTGTGCACAAAGCTTGTTTGCAAAGGGCTGGGCCCCACCCCCAGAGCTTCTGATTCAGCTGGGGTGGGCAAAGAATCTGCATTTATCACAAATCCCAGGTGGTGCTGACCCCTGCTGTGGTCCCTGGACCACACGTGGAGAACCAGCAATCTAGGAGAGGCTGAGTTCCAGTGAGGTGGTGGAGGACCAAAGCCCACCAAACCAGACGTGGCTTCTGCCCCAGAGGGTGTGCACACGAGTAGCAGATCCAACCAGCACAGGAAGCCGTTCTATCTGGCTACCCAGGTGGCAGGACAAGTCCATCCCTGGAGAGGCAAGAAAGCAGACAGCTACGGCTTAGGTCTAGAGAAAGATCCCCGCAGTGGGCCTTTCTCTCTGGCTTCCCCAGGAAGGCAGCAGACAATGCCAGGGTTGACTTCTGAGTCCTCTGTGCTGATGGGCCTGATCCCCATGGACCGTGAATCCTTCTTCTCCTCTTCCTGCTCTGCTTCTTACTAAGTTTGGGAATCAGTGCAGTACTTTGAGTGACTTCTAAGATCCACTCACAGATCTAATGTATAAACACACAAAGGAGAAAGAACCCCAGCCCTCCCTGCAGAGCCAGCGTAGCCAGGACAAAACAGAACCCCTAAGGCTTCGTCTGCCCTGGAGGCTATGTCCATTGGGGATCTCTCTGCATCTGGTGAGGGTCTTCATTTACACCCAAACCAGGACCTCTAACCAGCTGGTCAATCCTCAGCCTGATTCTCATTTACAGTAAAGCACAAATTATGGTTACAATGCTGCCAAGCAGCCCTGTGACATTTTCCTGAACATTCACAAAGGGACGTCAGACCAGGAAGGAGTTCAGAGACTGGGACCCAGGACCAGAAATGCCATGAATGAGCTGCACAGCCATGCGCAGATCCCTTAGTGCTATCTGTAGCCCTGTTTACTCACTCGTAGGACAACAAGGGGAATGCACAGGTGACATCTAAGCTCCCTGTCTACTTTAAGAACGACCAGAAGGAGTCACAGAGCCACCACGGAATCTGCATCACAAGCCTGAAGCCCAACCCTTTCCTGAGCACTGGGCTCTCTGTCCACACAAGTGCTGGGGGTGGAGGTTGGAGTCCTGCCAGCACAGGGGTGCAGTGAGCACACAAGTGAGTCGAAAGACAGAGCCTCTGAAGCTAAGTCAGGCTCCTCACACGCCCATCTTCAGGCCTCTGGACACATTAGTGACCACCAAACCGGTAGCAAAAACTTGTAAGTCAACAGTTCTTTCCTTTCAGTAAGGGCTCCCTCCTGAACACACAGCTATCCTGGAAAAGCAGCATAAGACATTGTCCAAATGATCCCAGATCTGGTCAATGCAACACAAGGTGTGTTTCCTGGGGAGCAGTGCCAGGATATGGCCCAGCTGGCGCTACTGTTGCTGGGGGTAGACCCCATCCATACCTGCTGTTTCTCACTACCAGGCTGCAGGTGACACTGCTGGAGGTCAGAGGGGCTCCATGCAGTCATACAACGGAAGGAGGGATGGAGTGGAAATGGATGTGTCATAAGCCCATTCTTGCTCATAGGTTTCTCCAGCTCCAAAGGAGACTGCAGCGATGCACCCCCAAATGTCGGGCTGCTTCCAGGTACCTGAGTTAGTTACAGGACAAAATCTCCTTGTTGATGAAGAAACCTCTGGGCTGCCGGTAAGGACCAATTAATCAGGCCAAACTTCCATCTACACCCAGAACCAGGCCTCTTTTCATAAACTAATTTCACTAGCAGGGAACGGAACCACACCAAAAATACCTTCTGAACAAAACATTCTTCTCCCCCACGGGAGGAAGCATGAATTATAAACCAGGAATTTGACAAATGAATGGCAGGCACACTGAAATTCTGTGTATTTGACTAATCACTTTGAAAAGCAAGATTATCTTTTTACAGTAAACACAAACATTTTTTACAATCATTGAAGAGGCTGGGAGCCAGGATACCAATATCAATAAAACCCAGGCATTATGGAGCCTGTGGAAGCTAAAGAAAAATAAAAATAAAACCCTTGTCAAAATAATAATCAAGCCATTCATGAGCTGCCTGTCAATACCATGCTTGTTTTTCGAGCCACAGCTTGGGGCAAGGCTCCCCGCTAAATTCCTTCCATGATTAGGTGAGAATTAAGAGAAGGTAAAAGGCAGAGACCTGTCTGCACATCTTTAAAATATGCATACGCTAAAGTTATCATTGTTTCCTGAAGAAAAAGATTACTTAAGTAAATTATTCAGTAAATGTGATTTCCTAATTGTTTCTTAGCTTACTGCCTTTACATTCAAAGAATGCTTTTAAAAATTAGGTTTTTTTTTTTTTTTCCCCTTGAGACAGGGTCTCACTCTGTAATCCAGGTTGGGGTGCAGTGGTGCAATGACAGAGCACTGCAGCCTCAACTTCCCAGGCTCAAGCTACCCTCCTACCTCAGCCTCCCAAGTAGCTGGGACCATAGGTATGCCCCACCATGCTTGGTTAATTTTTCTTTTCTTTTTTTTTTTTAACAGCTGGTATCTCACTATGTTGCCCTGGCTGGTCTCAAACTCCTGGGCTCAAGCAATGCCTTGCCATGGTCTTCCAAAGTGCTGGGATTACAGGTGTGAGCCACCACACCTGACCAGTTACTTATTTTTCTTTAGCTTCCATGTGCTCTATGATATCCAGATTTTATTGATATTGGTATCCTGGTTCTCAGCCTTCTCTATGTTGTAAAAAATGTTTATTTCTACACTTGGGTAGGCCCTATCTCCCAATCTGTAGACCACACAGGATGGGAACAGTTGGTTATCTTCCTGAGGACATCTCTATGTTATCTCTATCGATATTTGAGTGGTGAAGACAGCCCCAGGTACACGGTTCAGAGCACTCCATCTGGGAATCCAAAGGTCAGGTCTGAGCCTCATCTCCAGCATTTACTGAGGAACCCCTCTGGGCAAAAGATTTATTCAGCTCTCCCAGGCTGGAGTCTCTCAGCTGCAAACTGGGGGTGCCTTCCCTGCTTTTCTGGCTGAGGCCAGTTGGAAGAATTGGATGGGCTAAACATAAAAGGATACCGTGAGCTTTTAATCACCCCACAAAAGTGCAGGATGACATGTGCTATTCTCTGAAGTGTGAAAGTCCCCTGGAACAAAGTCTCAGAACAGGAAGGTCCTGTGCCCTGATAAATGGAGCTGAACCCGAGGTCTCCAGCCTACAGAGGTAGGAAGGGACAGTTTCCCCATTTTCAGTGCTTGCTGACATACTGAAAACAATTCTGCAATTATACAACCAATCATTCCAGTTCCTTCCTTCGAGGAGAAAATTGCCTCTTCACGGCTGTCTCTAGGGGGCATCAGAACCCAGGACACAGGCTGTCATCAGCAACAGAGCCATCTGCAACTGATAAGAGTATTTGGCCTTTTTTGCCTTTCTGCAGATGCTCCCACCAATCCATCTGCAAACAGGCTGGTTTATATCATGTCCACTCTCCCCCAAATCCAATATTTACATCAACCTTAGGGGTTCAGCAAGGGTGGATATGTCTATCTAGGTGGAACCAGGCACCATACAGATATTCAGACAATGTTTCCTCTTTGTTTAGGTGTTTCTTAAAAATAGCTTTACTTCTGAAGTATAACCTGCCTATCAAATATTCACCCATCAGGCCAGGCACGGTGGCTCACACCTGTAATCCCAGCACTTTCAGAGGCCGAGGCAGGCAGATCACGAGGTCAGATGATCGAGACCATACTGGCTAACATGGTGAAACCCCGTCTCTACTAAAAATACAAAAAAATTAGTCGGGCGTGGTGGTGAGCGCCTGTAGTCCCGGCTACTCGGGAGGCTGAGGCAGGGGAATGGTGTGAACCCGGAGGCGGAGCTTGCAGTGATCCGAGACAGCGCCACTGCACTGCAGCCTGGGTGACAGAGTGAGACTCCATCTCAAAAAAAAAAAAAAAAAAAAATTCACCCATCATTCCATGAGCTTCCGTAAATTTACACAACTGTCCAACCATCACCACTACTCAGTTCCAGAACACTTCCATCATCCAAGAGTTCCCTCATTCCCATTGGTGGTCAATCTCCACCTCTTCCTTGCAGCCATCCCTGGTCTGCTTTCTGTCTCTATAGTTTTGCCTTTTCTGCAAATTACATACGAATGAGTCATATAATATGTAGTCTTTTGTGTCTGGATTTTTTCTTTTCACTTAGCCTAATGTTTTAGAGGTTCACCCATGTTGTAACACGTGTCATACTTCACGTCTTTTTATTGTTGAGTAGTCAGTTGTCCTTTGTGCCACATTTCATTTATCCATTTATCTTTCTATCCACTCATCTGCTGATGAACATCTGAATGGTTTCCAGTGGGTCTTTCTTTTGGGCTGGGGGTCGGGGGAATCCCGGGAGGCTATTATGAGTAATACTGCTACCAGCATTCATACACAAGTCTTGTGTGGGCATGTTTTCATTTCTCTTGGGTGGATCCCGGAATTGCTAGGTCACAGGGTTGGTGTATATTTTCCAAAAGTCCCAGGGAAATGTGAAAAAGCGGCCATGTTTCAGCCTGACCTTTGAGCTCCAAGAAGGTATTACAAAGCACTGCGTGTTGCACAGTCGAGTGGTAGGAACAAAAGCATAGAAATGCCTATCCGCGAATTTCAATTCTTTTAACTCACCACCCTCCATCTACTTTTTCCTTCTTCTTTTCAAGGCAACAATCCTTGGTAGCACCAAATAATGTGAAACTTTAACTCCTTATTTATCTGATGCCATCAGGAAACAAGGTTGTCCAAACAAGGGGATTTTCCAGATAGTGAAAATATTCTCTTACTCAAGAGCTTAAAAATTAGCTATTTTATAAAAATTGTGTACATGTGGATTACAAAACCTGTTTCCTTTGTAAACAGCAGAGCGGTCTTGATTTTCTTAATGTCTAAGGTCATTACTCTAGAAATACACCCTATGGTGTCCTTGAGGAAACCATGGCTATGGCTTTTGTAACTGGGTTACAAAATCAGCTCACGCCGAGTGCGATATAAAAGTCAACAGGCTCTGAGTGAGGAATAAGAGCTCTACTCTATGTAAAATGCTTGAATTTTCTGTTCTGGATGGCTCAGGAGACTTTTTGAGGGGGATCTCAGTGACATTTTGGAAAGCCAAGGTTGTCAGAGTTGAAGGATCTCTGTACCTTGAATTGTTCTGTTCTCCATCAAAAACAAAAGGCTACAGAACAGAACTTTCATCCTATTGAACCAAATGGAAACATTTATGTTATCACTGGCTATAAAAGAAGTTCAAGAAGGCCGGGCGTGGTGGCTCAAGCCTGTAATCCCAGCACATTGGGAGGCTGAGGCGGGCGGATCACAAGGTCAGGAGTTTGAGACCAGCCTGAACAACACGGTGAAAGTCCGTCTCTACTAAAAGCAAAAATAAGCCGGGCGTGGTGGTGCGTGCCAGTAATCCCAGCTATTCAGGAGGCTGAGGCAGGAGAATCGCTTGAACCCAGGAGGCAGAGGGTGCAGTGAGCCGAGACAGCGCCACTACACTCCAGCCTGGGCGACACAGCAAGATTCCATCTCAAAAAAAAAAAAAAAAAAAAGTTCAAGAAAATAGTGTGACACGTGTTAACAACATGGGTGAACCTCTAAAACATTAGGCAGCAGTGTGAGGGGAAAATATTTAGGAAAAAAAACCGTCAAAGTGCTTTGTGATATGCACATGGGAAGAAATGAAGGGATAAAGCAGTGGTTTCCAATCTTTGCTGCCTGCTGAAGTGCCTAGGGATCTTTAGACAAGCACTGATTCCTGGATCCTAACCCCAAACGCTCCTATTGAATTGGGGTGGGGGTGCAACTTGGACATCAGGATTTCTCAACTCCACCCCTGCCCCCACCCCCAATGATTCCATAATGTGTAGCAAAGTTTGAGAAACACTGGGATGAAAGCTATCTTGGCTTAAACCAAAAGCACACCGAAATAAAAATTTCAGACAGCTCTGCTAACACTCCTCTATTCAAAAGCCTTGAATACGTTCCATGGTCTTCCTAAATTATAACCCTTTATACCTGCGTGCAAAACATCTTACATAACTCTAGTACCACCCACCTCTCCAGTGTTAGTTGCCCAACAGGCCCCAGGATGCCCCAACTCGTTGCCTTTGCTCCTGCCACCCTACCTTGAATTGCCTTTCTTCACTTCAATCCTCTGCTTTCCTCAAGTTTTTCCCGAAAGCCTTCAAGGCCCATCTCAAATGCCACCTCTTGTCAGAAGCCTGTCTGATCTTCTCAGGTATCTGGCTCTTCTCCATGCCTAGGGCACATTTCTTTCTTTCCCTTGTATCACTGTGCGAGTTCTGCTTTGCACTGCTGATGTTTATCTGACTATCGTATCCTGTCCTTCTCTTTCTCGCTCTGACTCTTCCCTTCTTGCAGAAGTGAGGGCAGCTAGTGAAGGGGCCAGACCTAACTCTGTCCCTGAGTCTAAGGAGAAATGAACAGCTGAGGTGTTGCTAGCGGTCTCAACACCTGAAGCAAACAGAGCTCTTGGGGAGCTCATCATCGTGAGGATGGGCTATACCTTTGTGGTCATGGGCCAGGAAGACAGGGTGAGAGAAAACTTCCCATCGGGAGGTAAAAGATTCTTAAGAGCCCAAGCTCAAGAAAGAGCCTCTTAGAAGCTGCACGCAGGAATGAAAGGCTGGAGCCAGCATCCTTGGAGCTGCAGGACTACTGGGGAGCAGCAGCAGCAGGGAAAACCCAAGGCCCACTTGCCCTCCCCTGCATCTAAAATGGTAAGAGCAGGCCAGGGGCCCGGGCTTACCTGGAAAGCCTCCCAAACACCTGAGCACGCAACCTTAAAAAGATTTTGCTGATGCTTCAGGTTTTATGCAAGTTTCAGATAATGAGAAAGACATCATAAATATTCTTGCAAATAAAAATCAGGCTTTAATTTCTAACTACATTTAAGTGCACAATACTTAGTTAACACTCCATGAAAAGGTAACCACATAATAATTCCTAATGGAAATTAATTAAACTCTCCTCTCAGCATTCACCTCTATGTCTATCATTTGCTTAGTCTAGAAACAAAAAAGTATATCATTAAGCAACAAGAAAATTTGACAGCTACTGCTCTGCTGAAGAAGAAATGCTCACAGACACCCGAGATTCCAGAAACACAAACCTACTTAGAAAAAAAAAAAGCGGAGAAAAATTCATTTTAAAATTTAATACAAGAAACAATAATCATCACCTTAAACTGGTAGGGCCTCAGCTTGCCAGGTAAGTGACTGAGGAGTCTGGGGCTGGGTGCAGCGGCAGCCTCCTTCGATTTGCAATGAGAAAGAAGTTTTTTAAGGATTGGTGTTCCCCAGTGGGGAGGACACTGTGCTTTTCAAGGATGGAATGAAGAGCTGCCCGCTCTCGTTAGCTCTATCAGATGATGGAATTTTAAGAATTTAAGACTGACCAAGAGTTAGTCTGAGAAAAACAGGGAGGCTGTAAAGAAACCCTTATGCAGTAACTTTATCCAGTTGGGGCAGATAAATCAGCAAAGACAACCTTTCCCATGACCTTCTCGCCTCTTCTTTTCCTAAATTATTTTCCCAAATTCTCTTTGGAAGGAATTCACTCTTTAATTGATAACTCCTTTTATTTTGAAGCATTCACTTAAAGCCTGGCAAGAGTCGTATTTAAAAGGGAGAGTTTAAAGAGAAAAGTACATATGCAAAGGTACACACAGGCTGACGGCTGGAAAGCAATTGTGCATGCAATAAGCACCGGCTTTTATCCTCCAGTGAAAAGCCCACGGTTATTTTAAAACCCCTATCACAAAGCAGGCCTGTGCCAAGGCAAAAACTCTATCAATAGTGCAAATCCTGTAAACTAATCAATAAAAACCATCTCGTGAATCCGGGTTTCTTTCTAACAAAACGAACCGCCCATGCTCCTCCCGTGCTCTCACTTCCAATATCTTAAAAGATGGAGCAGTTGTGCGTAGTAGAGTACAGCATCCTGAGGCAGATGAGGGTCGCGCGAACAATGATTTCACAGGGAGGTGAGCACTCCAGACCAACTGCTGTCATTCTTGGCAGAAAAGCCCTAAGCGCACCCCCGTCTGCCGTCTCACTGGTCACAGTCAGACACGCAACCCTTGACTGATGAGGCAAAATCCAGTAAGGGTGATAACATCTCTGTTTTCCAAACAGCAACCTCCTAAGAATGGAGAACCATGACTCCACCCAAGACCTACTCGAGCAGCACAGGCAATACTGCGGCTTCCTCCTTTCTTCTCTTTAACAAGGCAGGGAGGGCTCTTACCTCAGCAACACAGTTTCATAAGCACGCTGCTTATTTTGTAATAGAACGTCAGCTCATGAAATTTGGGGCACTTACCCTTCTAGCTGCTCCTCTCCTAGGATGAGGCGAAGGTTTTTTAGGAAGGACAAGGAGACCAAGGCATGAGAATGGCGGATCTTCACGTAGCCCGTCACCACCTCGATGAGCCCCATGAAGTTCTCCAGCTCTGAAGCAATGTTATCTACATTGAAAGGGGATTGTGTCACTGTGTGCTCACTTGGTGTAAGGGTGACATACTTGGATTCTTACAAACACAAGTGAGAACAATTCAACGGCAGGTGCCCCCTGAGATGCTCCCAGCACAGGACTGGCTGCTCCCTGACAAAAACACACTTCCCTGGCTTGACTCTCAACAACGACTCCTGGAACGAGGCCTCCCAGGCAGGGGAAGCCAAGTTTCTAGGAGGCTGGGGGGTACTGCAGCTCCCAAGCTGATTAACAAAATATAAAATCATAAATACCAGACTGCCAATTAGCTAAGGCTGACGAATGTAGGGAACGTCTTTTAATATGCTCTGTCAACAGACAGTATGGCCCCCACAGTACAAGGGCATGACTAAATCAACATTTTCTCCATCTCATTAGGAACTGCCTTTGCTGCCTTTCTAATTCCTAAGATACAGGGATCTATATTTAAAGGTTCCATTTTACTAAGACTTGAAGAAAATACACCAAAATGTTAACAATGGCTATCTATGAGGGATTTTTAAAAATTCATTTCTGCATTGCTAAATTTTCTATAGTATTTATGTATTGCTTTTATAACTAGAAAATAGTTGGAAAAATAGTTGAAAATAGTTGGAAAAATAGTTGCTAATAAAGATGTACAAACATAATATGCAAACAACAGGTTTCATCTTGTTTAGTCTACCTTTTTCTCATAGTAAACAAAAACCAATTTTCAGTTCAACTAATGCTAAAATTATAATAAACACTATAATGAACTGGGTGTGGTCCAATTAATGGGATTTTACTGTGCGTAATTTATGAAGACATATTTAATAAAATGCTCTATTTTGCTTTGAGTTGATACAAATAAAATAATAAGGGTACTAAAGGATAAAGCCCTACATCTAATTTAATTTAATAGCTTTCCAAGAAAAATTAAAGGGAAGTTCAAGTTGGAAAGATGAGAGGTTGCGTGCAGTTGATGTTTTAAGGAAGAGATCCTGAATTTTAAACGTGGGGCAGGAAGCATGCCTTAGTCAAGATCAGGAAATTTCCCCTCTAATGAGATGTCCCATCATCCTAAATCCAATCTATTTCCTGCAATGGACATAAACCAGAAGACACATTTCATCATCATGCATCAATATGTACCAATCCCTTCATAAATGATACTTCTCCATGGGTTTAATTCACAGATTAAATTTTTGTCTTCAGGACAGGAAGATAAAAAAGTTTAGGCACTCAAAAGGTATGTTCTAGGGATAAGCAAATTAAAAGTAAATGAGGAAATGCAGACACAGCCAAAAGAATTAAACATCAGAAGTACCATGAGAGTGGGCAAGCCCTAGTTGTGGGGAACAGAGTTATCTCCATCACGGAGGGCTGGGAGTGGGTGTATTGTGAACAGCAACAAGGGATATCAACTAATTCAGAAGAACTAAGCACAAACTTGTTTCTGTCCTTTCTAAACCTTAAGAATACAGTCTACTCATTTAACAAATATTAAGGAAAACACATTCTCAAAATACATTATTTTTCCTCTCAAACTGTAAAAAAAAAAAAAAATTCTTCATAAAAGGATTCCCCCCCCAAAATTCCTTTCAACTTCAAAGCCATTTTACGATATTTATTCTAGCTTATAAAACTATCAGTACCTTGACCAAGTGGTCCCAGTGGCAGAGAATTTAAGGCACCATTACTAGAAGCCCTTGGCAATGAAAAATCAGAAGTGAAAAGATTTTTAAAATTATCCAGACATGGTAGTGTGTGCCTGTGGTCCCAGCAACGTGGGAGGCTGAGCAGAAGGATTGTTTGAGACTAGGAGTTCCAGGTTACAGTGAGCTATGATTATGCCATTGCACTCCAGCCTGGGTGATACAGTGAGACCCTGTCTCAAAACAAAACCAAAAAACAAACACACAAAAAACCAAAGAAGTGAAGAGATCATAGGCTAAGTCAGTGGGAAATCCTTTGCACAAATCCAACTCAGAAGCAACTTACCAGGAATGCCATCTATTGCAAATAAAGGTCATTGTACAGGGGTGAGACCGAAACTTTATGTACACAATGACACACACTTGTATCCTTTTGTCTCTCACAAGTAAATTTGGAAATCTAGCATTCTTTTGGACTTCATAAAATTTTAACGTGATATCACTAAACTTCCCTTTGCTCAGTCTTCTCAGTAAATTCAAGTAACCAAAACTCTTTAGACTTGAAAGATGTGTGGATTTGGCTACAGCTGGAGTCTGCTGAGTCACACGTCTGATCCAATGGTCTCTTCTGGGGTTTGTATGTGTCAGGGCTTGCCTCTCCTATGCAAGATGTGACTAACAAAAAGATGAGCGATGACCCTCTTTACAGGAATAAATGACGTGCCAATGGCTAAAAGACAGATTGCCTTTCAATCTGTTCTTTATCTTTCAGGGAAACTCAAAGAAGAGACGTCATGCGTGAGGCTTACACACCATGTTGTTTATCTAAGCCCATATTTTAGTGGTGACTCAGGGACGGGAGCATGAAAAGCATCAACAAAAGAAAACCATGAGATCTAGCCGTTTTTCCAGGGGGATGGAATACTTACTCCCCCGTCGGATGTTAATGAGCAAATTGCCCTTGAAGATGGTGCATCCTTGGAGCATCTGAGCAGAAGTAACAGAATCAATGGTCTTTGTTTTCTTTTCTTCCTCACAGACCTTCGGGCAAGGACCTTCACAAGGGATGCAGTACATGCTGTTGAAGAAGAAAAAAAAAATCAAAAACACACATAATTGAGTCTGTCTTCTTGCATTAAAAAAACCATAAGGATATGCTTTTCATTGTTATTACAGCATGCATTAGAAAAAGCAACTGTTTTGAAGTGTTCATGTGGTCACATGGTATCTCACCCCCAAGCCCACCCAAGATAAGCCACTCACATTGCAAGCAAAAGGAGAAACAGCCTACAAAGGAAGAGCGTGTTGCTTGCTTCCAGACAAAATACATGCTGCATCCTCAAGGCATTTGTGTGTCATAGGCTGTTGACTGGTGAGCCAGCTGGTTCCATGTGGGAGAGACAGTGCTGCAGAAAGGAAGCTTGGGGGGTTCTGGAGGAAAACAGAGCTGCTTTCTGATACTGTGACCCTGGCCTGTGTACCTGGAGGAGTCGCTAGGAGAGAAGGCAGGGACAGCAAAGGGAGTGCAGTGTCTCTGCCTAACAGTAGTCTAGCTCCTGCAGTCAGTGTTTTGGCAAAGCCCAGTGAGGGATACCAAAAGGCATGTGGTATAGCACAGATCCATTATTTTCTTGCTAAAGCACAACCGAAATTATTTCTTGACGGTGTTTTGCAGAAACTTGTAAATTGATCCAAATGTTGCTTTTGCTGCATACACAATAAAAGCAAGGGGTTTCCATTACTTTGTAATGAGCTCTTGTTTCAAATACTATCCTGAACATGCCACGAACCACCAAGAGTCAGGGACAAGTAAGACTGGCACTTTTCCTGCTTACCTACCATTATTTAGGAAATAGCAGACAAAATGCTAGCCCAGCAGCTGAACCTTTGGGATCTATAGTTATATATAGAACAAGGGTCAGAAAGTTGGACTGATTTCCAAACAAGACAAATAATACGAACTTATGCGATGTGTGTGTAATAGGATGGTAAGCTGGGGAGCCATTATATGTACATTATTGTTCTTAAATCATCTCTCAAATTTCGTGAAGTAAAAACATTCAAGAAAAACAATGTAAATTATAGCTCTTTTTATTAATGTCCCTTCCCCCTACCCATGAAGGTTATTTTGTATCTAAGACAAAGATGCAGGGTTCTGTTTTGTTTAAAAGCTAACAGGTAAACAAAACTTCTCTGGTATTTTCCTATTGTGTGTTTGGGAGAATGGGGGTCATGGCTTCCCCAAGGGTCCTACAGGAACTGGACCCACCCACAGATGGGGAGAGTCCTTCCTCTACCATTGCATTCAACATTCTCATTTCCAGCCTGGGTAGAGGCTTCCTTCAGCACTTTTTTACTTGGCCTTCTGTTGTTTCTAATTTATCTACATACCCTATAAACTTTCCATTTAAAAAAAAAAATTTTATTTTAAAATAATTATAGAGTCACAAAAAGCTGCAAAGATTTACGAGAAAGTTACAGAGAGATCCCACATAGCCTTCATCCAACTTCCTCCAATGTTTACTACATCTTACATGATATAAGTATCAAACCTGGAAATTAACTCTGTGTGTGTGTGTGTGTGTGTGTGTGTGTGTGTGTGTGTGTGTGTGGTGCTGTGTCACTGATCACTTGTGTAGATTTGTGTAATCACAACTACAATCAAGATACAGAACTGTTCCGTCACCACCAAGCTCTCCCTAATGCCACCTGTTCATACTCACTGCCCTGCCCAACCTAGTCCCCAATGTCCCTAACACCTGGCAACCACTAATCTGTTTTCCATGTCTACAATCTGTCTTTTTTTTTTTTTTTGAGACAGGGTCTCACTCTGTCGCCCAGGCTACAGTGCAGCGGCATGATCTCAGCTCACTGCAACCTCCACCTCCTGGGTTCAAGTGATTCTCCTGCCTCAGCCTCCTGAGTAGCTGGAAATACAGGCACCCATCACCAGGCCCGGCTAATTTTTGTATTTTTAGTAGAGATGGGGTTTCACCATGTTGGCCTCCTGACCTCAAGCAATCTGCCTGCCTCAGCCTCCCAAGGTGCTGAGATAGGTATGAGCCACTGTGACTGGCCAAACTTTGTAATTTTAGTAGAGACACGGTTTCACCATGTTGGCCAGGCTGGTCTCAAACTCTTGACCTCAGGTGATCCACCCACCTCAGCCTCCCAAATTGCTGGGATCACAGGCGTGAGCCGCCGTGCCTGGCTATAATCTGTCATTTTGAGGATGTTGCATAAATGGAATTATACAGTATGTGATCTTTTGAGGTTGGCTTTTTCACAGAGCATAATGTCCTTGAGATCCATCCAAGTAGTGTACTTCAATGGTTTGTTCCTTTTTATTGCTGAGTAATAATATTCCATGGTGTGGATGTCCCACAGTTTAACTAACTATCTATCATAGGACATCTGAGTAATTTCCAATTTGGGGTTATTACAAATAAAGCTGCTATGGACGATGGTGTACATATTTTTGTGTTGACATAAATTTCATTTCTCTGTGATAAATATCCAGGGTTACAACTGCTGGGTTGTACCATAAGTGTATGTTTAGTTTCTCTCCATCTTTCACTCAAATAGAAAAATCTGAAGCTGGGTACAGTGGCTCACATCTGTAATCCCAGCACTTTGGGAGGCTGAGGCAGGAGGATCACTTGAGCCCAGGAGTTTGAGGCTGCAGTGAGCTATGATTGTGCCACTGCACTCCAGCCTGGGTGACACAGCCAGAGTCTATCAAAGAGAAAAGAAAAGAAAAAAAAAATGGAACCAATCATCTTTGGTAAAAAGTCTAGGAGTCATCAAGCACTTAAAAAATGTTTTTCTAAGGAAGTGTTTTGATAACATGTTTATAGATTAAGCTTCCTCAAATCCACTATGGTATAGAGAAGGTATAAACAAGATGAAAAAATTAAATATTTCAAAGTAATTGTTAAATAAGCCTCAAAGGCTGAGAGAAGGGAATTTATTATTCTTTATGGTGTTTTATTTTTAAACAAAAAGGTAGATGTATAGTTTTTAACGGACTGTAAGAATGAATAGGGGAAATAATGGCTCAATTCTCTGAAGAGTGCACTAGAGCGGAAGAAACAACACTGTCAAATGGACAGCATTCCCACTTTGCCACAACTCTGGTGGCTGCAGAACGACTGAAGGCCTCCAAATGTCATTAAGAAAATGTATTCACAAAACAAAGACGATAGCACACTGAGTTCATGGACAAGCTACCACTCCCCTAACCCCACCCCAAGGAGGAAGGTGACGTCTGAATAGTGTCTGAGCCTCAACTTGGTTCCAGGCACTGCCCCTGGGCCCGAGGTGTGCACCAGTAAAAGCCCTTTTACACTCGAAGGCTGCCAACAAAATGTGAGTACAATGTGGTAGACTGATTTTGGATGTAATATGTATCCTCTACAGCTCATTGAAGTCCTTGGCCTATTTATCATTTTAAAGTATTCAGAGTAATTTTCTTCTTGTTGTTAGTATGCTAATGGTTATACAGATTATAAGAGGGAGAAAGTTGCTCTACATCTAATACTATAAAAGAATGTATTATCTTTGATTTGAAGGTAAGCCTACAGTAGAAGCTGCGTCTCCAAATAATACACTAGAAAAAGAATCCCCTTTATAAACACTTCCTCAATGTACTTCATAAGCTGCAGCAAAAATTATATTTAAAATTAACACCTACTTTTCTAACGATATTTTTATATTTGTAGAATAGATTTTGACAGACTCAGAAAGACAGGCCCCCTGGTGCTAATCATGAAGGAGGCATTTAGTCCACTAAAACAGAACTTTCCTAAAAGTTCTTTTTTTTGAGACAGGGTCTCTGTTGCCTGTGCTGGAGTGCAGTGAGGCGATTTTGGCTTATTTCGGCCTTGACCTCAAGGGCTCAGGTGATCCTCCCACTTGCAACTCCCAAGGAGCTGAGACTACAGGTGTGTGCCACCAAGCCAAACTAATTTTTTTTTAATCTTTTGTACAGATGGGGTTTGCATGTTGCCCAGGCTGGTCTTGAACCCATGGCCTCAAGGGATCTGCCCACCTTGGCCTCCCAAAGTGTTGGGATTACAGGCGTGAGCCCCTAAAAGTTCTTTACTCTGCTCCAGGAAAGGGAACAGCAACCC
This sequence comes from Homo sapiens, assembly GCF_000001405.40. NCBI lineage: Eukaryota > Metazoa > Chordata > Mammalia > Primates > Hominidae > Homo > Homo sapiens. Next base: position 98,892,702 of record NC_000015.10, on the reverse strand, counting down.
CAAATCTCCAATCTTCTTTTGCTTTCAAAGTTATAGTTATCACATTTTTAAACAATGCTAACATCTTATTTTCAAAAGCATAAACCAATGACAAATTTATAGAAGTCCAGTTGACATGTACAAAAGGGCATATGGCATTTGTTATAACGAACTTCTCTTTTTTTTTTTTTTTTTTGGAGACAGAGTGAGACTCTGTCTCCCAGGATGGAATGAAGTAGTGTGATCTTGGCTCACTGCAACCTCTGCCTCCCAGGTTCAAGCAATTCTCCTGCCTCGGAGTAGCTAGGACTACAGGTGCTAATTTTTGTATTTTTAGTAGAGACAGGGTTTCATCACGTTGGCCAGGCTGGTCTCAAACTCTGACCTCAAGTGATCCAAGCACCTCAGCCTCCCAAAGTATTGGGATTACAGGTGTGAGCCACATGCCTGGCCATAAGGAACTTCTTTGCTTCCCAAGTGAAGTCTCAAAGTTCAGGAAGGAAAATGAAGGACATGATGAGCACTGAGGGAGGGTCAAGGTAGAGGGGGATGAGAGGAAGGAAGTGCTGATGGAAAAATGTCCCTTATTTTAAGCTACTGCCTACTCTGAGCTGCTGCTAGCTCTTGCACTAAGATGTTTAGGTCCGCTTGCTGGTCTCAAGGATGGTGGTGGGGGCTTAGCATGTCTTTTCTTTTGCACTTCCAAAGCCTCACCTGGCTAGCAGCACCCAGACTAGGAAAATCCAAAACTACAGTTCCCTGTCTCTTAGATGGCAGCTTGGCAAGTACCCAGAGAGACTATGAACTCTGGGTATCGAAACCAGCAAGCAAGTACTTAATTTCAAATGGCCAGGCAGTATGCACTTAAAATATAAAACAAACTGGTGAGGGGGGCGGTAAGCCATGCCAATTGTTCCTAGAATCTCACCAAACATTTAAGGTAAGCCAGCCCTCTCAAAATGACCCACCTCAGTGAACTTCCTGAGGGCTGCACCCGGATGAAACAACCGACAGAGTCTACCTTTGTGTGCTAGGGTGGCGGGTGAGGTGGGGCGGGTAGTGACCACACGTGTGGCCGCGACTGACCTCTGGCTGCCGTTGCGGATGAAGCCCGAGGGGCACTCCTGCATGCACTCGCCGTCGTGGATCACAAACCCCTCGGAGTCGCTGCTCTCGGCGCTGAGGATGTTGGCGCAGAAGTCACGGTCCACACAGCGCCAGCCCTCAAACCTGTAGGTGTTGGGCGGGCAGGCAGGCACACAGACACCGGCATAGTAGTAGTGGCGGCAAGCTACACAGGCCGTGTCGTTGTCAGGCGCGCTGCAGCTGCCCAGGCACTCGGGGTGGCAGCACTCATTGTTCTCGGTGCACGCCCGCTTCCCACACGTGCTTGGGCACACTGTGGAGAGAGAGGAGAGACGGAGATGAGACCGGGCAGGGGAGGCACCGCCTTCTCTGGGCCTGGCCAGCATCCTTCTGGGTCATTCACTGCTACCACCAGCACCAGATCACTCATTGAGGAGACAATGCAAAAACACACTACGAAATCCTCACCCCCACCACTGTCCTTTCATCCACTTAGACCTGCAGAGAGTCGATATCTTTAAAGTTCAGTCTCTCCTAGGAACTCCTTGTTTGGTCTGGGACAAACCATTAGCTTCTGTGATCTTGATCCTCTCTCTTCCCATCTGTAAAATGAGGGGGATAATACCCACATTTGAGGGTTGCCTCAGGCGTGGGTCAGCCAGTGGAAGCCCTACAGGAACTCTATGGTTTATCAGTAATTTAAAAGGCATTGTGCTCTGCTCACTTTCCATTTCAAATATGTTCCTTACTGAAAACTCTTTTAAAGCCTTAGTGTGCAGAAATGCTTACTTTGAAAATGATTAAACTACACTATAGTAAAGATGATACCATTCAAAATGACTTCAGGGAAATTTCTGCTGCCTTAGATATCAAAGGTTTTACCTCAAATAAGCCAAAGCTGTTAGATGACAAAGAAGTCACCATGTCTGAGGGTCATTCTTAAGTCCAAGAACATAGGTGTGTTACAGGAAAGGAGTCCTGATCCAGACCCCAAGAGAGGGTTCTTAGATCTTACGCAAGAATAATTCAGGGTGAGTCTGTAAACTGAAAGCAAGCTGATTAGGAAAGTAAAGGAACAGAAGAATGGCTACTCCATACACAGAGCAGCCTGGAAGGCTGCTGGTTGCCCATTTTTATGACACGCTAAACAAGGGGTGGATTATTCATACCTCTCCATTTTAGACCATATAGGGTAACTTCCTGATGTTGCTATGACATGTAAACACTCATGGCGCTGGTGGGAGTGCAGCAGTGAGGACGATCACAGGTCACTCTCGTTACCATCTTGGTTTTGGTGGGTTTGCGCCGGCTTCTTTAACTGCATCTGCTAGATCAGCAAGGTCTTTATGACCTGTATTTTGTGCTGACCTTTAACCTCATCCTGTGACTCAGAATGTCTTAACTGTCTGGGAATTCGGCCTCATTTTACCTAGCTCCTATTCAAGATGCAGTTGCTCTGGTTTCAATGCCTCTGACAAGTGGGTGAGTAGCATCTCCGAGCCCACAGAACCATAGGATATTAGAAGCCACCTCCGCTAAGCCTCTTCGTGTGCTAAAGTGAAATCAGTATCTAATAACCACAGATCCATGGTGTACATCCCAAATGCATGAGCTGGCATTTATTTCCATAACAATGCTGTCGTGATCACACTCTGTGGGCTGTCAGCCTTACTTGTAAATTAAGTCTAAATCAACAAAATATGAAATCTGGTTTGCATTATACATTTCCTACTTTATCCTCAAATTGGAAAACAATACAAAATTATTTAAATGTGTATCTTTTTGACTCTGACATGCAATATTGAGTGGAGATTCTAGAATTTGTTTTTTCTTGTAATAAAAATACATGATTAAAAAAACCAGAGATCACAAACAAGTAAAGAGAATATAGAGAACAAGTAAGTCCACCTACCCACAAGTGACCCCTTTATTAATATCTTCAAGCAGACCTTCCCTGGTCCTTTCTTATGTATGTGCATGGACATATAAATACAAGTATCTACAAAAAAGACAAGCCATTCTGAAAGCTTTCTTTTGGCATAAAAGATTGTGAATTCCACAAACATTTAACAGCAGTATTACACTCCATTGTGGAATGTATCATAAGTTACACCTGTCCCCAATTATAAGATATTTTCTTTACTTTTTATTATTGCAATCGGCAAAGCAATCTTCATGAGCACCCTTAACATTTCATTAGGATCAATTTCCAGAATTCATCTTGTTGGGTTAAACTGTCCTCTAGAAAGTTTGTACCGGTTTACACACCCACTAGTTGCCTCCAAGAGTTCCTATTTCGCTGCAAATAGGTGAACTTGAAAACAGATATCAGAACTTGGACATGCAAATGAATAGCGTCACCTCTGAAGAAAACTGTCATGATACTGTCAAGCTTGAAATACTTTTGCAACTTTCTCTTTTGAAGTCATCCTTTGACAGAAACAACAGGTTGCCTTCCATTATTTATTCTTCTTGTCATTTTCAGTAATTTTTAGTTGATAATATGGCCATCCAGTTACAGACTACATCTCCCAGCCTTCCTTGTAGCTAGAGGTGGCCATATGACTTAAGTTCTGGCCAGTGAGATATAAACAAACGTTGTGACTGGAACTTCCTGGAAGACTCCTGAGAACAAAGAGGGCATGGCCATCCTCCTCCTTGCTGGCTGGAATGCAGTAGTAATGCTTGGAGCTCAAGTACCAACCTTGGACCACAAGGCGAAACATCAAGAATGGTGAAGCGAGATAAAAGGAACTTAGTCCCTTATGAGAGTGGGGCCGCTAGGCTAACCCTGGACTGCTTACTCCAGACTTCTTTAGATGTGAGAGACATACACTTTTATCTTGTTTCAATGACTGCTATTCATATATGCAACTGAACTAATCCCAACTGAGACATGTCTTCAGAGCTATCTCTAAAGTGAAGAAGAAACCCATTCCTGTCCATTTATGCCATTTTGTTGATAAGGATTGGCTCTCAATGACTCCAGGCTATTTCCAAAAACTAATCTAACCCACAAGTAATAAGGAGTTACCCATCTCTGATCACACCAAAAAAGTATGCATTTTATGAGTTCCTAAAATGTTGGGATATATATGCTGTCTACCAAGGTGACTTTCTTGAAGAGGATAACACAAATTTGAATGTACAAACCTAGCATATTTTCTGTAAACACACACACACACACACACACACACACTCTCTCTCTCTCTCATCAAACCCCCACTTGAAGACAGTTAATAATTTCAAATATATCCATTACAGAGGTCACCTCAAGGTCCAAGATCTAAAGAAACACTGCAATTGGGTATTCCAATTTCATGTTTTTAAACTGGTCACAACAGAATATAATTCCATCTATTCTTCATTTATTCATTTAGCAGCTATTTAATGTGTGCTGCACCTGTGTGCCAGACAGATGCACGCAGGATCAGCGACAATCCTGTCCCCAGGGAACGGACGACACAGCAAGTACGGGAGTGAGTGGAGCTGCCTGGTGTTTCCTGGGCTTCTGGGTGCCGAGGACGGTTTTGTGGAGTTGAAAGTGGAAAGATGAGCAAGGGAGGAATAAAGAACATCACATGTAAATGCTTGTAAAAGCAACGAGGTCACTGTGGGTGCAAGGGCTTGGGTGTTACTGAAGAAGGCCAGGGACCACTGCCCGGGGAGGCACTGAAGGCCTGTCCCAGAGGGTTTAGCCCAACTGTGGATAATACGAAACCATGGAAAGTTTTAGGCAAGGGAACAACATGCCCAGACCTTCGTATCAGAAAGGTTACCTGGCCGCAGTGCAAGGGACATGATGATCAGAGAGGGTAGGGCTGAAAGAAGAGAGGGACCAGGCTGGAAGAGAGCAGACTCCCAGCCTATGTTATTCCCACAAAATTCACGTCGTATAATGGATCTGTGAGGTTCAGTAAAACTGGTTACAGAAACAACGCTCACATTCCCGCTCGTCAGGCGTGTGCCAGCAGTATTAAGCATACACCCATCTTGGAGCACCGAGGCTGCTCTTCAGACATCACCATCACCATGCTTTGTCATTAGAGGAAGGAAACTCTGAGAATCTTACCATCATCATCAGACACTAACTGGGGGGACCAACATCTACTTGCAGAATCCCTTTCCCTGACAATTTAAAGAAAACATTATATAAAATGATGTGTAATAGACATTAAGATCAAGTAGCTATTAATGCAGTAGTAATAAGAACGTTGAAAAGAACAGAAAAATGTCCCTCTGCACTTGCTTGCAAATAGTTATACCTAAATATCAATGCCGGGATTTTCCAGGATGAGAAAGAAAAGAAAAAAAAAAACTGACAAAGTACCTGTAGATATATTCCGCATTTCCCACACATCTGAGCAGTAGTCCCCCGAAACTTCCCAAAGGAGTGAGTGAAATTATACCATCCAGTCAGTCAGTCCGTGCCACAACCGATACACAGGCTGGGGAAGTCAGGTGTGTTTCGGTGGTGGGAGCTATTTCTGAAGGAACTTCAGTAAAACCAACCAGGAAAAATCATTTTCTTTATATACAGAGCAACTTCTTAAAGGGATCACAAATCAAGGGGTTCCTTCGTGTTAAATGATGCAAACTATGCATAAGCACATGCTCTATGCGGGGGCAGCAATGGAATGTGATGGGGAGAAGAGGGGAAGGTCAAAAGGAAAGTTGCTCTGTTTGTTAGAGGACGAACTGCATAAATAAGCATTGCTGCAGAGACGGACACCATGCTCCCCTCACTGAAGCACAACCTGAAAGGATTCTAGGAGGCAAGCAAGAGAACGTGAGCAAGTGTGGGATTAGAGAGTCCTGGAGCCAGCCCCAGAGCCCGCTGTAAATTTTGTCTCATCTCAATGTATATAAATATTATTAGTGTTCAGGACCATTAAGGGATTTCTTGAAAAGCCCCGGGCAGTGTGTCTCGCCAGCAGATGGATGGCTGTTCCATGCGAGCGCCAAAACTGAGAATTTCACCTAGTACTACCAAATTTCCAATTACGGCGCTATGGGGGAAAGGAAGGGACCCTCTTCTCTGGCTTCCATGAATAAACACACTGAGTGCGATTAAAGGCATTTCAGCTTTTAAAAATAGGAGGAAAATAGAAGCTGCTATAAACTAACAAATATACAGAGAAAAAAGCAAACTGATTTTGCCCATGAGATCCTTCTATTCCTTGGAATTCTTACAGTGACCAACAATAAAAACAAAGGCCCATCTAAACTGTTGGAAAAGCTAACATGTCCCACATCCACCACTAAAAGGATTGGTTCAGGTTTGCAATCACATAAAAACGAGGCACTGCACTTAAAAGCTCCTTCTCTTCATTTTTTTTCCTTGGGGGGAGAGGAAAAAGAGTCACACACATCAGCCTTTAACTCTCTCCCTCTCCAGAGTCCTCGAATGTATCAAATTATTTCTAGAGTTTTTAAAAAACCATTTGTTTTTGTTCTTGCCAGAGTTTTTTTTTTAAATAATCATTAGTGCAGAGAAACCATTTTTAAAAGCATACCATAGGCTGGGCGTGGTGGCTCACGCCTGTGATCCCAGCACTTTGGGAGGCCGAGGCGGGCAGATCAACTGAGGTCAGGAGTTCAAGACCAGCCTGCCCAACATGGCGAAACCCCATCTCTTACTAAAAATACAAAAATTAGCCAGGTGTGGTGGCACGTGCCTGTGATCCCAGCTACTTGGGAGGCTGAGGCAGGAGAATCGTTTGAACCCAGGAGGCGGAGGTTGCAGTGAGCCAAGATTGCACCATTTTACTCCAGCCTGAGGGACAAGAACAAAACTCTATCTCCAAAAAAAAAAAAAAAATAGGAGACTCAACCTCTTCACAAGGAACAAAACATGAAAGAGGGGCCACCTGGCCATACAATATTTCATAATGCAAACAATTTTATCCCCAATCATTTCTAAAGGAAAGAACTTATTCTGCAGATGTTCAAATAAGGTAAAGCTTCTGAATCAAAATACGGAAGAGTTTAGGGCCATCTCAGCTGTTTCTGGGTTGCCCTAAGGTACACACCACTGTTCCATATAAACGCAGGGAGGCTTTCCCTAGCAGGCATGCATCCTCGTGCAGGAGGATTAACCGCTCCTAACTTCACGAAAGTGAGCTTCAACCTCCAAAGTGCATCAGAGAGACACATGGTCCAAAGAGATTTTATGATTCTCTTGCCTTGCCAGGAGAGGAACTGACCATGAGACAACACGGGGAGGAGAAGGAAAGGGAGAGGGGTGAGGGCAAGCGAGGGGCTCTAGGTGAACTGACATGCAGCGTCCTGCCCCAGGCCGAACAGAAGTCCACCCAGGACGTGGGCATTCTTCTCCAGAAAGGACTTAGCTCAGCTAAGCAAATGAGAAAGGCTTCTTTTGATTTTAGCAGTCAGGCCTCAGGTAGGTTACACCCTATAGACGTGGCAGGTTCGGGGACTCAGCCCAGCCCTCCCAGGGCTCACAGCCTGAGGACAAGCAGTGAGAATATGAGCCAGTAGCAAGCAAAGGGTAGCTTAGGGCTGCCTGCCAGGGGAAGGGACTTCCAGGCCAAAGCTGGACAAGTGAGTAGGAGCTAGCAGGTGCATAGGGATGCTGGCAGAGCCAACAGAGAGTGCGGGCCAAGAGAAGCAAAGGTAACAAAGACAACCTCAGCATGACTGAAGGATGGAAGCACTGGAGACAGAGGGGAGGGGAGACTGGGAGGAAAGATGGTGTGCCCTGAGGTAGGGAGAGCCTGGAACAGCCTTTTAATCCAGCAATAGGAGTTTGGACTACTCTTAAGAGGAAAAATACTATTTTAAGCAGGAGGCACATGATCAGATGTGCATTCTAGCCTCAGTAGCCCAGATCAAGAGGACAGCAGTGCAGATGAGGAAAAGCAGGGTAGATTCAAGATATGTCCAGGACCATCTGGAAGGGTACAGAATTTCTTTTTTTTTTTTTTTTTTTTTGAGACGGAGTGTCACTCTGTCACCAGGCTGGAGTGCAGTGGCTCAATCTCAGCTCACTGCAAGCTCCAGCTTTGCCTTCCGGATTCTTGCCATTCTCCTGTAGCTGGGACTACAGGCGCCCGCCACCATGCCCAGCTAATTTTTTGTATTTTTAGCAGAGACAGGGTTTCACCGTGTTACCCAGGATGGTCTCAATCTCCTGACCTCGTGATCCTCCTGCCTTGGCCTCCCAAAGTGCTGGGATTACAGGTGTGAGCCACCAGGCCTGGCCGGGTACAGAACTTTTCTTTTGAGGGGTACAGAAAGATCAGCTCAGTCTGGGACGTGTTGTTTTTGTGTACACATCCAAACGGAAATGCCTGGCGTGCAGTTTGTGTGGATGCAATCAGGCGTGATCTGAGCTGGAAACATCCTGGGGTGTGGTCAGCAGATGGATGGAGAAGGGACTGTGGGTTGGGTGTGGGGGAGGTCTGAGGATGCCCGGGGGACCCAGGAGAGATCACAGCACACACCGTGGCCAAGGCTGCCACCGTTCACAGGGGCCTAGCAGCCCCCCAGTGGAGTGTTCACTCCTTTAGAATACCCCCATTCCTTTAAAAGAAATGTGCTCGAGGGGATTACAGTATATTCATCTGTGAATTCCCAGACCCATGTTTCACCCTTCTCTGTCCCCAAGTCTAGGTAACAATAATAATGTATTTGTGGAATTATCTGGAGCCTCATGAACATGGTACCAAGGGCCTAAAGGCAAAGAGTTTTCAACAAAGGGTTGGTTTTTGCTGCCTTCTGTCTGGTCTTCAAACTAACCAGAGTGACAATAAAAAGAGCCCCTCCCTCAGGGGCTGCCTAGGAAGCCTGTGTGCCCTGCTGCTTTTCCAGGGAGGCAGAGGCAGCCCGGCGAACACTTTCGACAGAAAGGGTATCTTTATTTTCAGCACCCATGAATGACTGCAGAGGGACTCAGGGAACCCACGGCTGGCACAGGAGGAGGACAGCCTAGCCGGGGCAGGCGCTGAGTCCACTCAGCTGACAGGTGTGCCACCATGCTCTCGCCTCGTAAAATAATCTTCAATCAATCCTCGCTTCTGTCCTCTCACACACACTACTCCCCATCCCTATCACCCCAGGGAAGAAGAGAGTGACGGTGAGCACAGGCTTCTCAGGCTGAGAGAGCCACCGTATTACAGCTTGGCTATTAGTTTGAAGTTCTTTAAACAAGTCTGCTAGGTTGGAAAAGGAAGCTTAGTTGAAAATGCTTAGACCCACGAGGTAAAACCAAATGCTGCACATACACACAGTAAAGACATATTTTCTCAAAATGAAGACAAGAGGATTCTGTCAAGCTTCTGGTCATCCTAAGGAATGGTTGGAAAAAAACCCCACTGAGCCACTGCCTAGAGATTCCAGGAAGAGTTTAAAACAACTTCCAAACAGGTTTCTGCCTGGAGCTGCAGCCATTATGTGGAATCAGCTACGCACGGCAAAAGAAAGTTCAAGTGGCAAGCGCTGTGTCTTAAACGTTCACAAAAGAAAATCACATCGGCAACATTTCTCAATGCCAAAAAGAAACAACCTCTTGTTCTAGAGAAAATATCCCACTATAGTAGTTAGACCCAGAAGAAACACTTTATGGTCAGAATGGAAGATACCACAGTTTGTCTGTCTGAACCTAAATAAAAAGGTTTTCAAGAGAACCAGCACTTTGGGGGTGCACCCAGGAGCACACAGAAAGGTACACCTGAGCAGAATTCTCAGTGTGCACAGCAGGGCTGGTTAGTCAGGGGGCTGGACCACACCTTTCTGAACCTGTTAAGATAGCAGGCCTGAAAGCTCTCATTTTCTCCCAAGTCCAGTGTGTACAAGGAGATCTTGCAGTCTTTGAAAGGGGTTGAGACTCCATTTTGAGTCTGCTGTCTTCCTAACAGGAAGCCTAGACAAGGGTGAACTTCCTAATGTACTAGGGTATACAGAAGGGGCAAGGAGTTACATATTTTCACCCCTCATCACTGTCCCTATTCACTCTCTTCTTCTACATTCCCATCCCTCTGAGGTGACACTGGGTTGCAGGACTGCTTTATGGCATGCAAAGGCAGGCAAGAAGCTCCTAGGGCCATGACATCCACCTGGCCCAGTTTACAAGCAACAAGCACTTATGCAGTCCTTTCTCCCTTTCATCCAATCACAGATTCTTAGATCTGAAGAGAAATTTACAGTCATCCATTGCATACTGATCTGAAACACTTCTTTACAAAAACCTGGGTGACTCTTCAAACAAAGTCCAAGGGAGCTCATTACTTTCCAGGAAGTGCTACTCCACTGCCAGATGGCACCCATCTTGACGAACTTCCTCCATACACATATTAAAAATGCGCTTTCCTGTACTGGACCCTCCCCAGCCCTCATGCAGGTGTCTGACACGCAGGGGAAGTGAGTGCTGCTTTGTACAGGTCAGACTTTCAAACAATATTCCAAGATGACGGTCACGGCTTCCCTCTGAACATCTTACTCAGTCACCACTCACGCAACACGCCCTAGACCTATTCTAACAGTACAGAGGCAGTCTGAACAGTGTAGAAATGCTCTTTTTTGCCCAAAGCAGCTTGCTTGCCGTTTCTCTGTGTGATCTTAAGAATAACTATCATCAAACATAGCTGGCTCACTCTGAGCTTCTAGTCACCTGAAGTTCCAGGTCTTCTTGTTCACAAAAACTATTCATATCTCTACTATATAAATGTAATTTATACTGGAGATTCTGAATACAGGACTTTGTATTAATATACAGTTAATATTCACTAAATATATTCCATGCGCCTTACAACACATTAAGCATCTCACATATATTTCTGCATTTAATTTAATCCCCCTAATGATCACAAGGGGGCAGTATCATTATCCTCATTTGTACATGACCAAATGTTCACACCAAGAGCACACAGCTGTTACACTGCAAACCTGGGCTTGGAACCCAGATCCTCCTGACTGTTGATTGCAGCCTCTTCCCCCACCGTGTTTATGGTGGTATGTGGTTGCAGCATGTTTCTATTGTCTAAAAGGAAGGGCCGGCCAGGCACAGTGGCTCACGCCTGTAATCCCAGCACTTTGGAAGGCCGAGACGGGTGGATCACCTGAGGTCAAGAGTTCAAGACCAGCCTGGTCAACATGGTGAAAGCCGATCTCTACTAAAAATACAAAAATTAGCTAGGTGTGGTGGTGGGCACACCTGTAGTCCTAGCTACTCGGGAGGCCGAGGCAGGAGAATTGCTTGAACCCGGGAGGCGGAGGTTGCAGTGAGCTGAGATCGCGCCACTGCGCTCCAGCCTGGGTGACAGAGTGAGACTCCATCTCAAAAATAAATAAATAAATGAATGAATATTTTAAAAATAATAAAAGGAAGGGGCTATGGGAGTTCATCTCATGCTACTTTTCCATTTAAGCATGTATCCATCAGGAAGAAATACAGCACCCTTTTCTCCGCCACACTAAGAGGTGTATCACTTAGACTGAAGGACAAAACCCAGGCAACATGACACTCTGGAAAAGGGTCAGGCATCCAGGTGATGCTAAGGAGATAACACGTACCCACTAAGGCCTTCTTTATTTATTGAGTTCCAGCAAATGGAACTTTTTTTTTTCTCTGCAGAAGTGTGCAAGCAGTTTCCAGCCTTGCTGAGCTACATGAATTGATGAAGAAAATACACTCTCATTATCTAATCTCATTACTAAGACTTGTTTGGGTGGAACTGGCTCTGTGGGTCACTGAGTCTTTCTGGGTCTTGTTGTTCTGTCTCCTGATAGCACAGTCACTTACATATGGTTATATTTGCCCTACAGAACATGCTGCAGTAACTGCCTCTGATGAGAGGAGCTTCTGCTTCAGTTGTTGCAATTGAGCAGTGACCCTTGCTGATAAACCTGTGGATTTTGGTATCTGTGGGAGGTCCCAGAACAAATCCCCCATGGGCATCAAGGGAAAACTGTCTATGGTACCACTATGATGTCTTATAGGCTATGTCAAGCTTGTGAAATTAAAGAACAAAGTCTGTTGTGGAGAAGAAGAAAAAACTTAGTTCTATGCCATCCCCTTGGTGGTGTATATAATCAAGGCTCACAGAAATATCCAAGTTCCAAGTAGATTCTCACTGTCTGGGACAGAAGGCATGCCACAAGGTTTGGCTGCTGAATGTATCTGTGAACACTTAATTAATGAGCAAAAGAAATAATTGCCTGACAGTGCCCACTGGATCACTTAAGTCTCCGGAACCAACACGCAACGCTGGGCAGAGTATTGAGAAAAAAGAAAAACAAGCAAACACCACAAAAAGGGCAAGCAAGAAACCAGAAGGAGGAAAGTTATAAATAGCATCATTATTAAATAGAGGTTTTGAGAGCTAATTAGTAAGGGTAAAGAGAGAGAAGTCATCAATGCAAAGAATTAACACAAAGGCTGAGAAGGAGGCTCAGGAATCGTCCTCTAGCTGGGCTGTTGGGATGGTATAGGTTATAGGATGCTTCCCCTTCCTTCACACATTTTTTACAATAGCTTTATTGAGATCTAATTCACATACCCTATAACTCACCCATTTAGAGTGTACAATTTGGTAGCTTTTAGTATATTTAGAGAGTTGTACAAACACCACCACAATTAATCTTAACAATATTTTCATCACCCCAAAGAAAAACCCAATACCCGTTAGCCATGCTTCCCACGCCCCTTTCCCAGGCAATCACTATTACACTTTTCGTCGCTATAGATTTGCCTATTCTGGATATTTTACATGAATGGAATCAGACAATAGGTAGTGTCTTTTGTGACTGGCTTCTTTTACTTAGCATAGGTAATGTTTTCAATATTTATCTCTGGTGTGGCATATATCAGTACTTCATTCCTTTTTATTTTCATTCATAAATTTTGACTTTCATGATTCATATCACGGGAAGATTAGCCCTGTAACCTTTCTATGAATGTGCAGTGATAAAATCACAGGTACACTGGTCACAGGTTGGTGGAGAGAGGCCCATCTGGACCTCAGAATCTATCTGCATTCTAGATTCATTCTAAAGGAAAAACGATTTGGTAACGCTATCAAATCAACTAAATTGTGCCATTCTTTGATACCAGGAAAAAAGAGTTAAGAGACATCCAATCTGTCAGGGAATGTTCACCCCCGTGTGCCTCCCCTCTGCTCCGAGTCAGCAGGACACGTGCTCTAATGATGGAGAATAAAACAGTGGAAGGTGCCTCATCTTTACAGAAATGCCTGGCAGAGGAACTGGATGCTATAGCACAGAAAGCCTCCTTAGATGGCAGCAAGGGAAAAAAGCAAAGGAATAAAGTCCAATATTAAGAAGGGGCTGGGGGCGGAATTTGGCCTTCTACTTCTTTTACTATCACTGTATTTTTATAAAATATTCTTTTAAAAAATATTCTAGTGTACTCTGAAATCATCCCCGAATTCTTTCTTTTAAACTCATATTCAAAGCCTACTTATACATTTGGGAAAGAGAGATAAGTTATAATGGTAACGACAAAAAATCAAGGACAAAGGCAATGAAGAACACTGTGAAATCCAGGCTGGACCGGCCCTGCTTCGGCGTTCTGGGGCGAGGTCATCATGAGCCGGGTTTCTTCACGCATGGACACACAGTGTCGCTCTCACAACCCACATCCCCCCTATTTTTTTTTTCTTTGAGTCAGAGTCTTGCTCTGGCGCCCAGGCTAGAGTGCAATGGCACAATTTCGGCTCACTGCAACCTCCACCTCCCGGGTTCAAGCAATTCTCCTGCCTCAGCTTCCCGAGTAGCTGGGATTATAGGCGCCCACCACCACGCCCAGCTAATTTTTTGTATTTTTAGTAGAGACGGGGTTGGTTTCACCGTGTTAGCCAGGATGGTCTCGCTCTCCTGACCTTGTGATCCACCTGACTTGGCCTCCCAAGGTGCTGGGATTATAGGTCTGAGCCACCGTGCCTGGCCTTTTTTTTGTTGTTGTTTTTTTTTTTTTTTTTTTTTTTTTTTTTTTTGAGTCTTTCACAAATAAGAAGAGAGAAATCACTGCAGAATGGGTGACTATTTTGCAACTCTTCCCCAGTACTGTGAGCAACAGGCATGTGTACGTAAAGACACCCATCACTTAATACTGCCTGTCACAGATGCTTAAATGGACAGGGTGGAAAAAAATATTCTTTTCACACACTTAAAAGTTACTTCAAGTTATTTTAAATTTGGAACTGTTTGTATATTCCTTATAAGTTTATAAAACTCACACTGTCCCTCCATGACTAACTAAAGTGGAATTGAGAGAGTATTCTATATTTGTAACTTGACTGGTTGTTCATGCTTACAGCCCTATTTCCATTCTCTGTTACTGTACACAGAGTTATGTGAGGTATTGTGGGCTCCTAAATGTTGCTGATTTCCTAACAAGGCAGGCCTGTGTCCCGTAGGGACAAACTGGGGACTGTTTTGACCAAGTGGAGGCCAAGCTCAGAGGGAGAGGCCTCCAGCTTTGTCGTTTTGGCTGCATCTCCTAAAACTAGTGTTAGAGCCCACTTCTGGGCAATTACATGGCTTACTGGTGTTGACCAAGGTATCAATGCTACCGATACACTGCCTATTACACATACCTTAGACGCTCAATGCCACACAGCTGTGGCTGCAAATGTCACTTCTGCCTATTTTGGTAAAAACTGTTAGTCCAAAAGGTGCAATGTTTCAACAACCTACGCAAAAGCCCCTGCCACACACATAATCATTTATGTCAACATAACTTAAACGACTAAACTGAAGACAGCCACTTGTAGGGAAACTACTATTTAGAGAAGAGTATGCAATGTTTCTGATAAAATTTTGTCAACAACAGCAGAACTGTTTACCAGGAAACTGTGATAAATGTACGAGGTACCTAGGGAGGTAGATTTTTTTGCACTACCTGTGGAACTTAGATTTTTACCTGCACACCTGTACAGGCAAATCACAGTGAAGCCTCTTCACAGGTGCTGAGTAAATTGAACAAGAACAGCTCCTCCAACGCTACCTCCTTAGGAGGATACACACCTATTCAGTGACCTCACAATTTTGCACAATCACTTGTGAAAGTCTCTTTTTAAAAATGCTTCTAGAGGCCACAGCACATTCTTTGACAGAACCTCAAGAGTAGCAAATTTTTTGGGGAAAAAAAAAAAAAAAAAAAAAAAAGGCTGCTAGTGCCATTTTTCTTTCTTTCCCAATGCCAGAAGCAGAAACAGGTATCTCATTTCAATTCTGTGGCTGTTGGTGAGGCTGGATTATCTTTTTCACACATCTCTTGGCCATCTGCATTACCTGTGGCGTTAACTTCTCTTCGTGTCCTGGGTCCATTTTCTTCCTTGGATCTTAAGTTTGTATTATATATTTAAATTTGAGCTCTTAAAGAAGTACATGCTTTTTAAACACAGCATTGTGCCTTTAACACTTTTGTTTTAGATGGCTTTGTGATAAAATGCCTTTATGTGTAAGTCAGTCTCTCTCTCTCCCTCTGGGTCCCTCTCCCTGTCATAATTAAAGCTGCCAAGAAGCATGGACAGCAACAGCTACAGATCAGTAACCTTGAAACTTGTTTATTTCTTATCTTTCCAGCTTCTCTGGTCACCTCTCCTTTGATCTGGTTACTTTCTGATGGCACACTTTTGGACTTGTAAACATTTATTATAGAGTATACATTATGCTTAAATGCTACACTACTCTTTTCCATCATCAAATCTGATTGCTGGCCCTATCTCCTGAAGTTAAAGTACCTTTTACATTGTGCAGAAATCACAAAAGATCAACTAGACTTTCAAAGTAAACTCTTATCCAGGATGGAGAGCAGAACAGAGTATCCCAGATAATCATACATTCTCGTTAACAGAATTACCACATAAGCCTCATGAGAACCAGTTTTTTGGGGGAACTGTACCAAAGAACACTCCCACCTTCAAAAATACATGGAACTTATATTTAATCTATCTGATGATTCAAAAGTGCCTCGGAAAAAAACATACAAATGTAAAACTATCATCTTTGGAATGTTCTCGCAAAGATTACTACTAAAAACAAAAACAAAACACTTGCCATTCCCACAGAATTCTGTTGGCTCATATTTTATTTTGCTAGTTTTTATTTTTGTGGGTGGTAGAGCTGGTGGTAGTGGGGCTGTGCACTTGATACAAGTATACCAGCCTTGCCAGAATGCATTAGAAGTGCTAAAACCCCATCTTGGCAGTACAAATCCAATCATATTGGCAACTCTCATTTCCTCAATTTCAACTAGGGAAAAAATCTGACCCCACACTTTATAAAACGTGGATGAAGGATTTCAAAGTTCAAGACTCTCTCTCTCTTTTTTTTTTTTTAACTCTTAATAGTTTTCTTTTTTTGTAGATGATAGGTAAAATTGGGTTCAAATGAAGAACACAGGCATCCCATGAGTAAAATCCTAGTTGAAGAGTGAATTTCACCTGTAAATGCCCAATGGAGATGGCCTTCCAGCAACCTTCTGCTTTTTCCAATTAATTAGGAAACATCTGGGAGTAAATTCTTATTTGATCCCCAAACCATTAAATATCTACTATTATTTCCTGGTTTTAGGTATTCGGTTCATTCCAGACTATCATGCAAATTGTAAAGTGAATTATTTTGCTGCTGGCCCACCCAACATCACTTACAGTTTTAGGAAAGCTGGAACATGAAGCCAATTATGACAAAGCCTACTGTTACTAAAAAGTAGCGTGGAAAATTCAAGGGCTTTCCCTTCAGACGTGATGCGTATGAGGCCTGTCATCCATCCTATGCCCCGGCAAACTATCTGACCACTCTGGGCCAAACTGAAGGAGGTCACGCTTAGAGAGTCCTAGCACCGTGCTCCCAGATCCAGTGGGCTTCTCCTCTCTTCCTGCTGGGGAAGCCTTCACCCCAACCCCACAGCCTCATCTTTTAATTGCCTCCCAAACATTAGCTGATTTTCAGGGATCAAAGGAATTTGCTTTGAAAGATGAAGGAACTTAACACTTAGAATAACTATAAAATCAAAACAAGCAGGGCAGCTCTACAGTGGAAAGCACACGTGATCTTTCATTCCATCCTTGGTCTGAACACTAAAGCCATTCTCAAAAAAAAAAAAAGTTCATACACATAACTGCCCATGCATCCACATGCTTTGCAGACACGAGAATGTGTGAAGTTTACTTGCTCAATGAAGGGATCAGTAGACAGCAACTTGTACAACACATGACTGTACTTCCCAAATTAACTTCTTAACCCTTTCCCTGAACACCGTAAAAACCCAAACTGGCCAAGTCACCTAAAAAAAAAAAAAAAAGAAAAGAAAAGAAAAGAAAGAAAGAAACTAAAAGGAATCTCAAGCATAAATCTCTTCTTCAAAAATCTTATCCAACATTCTGGACTTGAATAATCTGAAAACAAAGATCTGAAAATGTTTCATTTTTTTTTTTGGCCTTCTTCAAAGAAATAAGCTTTGTAGGAACTTTGAGATTCATGTCAAAACAACTGCTGTCTCCCGAAATCCCGGAGCATCCTCGTCCCGGAGCCGAGGACCTGGGCAGGCCAGAGGGCAGAAGCTGCAGGCTGCAAACTGGTGTGCAACATCCCTGAGGATGTGTTTGTGTTTTACTCACAGAGAACAAGTACTGGCAAGTGACAAAAAAAGAACATGTTTTGCAAACAATCAGTGTGACCTGAAACCCAGGGTAAAGGCTGAAGTCAGCATTTGTTCACTGCAGCACGAGCCAGGCTCTGCAATGCTTGTTAAATGGAGTGCTCTGGAGAAGAGAACGGCTTCTCAGTTTCCCCCAATCACCCAGAGGACCTGGGAAGGGAGGGGAAAAGGAGGGCCGACTCCCCACCCCCAAGCTAGGCTGTATCAGTTTGTTCTGCTTCACTGCAGAGCTGGAGCCAGGGAGCATCTTTGAAATTAGATGAATGCCCAATGGAAGGGGTCTTCGAATTCTGGAGCTGAAAGCAACTCAAGATCACGACATCCAGTCAAATGTCTTCACTTGGCAGATAAAGTGAAGACCAGAGAACCAAAGCTATGAAAGCCACACCACTCACAAGAGTTGGGTTAAACACCCAGGTCCCCAGCCTCTGAGCCCACGGCTCTTGTCACATCACGATGTCCCCAGCTCCCCTACTTCACCGAAAAGATCTCTCAATCTTTAAAGCATATGACCCCTTTTGACAAACAACCCGCAAATTTTCTTTAATACTGTTGGAAATGTTGAAATGGACTGCCCTCCTCCAATTTCCAATTCTGAAACTGCCTATTGAAAACGTTTTTCTCCCAACTGCACTTGCTTCCCACCCTGCCAAACAGACTTCTGCTAGTCTAAGTAAAGCCTCTGAAGTGCTTTTCCCCAACTGCACTCTCCTTACTCCTATCTAAATAAACAGCACCCGAACTTCTCCTTAAGTCCACTTTTTTCTTCTGCTTCACAGATGGGAAGACTTGCTCTTCCTAAATTACCATTCTCACCCCATGCAAGAGCTCTGCCGGGCCACCAAAGATACATTTTGGACCTGTTACTTCCATCCTCCTGCCCGCCCTGTCCACATCACATGCCCATAACTCCTCCCTCCCTCAACCCCCATCCTTTGAAATTTCTAAACCCCCGGCAGAGGAAGCGCCGCAGGGCTCTTAATAAGCTCAGTCATGCTCGAAATATCTGTTTCACCCACGAGGTGTGGTAGGCAGCAGTTCTGACCGGAGCATACATTTAGGGAAAAGATTATCTACTTCCAAGACTCAGTATTTGGAATTCCTAAAAATGCCACTTATTCATTTTCATTAACATACCTGTGAACTTGCAACAATTTTGAGGGTTGAAAGGATACCATCTGTAATAGCCAGCATCCACCTACACACATGGTAACTGCAGCAGGTTAAGAAATCGCCCTTTCTGTTGGTGTGACCACAGAAAGATATTGCATATTGCAACTCTCTTTGCCCTGGAACTTGCAAAACTTACAGGAAATCTTCCACCACCTACATAGAAAATCCACTGCCAGAAAAATGAAGTGTAAACACTTTATATTAAATTAGCCAGAGGCTTAAAGAAATCACATCCCAATCCGATATTTTCAAATTCTGGCTCACTTTCAAGTTTTATGGTGCACACAGGAGCAGAGGCACAGCGGACACATGACTGCCCTCTGCAGAATGTTTTGTTTTTTCGATGAAGAGAAATAATCTACAAATTAGTATACAACTCAAGCTACCTAGAGAAAGCAGCCAGCGATCTTGCTTCCTTTATGTGGGGTTTCTTGTCCATATCTTTACACTGGACTAGGATGGCCATCAAAAATACAAATCTATTTACCTAAAGAGAAATCTTGAAGCTGATCCTAAACTTATTGGAGATTTTTTTGAAAAAAAGTATCAGTGAAAATACAGAAAGAATAGGAAAAAGTGGAAAATGTTGATGTGCCTCAGGTTATTACGTATAACATGCATCAATAAGTCTTGTGAGATATCCCATGTAAAAAAATTTACCAGCTGCTAACATTGTCATTTACCCCAACCCCTCCCACTGGAGCAGCTTTACCTTCAGGGTGCACATCCCCTGAAGTGGCCCCTTGACATCCTTGGCTTGCCTTCAGGGAGGAGGACATGATGACGCGAGGTAGCATTCCTCTGTACACAGTGTCAAAAATATATTAAAAAGCAAACAAAACTACCAGTCCAGAAGCTATGCTGGCAAAATTTAAAGCAAAAAATTTAGAAACAGCCTACGCCCATTTATATGCCAGCCTGGCTGCATTTTTAAGGGCACAAGTCATGTCTGTCTGTCTGTTTTGTTTTTTTTTTTAATTGGTTTTAGGGAAAGTCAATGTTTAAAATTTTAAGATGCTTAAGTTCATCCTCTGCTTAGGAGGCAGAGCATGGGGATGGCAGGCTGTGCCCATGCAAGAACAGGGACTCTCGGGTTAGAATGAAGTAAGTTTCTATCCCAGCTTTGTCATTTATTGGCTGCTGTGTATCAGAGGGACTTGTTTTCCTCAGTATACACATAAGACAAATTTCACCTGTGCTACTGGTATAAGATGAAATGTGGCAAACCACGGAACTATACTGAGTATGTCTCCTGGCGGATCTTAGGTACTCTTTAAACATTAGCTACTATTATTATTTGATCCCTAGACTGAACTTCTAGTCCTGACTCTGCTAATTCTGCCTGCTCAGCTGAAGTGTACATGGGGTAGGAGAGATGTCCAGTCTCGCATTATGACCCGCTGGTCTCTCATCCTTGGAGGTGTCCAGTGGATTATAACGTGCTGGGAAGTGGGTAAATGGGGAGACCCCAAGCCATGTCTCTGATCAGTTCATATACTAGTAATCCACAGATTTAATTTCCAGGGGAGGGCTATGTGGCAAAGAAAGAAAAAAAATCATAAGACAAGATTCTAAAATATTTCAAATTTCACCTCTGCTCAAATGAAAATATTACAAATTCTAGTTTTTCAGCACTGTTCTTCAATCCATTCGCTCGAAAATAATCTTCATTTAGTGCAGGTTGGACATGGGTTTACCCAAGACATCATTTGAAGGCCCAGTATAGTTCAGATGCTATTGTGAAGGGTCTTCAGGATGCAGGTACCCACTGGGGTGGTGGAGGTAGGGTGGGGGCTGAGGCTGCCAAGAAAGCTTTCAACTTCCACTAGGAAGGAGTTCCTTTTAGACAGGGAAAAAAGTTTCCCATGCTTCCAATGACTTTACTTGGCTCTTCAACAAACAAACAAACTCCCAATACAATGTGCTCCTAAATAACTTTATTCAACTTTTACACAGTGATATGGTTTGGCTCTGTGTCCCCACCCAAATCTCATCTTGTAGCTCCTATAATTCCCACATGTTGTGGGAGGGACCCGCCGGGAGCTAACTGAATCATGGGGTGGGTTTTTCCCTTGCTGTTATTAGTTAATATGTCTCACAAGATCTGATGGTTTTTAAAATGGAAGTTTCCCTGCACAAGCTCTTCTTCTCTTGGCTGCTGCCATGTGAGATGTACCTTTCACTTTCCGCCATGATTTTGAGGCCTCTCCAGTCACATGAAACTGTGAGTCCAATAAACTTCTTTCTTTTGTAAATTGCCCAGTCTTGAGTATGTCTTTATCAGCAGTGTGAAAATGGACTAATACACCCAGATTAGATGAAAACTCTCTGGACGTAGCAAAGGGATCCAGAAGCTCCTTCCTCTGTGGTAAGGAAAAGACTTCCTACAACCAATAAAGAAACAGGTGAAGAAGCAAGTCCCTTGTTATTAATTACTGGGCTGAGATGGAGGTGAGTGAGAGGTAAATACCATTATGATACCAAATTTTAGGACAGGCATCCTGAAATGCTCTAACAAATGGACGATGCTAAACAATTCTATTCAACAAGGTTCTGCACCTAGTTCCTACTCTCTGGTTCAATCAGAGGTTACTCAAAGTTACGGGTTCACCGGAACAACTTGGATGCTTGCTTGAGAGCTGGGTCTAAATATCTGCCATTATGACTTCCCAGGTCAAAGGAATCTCTTCCTGGATCAGTGGGCTGGATATCTGAGTTGCAAGCAAGAACATACGCAGGCTGTTTTCTGATTGAAAAGAGCACTGGCTTTGTGCATGCGCGCCCTGGGCCAGCTCCTGGGCATGGAGGTGGAAAGGACAGCCAACTGGCTGGTGCAGCCGTCAGACTGCCCAGTTCTCATGCCTCCCGCACCTCCACTATCTAAGACCAACTGCTCTGCTTCACAAAAAGTCATCCTGGTGCCAGTGCCATGGGAACATTCCTTCACTCTTGCTCCATCACTCAAGGCCATTGCAACGGAAGGGAGTATGTCAGGAGTACATTGCCCACCTGCTTTTCTCAGATTTCCCCTCTCTGACCCTGTATCAAGGAAGTTGCATTCACTCATCCATTTGGCAAAGATTTCTGTAATTTCCTGGTATGGGCACTCTTGAGCTTCTGGGATGCGGCTGTGTCTGCCTGTACTCCAGGTTCAGAACACAGAAGCGCTGACAGTACTAAATCATGATGGGGATACACAAACACACACACACATGCACATCTTTTCTCTCCTAGCCCCTGCTCCAACCACACTGGCTGTTTTCTTTTCCTTGGAAGGAAGCAGACCATTTCCTGACTCTGGGCCTTCACACACGCTGTTCCACCTGCCTGGCTTATGCCTCCTTGCACTCTGGACCTGCCTAGAGATGCCTTAATGACCTGCCTGCTGGATGTCATCATTCCCAAGAGGTCTCTCCTGACCGCCCTCTCTGAGTAGGTGCCATTCCTGCAGCCCCATCATTTTATGATAACATCCTTCCCATCTCCTTCAAAGCACTGATCGTGTTTACAATCAAAGACTTATTTTTGTTTTTGGCCAGGGCCTAGGTGGAAGAGAGAATGAGGAGTTACTGTTTAATAGGTACAACTTCAGTTGTGCGAGATGAAAAGAGTTCTGAATATAAATGATGGTCACGGCTGCAAAACAATGTGAATGTTCTTACTGTCACTGAACTGTACACATAAAAACGGTTGGATGGTAAATTTTATGTTATGTGCATTTTACCACAGTTTTTAAAAGACTTACTTTTAGGTTTACTGCCTCTCTCTCTTCCACTAGTGTACACTGTACTAGGGCAGGAATCCTGTTTTTTCACTGTGTTCCCAGGGCCATGCTCAGTATATACTTGTAATGCACACATTGTAAGCTCCTTGCGGGACACCATTCCTTATTTTTATTTGCCTCACAGCTCCTCCCAGAGAGCCTTACACACAGATAGAGACAGGTGTTAATTTAGCCCTGGACGACTACATAGGCAAACTTTCCAAAAGCAAAGCCCTTGAATTGTATATAAAATGGGGGGAGGCAGGTGTGCACATACAGACTTTAAGATGTCTCTTCTTCTGCCTTGGCTTACAAGAATCTCAAGGGAGTGCGGTGGTTCATGCCTGTAATCCCAGCACTTTGGGAGGGTGAGGCGCGTGGATCACCTGAGGATGGGAGTTCGAGACCACCCTGACCAACATGGAGAAACCCCATCTCTACTAAAAACACAAAATTAGCCGAGTGTGGTGGCACATGCCTGTAATCCCAGCTACTCGGGAGGCTGAGGCAGGAGAATCGCTTGAACCCGAGAGGTGGAGGTTGCGGTGAGCCGGAGATCGTGCCATTGCACTCCAGCCTGGGCAACAAGGGCGAAACGCCGTCTAAAAAAAAAAAAAAAAAAGAATCTCAAGGGAGCCAGGTTCCAGGAAGAATAATCTTCCTTCTCATGTGGTGTGGTCGTTGCCAATTTGACCATACAGGTCCTGTGTAATACCCATGCGGTATGTGGTGTTTTTTTTTGTTGTTGTTGTTGTTTGTTTTTTTTAATTGAAAGCTGTCTCGAAATCTCTTTGGAATTAGACAACATATAAATGGAAAGCAAGTAAGTCCAATAATAGAAGGGAGTTTCCTGGCGGATAAGTACTTTCCTATGTTTCAACAGTCAACTGTTATTAAATAAATAGACGATGACAAGAATAATATGA
The DNA here is from genome assembly GCF_000001405.40 of Homo sapiens. Classification (NCBI taxonomy): domain Eukaryota; kingdom Metazoa; phylum Chordata; class Mammalia; order Primates; family Hominidae; genus Homo; species Homo sapiens. The sequence continues at coordinate 98,869,130 of NC_000015.10, read as the reverse complement.
AAAAATATTTCCTTGCCCCTTCCTCGAAAAAGAGAAAAAAAGGATAAAAATCTGAGAAACCACTTTTAGGAGATGAGCAGTAAAATGAACCAGAGGCCTCTGGCTGCATTTCTTTGCAGGTTTCCCCAGGAATAACCCAAAGAAATAATCTAACCTATGCACAAGCCCAGCTCTCTCACAGGTAACACTTGCTTCTGGGCAGACCAAAAACTTTTTAATGAAGATAATCCTCTCTCAAGGGTGTGAGATGAGTCAGAGCTGCAGGTACTAGCAGGGAAGGGAAGAATGAATGTTTAGTAGTAGTAGGAAGGTACCTAACATTTACGGGGCACTCACTGCTACCCGTGCTAAGCGCTTGGCATACGCTGTCAGATTTCATCTGTGCAACAAGCCAAAGAGGGAGGGCCTGCCGTTCCCATCTTCAGAACCAGAGCCTGAGGCACAAAGAGAGAGTGTGTGTGACTTCCCAGAGTCACACAGCTTGAAGAAGGCAGAGCTGGAATTCCAACCTGGGCGACCTGACTTCAGGGTCAGTGCTTCTAACCAACAGGCTACAGGGCACCTGTATGCGCCACAGAGTTTTCTAGCGTAATTCTCGTAACTCGTAGGAGAAATCAGCATTATTTCCCCAGACTGAGGGTCTAAGAGGCTGTATCTTGCCAAGGAGACAGAACTCACATACTGATTGCCAGGAGCTTGCATAAGGCTCATTTCCATGCCTTAAAGATCTGTCAGGGCCATTCTAAAGGACCCCCCCCCCAAAAAAAAAAACCCAACAGATTTGGCTTTTTTTTTTTTTTTTTGGAGACAAGGTCTTACTCTGTTGTCCAGGCTGGAGTGCAGTGGTGCCATCATGGCTCACTGAAGCCTTGACCTCCATCTCAGCCTCCCAAGTATCTGGGACTACAGGTGTGCACCACCACGCTCTGATTTTTTTTTGGAGACAGAGTTTCACTCATTCTTTTGCCCCAGCTGGAGTGCAGTGGTGAAATCTCAACTCACTGCAACCCCCAACTCCCGGGTTCAAACACTTCTCTGAGTAGCTGGGATTACAGGCATGCACCACCACAACCATCTAATTTTTGTATTTTTAGCAGAGACGGGGTTTCGTCACGTTGGCCAGGCTAGTCTCGAACTCCCGACCTCAAGCGATCTGCCCGCCCTGGCCTCCCAAAGTGCTGACATTGGAGACACGAGCCACTGCGCCTGGCCTGGATTTGGCTATTTTAAAAAGTGGAAACTTTACTGCTATGCTTAACCTAACTTCAAAATATTTCTCAATTATTCCTACTTTAAAAATACTACAATTCACACAGTTGATAAAGCACAGAATTAGCACCACATCAAACATAGTGTTTAATCACAATGGCTTTAAAAATATATAAAGTCAAAAAGCTTTTAAGTTCTTATTAAATATTTGTTCATTTAACACTTGGTCTACCCGTTTGTAAGGCATGTCAGGCAATTGTGAGGGCTAAGAGACATACACAAGGCACACAGTCAGATGCAGGTGATGAGATGTACACACAGATAATAATTAGAGGTAAGGATTCACGTCATAAAAGATACCTAACGGGAGGACAAGAACACTTCCAGCCAAGAGGCCCACACGATGGCAAGGCATATGCAAGGCAGGAGTGTGCAAGCAGTGACTTTAGACCTAGGCAAAGGAGCCGTGGGGACTCAAGACTGGCAAGTGGTAGGGGTGGGGCTTCTCGAATTTATGTATTTCAACAGAAAATTATAAATCACTACTCATATTAATATATAACTTAAAATTCTTAAAAATTAGCTCAGTGCTTTTTGCCTTTAAGAAATATTTTAATTAAACAAACCCAATTTGTTTTAAAACTTCACAGAACGAGGTTCAGAAAGTGGCTTTTGTTGCTGCGCAAAGTTGATGCCTACGGATCATCTATTCCTAAAGTTGTTTAGAATGGGTTATTTCTCTCTCTCTCTCTCTCTCTCTCTCTCTCCCCCTTTCTCTCCTGGCACAAGGAAGTTTTACACCATCTACAATCCCTCCGTTAGATTAAAAAAAAATAAACCTCCATTGTGAGAGGCGCCATTGGTGTCTGCCTCCTTGTCTTCCAGTCACAAATGGAGAGGCGGGCTGAAGAACAGCTTCACTGCTCAGGATGTCATGAATTTAAAAAAGTGTAGCAATGGTGCTTGGCCAGACAGAGTGGAAAACAAAGCCTCAGTCATTTGTTTAAACAAATTCACAAAAACAAAAACACTTCCTCCACGTACCCGTACCCAGTGAATTCTAAAAAGGATCACACATTTAGTATGACTTTTAAAACTTTCACTTTCACACATTAAAAACAACATGATGGGAGCAAACAAGCGGACATCACCCCTCACTCGTGCTTATCTATTTCTGGTTTCATTAAGCTGCCGAAACGACCGCCAGCGCTTCCTCTCATCCCAACAGGAAAATTTCATGGCTCCTGAAGGTCTGAGTCAGACTGGAAAGCTCATGAATATTCTGAGTTTCTGGAGCTGATGCAAGGACGTCACTATAATTGATGACCAGGCAGAGCTATCTACTACACGTTTGAACCACTCCTCTGAAATAATTTATCAGAAGTTAGATTTTCGTTTCTAAAGCTATTAATAACAAGAGTCTGTTTCTGATTTTTAAGATGAAGTTCAATCTTTCAAGCCATTCTGCTTTTCAATAAATTCCCTCTATTTGCAGAGGCCCGCATTAATATACTCCTTGCTTTACTGCATTTTAATAAAGGTGATGAGAAAATAAACCGAAGAGAACCTGAAGCTTCCCACATGCAATGGGAAGAAAGCAGCGTGCTGCAGATTTAAATCAGGATCTGCATTTACTGGGTACACGGAAGTGAAGAGAGTACGTGCATCTGTGTGGTGGCGGCGGGGGACAGAGACAGAGGCGTCTTCCTGTGGACGGCAGGAGCGTCCTGGGCTGTTCCGCTGAGATTTGGGCTCTGAGTCATGGGGTGCTCGCGTGGAACAGTAAGACCGAGTTCAACTGAGAACGCCCGCACGTATCCTATGTTAATTTTTCTTTTGCAAACACATTTGCATCTTTTACTTTCATTTTAAACTGCGCCCCGTGCATATGTGCACTACCAACCCATCCGGGTGACGGGCAAGTTGTATCTACTCTGGGAGCCTCCTCCTGCCTGCGAGGCAAGTGGCGACCCCAGAGCGGGAGGTGGGAGCCCCCTTTTCTTACGGTTCTCGGACCGCAGATTTTCCATCAACACTCAATTAGGTTTAAAGATACACTAGGGTGTGTACTGAGATAGTTCAAAATGATTTCCTTCCAACATAAAATGGATCGTGAACCACGGGAATCCTGAGCCCTCCACTTCCCAGCGAGGCAGCATGACTGGTGCTGTGAGACGGATCCACCAGTGATCGAAACCGCGTTCTGCTAGGGAAATTGAGGTTTGGACCACGTGGTCAAGGACAAATGAAAAACCTTTTACGCATTTCCAAATATCAAAATTAAAGAATTAAAAGAGAAAAAAACCCCAAGGAGTTCATATCTTCCCAAACCACAAAGCCACGCCCGGGCCCCACTCCCTTTTCTATCCACTTTAGCACATGCCGAAGCCCAGCGTGGCCTGGGACCACGTGAGGGACGGTGGGCGTGGCCGGGGCGCAGTCACGTGGCCGCTATGCACGCCGAGCCCCACCTCCAGCCAGCCCCTCCTTGGCGGCTGCAGGAGCCCAGCCAGCGATCCAGGCGGCGTTTCCAAACCCAGATCCACGCCTGTACCTGCAATGACTTACAGGATATTTTAGGAATTAGTCCAACATATCCTTTGGGATATCCTTTGGGGTCTGTAAGTAATACTCAAATAGATTTTACCTATCTCGCTGTATTCTGCAGCCAACTTTAAAACATTCATCTGGAAACTGCAAACACAAAATAACCCTTAGTGCATGATATTGTGAATTCTGTGCCCGTCTCCCCTTCAAAAGCTATATAGTATATACTTAGTACACAAACTAACTCAGAATCATGTATCCTACTGTAAGGAGTCCTCTTTGGTCCAGCAAGCATGTGTGATCTGATACCTAGCCTACTGAGATGCCTACGATTCTTTTCTTCACATCTCCCAAATATAACAGCTACATTTCAGACTCCTAAAATTTAATTTGGAATGAGTTACAAATATCAGTGAGGAAAAACGAGGGCCACAGGAAGCTTAGTATAGCTTGCACGCTCTTGTGTGAGGGCCATAATAAAATTACAAACTGGGATGGATTGCATGATATTTAAAAAATTTAGCCATTCGGTTTCATCAAACAGAAGCATGAGATTTGATAAAATGTTACACTTGAGGAGTATAAATCTTTTTTATTTTAAAAATAATAGAAAAGACCACATAGAGTAAAATCAAAGAATACAACAGACAATTTTTTAAAACTTTCTTTTGGCTAAAGAGTTATTTTTAGGCTGAGCGCTGTGGCTCCCGCCTGTAATCACAGCCCTTTGGGAGGCCGACTGGAGAAGATAGCTTGAGGCCAGGAGTTCAAGAGGGACCTGGGCAACACAGACCCCATCTCTACGAAAAATTAAAAAATTAGCTGGGCATGGTGGCACACGCCTGTAGTGGCAGTTACTCAGGAGGCTGAGGTGGGAGCATTAACTTAAACCTGGGAGGTTGAGGCTCCTGCTCCAGTGAGCTATGAGAGCAACACTGCACTCCAGCCTGGGTGACAGGCCAAGATGTCTCAAACAACAAGTGATTTTAGTATTTCAGTGATGGAAAATTCTGAATAATGATTTCTTCATACCAATTAGATTTGGGACTGCTGAAATTTAATTAAATAGGGGGCCTCCTCCAACTTGTTTGCCATGTTGGTAATGTTTGCCTATTTATTTGAGACAGTGTCTTGCTCTGTTGTCCAGGCTGGAGAGCAGGGGCATGATCACACCTCACTGCAGCTTTGACCTCCTGAACTCAGGTGATCCTCCCACCTCAGCCTCCCAAGTAAGTGGGACCACAGGTGCATGCTACCATGACAGGCTAATTTTTTTTTTTGTAGTGATGTGGTTTCCCTATGTTGCCCAAGCTGGTCCCAAACTCCTGGCTCAAGCAATCCTCTTGCCTATGGCCTCCCAAAGTGCTGGGATAACAGGCATGAGGCACCACACCCAGCCACGTTTATTCTAAAAGAGGAAAGCAACACTTTGAACACTTCTTTTAATTACAGCTTTAAAAACTCAGAAATAAAATGTCACATGATAAATTAAATTCATGGTGTTGATGTAAACCTTCCCAACCCATCTCAAGCATCTGGGCTGTGCTTCAGAGTCAGTTCCCCAATAGCATTCTCTTGAGTATCAAAAACGAGAGATTTGCAGCCAGGACCAAAACTATGAGACTATTTTGGCAATTAACATCTCCTGTCATCTTCTTCACCTCCTTTGTAGGGAGAAAGGGCAAGAACATTTCAAATAACATTCATATGTGGGATTTCTTAAGCTTCTGCATATTTTTTCTTCTTCATGTGACTAGTAATTGTCCTCCCAAATAAAAGTGGACTTGCCACTGCTAGTTAAAAAGTTTATGTCCCTCACTGTTAAAAAATACATAAAATCCTGAGAGTAGAATCCAATTACTAAGTGTAGAAAACAGAAATAGAAAATCACCATTTGGCAAACATCACAGTAATGGATGTTAAAATTAGTGGGTGAAAGAATAATGAGGAACAGAATGCTTGTTTAGATAGTCTCAAGTATCTACCTCCAAAAGATTCTTCCTAATTACAAAGAGAAAAATAGTAATGATAATGGAGGAAGCCACAGAGACCACCTTAACTAAGGGATCAAAGCTAACAGCACCAGGAAAGGAAACATCACGCATCTCCTGACAGGATGCGCAAAGACACAAACAGCAGCACCTCTGTGATCTCCAAGTTAAAAATGTACCCCCCAAATTTAATCAGGAGGAAACATCCACAAACTCTAACAGAAAGATATTCTACAAAATAACTGGCCCCATGTTCTCCAAAAGTGCGAACTTCGTGAATGACTAAAGAAAACCCAGGAAAACGTCCCAGAATTAGAAAAACTGAACACAATAAATGCCAGGTAGGATCGTCTCTTGGATCTGGAACCAAAAAAAGGGACATCAGTGGGAAAATAGTGAAATCCGAATTCAGTCTGGAGATTAACAGCACTGGAGTATGGAGTGAACACTGTTTTGATAACCGTATTACGGTTATGTAAGATGTTAACATCTGTGGAAGCTGGGTGGAGGGTGTTCCAGAACTCCTGGTACTCTTTGTAACCTTTATGCAAGTCTGAAATTATTTCAAATTAAAAAGTTAATAAACGTTTTTAAAAGTTGATAAAGCAAAAGAAAACAACTTACAGCATGATCATCAACTAAGTTGAGAAAAAGACCTTTGAACTATAAGGATACATGCAAATCAATAAATGACTGACAAACTCAAAAATCCCACCTCCAATGATACACTTAACTTTGCATTCCTTGCACTTGAACCAGAGTTACTAAAAGCCGTGCACCTCAAGATAAAGTCACTGATAGCTTAATAAATAAGGTGAATCCCTAGTTTAGAGATATGACAAACCTCTACTTTTTACAGATGATTCCTAGAGAAATACTGTTGCTGGAGTTTATTCAGGCTGGTAGAGAACCGGGCATCCCAAGTTGAGGGCCCTTTCCATTCTGACATATTGCCTAGCATTTAATTTAGCTTAGATTTGTCTTCCAGCGAGGTGCAAGTGGGAAGTTAAGATGGTTGAAGGATGCAAAGAGGAACAGTCAACAAAATGCACGACAGAAAATTATGTGCGACTCTCCTGGATCCTTGTGACAACTCCTTGTCCTTTTTCTTCAAATGTAGTGAGAACTGTGTTTTTCTAACTTGCCCATATACCCTGCTCTATCATCTGCTACAGATAATATATGCTTCTGCTCTCTGCATGTTATACATAAAACAGATCAAATTCTTTCAACAGCAAAAATCTTTATTGCATTAGCAGAAATTTCCCAGCATCATAAGCCCTACAGTTTCCTGATCCACCACTATGTGGTAGGGAAGGCAATAAAAAGAGTTTGTCAGGGTTTCACCCAAATCTCATCTGAAAAGCTTGATCTACTTTTTTCCGGAGACCAGCCCCAAATGAAATGATCCTCATTGGGGAATAACAAAAAATTGAGGCCAAAAGTGAATGTGAAAAGCTACCATTTTTATTTTGTGTTCCCAGCATTATGGGATATGCAACAGAAGATGAGAATTCTGCTGTCAAGGAATGTACAAAATCCTTTTAGGTACATGTGCCCTATTTAGGCAGTATTACTGAAAGGAAAGGAGTGAGCGTACCATGGATTTGGTCCGTGCCTTGTACCAAGAGCCATGCTAAGGCTTCTCTGATTACATCCCCATAAGCTCCTTTTTACAGAAAGGAGACTAAGGTGCAAAGACTTGCTGACTTGTCCAGCATCAGAGGCTCAGAGGTGGTAAAGACGGGATACAAACCCAGAATGTCTTCACCCCAGGATCTAGGCTCTGTCAGACCATGCTGTCTCCCAAATGAAAACAAGTTTTGCTTGCAAAGGCTGCAACAACTAGGAAGTATGTAGTAGAGGGTGGAAAGCTAATGTCCCCTAGAAGCAGGGCCTAACCTGAGAACTGCGAGAGAGGCCATGGAGGTTGGGGTTATGAACACTAAGGAGCACCAGCGCTGCATGCAGAGGGTGTAAGGGTCCTCCCTACGCGGGTCAGCATGGTGAAAGAGAAGGACTAGGAGGGCGGAGCTAATAGTAGGAGGGGAGAAGACCGATAACAAACTTCTTCAGAATGTCCCTGCATGTATATTTATCTGAGAGGAAGGTGTAAGGAGGCCCTTCTAAAATACTATGTCATTGAACTAGGTGTGCCAAGGTCTTGTATATAGCACATCAAGGGGAAAGTGCATTCATTTGGAAGATTTGTTTTTTCACTACTGAGTTGGGCTTCGATGTGGGTAAATGAGTTACATTCATTTAAATTATTCCAGCAACTATCATGAGAGAGACAGACTGAGACGGAGAGATGTTCAGAGAAAGACAGAGACATAGATGGAGGGAGGGAGGGAGGGAAGAAAAAGAAAAAAAAATCATGCAAAGGAATAAATTTATCACACATTTATACCTCACCTTTCCAGAACTCAACTATTCAGCAAATAAACATTTCTGGGGTAGTCAAGCACCAGGAAGAAGCTTGGTTTCACTTACTGCCTATTTACTCTTAACACATAACTCTAACAAGCTTAGAAATCTGTTTTCAAAGCACTCACAGCAAAAAGGAAGTGGCAAATAATCACCTACAGAGGGGCTGATGGAGACGGCTTTCTCTTCTTACTGAAATAAGTCTATTAAACAGAAATGGAGACATAAAAATGGTAAAACCAAACCATAAGAACACAATAAGCACAAGAAACCTTCAGCAGAGGGCAAACTGCCTCCCACTCAGCCTTGAGGGTATCACTGTATTATGCATAATACAACAATTTATGCTCGCTGATGTCCTCAAGTTGGCCAGAAATGACTAAATTATATTCACTGGAGTAAGAAGCAAAGAAGTACAGAATACATGTTGGAAAGATTTCCAGCATGATAGTGCACAAAAACTGGTGCAGTAGTCTCAGTTCTCCCTAAGGCTTTAATGTATTTCATCATCTGGTCATTGCTCGATCTGACAAATATTTACTGAGCATATTGGAGAGACTTGCTGTGAGAGGCCTGGCTCCTGCTTTCACGGAGTTCAAAATCTACTAAGAAGCTGAGATACTCAAGATCCACATTTCTACTAGGATGGTCTGTACAAGGGTTTGGATTGTTGTACTAAGTGCTGCGCACTGACTCCGAAAATCATGACTTATTTTTGGATATGAGCAACTGAAATTGGCCTAAATGTTAAGAAACGGTGTGCCATTTCAAAAGTCTTTGATCATACAGTTCAGAGTCAAGGATCAGTCAATACTTCAAGAAACTCCAGCCTGGCCAACATGGCGAAACCCCGTCTCTACTAAAAATACAAAAATTAGCCAGGTATGGTGGCACATGCCTGTAATTCCAGCTACTCGGGAGGCTGAGGCAGGAGAATTGCTTGAACCCGGGAGGTGAAGGTTGCAGTGAGCCGAGATCGCGTCACTGCACTCCAGCCTGGGTGACAGAGCAAGACTCCATCTCAAAAGAAAAAACTTCAAGAAACTACCCATGTGGTCATGAAACCAAGAAGCAAGGCATGCTGCTTTGGCTGCACAAAAATATACAGTACAGAAGACCAACAGAACCACAATTCCTGAATTTCTTTCTCTTTATTGAAGAAATTAATTCTAACACATACACCTTCTTATATTTAGGCTAGGACATCTTATAACTAAATCAATCTATACAGTTAATCATGCATTTAAGAATGTGTGTGTTTGTTTTTTAAAGTGATATTTATTAAAAGGAAAAATCCTGGCTATCTGGACACTGAGAAATGCACAAGCTTGCAAAAACCGTAATTTAATCAGAAAACCCAGATACAGTAAAGTTACTTTTCATTTTCTTTTTGTTTCAGAAACCTTGCAAGAAGTTCTTTCCCTTCTTGAGGGCAAAGCTTACGAACTGGAAAGTTTCATTTTAATGGGTTCTTTCTTGGGGCAAAAACATGCAACACCAAATATTCTAGAGTGTCTGAGTGCAAACATCGCAGATGCAGTAGTGCAAAGGAAAAGCAAACACTTTAAAATCAAGTATGTCTTAGTTCAAATCCTGTGTTTACCACCTGCGAAGTGTGTGAGGTAGACAATTTATTTTTCCAGGCTTCCATTTGTTCTTCCGTAAAACAATGTTGGTAGAATCTACCTCATCGGCTGTTGCAAAACTAAATGAAATGTGCTTTCAATACACTGGTCATAATTATGCAGGTGGACATGCTGAATTTTTACACCGATCTCAATATACATGGGCTTTGTAACTGCAATGATAGCTCAGTGGAGCTCAAACTGGATGTGTTTCTAAAAGTCCAAAAAAAGTTTGGACTTTTTTTTTTTTTTCCTCCATTATGACATTTTACTTCTTGCTTAGATGAGAAGCTAAACCCTCCCCGGAGGCTGGGCTTCCTAATGAGCAGAATAAAGTTCTAAGGAACAACCACAACAGAACCAAAGGGTAGACTGAAAGTAGAATTCTGCCATTGAGGAGGCTTACTGGCCTTCCTCCCTTAAAAGCGTGAGCCACTATGTGGCATGTTCAGACTCCTTCAAACATAGCTGGTCCCAGATGTCACACGAAGTTTGGAAAGAGGAAGTTTGGCTGTTCAAAAATAAAAGCAGGGTGCTGATAAGGATGATGATGCTACTAAAACAGAGTGAGAGATTTCTCCCCGCAAACCCTGGCCACGGAGTGCTGTGCTGGTTTGCTGCGCTGAACAATGGAGGAGGAAGCCCAGGCGAGACCTCGTCCACGTTTATTAGCATCCTGAAAGGTGGAGTCTGTGCCTCCGAAGCCCAGAGTTCTCTAAGCCTTTATATCTCGATTAAATGGCTGAGATTGTCCTTGTGTACTTGGGTGGATTGATGTTATTTCCAAAGCATGCAATTCATTTCAAGAGGGGAGAGGGAGGATTAAGTTGGAAATATTTTTCTATTCAAGGAGGAAAATTAAATATAACTGGAAATGTTTTCAGGAAAATGTTTTTATATTTCAATGTTTCCCCAGAGCACTGTGATCCCAATACATCACAGGACTGTGCTAGATTAAAAGGAATGAAGACAAAATGAATTTAAATAAAAACTGAAACTGACCAGCCAGGCTTTATTCTCCATATCTGAGGAAACAACGAAGCGGGGGGAAACTACAAATGAACCAAAACAAGAAATAAAAATCAACTCAACTAAAATTTTAAACTCAAATGAGTGTTTCAATTTTGTTTTAGAATTTTTTCAATCTAGTTTATTTTCATAGCCACAAAAGCTTTTGAATAGCCATGAATTGATAGCCACTTGATTGACAGAACCATTAAGACTTTTTTGGTTGTTTTCTCTTAATCATTTTCCTTAACGCTTGAATCCGCTGATACTCAGTTACAGAAGACGACTTGCTTGTCTTATAGTTCTTAGGTCATTACAAGTACTTAGTATTTGCTAATAATCAACACCAACAGCTCCAGGAAATGTGTACAATTAGACAGCTGGTTTAACTGGTTGTGTTGCATTTTTTAAAACGTGCATACCACCCCCTTTATGAGCCCTAAATATGACAGGAAAAATGGAATGTACAGGTCTCAGTTATCCTTATCAAAATAAACACATATTTTTAAGAGGAAAGAATTTTGTCAGTTAATCCTGTGTTAGATCTGTGATGTCCAGTAGCCATTAGCCACATGTAGCTATTCAAATTTAAATTAAAACTTTAAAAAAATCCAAAATCCAGTTCCTCCGTAGCACTAGCCACATTTCAAGTGCTCCATAGCCACATGTGGCTAGCGGCTCCTGTACTGGACAGGGCATCCACAGAACAGTCCATCATGGTGGAAACTTCCACTGGACGGTGCTAGACTAGATGGAAGAACGGAACTGTGAGCCTTGGGTATTTACATTTATTTTTAAAGACGTAGGCTGGGCGTGGTGGCTCACGCCTGTAATCCCAGCACTTTGGAAAGCCGAGGTGGGTGGATCACTTGAGGTCAGGAGTTCAAGACCAGCCCGGCCAACATGGCAAAACCCCGTCTCTACTGAAAATACAAAAATTAGCCGGGTGTGGTGGCACATGCCTGTAATCTCAGATACTCAGGAAGCTGAGGCAGAAGAATTGCTCGAACCTGGGAGGTGGAGGTTGCAATGAGCCGAGATCGCACCACTGCACTCCAGCTTGGGCGAAAGGGTGAGACTCTGTCTCAATTAAAAAATAAATAAATAAATAAATAAAGATGTACACAAAACAGTTTAATTGTGGGGTCACTTTATAGAAGCTTCTTTAAAGCATCAGCTTTCCAACTGCACACAACTGTTTCCCCTAAGCAACTTCCAAGGCACAAACCCAGTATACATTCTCTCCTAAGCATTATCTCAGTTGTACATTCGATTGTAGAATATCTTTCTTCCTTAAAAAAAAAAAATCTCTCACCCAAAACTTAAGAGAAAGGGGTCATTTACAGGAGAAAGGGCAAATCATTATTTTTAGATGGAAAGACCTCCCTAAGTCAACATTTAAATATTAAAACATGTAGCAGGTAGTACCAAAGGGTTTCTCCTTCATCACACTTGTATTTCTTTACTGTCGAAATTCTCTGCCCAGGAGTCAGCTCTGTGTGAGCTGAAAGCAAGTGTTCTGTTTGCTATTGCACATCCATTACAAGCACAGTGCCTGCCTGGGACAAAACAGATGCTTAAATTTTTGTGGAATGATTGAATGAAACTTAAGAAGAATGGTATTTTGCTAAAGAACAGCAAACATCCTTTTAGAGCCTGGTTCCAATTCTTTATATTTGGATAGCAATCCACCCTTTATTTTCAAATGCAAACTTAAAATAACTTAGCAGACTGATTCATGCAAGTATGCATGCTACAGCTCAGTATCTTTAATACTCAGCAAAAGGCATACAGCATCTATGTCACAGTAAAATATGAGCTAACATTTATTGCAGTTAAACACCAGGCCCAACGCTAAGTGTTTTACATATGCTATTGCATCTGCCCCTCACTCTGATAGTCTCTCTGCTACCAGGAGGAGGAAACCAAAGCTCAGGGGAAATTAAGTGACTGGCTCAAGCCACAGGGCTAGAGATGTATAGTCAGAAAAGCTCCCCTGGTGAAGACTATGGACGATGCCCGTCATATAGCCTGATTGGACAATTCCTGCTTTAATCAGGAAGGCTACGATTGTCCTCGTCTACAAGGACCTGCCTCCAAGGAGGGGCATGGCTCTGGATCTTTGCAGCCCCAGAGCTTAGTTGAGCACCTGCCCTGCAGGCCTCCCACATATTTTTGTGGAGAAAGACTCAGCAGTCCTAATGGCTTAAGGCTACTCAGACTTGGAGAAGGCCCCTTCTACAGAAGCAGGCACAGCTCAGCACACCCCGTCTCCCTCTAAACCGAGGCTGTGGGGAAATCACTGTGACCTTGCCACTATACAGCAGCTTCATGCTTTGGCCACCGTGTTGCAGCCTCTACGGCCACTCTGCTCTAGTAACTGGCCTCCTTCTGCAAACTGACCAGCTGCACCAGCATCACGGGGCTGGCAGCACTTCCATTATTCTTTTTCTTGCTATTCAGAATTTCAACCTAATAACTCCACTGTTTTAAAAACACAGTGCTTTAGCAAGAACCTGTTGTGCTCCAAGTACTGGTCAGACAACTGCCTTTAAGGGGCTCACTTTCCTATTTGGCCCAATTCCCTCAGATTAGGGTTTCCAGAAGTCTGACCTATAAGCATTCATTTTCATAAAAACCACTACTGACAAAGCAACAGGTTCTAAACGTATACATTAAAGAGCTAATTTTTTGTTGGATCAATATTTGTCAAGGGCTTGCCAAGCGGGGGTACAAAAGTATAATAAAGGACATCAATCCATGTGGGGGAAAGGTAAACAAATATTAATCAAGTCCCTAGTGATTCTACATAATTCTCTGTAATTCTTTCTGCAGTCCTATAGCATAGATAACATCTCCATCTATGGATGATAAAAAGCACTGCTTGTAATAACTCACTTCCTAAGTACCTGCAAGGCACGAATTCAGGGCCAGGCACAGTTAATCCTCATAACTCCCTCAAGGAAAAGGTATTACTACTTCCTTCTCCAGAAAGACAGGCTCGGGGCGTCTGTCTGGGTCCGAGGTGCCCACGCTGGCTGAGAGCGCTGAAGTGGAGTCAGACACACAGGCCTGCCTGGCTCCACAGACCATGGTGCCATTAAATGAGACTGTCCTCACTCTCATGGGGGGACACAGAGAAAGCTCCCCACCCCAACCACAGGAGGAAAAGATGACTGTGGGAGAACACATCACCATACAGCATCAGTGTCCCATTAGCGCGGAAGGCAAGATTGACAGGAAAAACAAACAAGGAAATAGTACAGTGGGATGCGCAGGGGCTGTATGAAGGTGGTTCTAGAAAATGGGGTGGCCTGGCACAGGGGCAGCCATTCCAGAACTAGGAAGGCAGGGTAAGGTACTCCACATGTGTTGGGGGGGGCAGGGGTGGAGGGAGTGAGAGGGGAACAAAGACCAAGGCAGGCTAAAGTCAGACCGTGTAGAACCCAAAGCCAGGCCAGGGTACTCGTACTGCCTCATGCAGGAAAGGGGGAACCAGAACACTGGGGCAGGGATTAAAGTAGTGATGGGAGATTCACTGGGTGTCACTCAAAGCTTGTCTCAAGTCACAGGGCTCTTCTATTCCCCCGACTTATCTGAACAGGAGAAATCCTCTTGGCTCCCAGACCCGCCTGCCCTGGCATTCTCCCGCAGGGAAACATGCTTTGGTTGTTCAGACGTGACTTACTGGCACTTAGAGGCTGTTGGCATGGAAAAAATGAACAGGCTGACCTGGCCAGAAAGGAGCAGGTGATGCAGAAACCCAGCAAAAGATGAATTCACCCTGCCACCCTGAGTAAATTACAAAGCTCATATGAAGGGCCGCAGAAGAAAGAATGGGAGAGATGATTTACCAGACAGAGAAGGGGAAGTCTCAGCCCTAGGCACCTCATGAGCCCAGGAGAGTGCCAGGCAAAATCCCTAAGGCACTTCACTGAGTCCTACAACCTCGCATAGACATCACTGTGCTCATCTCAGGCAGGGGACACCCAGGCTCACTGTGGCGAAAGCACCTGGCCCAGATGAGTAAGGGAGAGAAGCCGGAGCACACATCACTGGAGCACACTTTATTACAGTGTCTTTCTGCCTTCAATCACTTGCCCAGTTTTGTAACTTCATAAGAGAGTCATGATGCCCAGAACCTCATGGCCCCGGGGCAAAACTCTGCACCAGCTCTGACACTCTCCTTAACCTGCTGTCACCACACGATACACAAGAACCATTCCTCTCAAATCACGAAACAAAGGTTAAACATATTCCACCAATAATACCACGATATGCATTAATTCCATCAGTGTGGAAAACTATTCCTTGTGGGAGAGGGCGCACAGACAGACAACTGGAAGAGAAAAAAACAGAGAGAAATCCAAGTCAGATGTTGTGCCTAACTTGAGGCAGGACTTTTCCTGGGATTTAAGTAGGTCTGGAGGCTGCTCTGGCACATCCTGGCCACCCAGGCCACGCCTTACATTTCTATTTGCAATGCACCTTCCCCTCCTCCTCCACTCCCCGCACTTCTCCCCAAGTGCCCCATCACTGAAAAAGTTCAGGGGCCGCAGGGGCTGAGACGGGGCGCAGGGCACCGACCCTTTCAAGCGGCCACGGCTTTGCAACATGTTCCTGAAATTCCTACAAACCAAAAAGCAATTCAGAATCGCAGGAGGGAGGCTTATCCTCCACTCCGCAAACCAGACCCTCAAGATCATCTTTTTTATGCTGAAAAGGCTTTTCACAAAATATTCCAAACCATCTTCATAGATTATTTTTCCTTTCTCTTAAAAAACTAAGCAAGACTGGATGTCATTTAGAATACCGACTTCTAAAAAAGGGCATTTTTGAACTGAATGCCACATGCTGTATTTTGCCATTTTGCCTGCGCTTCCTGCTTGGAGCCTGTGACACAGAGAAGCCTCAGACACTGGAGCTGCTCCGGGCCACGCAAACTCCGCTCCGCATCTTCCAGGCAGCCCTGTCGCAAATAATTCATGTCCACTACGCCCCTATCACACTGAATACAACCACATTGTACTGCTGGAAATGGGAAACCTGATTCAGATCACAGGAGAAGGTAGAAAAACATTTGGTTCAACACAATACTGCCCCCCTTCTTTTTTTTAAAGGGAGGAAACATATTTCAAACCTAGGAATAGGGAAAGGATTCAAGACCCATCGTGGAATAAAACACAGAATTTAAAATAGCATCCGATGTGACCCAAACCAGCAACAATAACGAGAAAACCACCCAGTCCTTCCAGAGATGCACCTTGTTTCTGCTGCAGTGTTGCTAATCAAAATCGATCTGCCCATCCAAGCAATTTAAAGAGGAAGGGCGGCATTTGTAGAAAATGGTACATGTTGATAAAGCATGACCTGTCCCACATGGAGAGCAATAAAAGGAAAACAAGCCTGAGAACAGTATGCTGTGCTCACCAGGAGATGGAAGAGAAGAAAGCCAGAATAAGGGCAGGGATGCCGGGGGAAGGGAGGACGGGGTGTCAAAGGCCTGCAGGATTTTTGTAAACAGCAGCCCGTAATGGCCACGGTGAGAGAGAAGGGAAAACAGACATGGAGGGAAACGTGTTTACAACTGCAGCGACGGCGGGAGGCGGAGGGAGGGATTCCCCGACTCTGCACTCTGCGCTCGGCCCGCTTCGCTCCGGTGGGGCCCCGGGGCTGGGATGTGTTTTGGCTCCTCCACCCTCCACCCGCTTTCTTAGTGGGGGGAACACATCTTGTTTATGGGGAAGGTTACTCCTCCTCTGCTCTGGTGATCGCCTCCCTAATACTCCTGCTGCATCCTTGCGGGATGCCCACTTGACTGACAGACACTCCAGCCAGTCGCTGCCCGGGCCCCGCGGAAAGGTGGAATTTCCCAACGCAGCGATTGGCCGGCGGGGAGGGTGGGCCCTGGTGATTGGCGTGTTATTCGGAGTGGAAAGTAGTAAACAACCTTGGTCCACGGCGGCGGCGCGGGCGCGGGGTGCCCGCTCCCTCTTCCCTCACCCGGGGCGGGGTGGGGCGCGCGCGCCAGACAAAAGGAGCCTCAGCCCCTCGGAGGGGAGAGCAGGAAGGGCGCACACCACAGCCGGCGGAGCGGGCGTCCCCCGGAGCCCCTGCGCCAGAACTGCTGACTTGCAGCTTCACATCATTTTTGTTCTGTGGAAAACCGCAAAGGTTTTGTTTCCATAATTCGGCTCCTCTTCTTCGTCTTAGGTTTTAGAAAGTCTCCAAAGAGAATGGCAATTTAGTTCCTCCTCTTTCCTGCCCTCCACCCCAACCCTCCACCTTTTAAGATTAATTTTTAGTTCTGTCTTTGCAGAAGTTGTTTTAAATCCCTGTACTAAAAATTGTTGCTTTATTCACACAATACGCCATTAAGGGCACACGGGTGAATCAGATGCCCCGTTAGTCCCTTTCCTTGCAAGTTCCTGGAGCTGTGATCTCACTGGGAGGGGCTGAGTTTGGGAGCAGGCATAAAAAGAAACATGATGATATTAGGCTCACTTGACAAGAAATAAGCAGTTACACCTTGCCTTTTCCACACAGGATGTAGTTCACCCAGGCTATCATCTGACATTGCTAAGTCCCCTTCTGGTTGGTCTTGACTCACAACCCATTCCTCATTCTGGCCTCTCCATCCTCACAGGACCCCCAGCCAGGGGAAACTTCCCAGCTTCCAGCGGGAAGTGCTGCTTCCCCAAATTGGGCAGCACCTGGGGATGCCTCTAGATGCATAATCACCTCAGAGGTCCTGAGCCAGAGTCCAGAGATTCTTTCTGAGATTCTGGCAAGGCCCCGGGGTACTGATGGAGGACTGGGAAGGTAGGAGAAGGCCACGGGGAGGGGGAGGCTGGACACAGGAGGGATCTCCACTTCATTTATGTGCTCTTTGGTGCTTCGCTCTGATGGTAAGTCACGTTGTCACTCTTGGCCAGACAGCCAGACTGTCCAAGCTGAAAACGTAAACAAAAGCTCCTTGCAGGAAGCAACAGGGTGCAAACTTGCCACCTGGGGGGCCTCTCTGCCACCCCTTGGCCAGCCCTCTCCTCCAGCATCTGGCCCCACCCCGGCCCTGCCCGCCTGGCATGTAAAGCACCCCCTCCTCTCCAAGCATCCGTTCCTCAGCCGCTGTGTTCCTGTCGCAGGTCCCTGGATGGGCCACACACAAACCTTCACTCAGCTTATTCTTTCTAGGCCTTACCCTGCCTGCCCGGGAGAGGCCACTGTTCTCCACGGCTTCCCTTGCCCTGGCCAGCCCACTTCCTGCAGGAGTGCTCCGAAATCGGTTTTGGTAGCACTGTGTTAAGGTTGCAGATGGTGTTTTCAACACTGTACTCCGACTCTACTTGCAGGTTTCTCCACCTCAGTAGACCCTGAGCATACCAGGGCAAGGTGTTATATTCTAATTTGTGTCTCCAGTGGAGACACAGGTCCACAATATGCACTCAATCAAGTCTTGCCAAACATTTGCAGCACTCAGTTCTCGTCTTGTCCAACACTCACACCTGCTTCTGCTGCCCCCAAGTCAAGTACCCCTACCTAGTTTCTTGCTAACATGTTAACATGGTACCCCCCCCCACCAAGTGCCAAGCCCTTGTCCATCACTCAGTGATTCCCTGTACACATGCAGTTACTTGTAACGTATGCTGCTTCCTCTGCCAGTTATGCTTTTCTGACTTCTCTTCTTGGCAAATTCCTATTCTGTCTAAAAATCACTTCTTCCCTTGGCAACATGCCACAAGTTCCACCTGACTCCTCTGTGCTCCCAGAGCACCTCAGAGAGGCCTCGTTGCAACCTCTGCCATCTTCCGAGGACATGGCTACAGAGCCACAGCTGGCATGGTTTGCTGGAAGAACCAAGAGCTGAAAGGCAGATTTACCAGGTGGTGCCCCCCCCAGGTGTCTGCAGAACCCACATATTCCAGTCTCCAGACCATGGAAGCAGTGCTGTTTCCAGCTTGTCTCTGCCACAGGGTCCTTCTCTGCTCTCTCAGCCTGAAGGCCTCCTCTGTGTCTGTGAGTGGCTGGCTCCTTCTCAACCTTCATTCAGGTCTCCGCTCAAACACCACCCTCACCACCATGCCCACCTGCCAGCTACTATCACACAGACCTTCATTTTCTTCATGAGGTGATTCTGAAGAGAAAATAAGCTTGGGAGCTATCACCCTAACTTACTTATTCCCTCAGTGATGGAATTTGGGGGACATTTTCATCTTTTGCCATTTGAAACACTACAATGAACAACTGCACAACTGTCATTTCACATGTGTGCAAGTCTATGGGGTAAATGCCCCCTCTAAGATTGGTGGGTCAAAGAATACGTGTTTATAACCTGAGAGATATTGCCAAATTCTCCTCTATAGATGTGCTATTCTGCCGTCCTCCCAGCCATGTGGGGTTGTTTTCCAAAGAGTGTGTTATCAAATATTTTGGATTTTTTCCAATATGAGAAGTGAAAAAATGGTATCTTGGTGTAGTTTTAATTTGCATTTCTCGTATGAGTGAAATCAAACTTTTTTTCTATGCTTAGCTATTTGTGTTTCTTCTTCTGTGAGCTATCTGTTCAATACTTCATCCCAAATCCTATTGAACTGTTAGCCTCTTCCTTAACAATTTCTAGGAGCTCTGTTTTACTTTGTTTTTTTAAACAAGGGAGATTAGCTCTTTGTGATAGAAGTTTCAGATATTTTTCTCAGTTTGGCATCTGTCTTTGCTTATGGTTTTTGGCCATGCAGAAAGTTTTTTTGTAATTTAAATTCAATTTTTATGAATGTTTTCTTTTCTGGCTTCTGGATTTTGAGTTGAAACTAGAAAGGCTTTCTCTGCTCCAAGGTTATAAAAAGGAACTCGCTATGTGTTCTTCCAGGACTTTCATAGTTTTGTTTACACTTTTACCTTGGATTCACTTGGAGTCTAGCCTGGTACATGGTATAATGTATGAACCTAATTTACTTTCTTTTCCAGAGAAAAGAAACATGGCATGATTGGGCCATAATTTACATGCCCCAATCCAGTAAATCAAGAGTTTATCTTAGTCCCAATGATTTGTGAAGCTACCTTTATCGAATAACTAAATTTCCACAGGTACTTGCATCTACATTTGGACTTTCTATTCTGTTCCATTGGTCTGTCTCTTCATCTATTGGTATCTCACTATTTTAATTATTTAGGCACTATGGAAGTTTTTAATACCTGGTAAGGACTCCTTGCTCTTGTTCAGTTTTTTGTTTGTTTGTTTTTGTTTTAATGATAACCTCAGAATCTAACTAAAAGAAAAAAATCTGTTGTATTTGGATTTATATTAAATTGAAAAACTTACGGAGAACTGACATCTTGCCATCTTGCTAATGATGATTATTCCTGTCTAATAAATGTGGTATGTCTTTCCATTTATTCCAGTTGTCTTCTGTATCTTTTAATAGTATGGTTATCTTAAGGTGTTTTCTCTTTTTATTTTAATTGGATGTAGAATCTTCAGTAATATCATCTAGCAAGTTATTTGCATATTGTACAGTTGTATGATGATAAATTTGTATGTTATTTCTGGCAGAAGATGTTCTATTCTGTGCCTTTAGAAGGACACAATGGGATGGGGGGGAATCAAAGGGTGATAGTCTTAACAATAAATAGAGGTTGAGATCCTAATCAAGAATCAAAGCAATACATTCTGAGTTGGCATTCACAAATGAGTAAGTCAAATGGTGTGGGGCATAATGCTGGGGTGGCCATGGAAGAATTCTGCCCAACAGAGGATGATGTTCCTTAAGCTTCCAACACAGCAGGTTCAGAGAGGTTAGGAAAAATAAGCAAGGGAAAGAAACAAGTACTGATCTAACAATGACGGAAGCTGACTCCATGCCTTAGTGGATGCTTGCGGAGGATGGCACTATCTTGGCTGGGCTGACTGTATTAGCAATGCATGTATCTAAATCAGCTCTAAAACCCATAGAGAGACTGGCACTTTAGTGTGAACACGTAAACTGTGGGTGATGGTCTGTATTTCACATAAGTTGTGATCACTGCAAGGCTCTGCTGGTATTTTACAAGTCAAAAACAAGTTTCCTCTTCCACAGCCATATGTTTGAAAGATATGTCCCTTTAAGAATAATCAAACTCTCACCCAAAACATGTATTTTTCAAACCTAGAGGTTCCAACTTGAAATACTGGACCACAGGGATACTCAGCTCAGATCCTCTTTCAGAAAGGACTTGCTGTCCAGCTCCAGAGTGTCACTAGCAGATGCCCTCCAGCTGCTAGCTCTTCTAGGGTCCACTTCAACTTTTGGCCTAGGTCACACTCTTCCTAGGCAGCTCCTGGCCAGTAACTGAGCCCAGCAATGGTCCCAGGGCCCGGTTATATCCATCTAACAGGGGGCTCTGCAAATGAGCTCCCGGAGGGCTGGCAGAGTGTCTGTCCTATCAGAGTCCTGGTCAAACCGCTCCCCACACCCATCATCTTCCTCCTCTCTTCCTTTCATTGGTGTTATCCTCAGTAAACCTTTCACATCCCTAACTTCATCTCAGTATGTCTCCTAAAAAACTCAAATAGCAATGAAAATGTTTAGCAAATTTTGGGAAAGTAAAGGGGGGAATAAACATTCCCACATAATGTAGATCCAGACGATTCTGGAACTAGAAGTAGAAAGGCCTCATCACACAAGCCAACTAAAATGCACCTCAAAGGTTAATGTCATCGAATTTCAAAAGTCCTCGAAACTTCCATGGTTATAAACGAGCATTTCCTGCATGCTGGACTCTTCATCGTTGGTCTGGATTAATCCTCACTTCCATTCTAGGTGGTGGGTACAAGGACTTCCATTTTATAGACAAGGAAAACCTGATGTAAGTAAGTGGTAGAAAGCAGATTCAAATGCAGGCAGGACTACCTGGCTCCAAAGCCTTTTCCTTTCCAGATGGTACACTGCCCACATCTCTTAGTTTATCGGCACAGGGTCAAGAAGGTGGTGAGGGTATGGACTGACACGGCATCTACGGAGCTTTCCATACTTATACCAAGACGCCCCCCTGTAAAGAGTGGACTGTCCGGTAGCCGGGCAAGGTGGCTCATACCTTAATCCCAGCACTTTGGGAGTCCAAGGCAGAAGGATCACTTGAGGTCAGGAGTTCGAGACCAGCCTAGCCAACATGGTAAAACCCTGTCTTTACTAAAAATGCAAATAATAGCCAGGCATGGTGGTACGTGCCTGAAATCCCAGCTACTTGGGAAACTGAGGGATGAGAATCACTTGAACCCAGGAGGTAGAGGTTGCAGTGAGCCGAGATCATGCTACTGCACTCTGACCTGGGTGAGGGAGTGAGAATTTGTGTCCAAAAAAAAGAAAAAGAGTGAACTGTTCCGCCTTTGTCTGATGAAGGAATATAATAATTGGCAGCCATACACTATATTCCCGGGTCAAGGAATTCCTGGGTCATTTTCAGCAAGCCTAAAACAAGGTGTTCACACATTTATTTAAAAATATCCCAACAAAGTGTTGCAAAATTTCCCTTGATTGCAATGATTCTTTAAGCTGTTAACATTAATCTTGGGTGGATGCAGGAGTTGTCCACTGGCTTTCCAAAAGGCATCCAATGCCTTTAAGGCAGCATAAGAGAAACACTGCCCCTCTCGATGAACTGGGTCCCTGAGTCTGGCAGTACTGCCCTGTTCTCCACTGTGTCACCTATACAGGGACCCCTGAGAAGACCAGTGTGCATGAACCAGAGACTGGACAGTGCCTCTGTTACCATCACCGTGTGGTATCATGAAGAGGTAACCATCCCGAAGTCACCCAACTTGTCAGCAGAACTACTGGGAAAAGAGCTTAACTTTTCCTGTACTTAAATTCTTCCATATGTAGTTGGAGTTACAGGCCCCAAAGTAAAGACCTATTAAGCTTGCCTATATTGCTCCTAAATTCTCTACTCGTCTGTTCATTATTTCCAAATTTAATAAGGCCATACTGTTGTGTCTTCATCCTGGTCAATGCATCCAATGATACCTTGATAACTTTATCAGAGCAGTAGCTAGCAGAAGCACAGAGGCACGGAGGATGTTAAAACTGCTCAACACCACGGTACAAATGCATTGTCAGCTTATGTAGGAGTCTGCTTTTTATGCAGGCTTATGCAACTGGTGTAATTTTAAAATTTTATAAGCCATTTGAAAGAGCAACTTTGATATTAATGAAATGGGGAGAAATGTATATACAGTCAAAGAAAAGTGTCTTTCCTTTAGCTGATGTCAGAGACTCCCTAGAAATGAAAAATTATTACTGTCTTTTAGAAAAACAAAGGTTAAATGGAAATAGCACTGGCAGGAGTCATATCACAACAGCAAAATATAACAGGGCCAGGCAAACCAAGGATATTGTTGCAAATGCAGAGCCTTGATCAGGCTCATATCTCGAACCTTTTATTTTGTAAAGCTGCCAATTTTATAGCACAAAAATTTTAGTTAGGGCACCTTTAAGATTCACTGCATCTACTATGAGAAGAGAGAATGTCTTAGAAGAGTTTTTAAAAATACTACTTTGAAACACTTATGGGCAAACAAGAATTGGAACACTAATCACTGTAATTTCCCCACCAGGATCACTAGGTAAGACATTCAGAGAACTGGTGGAAGCAAGTGATGATTCAGATGCAGTAGTAGAACAGAAGATTGCCAATCAACTGCAAACAAAGTGCCGCACAGGCCCATCTCAACTGACAGCAATGGTAGAGAGAGAAGAGAGAAAGAAGAGAGAGAAGAGAAACGAGAGAAGAGG
Organism: Homo sapiens; assembly: GCF_000001405.40. Taxonomy (NCBI): domain Eukaryota; kingdom Metazoa; phylum Chordata; class Mammalia; order Primates; family Hominidae; genus Homo; species Homo sapiens. Next base: position 98,845,556 of record NC_000015.10, on the reverse strand, counting down.
AGAGAGGAGGGGGAGGAGGAGGAAGGAGGGGGAGGAGGAAGGAGGAGGAGGGAGGAGGAGAAGGAAGGAGGAGGAGGGAGGAGGAGGGGGCAGGAGAAGGAAGGAGGGGAGGAGGAGGAGGGAGGGGAGGAAGAGGGAGGGGGAGGAGGAGGGAGGCGAGGAGGAGGGAGGGGAGGAGGAGGAGAGAGAAGAATATGAGAAGGGAAGTTGGGAGAGACACAGCCCGACTGACTCAGATTCCAAATTACATATGCACAAAGCCCCTCAAAGGTTATCATGCCCTATCTGATCCAGGGTAAATGAAAACTAAATACTGAGGCGCAATTCACAAGGAAAGTCAGAGTGTCTACACTGTTAACAACATACATTGAATAAAGTATTAGAAACATATTTACTCTTCTCCCTACTCTCGGTGCTACTGACCGTCTACTGAATACAAGGTACAAGAAGAGTTTGCTAAGTTTTGGGTACTGCCCAGGTCGTTCCACGGCTAACAAGGCAAAAACACTCATGTAAACTCCTTGGTGGGCCTGGTATGTTGTGTGTGGAGAGGGTGCCTGATGATGTCTTTGAACTTCACTTTTTGGTTTCTCAGCTATCTCAGAGGTCTGGCTGTAGAATTACTAATATTTTAAACAATGCAAATGTAATTATAGTTGAAGCATACTCTTTAACAGAAGGAGGGAAAGATTGGCATTTAGAAGCTTCATTCAACTTTTGGCCTTTTCAAGGCTAAATGAATCTTAGGGAAGAAATAAAAAGTTCCCATTGATTCACTTAAAAAAAGATTTCTTGCAATTAACAGATCTAAATCTATGAAAAAGGGAGCATTTATGGTAATTTCCATAATCTCTCACTTTCTCTAGACATTTCAAATCAAATTGTAATAATTATAAAATCCCTCCTTCTCTCTAAATACACACACACACACACACACACAAATATAGTTAATCAGCAAAACTTTTTCTGATCTCAAGGAAATGTCAGTTACATTTACACAAGCCTAACTAGTTTAAGCAATTTATTTGTAAGTAGACATGCCTCCTAGATTAGGAAAAAAGTGTATTTAGCTGTATGGCATGACACGCCCCCTACCCCAAACCGTAAATAGTTTTTTTGGCAGGGAGTCAGCAGAAGAGCTATAAAAACATCTTCAGGGTATAGAAAGATGTTCAGGACTTAGAATATACCTTTTCTCATGGTTCTCTTATCCCAACGTATAAATTGTGACAATTTGTTTAAAAGATTGAACTAAACTATGATATTCTCTTTGTCTTCCAAATTTATTTAGACTTGGTATCCTGTTCTTTCTCTGGAATTTCCTTTGCTTTTCTTTTTGTCAGTAAGCTAAATTACTTCTCCTCCCACATGCATAAAAGCATTAATTTATAAAACACATAGCCATATGTCATATCTCATGTAATTCTATTTTACATTCCACTGCCGCCCAGACTTATCTAACATGAACAAATAGATATTATTTACTGTAGTCAGAATGAGAATTATCTAATGCCACTTACATAGCCATAAATTGATTTTTGATTAATGTTTAAGCAAAAAGCAAACAAGCCCATCTGCTCTGAAAACAAACAAACAAAAGGAAGCAGCAAACGCATAGTTCACAGGAATTTCTGCAGTATTACTATGTTTCAGCGGCTGGTGAGGATGGAATTTTTTCATTGCTATCGTGAAAATATACTGCTTGACAAGAAGAGAACTGCATATATAGATGCAGCTTCTTCTCTAGCAACTGTTAATTTAATAGACTACTACTTATGGTGAAACAAAAAACAATCCCACTCTGAAGAAAGCACTGAAGACCTATAACCAGCGGTGAATTTCTTCCGTATTGCTCAGTGGAAACAAAAGAAAGCTCAAATGGGTGAGTTTTTCTTCTTTCAGGGTTGCTTTCTCTATGGATCAAGGTAAGAAGGAAGAAAAGCTAGGTCTCCTATCTATCTCACACAGCAGATTTTAAAATATTTTAAAAATATTTTAAATACTTTCAATTTTTTAATATTTTAAAAACTTTTAAAACTAACTACTGTATCGTGTACCTATGAAATTTCGTTTTCAGTGCAATTCAAAATTGCTAAGACAAACCAATAAGAGAAGTAGAAACACGACCAGAAGGCCCTGTCCTGTTTATTGGTATCATCTCTGAGGCTTCCTCAGTATCTCGCACAGTATCTGTCAGTTGACAGCTCTAATCCGTTTAGAGTTAATTTGTTCTGCGTCTATTATGCAGGTAAGAGAAAAAAACTGCTGCATTAGGTGGGAATTTCACTAATACCAATGAATTCCCAATATTCTAACTTTCTGGGGAAAAAAGATGCCAAAAAGAGTGAATGCATTTTCAACAAAAACAGCATGTTAGGATTGTAGCACAGCAGGTTGAAGGATGAAAGAATGGTAAGAGCAATTTCACAGCAACCAAAATGACACAAGGACACACATGCCGGTGAGCAAACAAGAGGCACAACTTAATGACGCAAGAGGAAGCAGTTTGACTTGCAACTTTCAAAATTAAATTCTAACCGTGGTAATATAAAGACAGCTTTACATCCCATTCACCACGTTACACATATTGCCATTTATTTGCTAACAGCAAAAATTCAAATGAGTGTACTTGAGTCTCTAAATATTTTCTACAAACGCTCACCCCCAGACTAAGATAGACACTGCCAAAGTGAACGAGTCACTGCATGGCTAGATTTCCATGTTGAAAATCTTAGGCTCATAGCAGAATACTTGCACAAATCCTACTGCATCTCCTTAAAAATCACTCTACAAGTTGCATCCTAAGAGTTCTTGTCAAAATTGTTCTTTAAAGCATTACACACATATGCACACTGGCCTAGAGAACAAGGATCTTTGTCTTTCTTTGCCAAAAGACAGTGTTTCCCCAGGCCTGTTTTAGCCTTCGACTGATGGTTCTGATTTTGGTTCAGAAAAATAATTGCATGACTGTCCTAAAGTGGAAAGAGAAAAACCTCAAAAATTGTTAACACATCAATTACATCAACCTTTTCTAATTACAACTCTGCATTTCATTATTCTGCAGGCAAAATGAGTACCTTAAGTCTAGAGCCCCAGGTAAACAAAGCCTTTCCCTGTCCTCATTTCAAAACTTTGTTTTTATAAACATTCCCCGTCCCCTAAACTGAACTACAGCAGCACAATGATCCTGTTGTGAGCACTGCCTTGACCTCTATAGGACAACAGATTGTTGTTCACTTAGCCCCTCAGAGTTAAATCAGTTTTAATACAGAAGTTTCTGTCTTATCAAAGGAAGTAAAGAAGTAAAAACAAAAAATGAACGTATACAAGCACAGATTTTTGAGCTTCGATTGTAGAGAAATGGTAGTTATGTGGCTTGCCAAGAAAGTGCATCACCTACTTCTGCTTCTGGGGACAGAGGTGAAGGGGTCTGTTCTGGAACTTTCTAAGGAGGCCATCTTCGTTATTACATCAGGGAAGTTTCTAGTCAAAATGTTATTCCTGTCTACAGGGAAAAACAAAAGCAAAACACAAAAGAACACTGCTTCTAATGGCATCATAGCAAGGAGTTTATCTAGAAAGATGATGCCAGCAGTCACCTCTTTTCCAGGAAGACAGAAACAAAAACCGTTCTCCTCGAGAGGCCAACAGTGTAGAAGCCCCTTTTCCAGAACTTTCCAAGGAGTAGGTGAACTTCTTTGTAAGTGTATCAGCACAGGGGAGAGTGGTGCTCCATGTTCCAAGGAAGAAAAGCAACCCACAGCTCCTCCTGCCCGTGCAGCAGATGACCAGAAAGACGAGAAAGGGAAACAAACTCCCATTCATGGTGAGGCTGCTTGTTTCTCAAACACACTTTTCCAATGCCTCCACAAGTTGTTTGTTTCTGTATTTTGAAAGCACTCAACATGCAGAGTATTTGCTAACCACAGGCAGAGTACCCAGTCAGGATGTACCAACTCAAACTCCTCCCTGGGGCAGGCAAGGATAAACAGGGAACAGGTAAGAGAGGCCTAAAAAGCCAGGTGGACAGAGACCACATGTGACCCCAAACAGAAACAGGCTGCTGGAAACTAACTCTCTCTCTCTCTAGCTGATACTTATTCAGCACTTACTGTATGTCAGGTACTATTCTAAAAACTTTACGTATAGTAACTCAGTTTTCACACAGATGCAATTATTTTCCATACTTTAGAGATGAGAACATTGAGGCATAGAGAGGTTAAGTAATTTGACCAAGGAAGCACAGCCAGTAAATGGCAGGCCAAGGATTTGAACCCAATCAGTATTTTTTTTTGTAGCTCATCTCCATGGAGTTAGTTGGAGTCTCATCAGCACTTCCTCGTACAGGGCTCCATTTTACTGATTTCTATCAACCACAGGACATACTTTTCTTTTTTCTTCGTACCCTGAAGAAGAAATGCACTAGGTAACTTCAATATGATGGCAGTAAGATTGTTTTTCAACACATACACACACACTTTCAAAAAAAACTTAGAGACCAGATGCGGTGGCTCACGCCTGTAATTCCAGCACTTCGGGAGGCTACAAGCGAAAGGAAGTCAAGACCAGCCTGGACGGCCAGGCGCAGTGTCTCACGCCTGTAATCCCAGCACTTTGGGAGGCCGAGGCGGGCGGATCACCTGAGGTCAGGAGTTTGAGACCAGCCTGGCCAACATGGTGAAACCCCGTCTCTACTAAAAATACAAAAGTTAGCCAGGCGTGGTGGCACGCAGCTGTAATCCCAGCTAGTCTACTCGGGAGGTTGAGGCAGGAGAATTGCTGGAACCTGGGAGGGAGAGGCTGCAGTGAGCTGAGATTGCACCACTGCACTCCAACCTCGGTGACAGAGCAAGACTCCACCTCAAAAAAAAAAAAAAAACAAAACAAAAAACAAAAACCCCGCCTGGACAACAAAATGAGACCCCATCTCTATAAATAATTAGCCAGTTGTGGTGGCATACACCTGTAGTCCCCAGCCACTTGGGAGGCTGAGGCAGGAGGACTGCATGAACCCAGGAGTTGGAGGTTGCAGTGAGCCACGACTGCACTACTGCGCTCCAGCCGGGGTGACAGAGTGAGACTCCATCTTAACAACTTAATGGTAAAGCAGGCCTCCAGTACACTTTCTCCTCCCTGTCTTTTCTTCTTTTCTGAAGATTACTACTTACTCACCGTTCCCCATTGGTTTAGATGATAACAGAAGAAACAGGACACTATAAAAACCTTATTTTGCACCACAGAAAGCAAGATGTGAAGGCAGTCAGGTTTGATAACAGTGCGCACTGTTTTTGCAGTATCTTTCATCACGAGGCTCTCACATCATGTGCTCTGAGCTCATGTAACACACTCTGCTGGAATGCCCCCATTCAAGAGGGGAGAGAGTCCGTGACAGTCCTCCCTGCACTCACTGTGCTAGCAAAGATGTCCGGGAAGGACAGAAAAGAATGTAATGTGCAATTAAAACAAGGGAGAGTGATTAATGTAGGCAAAAATTAATCACAAGGGCAGTGTCAAAGTTTGGTGGGACAACTGCGTGTTCAGAAGACACCTGAAAAAAGTAATCCCATGATAAATAACATGGTAAAAAGCTTAGATTGTGCCATTAAGTTTTCTTAATATTATGGATAAAATGACAACAGGCAAATTATTTTCTTTCCCAGGTGAAATGAAGAACCAAGGATCATCTGAGCAAAGACTCAAGGACCATTTGAACAAAGACATCCACATCTATACCACAGATGACTTGGCATCTATGGAGGAGTGGAGGTGAGCACCACTCTACCATGTAGAGGAAGCAGCCACTGTGGAGGCTGGGCTTGTGGAGATTCCTTCTGGATGCCCTCAGATCTGTCATTAATGGGGACAAAGCAGAATCAAGGGACTGCTCTATCTCATCTACCACTACCAGCTCCACCATCCAGGGTACTGTTCTTGCCACTGCATCTAGAAAGAAGAGGAATGCAATCTTGCAGTTAGAAAAGGCTGTCTCGCTGAATATTTATTCTCATTCCTCTACCCAAAACTAATGAAAATGTGAAGTCTGAGTGGTGTCTGAACCTAATATTTTCGTGTCCGAGGCACACAAGGTTGAGCTGCCACTTCTAGCCATCTGAACCACCCAGTGTGAGCATATATGTGGCTGGGAGGGTGGGTGGTGATGGTGGTGGTAGGGAGGTGGGGGAGACTTCTAATGAGAGGCAGTAGAGAGTAGGGTCTAAGAGTAGGTACTCTAGAGTCACACTGATTTCGGTTCAAACCCCAGGTCTGCCATTTACTAGCTGCACTTCCTTGGCCAAATTACTTAACCTTTCTGTGCCTCAATTTTTTGTCTCTAAAGTGGGGATAAATAGTTGTATCTGTGGGACAACTGAGTATATGGCAAGTGTTTAGAATAGTACCTGGCATAGAGTAAGGGCTGAATGAGTGTCAGCTCCAGCTGTCATCTAGGTGTAAGCTCACTGGCAGCAGGTGCAAGATTCTTTTGGATGGCTAACAAGCTACAGCTTTGGCTGACAGTGCTGTTTGTGAAACCCAGTGGCCTCTTCACTCCATAGTCAGCCTTCCAGTGCTCCTGCCCTTGGTGGCCTTGGCAGGAGCCTGGGGTTGAGTGGGGACTCAGACAACTGAAGCTCTCCCAGCAAAAGCAGGATCCCCACGTCTCCCACTGACACTAAAAAACAAATTCTTGAATTTTTCCCGGGTCTGCTGAGTGATCACAAGAGGACAGCTGGGGCTGGATGACAGAGCCTCAGCAGTGACAGGGAAGCCTGCTTACTTCCCTCATGCTCAGAGTGCCTTTTGGCCACGGGCTTATTTCAGCTGTCTTGTGTTCCATTTCTGAGGCTCTAAAGGGATGCTCTGGGAACTGGGATCTAGGAATAAATCAAGATGAGTGGGGCAAGGTTAATACCCTGATTAGATCAGCCTGGCCCAACGCCCTTTGACCTTAGAGTACTGGAAAAGTCTTGACAGGCAAGGGCATGAAAAGGTCATGTGCTCCAGGGGCACTGTCTTCAAAGAGGAGCCTTCCTGGGGTAAACAGGCGCATCTACCTTCTCAATAACAGGTTCAAAATTCAAGAAAGCAAACAGCATTCCCTAACTATCAATATTCCACTAAGTCCTAGAATAGTTTTAGTTTTTAACATCCCAGATAGCATTTTCAATTGTAATGCCTGGAATGAGAGGCAGAGGATCTTCAGGGTCACGTGCTATTTTTTATGGGTTTACATGAAGGATGCAGATGTCATTTTAATTTTTATCTTTCTAAACATAGTTTGGCCACCATCCCTGCTGAAGACCACAGTGAGTCCAAAGAACATGGTTAACTGAAATACACAGATAATCACAGAAATTACTTTTAGGCAATGATGTCAACTTTGTCCCACTGATGGAAGAAAATAAAAAAGCTGAAATTAGAAAATCTAAGTTTTTTCTCATAAAGGTGAACCCCAAACCTGTCCAATAATACTCTACTAAATAAAGTCTGTTAGTAAAGAAGGGATGAAAAAAATCAGTACCTAAAAGACTCTCAGGCCGTGAAAATGATTTTGTAAATTCTCAAATGGGCTTTGCAAGCCAACAGATCCAAATCACAACTGTGGTCAAGGCATTCTGCAGAGTCTCAATGCTAGGTGAAGAAGGCATCTTGGGAACCAGCAGACTGCCACTCTCTCAACATTGAAAAGATATCTCCATTCTTTGAAAGTCACTTTCAGCCACCCAGAAAGTTACCTGGAGAAAAGTATGGTGAATGAAACTGTTTAGAGTTTGAGAAGGAGCAGGTCTTTCCTATGTAAAAATTCCAATGAATAAATGACAATAAGATAGAAAATTGCCATTAAAGCATGGCAGTAATAATTATTGTAGATAAGCTCCACCAAAGCATGACAAGATCAGTGAGTGACAATGTGATGAGAAACAGGACCTTGGCCAGTTGTGGTTGGGAGGCTGAGGTGGGAGGCCAGGAGTTCGAGACCAGACTGGGCAACATAGTGAGTTTCTACAAAAAATTTAAAAATTGGTGAAGGCCAGGCATGGTAGCTCATGCCTGTAATCCCAGCACTCTGGGAGGCCGAGGTGGGCGGTCAGGAGATCAAGACCAACCTGGCCAACATGTGAAACCCCGTCTCTACTAAAAATACAAAAATTAGCTGGGTGTGGTGGTGCCTGCCTGTAATCCCAGCTACTTGGGAGGAGGCTGAGGCAGGAGAACTGCTTGAACCAGGGAGTTGGAGGTTGCAGTGAGCCGAGATTGCGCCACTGCACTCCAGTCTGGCGACTGAGCGAGATTCTGCCCAAACAAAAAAACAAACAAACAAAACTGGTGGGGCACTAATTAGTGATGGTGCACACTAGCTACTTGGGAAACTGAGATGGGAGGATTGCTCAAACCCAGAAGTCTGAGGCTGCACTCCCCTGCCTGGGCAACAGAGCAAGACTGTCTCAAAAAAAGAAAAAAGAAAAGAAATATGAAAAAAGAGAAACGAGACATCTGCATACTGTGAGTATCAGCCCTAAGATATCAGTAACAATGCGAAAAGCAGAAAATTTACACTGGAGAAACCTGGCAGGCACCACCTCAATCAAGTGTTCAAGGCTAAGAGATCATCAGTGGTAAGATGCTGACATCACACAGATGTGACGCACTGAGATGCAATGTCAATCTTGTAGTAGTCTTCCCCAAAATGTATAAAAATGAGTTTAATGATGAGAAACATTAGAACCAATTTGGAGCATTCTATGCAACAACCTGTCCATACTATTCAAAAATATCAAGGTCATGAAAAACAAGCAAAGATAGACACATTTTTACAGACTGGAGAAGACTAGATATAGTAAGTAAACACAATGAAGGATGTTGGGACTGAAAAAGGATATTAGTGGGAAAACTGGTGAAATTCAAATAGTCCATGGTTAACAGTATTGTGTCATTGTTAATTTCTTGGCTGTGAGAATTGGTGTATAGATTATGTAAAATGCTAACGTTAGGGAAAACTGGGTGATATTTTACAAACTTTTTTTTTTTTTTTTTTTAAAGAGACAGGGTCTTAATCTGTCTCCAAGACTGTTGTGCAGTGGCATGATCATAGTTCACTGCAGCCTGGAACTCCTGGCTCATGCGATCCTCCCACCTCAGCCTCCCAAGTAGCTGAGACTACAGCCACGTGCCACCACTGCTGGCTACTTAATTTCTTTTTTTTTGTAGAGATAGTCTCACAGCTTGGTCTCAAACTCCTGGCTTTAAGAGATTTGTCTTGGTTTCCCAGAGCACTGGGATTATAGGTATAAGCCACCATGCCTGGATGCTTTTTCAACTTTTTTGTAAGTCTAAAATTATTTCAAAATAAAAAGCTGAGAGAGAGAGAAAAAAAAAAATCAGTTCAGTTTCTCCCCGGCCAGTGGGGTCATCCTCACTACAAAGTTGCTGGTTTGGGCTCTAGCTCTGCGGATTTTCCTCACTGGACGAATTTCATAATTGTCGCTACCACTGATATTACACAATTGAGATTCTAACTGAATGGAGAGTGATGGAAGAACATGAATGAAGAAGTCATGCTGACATTGGGGAAAGAGAACTTACTGAAAATTTTTAAAATGTTAAATATTTTACATTATCTTCACAATCCCTGTACCCCCAACACCTTCCACAGCAAATCTCCCTCAACAATACTTCAGTAATCTGGCTAGAGCCCAAAACAAATACTTCTTATTCAGAACTTGGCTTTGAAGAAAATGCAGCCCTAACAAAATTTTAAGTAAGTTACTGAAGGATGCAGAGGCTTCATTTTACAGGAGTTAGTTCCAGAGGTGATTTTGGGACCAGCATTATTCCCAGACCCCAACCACATCTAAAGCTGCCAGGAGGGTCTGGCTTTTGATTCCTCTGTGACTCCTTTCCAGACTAAATCAATGTCACTTGGTTCCAACAACTGCAGCTCTTCCCTACTCTTTGACCTGCTGTGCCTAAAATTTAACTTTCCCAAATTGAGGAGGGTTCATCCTCCTTGCCTGGGTCAATCCTTGGGGTGGACAAAAGGTATTAAGACAACTATGGAAGCCTATCCACTCTGTCGAGAGAAACAATTACTCCTAAAGAAAATCTCTACTTAAAGCCACGATTAAAGTCACTCTCCTCTTCATCCCTCAACAACTTGCTTTGAAAGGGTAAGAAGGGAAAGAAGATGAGTGCTTCCACTTCGCTGGTAGGGGTGAATGGTAGGTAGTCCTATCTGCACTCTTTCCATCTAGTCCCCTACACATAATAGCAACAAGTGTGCTAGTTGTATGCTACAGTTGTTGTAGCCTCTTAGCAGAGCCTTCAAATCCTGGTGTGTGGGTGTAGGTCTGTGTGGGAAGGTGTGTGGGTGTAGGTTTGTGTGGGAAGGTGTGTGGGTGTAGGGGTGGGTGTGTGTGGGTGTAGGGGTGGGTGTGTGTGGGTGTAGGGGTGTGTGTGTGTGTGTGTGTGTGTGTGTGTAGGGGGGGTGTTCTCTTGCCCTGGCCACCTAAAAAGCCTAAGTTACTACTGACAAAGGATCCTATTCCTTTTCACTCAATATAAGCCTATAAGACATCTCAACACTCGCCATCTTACAAACATAGAGAAGCATCTGGGTGTCTGGGCGTGCCCTGGACCCACAAAAATCCCTAACCAAAACTGTTAGCTCTGACAACGGTTTAAGCAGAAGTAATAGCATATACCTCTGAAGGCAGAGGTTTGGTTTTTATTGCTAGGTTTACTCCTGCTCGTTTATAAGGATGCCCTAAATGCCATCTCCCAATGAAAACCCTTCCATGTCCAGGGGCAAAGGATGCTCTGGACCCTCAATGCTTGAGCCTACTGAACCATCCAGGACCACTTCGCTTGGCTCGTCTAGTGATGCAGAGCTGTTACATGGTTCTGCAAAGGATTCTCAGAGAGATTCCCACCTCACAGTCACTGCTTTGCTTTCAGATATTTCTGGTAACCCCCAGAGTTCAGTGTCTTTCTAGCTTGATTTGTCCCAACAGAATGGAGCCTTATTGAACCTATGGATCAATTCTGGTGAAATGTCAAATAAGGCAAAATAAAACAGAAGTAAGTGTGAAGGCAAGAGTTTTTACCAGAATCTGACCCTTTGGTGAGATAACTCACGTGACGGAAAGCTCTGATGATATTGCTGAAGCTGGAGTGTTTAATGACCTCCATTTTCTCAAGAGCATTTTCCCTGTAAACAAAGATGACAACTGTTACAGCCAGAGAAAGTGACAGCTTCTGAGGTTTCCACCATAAACACTTGCTGAGGCTCCACTGATGCCAGGCACCATGGTGATGCTGGTGATCTAAAGACAAGAGTCAGGCTTAAAAGCTTTGCAAACTCTTTCCCAAAAAAGGTACAGTCTAGGCAAAGTTCAAGCTGTAAACTTGTAACTTCAACATCAGCTGTTACATGCTCCAGCAATAGAATGGATTAATTTCTTGGGGACAGAGGAGAGGATATTAAGGGTAAAGAAGGATTTTAATTAGGAGATGACATCTGGCAAGTCCTCATAAACCCAGCAGCACAGAGCTGGCCACATAAATCAAACCCTTGTATTCAGGGTCCATACTATTACTCAACAAGGGTAATTCGAGTAATTACCAGAGTTATCATGATCCAACACATAAGTTCATTTGAGGACCCTGACTATGCAAGCATGAATATTTTTTTGGCTGCCTCTAGATAGCATGTTTATGAAAAACAGGTTAAGTTACTGGCTCCAAATTACTTTTTAATAAAAAAAGCAAACAATAAAAGCTTAAGCTTTTAAGATTTTTCTTTTTTGTTTTTAACCTGGAAAATAAATCTCCCTGTCAAAAACATGCAAAATGAATGATTTATGTGATATAAGCTTGGGTATCTGTGTTATTATTACATGACATTTCCTAACAGCTTATAATTGCCTTAAAGATTGTTTTGGAAAGGTTATACCTTCTCCCTATTCCCATTCCCTTTAAATAAACCCTTGTGTAATCTCTGGAAATTTTTAGACTACAACTATCAATGGGCCATTCAAAAATGGAGCCATTGTCAAGTCACCCACATGAAATAGTGAAGGTTTACAACCAAAAGAGAATCGCTCACTTCCACAAAATAGCTGATGGAAATACTGTGCTCCGGGGGCTTACGTGGAACAAACATTAGGAAGGTGTCTACCTGCAAACCCGCTCTAAGGCTGGACCAAACCAGGGGGTCCAGGTCAATCACAAGTACTGAATCAACCAGGAAAGTCCACAGAATACTGAGAGCCATCAATGACACCACTTTAGAATTTAACTGTTCCAAACCCTTTGTTTGGCAGATGGGGAAAGGAGAGGTAGAGGGAGATCAGAAGAGTCAATACAAGAATCTTGGCTGATTGGCTGGTTTTTCTAATATGGTTCATTCACCACATCATGTTATTCTATTGAAGTTCAGGAGAGGGTACCAGGGGATACCTCAACCCAAAATGACTTCTTCACAGTTTTAAGTCTAGGGGGAAAGGCCCATAATGTAGTCCTCACCACTTTTTCCTAGGAATGGCTAGCATCAGACATGACCTAAATCTGTAGAGCTAGTTCAACATTCAGGTTACCAAACAAAGTCATGAAAGAATGTAATTACTATCACAGACATAGACTGTCTAGGTTCTAAAGCAATTAAGCTGGTAACGTACTATTTACAATAAAAAAATTGGTTTCACAAACCTGTAACAGAGACCAGGTAAATGTGCCAGAAATTGTATAAACCATGGCATACCTTGTATCAATTTTTATGTAGACACAGCAAGCAAACACAGTTTTGGAAGATAATTCCTATATTCCAACTTAGCATAAGGTAATTAACTGTGTCTTAAAAGAGGAAAAGAAAGGAGCCTAGAGCTTTATTAGGTGTCCCACCTAACTTAAATTTGTTTTTCTAGAAAAAAACCATGCACTCAAGAAAGGCAATCAAGATCTACATACTTAATTCACATTCACAGAAACTTGTGAATATATCTGTAAAAGGATTATCATTAATCCTTCAAGCTCCTAGAGTAGGAATACAATACCCGGGCAGTGGTTCAAGAAATCTAACTCGTGAGAAGGTTACACATCTCAGGGGTAATCTAATAATGTAAACTTTTACAAACTTTCCTTCCTGGTCTCTTGCCTTCAGTAGGTCATTCATTTAAAAACATAATGAGCTCCTGGAATATGCTGGGGACCCTGTGGGGAATAAGGCACTTGTGATTCCTGCACCCAAGAGTGTAGCTGGGGCTACAGGAATGTTTTAAGACACCTCTTAACTGTTTAACCGCTAGTGTTTTAAGACATAATTCCTGCCCTCCTGGAGTTTACAGTCTCCTTGGGCACACAGAATCTGTGCATAATAATAGAATTACATAGAAGTAGAGGGACAGAAGACAAAAACAATGTGAGTTTGGGGCAAAAGGAAGAATTTCTTGGAGTCTAAAGAAAAGGATCCAGACCCAAGAAGCAGAGGAATGAAGGCTATTTCCAGTGTTGAGGCGTCCCAAACATGGCACTCTTGACATGCTGAAGCAGCCTCAAGGTCCCTGACCCCCCTTCCTCATCCTTTGTCTCTCGCAAAGCACAGGACAAGGCTGTTCTCTGAAGTTCCCTTACCCACCTAGAAACCAGATCCCCAAAGAGGAACACTACGGCCTGCAATTGCACCCTGCCATCCACCAGCTCAAGACTGAGGAATGCAACCATACCCAGACAGACTTTTTCACAAGACAATTTCTGCCTCTGGAGCGTGTTCAAATTCTAAAGAGCATCATTTACAAGTAAATTGCTGTCTCAGGGAAATATTCATTTTCCCTGAAAATCATTTACTCCTACACCCCCAATACCTTCTCACCAATAAATAAAGCATTTAAGGATCAACCATCTGGCCATTTTCTTGAGTTTTCATATTTTGTATGACTCCCATGCACACATATAATAAATTTGTTAGGTTTTTCTCTTATTAATCTATCTTTTGTTTTAGGAGTGTTGGCATGACCTTTTATGATCATGGGGAAGGAAGGGATCAACCCTCCACCGTCAAAGAGAAGAGAACCAGAGTCATCAAGATCGGAATGTGGATGGCACAAGCCAGGGCAAGAGGGTGAAGATGTCACACAGGGTGGGAAGCTGGGCGTGAGGTTCTACAACAGATAACAGTGGGCTATATTCATGCTAGAGCAGGGTCTATGCAAGGAGTATGCCACTGGCAGGTGGGTGGTGAGATGGATTCTGGTGGAGAGAAAGTGAAAATGGGTGCAAGAAATTCATTTTAGAACACGTTGAAATCCTAGGGTCAGATGTGGGTGAAATAAATGGAAAAGAAAGCATTTAAGTAGAAAGGAATTAGGAAAATTTGGTCGTAGATATAGTTTGAATGTTTGTTCCCTCCAAATCTCATGTTGAAATGTGATTCCCATTGTTGGAGGTGGGGCCTGGTGGGAGGTGTTTGGGTCATGGGGTGGATCCCTTATGAAGGGCTTGGTGCCCTCCCCACAGTAAAGAGTGAGTTCTCACTCTGTTAGTTATCTACCAGGAGATCTGGCGTCTCTCTTTCTCTTCTTGCCATGATACAACTGCTCCCCCTTCACCTTCTGCCATGAATAAAAGCTCCCTGAGGCCTCCTAGAAAATGATCAGATCCTGGCCGGGCGTGGTGGTTCACACCTGTAATCCCAGCACTTTGGGAAGCCAGGGTGGGGGGATCACCTGAGGTCAGGAGTTCAAGATCAGCCTGGCCAACATGGCAAAACCCCATCTTTACTAAAAATACAAAAATTAGCTGGGTGTGGTGGCGCACACCTGTAATCCTAGCTACTTGGGAGGCTGACGCAGGAGAATTGCTTGAACCCAGAAGTGGGAGGTTGCAGTGAGCCAAGATGGCGCCACTGTACTCCAGCCTGGGTGACAGAATGAGACTCCATCTAAAAAAAAAAAAAAAAAGATGATGATCAGATGTTGGAACCATGCTTGAACAGCCTGAAGAACCATGAGCCGGAAAAAAAAAAGCTAACCCTCTTTTCTTTATAAATTACCCAGTCTTGGGTATTCCTATGGACTACAATAGTCACTGATGACAGATTTCAAGATTTTCGGCTTAGGCTAGTGCACAAACTGTAGAGTCCAGAAAGCAGGTTTGTTTTTCACACACCCTGAGTCTGAGACGATGGGAGGCTTCCCCAGTGCCAGTGTCTGGCAGAAATGAAAACACATGGCAAAGGAGAAGAAAGCTCAGGGAAAAGGATGGTCCAGACAGAACCTATCTGTGTGGCTGTGATGGATAAAGCCATAAAGGAGATGAGTTCTCTGAGAACTCCCACCCCATTTAGAAAGGAAAAGGGCAGGAACACTGCTCTAGAAATCTAGAAGACAGTCCAGGTAGACAGGAAAGTTTCTCTAAGGCAGTGAAGCTTAAGCTGATCTCGAAGGGTCTGCTGAAGGAAGAAGAAAGAGATTCCAGGTTGGGACACAGCAGGGACAAACAACAAGACTTCAGTGGATAGGCTGCTCCATCCCTGTTGTCTCAGTATTAGAAAACCGTATTTTAACATACTAATGGTGGACATTTGATAATCAGTTTGTTACAACTATATGGAACTGCCCCCTAAATTCAATCATACTTTGCCTTTCACACTCTCATTTTCATAATTAAATAGTTTTACAATGAAAAACAAGGTACACGGAGAAAAGCAAGGTTATCAGGTTTCACCAAAACATAGCAGTGGTCAATTCTAGTCCATTTCTGAGATGACCTGGTCTCTGGCATTTGCACATTAAAATTATTTTTAGGCAATGAATGCCAGTATTAGAGTCACCCATTTTTAAGGTCATAATTGCTGCATATAAAAAGATTTAGAGTTACAGACTGTCCCCAAACAGCAGGAGCCCTCGTGGCCTGCCTCTCCTGGATCCGAGAGCCACAGTGTTCTCCTGCTTCTATTTAGAGTATCATGAATGCTAAATAGAAATGTTAAAAATTATTCCACAAAACGAAGCAAAGCAGACATCATCCCCCACAGACCCGCACTCTGAAGTGGTTCACCACTCTTTTGGCTTGCAAATGCATTCTTAGAAGTAGACTCCTTGTTTGTCATCTGAACCCCCAAACATCTTAATTACATATTTGTATAACACCCGGATAGAGGGGGAAAGAAACCAAACCTCAAGTTTTTTTTTTTTTAAAGTAATAGCAGCTTTCACTCTGGAAAAAAACATCAGAGCAATTCCATCGCAGCAGTACTTTGGTTACTTAGCATCATGTCATCTCAGACATGTGTAACACGAAAGGTGTGAAGGGGAAAAGGACATCAGAAACGGCTGCAGCAACAAGGAATCTAGCAAAAATAGTCTTCTGCCATTCTACATGCCAGATGTGGTAAGAAGCTCTTTCAGCCGGACTTGGTAAAATGCCTTGTTTGAATCGAAGTCTGAATTGGCGGTTATTTTTAAATTAATAAAGTTTTTCTATTTGGAAGGACTTCTAATAACATAGAGCAGTATCCTAAGAAGCCCTTGGGGACTTTTTTAATGAATTAGAATAATGTGCAATTAGACCGACAGTTGTAACTGAGTGCTTCGGAGGGCTTGAAAGTAGTTGTTCTCAAGTAGTTCACGTAGCATCAAGTTCACAGAAAGGATTCTAAGGCACTGAATTGCTCGATTTTACAATGCACTGGGATATAAATGAACAAATGCACTCCACAGTACATATTAGGCATTCCCTAGGCTTAAAAAACCCAAAAACTCCAAAATAGGAAAAAAAAAAAAAAAAAAACCATGCTCAGCAAATATATTAGGATAAATATGTATCAGAAAAATATTCGTTTCAGGATTCCTTTAAATAGTAAGTCCGCCTCATGTCTGTGTGTCTTCACAGATCATTAATTTCTTGGCAAAGAAGTTGGGGTGCAGACACCCTGTGGCCACAGCACTGGAACTGAAGGTCAGTGGGAACGTGATGAGAGGGGTTTTGAAAAGTCTGCGCTCCTCTGAAAACATTCTGACTATGCCTTTTCTCTCTCCACGGTTTCCCAAGGCCACTACTCTATCTTCCTCTGTTTGAATCCAAACAGAAGTACAAGGAGTCAGATCCACAAATGAGTCGTTTTATCTTGCCCTACCTCTCTGTGCAGTCAATGGCCAACCAT
Source organism: Homo sapiens (assembly GCF_000001405.40). Taxonomy (NCBI): domain Eukaryota; kingdom Metazoa; phylum Chordata; class Mammalia; order Primates; family Hominidae; genus Homo; species Homo sapiens. The sequence goes on along the minus strand of NC_000015.10, from coordinate 98,828,401 downwards.
CCTATGGATGGACAGTCACAGGGGCCCAACCAAGGTGTCTTATACGAGCAGGCAGAGGGCTTGCAGTGGCTTTTTGTAGGTTTTTGGCTGGAGCTGAACTAACTGCAAACTAAAAAAAAAGTTCCCAACAGCAGCCCTTCCTGAAGCTGACGGTCTGACTGTGGAAGTTTAGCCCGAGTATTTAGGGTGCTGGGAAGACATGAGAACTACCTTATGTCCTTTGTTTTCTTCCTAAGCAAACTGGGCAGTCTTGTTCATGCAAAACCACTATGGAGTGATCACTGTAACAGGCACGCTGGACCAGAGGGTGAATGCCCCCAGCGGGAATCTCTCCCTAAAGCCTTGCTTTTTCACATCACGCCACCTCCCCTCTTCCAAATTTTGGAGGCGTACTACCAATAGGAACTCACTATCTGACTGATTAATCAGCTTTCAGTAGACAGGAGCGGGACAGGTGTGGGAGAAAACATTTCTTTCCAACTCCCATTCTCCACTGCAGAATACCACAATAAGAAATCTTAGGCCGGGCGCGGTGGCTCATGCCTGTAATCCCAGCACTTTGGGAGGCCGAGGCAGGTGGATCATGACGTCAGGAGTTTGAGACCAGCCTAACCAACATGGTGAAACCCCATCTCTACTAAAAATACAAAAATTAGCCGGGTGTGGTGGCGTGCGCATGTAATCCCAGCTACTCAGGAGGCTGAGGCAGGAGAATCGCTTGAACCCGGAAGGCAGAGGTTGCAGTGAGCTGAGATTGCGCCACTGCACTTCCGATTGTTAACTAGCAGTTTAAATGACCACATTTAATCAGCTAAGTGAGAGTTGGTTTAAAAGGCCAATTACAAAAGAAGTGGTAAATGGCCTTTTAAACCAATTCATAGTATCTCCAAATGCCTTGGTTTACCAAGTCTGAGGGTTTCCTAGAACTCTCCTTATAAGCATTAGAATGAAATCTAGTCCTGGCTCTTTTCCCATGACCACTTCCTCTTTGGTTCATTAAGAATATAAACATTACTTAAATAGAGCAAAGCTCCCTGAGCTAAGGGGTCTTCATGGTATACATTCAAACGGCATGTGAACGAGGTTACAGGGCATAGTGCAGAATCCCTCCTCGGATTCCAAGGTGGCTAAAAATGCCTATGTCAGTGGATTTGCCTGTTTTCCAAGTCATTTGCTCTGAAACTCCTAAATACAAATATGAAAACAACAGCATGAGACTTCATTGTCATGTTTATTTGTTATTCATTCTCTGATTCGGAGTTGGGGGGCAGGGGAAGGATTAGACACAATTTTAAGCCAACCAGCCTCTAAACAGAAATATGGTTTATTCTCGGTACTCAAATTCAAATCTTAGTAACATAGCAATTACATTTTAAAATAAACTATCTCCTTGTGCTTGCTTCTAAGGAGAGTGTTTAGTGGGATATGAAAAGAGTCTAATCCTAGGCAGCCGTATGGCCAGACCAATTATAAACCCCGTAGACTTTTCACACGTCACAGAGAGCAAACTGCTCCAGGAGCAGCTCTTAATACTTTATTGCCTATTCAGGTGCACCTGCACTTTTAAGATATACTTGTCAGCAACAAAATACAGCACTTCCCTCTGTCTTTATCACATTGGTTGCCAGACAACTGCACAGAGCTAAAGTAGGTAATGTTACAGTAAACAGCTCCCTAAAACATTTACATATGTCACTGATAAACAATAGAAAATTTAAAAGAGATACAAATGTACTCTTGGAACCTTAAATCTTCTTCCCACTGAGGCCTAAGAACTTAAAATCTTCATACACCTGGCTGAGAAAAAGGAAACAAATTCCAAAGGAAGTCTAGATTTATAGCCTAAATATGTCTTCCTCTAGAATATTTAATACACTTAAGCTTTAGTCATTCTATACACTTTGAAAATGCCCTTCAACGATAAATTACAGTCGTTGCATTTTTCATTGCAGTTCACTTAAATATCATTTTGCTTTCAGGAAAACAATTATAGGACAGTAAATCACTTTTACATTGCATTCCAAAAATATTTAAGTTGCAACATGGACAATGTGTAGAATCACAAGAAAAATACAGCTTATATATTCTATCATTCAGTCTTCTACAGCAAACGTTAAATCCCTGAGGAAAGTCCTACCGTTAGTTTGGTTTTTAAATATTTAGATTATTTCAGCGTATGCACATAAGTATTAGTGCAACAAATATTTACTGAACTCCCGCAATATGCAGTCATCCAGATTTGGGGTAGAAATTTGGGAATCCCCCTGATTTCAAGATATCAACCACTACTACCATAATTACCTGCTTCATGGGCATTTAACATGGCAGGCCCCAGCCTAACAACTCTACACACACAGACTATACCATTTCATCCCCACAACTTTCCTGAGAGGTGGAGATCATCATTCTGATTGAAAAGTATGGAAAGGTCACCAAGGCCACATGGCTGGTGACACTGGAGGATCTGCCCAACATTCACACCCATAGGGGTGATCAGTATAGCATGCCCTCCATATCTGAGGGCTCCACACCCATGGATTCAACCAACTGCAGATCAAAAATATTCAGGAAAAAAAATAGGATGCTTGTGTATTAAACATGTATGGACTTTTCTCCTTGTCATTATTCCCTAATAATACATGATAACAACTATTTACATTGTATTAGGTGTTATAAGTAATCTACAGATGGTCTAACGTAGTGGTCCCCAACCTTTTTGGCACCAGGGATCGGTTCCGTAGAAGACAATTTTTCCACAGATGGGTGGGGGAGAGGGATGGTTTTGGGATGAAACTGTTCCACCTCAGATCATCAGGCATTACTGAGATTCCCTGCATGTTCAGTTCACAATAGGGTTCTCACTCCTATGAGAATCTAGGACCTCTGCTGATCTGACAGGAGGCGGAGCTCATGCAGTTAATGCTAGTTGGCCTGCCACTCACCTCCTGCTGTGCAGCCTGGTTCCTAACAGGCCATGGACCGGGACTGGTCTGTGGCCCAGGGGTTGGGGATCCCTGGTTTAAAGTATACGGAAAGATGAGCATGGGCTATACACAAATATCACACCATTTTATAAAAGGGACTTGAGCATCTGTGGATTTTGGTATCTGTTGGGGTGGTCCCAGATTTTGGTATCTGTTGGGAGGTACCAGTTTTCTCAGGGAAAACTGTATATGGTGCCACTAATATGGTGCCACTGTATATGGTGCCACTGTATATGGTCTTCTAAGCTATGCCAAGTTTGTAAAATTAAAGAACAAAACAACCGGGCATGGTGGCTCATGCCTGTAATCCCAGCACTTTGGGAGGTCAAGGCAGGTGGATCACTTGAGGTCAGGAGTTCGACCTGACCTCCTGGCCAACATGGTGAAACTCCGATTCTACTAAAAATACAAAAATTAGCCAGGTGTGATGGCGCGTGCCTGTAATCCCAGCTACTAGGGAGGCTGAGGCAGGAGAATCGCTTGAACCCGGAAGGCAGAGGTTGCAGTGAGCCGAGATTGTGCCAGTACACTCCAGCATGGGTGACAGAGCGAGAATCCGTTTCAAAAAAAAAAAAGAAGAAGAAAAGTTAAAAAATAAAGAACGAAACAGCGTAATAGATGATCAAGTCTTAGGAGAGTGACTGCAGACTACAACTGCAACAGAGTGTTTAGGAAAAAATAGATGTTAGCTAGTAAGTGATGATCAAGGAAAAAGCATGGGAAAGAATGCCGAGCAAGTGGGAGAACACATGAGTAACAGCAGTGGGGTGGGAGACAAGGGCCCAGCCTTTTGGCAGAACCTTCAGAAAACCAGCCTAATGGCCCATGCCTCTGGAAAGCAGCAAGAAGATAAGCCAAGGTGTCCTGGGGGAAAGCTGAGTCTAATGGTTAGGACTTCACATCACAGAGAACAGGGAGCCACCATGGTATTTTGAACATATGAGTACCTTACCTAAACGAGTTATTTAGATAAGAAGAAGTCTGACAATAATTTACAGGATGTATTGGAGGGAAGGAAAAGCTGAAGGTGAGACCGAACCATGAGGCTGCACCAGAGAAAAGGCACTGGGACTGAAAGAGCAGAGGAAAACATAAAGGGCATTTCAGAAGAGTGAAAGAGATAGGGAGGAAAGTTCCTGAGTTCTGCCTAATTATGTGAGCCGTTCAATACTCACCAGCAAGTGAGGAGAGGAACCAGGTGGCCGTGCACACAGGGATGTGCATTTGCTCTCTTCGACCTGGGGAGAACGGGCAGCCCTGTCAATATTCTCCACTCCTGTATAGGCTGCTGTCAACCAGTCAGCCCCGAGAATGACAATACTTCCATGTTACCCTCCCTAGTTCCGAGTGCTGGCTATGCGACAAACATATTTTTAATGAGAAAAACTATTTTTGTTTCAGTTTTGTTTGAACCACATCATTCACAAATGACTGAGTATAAGAAACAACACAATTCCAAAAATAATGTTGCTTAATTTTAGGATGTCTAGTCTTTTTTTCCCCCTCTTTCTCTCTCAGAATATGCCTGAAAATAGTGGTTAGCCAAGTTTTTGTTTGTTTTTGTGGTGGCTGTTTTGTTTATTTAAACCAGGGTGAGAAATATTTTCTGGGAGTTTTAACTACTGGATCACAAACAGAAAATGGGGGTGGCAGCTATGCAAAAACCCCTATGATCATGAAACCAAGAAGTTATGGTTACTAAGCACTGTGAATTTAACAGGAGCTTAAAATCATGGCTCTGACACCTGGAAAGATGCCACTGGGCTCAGACCAGCCCTGTGCAGCTCACAACTTCAACTGGAATCAAACCTGACCATATCCCCACTTCTCACTTAAAAAGAAATGGTTTTGGCCGTACTGGTAGAGCAAAACCAGAAAATAGACTTTGAATTAGTCTTCATGCTTTGCAAAAAGGTACTAACTTGTTAAGATGCATCCTCCATGTCTAACTAAGCCTGGTCTAATAACTGTTTTGCATCTGTCCTCTAGCAGTCTGCTGCTGATTGGTGGTGGGAGGGGAAGAGGGAAACAGCTTAAACCATTACTCCTGTTTTGTGGGCATTTGAAGTAGCTGCCAGGCACATGACACCACTGCTCCAATTGGTTCAGAGTGACATCACTTCATGATTCAACTTTGTTTGCATTTCGGCTTCCTCCTTTCCAAGGGGTTCTCAACTTCACCCTGCCAAGTCACTTTCAAACAGAAAGAGAGAGGAACAGCACATCTTATGTAGTCATGAAGTGTCAAATGTCCTTTGTGTTTCTTAGCCCAGTTTATGAGAGGAGACCTGGAGAAATAAAGGTTTCAATCAACACCACAATGGTGTATGACTTTCTTCACAGCATGAGGTGGGGGGAACGGGAAGAAAAGCAAAAGGTGGCTGCTAAGCTTTGAGTAAGTTAAAACTGATGGACTTCAATAAAAATCCTCAAAGTTTGTTTTCAAGTGGGAAAACTCTAAAATAGAAACCACATGCAATACTATGCTGGAACCTCATTTAAATCATTCACGCTTCTAAGACTCAGAGAATGTTTCTAATTTAGTCAAACACTACCCTCTCTTTCTCCAAAATAATTATTCTTAATTTATTTCACCTAACTTCTGTTTTTTACATCTTAGCAATGTGACCACCAAAAGCTGGAGCAACTGCTTTCTGATTCAGAAAATAAAAGTTTATTCTGATTTTTATTTCTGTCTTCCATACAGTCAGTTACCAGGGAACTCACAAAATTTGGAGAGTTCGAGCACGATTAATTTTGTGTGTTCAGCTCAAAGGAAAAAGCTTCCTCATAGGAGAAATGCATTAATGGATGAGCGAATGAATAAGAAGCTTTATAACCCAACCAACCAGAAGCCGAGGGGCTCACTATATTAAATTATACCAGCTCTCAATACAATGGGTCAAAATGTATTTTATTTTAAATTCTAAGTTAGGCTCCAAACTTTACATCGGGACCTTGTAAGACGAGATCTTTTATCATGCTAGACTTTTATTATCCCCTAGGAAATGTAGTGACATTAACCAAACACACAAAGCCATCTCAAGCCTAAAAATGCCTATTACTCCAATCCTGTACTCACTTGCTCCCTGCCAGAGACAACACAAAGAGATGAGTATACACACTCAGGAAAACTTCGCCCGGGCCTTCGAGGTAGGGCGAGGACTGTGCACCACACGAGATGACTTGAAAACCTGTAGGAAGGTTGTATCTCAGTGCCACTTGCTTTGAGGAGACTCACTGGGTAACTGTTTGAGGGTGGCTCTAATGCTCTGCAACAGTCCCTGCAGGGACAAAGAGAAATTTCCATCTTTCTGAAGGCCTAACATCTCTTTTCTTGTAATCTCATTGACTTGCCTTGCCTAGACTCACCAGTCAATTATTATTTATCATTTACAGAGTAGCTCATATTGACAACATACCTACAAGTATTTTAGCACTTCATATACCTTTTATGGTATAAGTACCTGTGGAAGGGAAAGGGAAATGAGTTGGCCTGGAGTGGGAATTAAGAAGCCATCATGAATATACATGTGCCTGTGTGTGTGTGTGCACACATACACCCGTGTGTCTCTCCACGTCTGAGGCCAGCAGCTAATTCCTGCTCACCTTTCAACACTTCTAGTCTTGGCTCCTGAGCCCCAGGTACTCTATTCCTGAAGATCCTTGCAGATATCAATCATCCCAAGAATGGGCTAGTGGTTTCCGGGTTTCATGAATAAAGCTGTCCCATTCTCATCACTAATCAAGGTAAGAGAGTTACATCTTATTTCTCTGCCTTGGTTTCATCATCTATGGAAGAGCAGTCATACTGGATCTCGAAACATGCATTTTAGTGCATCATGCACATTTAACGCCTCCCTCACGCATCACTCAACTGACTGGCAAGCCACCCCTTCCCCTTCGACTCTCTTCCAAAAATGCTTACGAACTTGAAATCCAGCAGAAAAGGGGCCACAGTGACTACGTACTCATGATTCTGTTTTACTCTTCTAAATTCACGGTCTACTTACTATTAACTTATATACACGTTAATATTTAAGTTCCAGATCCAAGGGAGGTAAGAAGCAGCTAATTCTAGGGAGGCAGGGCTAGAGAGAGTGATGGTAAAATCAGTTTAAAAAGGGGGGGGGGAGGCGTGTTTAAAATAAAAGACAACTATAAAAAATCAACAGAGGAAGGGAAAAACCAGAAGCGCACAGGCCATTTAGCGCAATGTAGCGCGTCTCACACCAGAAGTTGTTTACACACTCTTGGACGCCTGAGTTCTCCTTGATTTTTGTTTTTCTTCATTTTATCTATCTTCGTTTATCCATCTTCTAGTTCATCTACTTAACCTTCTTGTAACTCAGTGCTGCCAAGTGGATTCGGCATCAGCATTTACATAAAAAACACATTGCAAGCAAACTGCATTACTCTAGCTGTTGTACACCAAAAAGAAAAGACACATTTAACATATAAATATGTGTTCACATACCAAGTGAAGACCAATTTATGTTGTGGTACTTCCGTGAACTGGGGCCTTGCGATACTTAAAGAAAAAATTCAATTGTGATGTCAAAGAGAGGTGTTCCGTAATTCAAACGTACTCAGGCCTTCGAGGTCAGTTTATTCACATTCTGAGCAGTGGTTTACTTTTAGCAAAATATTACCCATGTCATTAAATTAATATTTGGGTTTGAATCTTTTTGTTTTATATGCACTTAATGTGTAAAATCATTTAACTTACAGTTGTAAAAGATCTGCAAGCGTAAAAAATTGACACCTAGGCCTTATAAGGCTGTAGGTATTTAAGTATCTTTATACCAAGTAATTTATAATGACACTGAGGGTCTGTGAATTTATCTTTTGCTTTTAAAAGGTGTCTCAATTACCTTAGATGAAAAACTGCCTTGCCCACCTGGGAGCATCATTATCTTATCATAGAATGAAGTTACTTTCACAGTGATGACCCTGAGTATTGAGAAAAAGTTGGATTATGTTCATTATATTCTTTTTAATGCAAGCAATGTAAAACGTCCTTTAGAAATGTTTCCTTTAAAAATTATTTAAATTGTATTGCTTAAAAAATATGACTCTTTCAACTCAGTTATCACTTAAGGTTTCCTGGAATATTCTGCTGTTTAGAACATATTTGTAGGATATGAAATTACCTACGTATGTGACTCTTATAAGACCAGAGAAAAAGGCTAGAATTATATATATATATATATATGAAAATAGCATCAGCAATTCCACAAGGCCATCAACTTGGGGTATGAACTATCCGTGAAGGACTAGTGATGGCTGAACTTCAACCACACTCTGAACAGCATAAAAATGAGAAAACTGTACTCCTTGATCTTTAGTTCTCAAAGTGTGGTTTGTGAACGCGTAAGGATTCTGCAGCTTTTTCAGGGGGTCTATGAGATTAAACTATTTTCATACACTACTAAGACACTGTTTACCTTTTTAACTCTTATTGTCTCATGAATGTGTGCCGTGGAAGTTTCCAGAAGCTGTGTGATATTGGCAGCAGAATAAACATAGAAGCAGGTATGATCATCCAATTGCCTTCTGTTAAGCCAGAGATTAAACACATAAAACAATGCCACTCTATTCATATACTGGGGTGGGATATAGTTTTTATCCAACATAAAAGTACGTTAACGCATATTAAGTTTTGTTACTGTTTCTGAATCAATAAATCTTTTTAAAGTTATTAATTTTAATTCTTCATACAGCAAGTATCAATGGATACAACCCACATAAACGAAAGCTTATTGGCGTTTGTCCTAGCCTGTCTGGGCACCTATAACAAAACACCTTAAACTAGGTAGCTTTTAAACAACAGAAACTTATTCCTTACAGTTCTAGAGTCTGGGAAGTCCAAGATCAAGGCACTGGCAGATTCAGTGTCTTGTGAGGGCTCCACTTTCTGGTTCACGGAGGGCACCTTCTAGCAGAAGAGGCAAAGCAGCTCTCTTTTATAAAGGCACAATCTCATTCATAAAGGTCCCCCACCCTCACGATTTAATCCCTTCCTAAAGGCCCCAGCTCCTAATATCATCACATGGTGATTAGGTTTCAATGCATAGATTACTGGGGCAACATAAACATGTAGACAGTGGCAGGGTTTTCCATTTTTAACAGTGTGAAGGGGTCCAGAGACCACTGAATTTGAAAACCCCTGGATGATTTCATTTTTCTCGACAGGGAAGCTACAAGTAGATGAGTGCCAAATGTTTCTCTCCATTCCTGGCCTGTCCCCTGAGCCCTACACTGCTGTGTTCAACTCCATCTTAGCTTGCCCCCCCTGGATGTCTGAGGCATTTCTGACCTGAGAGATGCAAGACAGAGCTCCTGCCCCATCTGCCTTCTCCACCACACACTTCCCAAACTACACTGCTCCTCCCTCCCCACTCCTTTGCAGCTCAGGAATGGAAGCCTCCACCCCCTGTTCTGTCCAAGCCAAAATGTCTCAGAGGTATCTTTCACTCTCCCAGTCTCCATTCCCTTCAGGCTATATTTTACAAGTCTTCAAATATTCCTAAATCTATCCACTACAAATTGCTATGACTCTGGTCCAGTGGTTCTCAACAGGGTACAATTTTGGTCTCCCCACCCCCTAATCCCAGGTTAACATCTGTCAATGTCTAGATACATTTTTGATTGTCATGACTAGGGGGCGGGGTGGGTGGGCTTCTGGCATCTAGCAGGTAGAGACTAGTGAAGCTGCTGAACATTTTGCAATACACAGGACAGCCCCCCACAACTAATTATCTCACCCAAAATGCCAACAGTGCCAATGCTGAGAAACCTGGCACTGGTTCAGGACTGCACCCCTACCCCCCGCCCTGCCACTCCCCAACTAATTATTTCACCCAAAATGTCAATACTGCCAATGCTGAGAAACCCAGCACTGGTTCAAGCCACCAACATCTCTCATATGCACGGTCCCAGCAGCTTCCTAAGCGGTCTCCCTGCTTTTTCCACTATTCCTCCTTCTCCCCTTCTCCACCCAGCAGCTAGACTGACTGTTGTAGAAATCAGTGTGCCACTCTTGTGCTTCTCACTCATCCCCAACTTCCACTGTGTATTGAGTAAATTCTCACTCTTGCCATGGCCTACAGACCCTCTCTGCTCTGGTCCCATCTAATACTGTGACCCATCTTATAACTCGACGCTATGAAATCAATTGTGTCTCATCCCCGGCCACCTCCCACCTCCACCCTGCCAATTCATATGTAGGAACCCTAACCCCTCATGTGACTCTGTTGAAGGTAGGGCTGTTAAGGAGACAATTAAGATCAAATGAGGTCATAAGGGTGAGACCCTGATACAATTGGATTAATGTCCTTAATCAGTGAAGAGACACCACAGCTTGCTCTCTCCCACCACTATATGAGGATACAGTGAGAAGGTAGCTGTTTGCAAACCAGGAAGAGAGCCCTCACTAGAACCAGACCTTGTTGACACCTGACCTTGGACTTTCAGCATCCAGAACCATGAGAATATGCTTCTCCAACCATGACGCTGGAGAGAAGAGGTGAAGTAGGCAGAGGCAAGACTGGGAAAGTAGGGCTGGGGTGGTCAGAAAGGGCAAATCACGAAATGTCTGGTGTGAAAGGAGAAAGGGATCTCCCCAGAGCTTGAGTATGGAAGACTATTCAACTTCAGAAATGAACACAGAGAGGGAGAGGGAATGCTGCAATGTCTATTGTTTAAGCCACCCAGGCTACAGTAATTTGTCAAAGCAGCCTGAGCTGACAATCACTCTCAGTTTCCCTCATCTTCCAAGTTCCAGCCTTGCTGGTCATCAGTCTGTGCCCATGTGACAGCTTTTTCTTCTTATCCTTTCTCCTGAACTTCCCATGGCTGGACCTTCCAATCTCCCTTAGTCTAAATGCCACCTTTTCACAGAGGCCTCAATGACTACCCAGCGTAATACAGCACCCCTCAACCACACCTGGCCCCCAACCCAGCACTCCTGCATTGTGATGACAGTACTGTTTTGTGTTTTCTTCTTAGATGCTCATCACTAGCTTATTATTCTCTTTACTGTGCATCCTACCATCCCCACCCCAGTATTCTTACTATTATTATTATTATTATTATTATTATTATTATTATTTTTGAGACAGATTCTCGCTCTGCTGCCCAGTCTGGAGTGCAGTGGCATGATCTCCACTCACTGCAACCTCTGCCTCCCGGGTTCAAGCCATTCTCCTGCTTCAGACTCCCGAGTAGCTGGGATTACAAGCATGGGCCACCACACCCAGCTAATTTTGTATTTTTAGTAGAGACGGGGTTTCACCATGTTGGCCAGGCTGTTCTTGAACTCCTGACCTCAGGTGATCCGCCTGTCTTGGCCTCCCAAAGTGCTGGGATTACAGGTGTGAGCCACCACACGCAGCATTGAAGAAATCTTTTCTGTCTTGATCACTGCTGGAGCAGACAGAGCACCACAGCTGCCTAATGTTTGTTAAATTAATAAATAAGTGAATGAACCTGGCTTTGAGGATCTCAGATCCATACAACCGGGCATTTATAGCCATTCTCTGAGTCAGGCAGCTTTCTGGAGCCACATGGTTATGAGAATGTGCCTTGCCCCAAGATTCATCTCCCTCTCCCACCTCCCCAAAGAAAGCTGCCATGTTTGTGGCAATCTCATATTCCTCTGGGGACCACATGGGACAGGAAGGAGTAATTAACTGCAATATCCACAGCGAGTAGCTATTCATATTCTTACACTCCAGGGAGCATCAAGTCTTAAGGTTACATTAAAACACAGGCACAAGGGAAGTCCCCAGTGTTTATTATCTGCAGCTACAGAGTGGGTAAGGATGAGATCTGGTCACTTCAATTGAATTTACAGGCAACTTCTCAAGAGCCCAACTTTGAACTGCCCAAAGAAAACACAGGCAAGTCCTACTGGCACAAGAGAATGGGGTGGGCCGATGGGGAGTGATGGCCGGCTAGGGTTGACATTTGTTTTTTCCACCATATTCAACACAGGCAAGTGCTTTCGAATTACTGGCTCCCTGAAAAGGGGGATCTGGACACATATGGCAATGCGATGAATGATGATTCCTGGAAAGAAAAATGTTTAATGAAACAAGAAACTCACAATTTCCTGAGACCTGATATGCACAAGGTACTGGGCAGATCTTGTAGTTATTGATGGGAATTTCAGAGAAAGGCCTGATGAGGCAAAGCTGGCTGCTGGAACCTCAAAGAGACAGGAAAACAAGGATGAGACCCATGATTAGGGCCACTGTGAAGACTCCAGAAGCTTCTGAGGTTCGAGAGAAGAGGTGAAGTAGGCAGAGGCAAGACTGGGAAAGTAGGGTGGCTGGGGTGGCCTGAAAGGGCAGATCACAAAATGGCTGGTGTCAAAGGAGAAAGGGACCTCCCCACAGCTTGAGTATGGAAGACTGTTGAGCTTCAGAAATGAACACAGGGAAGGAGAAGGAATGCTGCAAATATTTTACCATATTGACTTTTAATTAGTTGAGAATCAATGTAACAGGTCTAGACCTCATCCAGGGTGGAGGCAGCATGTGGGCAATGGTACCAAGAAAGCATCAGAAAGAAGAAGGGCTTGGAAGGCAACTACAGAACAGGCTGCCCCACATCAAACTTAGGTAGAATAAGACTCACTTCCATTGTTCCTTCTCTAGCCAAAGCTAGAGAAGCTCTGAATTTCTCTGCATTTCGAAAACACTCCAACACACAGAGTCACACAAAACTCTCCTTTGGACCAGATGGACCCTATCCTACGCACTGAGAGATTTGGAGTGAATGGGACAAGAGGTAAGCCCAGTCTCTTTCCTCCCTCCCTCATCACCCCCCACACCTAACCTCTTCCAAAAACATCAAATATTTTCTTCCATAAATAATTGCAATAGGATGCCATAGCTTTTCCCAAACAAACAATAGCCTGATTGTGCCCTGTTTGCATGGGCCCAGCCCGGCATACACAAAGGCCTGCTTTCATGCGCCAGGCCTCTCCCCACTGTAGAAGGATGGGCATATTTCGCCCTCCTCACTTCTTCAACAACTTCACTGAGGCAATTCCATTCGGAAAGGAGCAACAGGAAGAGGTTGTTACCACCAGGAATAGGAGCAACTCCCATTAAAAAGACAGCCATTGTTCCCCAGGTTTTCTGTTGCCTTTCGACCTCATCCAGAAAGTTCTTTCACCAGAAGAGAGCTGGTTTGCCCCAAGAGCCAAATGACAACATCTTATGCTGGTGATTTCTTTTAAACTTTTTATTAAATTTCGAATATGATTTTAAATTGTAATCACTGACTGAAAATATTCCTGTTTTTATGTCATGTATCTTCTTAACAGTATCAGAATAGAGCTAAAACAAACGCATAAATTTTTGTACTACTAATTATTTTTCTGGTAAGAAAAAAAGCTGAACTAAAAGATTAAACTAACAACTTTATAACTGCTACTCTGAAAAAATATCCTTTTGTGTTTAAAAACATGAAGTATTAAGTTTCCTTTCAGAATGTAAGTTTGATTTTCCCCCACAGATATAAGGAAGCATCATAGCAAGTCTTCTTCCTGTTTCCAGTAATTCGGAATGGCCATTCTCCCAGGTAGAGCCACGCTTATATCAGATACAATTTCTTCTCCCCATTTTTGGTCTTCCATTCATTTCTCTTTCACTCTTCTAATTTAAGTGAAATGGAATTCCAAATGGCCAAGACACTAATAAGCTCTCTGAAAGCCATCTTGAGAGCATATACATTTTTGTTTTTAAAACCATATAAACAGGCTGGGCACAGTGGCTCACACGTGTAATCCCAGCACTTTGGAAGGCCAAGGTGGGAGGATCACTTGAGGCCAGAAGTCTGAGACTAACCCCGGCAACACGGTGAGACCCCCATCTCTACAAAAAATTTAAAAATTAGCTGGGCATAGTGGCACATACCTGTAGTAGTCCCAGCTACTCAGGAGGTTGAGGATCGCTTAAGCCCAGGAGTTTGAGGTTGCAGTGAGCTATGATGGTGCCACTGCACTCCAGCCTGGGCAACAGAGCAAGACCCTGTGGCTATATCCATCCATCCATCCATCCATCCAAATCATATAAGGGCACCGAAAGCAGTGCTACACAGGGCATTAAAAAAAGCTTTCACTGCCTGGTAAGTGTTGCTCCAAAGTGATGTATCATTCATGCCAGAAAGAGTAACTTAAATTAAAATGTATTTTAAAGTTGAATCTTGGTTTTGCAACAGGATCTAGTGACGCAAGCAACCCACGATGATGTGCTCCATTTGCTATGTATGGTTAATAACCCAGTGCTCAATGAGCAGACACTGGGTTATTAACCATGTCACATACCTCAATTATCCCACAATTTACAAAACATTCAAGAGAAGCTTTTGCATTTGCTTGTGCTTCAGCATTGAAAGTAAAAAACATGAACTGAGGTAGGCCAGAACCTATTCCGGACCTCATCTCTACTGGATTAAGCTATTGTTGTTGACAGTCATTGTTATTTTCTCCAATTATTAATACAATTACAATGGTGGAAAATATGTAGATGTATTAATGGAAGGGGTTCGTGTGTCTTCAGCCCACTTCATCCAAGAAGGCAACTCTTGATAGTCAGGCTCCTCTCCACCTTTCTCAAGTCTTAGCATTCGGACATAAGGAATGGACTGGGGCCGCTCTGCATCCAGTAAATTGCCTTCATCCTCACCTATTCTGGGTACTGTATGTGACAATCTCAAAGTATTTTAAGATGTAGGGTTTACTGCTATTCAGGTACGGTGAGGCCAACAGTTAAAAGACAATTGCCACTGAAAAAGTCTGTTACTCACAGTCCCCAAGAAGAGGTAGTGCACCATGCCAAGGGGCCACACGGAGAAGAACCAAGGTTGGTCCTGAGGCAGAGGGAATGGTAGGAAAACATGGAGGAGAGCCTTTATTGTGGTTTCCTTGGGAAGGAATAAATCACACAAGGTAAGCAGGTTTAGGACTAGCTGGCTGGAGTAATTCTGACAGGCTCTGGGGTGTAGGGGCTGTCTCTTGCCTGGTATCTGGCCCTAGGGTGATTAAGGTAGGGCAATATTGGCCTGGAGTATGAAATCCCAATAAAGGTGGTAAGGGGCCTGGCCTTTGGATTGGTTATTTTGCATATGAGTGAGGGGCGTGGCCTTTGGATTGGTTATTTTGCATATGAGCATTGTACTCATTCACTACCTAGGAACTGGCTAACCCTAGGGGGGCTGGTCTCTTCAGGGTCAGCAAGGCCCCAAGATGTCAAAGCATCAGAAGTATGGAAAATAAAAAGGCTTGATTAATACAGAAAGGTAACATAAGTCAGTTAGATCAAAACTGCCAAGGCCCCAGGAAGTAAGCCTCGCCCCAGCCAAGGGGGATGACGAGAAGCTTCCAATTCACCAGCACTATCGGAGAAGCCACTTAAACCACTGTTTTTCGATAGAAGACTGGAACAGCCTAAGAGACAGGAAGCAGGTTTGTGGACTTAATGATAACGATGGTCTCTGGTCAACAACAGTACATTTCACAGCACGTGTGAAGGCAGCTCCTCTGGAGTCAAGCCAACTTGGAGTTATCTAATGACAAGCCCAAGGACAATGCCCCAAGCAGGGACCCTGACAGTATATTAATACGTAAGAAATTCCAAGATAAAAGTTGGGGGCAAGGGCAAATTAGTTAGATAAAATACAACATAAAAAGGTCACGTTTGGAAGGATGGCCATAATATTATACGACGAAGTTTTCAAAAGCTTTTTTGGCCGGGCACGGTGGTTCACGCCTGTAATCCCAGCACTTTGGGAGGCTGAGGTGGGAGGATCACCTGAGGTCAGCAGTTTGAGACCAGCCTGGCCAATATGGCAAAACCCCATCTCTACTAAAAATTAAAAAAATTAGCCGGGCATGGTGGCAGGCGTCTGTAATCCCAGCTACTGGGGAGGCTGAGACAGGACAAATGCTTGAAACCAGGAGGCGGAGATTGCAGTGAACTGAGATCGCACCATTGTACTCTAGCCTGGGCGACAGAGTAAGACTCTGCCTTGAAAAAAAAAAAAAAGCTTTTTCAAGAACAACAACAATGTAAAAATAATACAATGGTGACACAGCTCACAGCTGGAAGGGCACAAGAAAGAGTTCAAGGAACTTTCCTACCTCCAGTCATTGACTCAGCTGTCCAAGAGAGCTTCAGGACGATAACACAATCTTCAGCCGCATCCCAAGAGCCATGGCTCCCAGAGTTAGGGTGCTAAACGGTCCTGGTATGATTTCTACTGGTCATGTCTCTCAAGGAGGGCTTTTTAAATCTCAACGATGTGGTTTCGAAGGCTATTAAACTATACTTTATCAAATGGAGACTTAAAACTCTGAAACAAAGAACAAGTAAAAGAACTAGAAATATTTTATCTGGGGAAGGAAATATTCAGAGGGCACAGAAAAGATGTCCTCAAGTATTCAAAAGGGTAATTACCTTGAGATAGTTGACTTATTTTTTTTGAGACAGAGTCTGGCTCTGTCACCCAGGCTGGACTGCAGTGGCGCGATCTCTCACTGCAAGCTCCGCCTCCCGGGCTCATGCCATTCTCCTGCCTCAGCCTCCGGAGTAGCTGGGACTACAGGCGCCCGCCAACACGCCCAGAGAATTTTCTGTATTTTTAGTGGACACGGGGTTTCACCGTGTTAGCCAGGATGGTCTGGATCTCCTGACCTCGTGATCCGCCCGCCTCGGCCTCCCAAAGTGCTGGGATTACAGGCGTCAGCCACCACGCCCAGCTGATAGTTGACTTATTTCTTATGGTTCACAGAATACAAATAGACCCAACACATACAAGTTATAAGGAAGGAGAGTTTTCTTTGTTTACATAGAGAAATAACTTTTTTTTTTTTTTTGAGATGGAGTTTCGCTCTGTCACCCAGGCTGGAGTGCAGTGGCGTGATCTCGGCTCACTGCAAGCTCTGCCTCCTGGGTTCAAGCCATTCTCCTGCCTCAGCCTCCCGAGCAGCTGGGACTACAGGCGCCCGCAACCACGCCTGGCTAATTTTTTTTTTTTTTTTGTATTTTTAGTGGAGACGGGGTTTCACCGTGTTAGCCAGGATGGTCTCGATCTCCTGACCTTGTGATCTGCCCGTCTCAGCCTCCCAAAGTGCAAGGATTACATGCATGAGCCATGGCTCACCGCAACCTCCAACTCCTGGGTTCAAGTGATTCTCCTGCCTCAGCCTCTCGAGTAGCTGGTATTATAGGCATGTGCCACCACATCTGGTTAATTTTTGTATTTTTAGTAGAGATGGGGTTTCTCCATGTTGGTCAGGCTGGTTTCGAACTCCTGACCTCAGGTGATCCGGCCGCCTCAGCCTCTCAAAGTGCTGGGATTACAGGCGTGAGCCACCGCGTCCAGCCAGAGAAAGAATTTTCTAACATTCTAGGTTGTCTACAGACAATATGAAAGCAAATGAGTATGACTGTGACTCAATGAAACTTTATGTGCAACAACAGGTGTGGCAGGCCAGATGTGGCAGCATGGGCTGTAGTTTGCCAACTCCTGAATTACACTTAAGAAAATCATTTAGAGGCTGGGCGTGGTGGCTCACGCCTGTAATCCCAGCCCTTTGGGAGGCCGAGGCGGGCGGATCACGAGGTCAGGAGATCAAGACCATCCTGGCTAACACGGTGAAACCCCGTCTCTACTAAAAATACGAAAAATAAGCCGGGCGTGGTGGCGGGCGCCTGTAGTCCCAGCTACTTGGGAGGTTGAGGCAGAAGAATGGCGTGAAGCCGGGAGGCGGAGCCTGCAGTGAGCAGAGATCGCGCCACCGCACTCCAGCCTGGGCTACAGAGACTCCGTCTCAAAAAAAAAAAAAAAAGAAAAGAAAAGAAAATCATTTAGAATCTGATTTTACAAGAGAGTTACTTGCCTGTTAAGTATGGTACAAAGAGAAAGACATATACACACATCAACATTCAGTAAGTATTGCTTTCCTCAAGATTAATTTATCCAAAGAGACCAAAATAAAACATTTTAAAATTATTTTTACCTTAAATAGCAGGGTTTTAATTTGGGGGTGGAGTGTGGAATTTAATCTAAAATATGTGAATGCTAGCTTCACTAGACACAGTAACTGGACAAACAGGCTGAAGCACAGAGTGGATGTAATACAGATACCAAGCAAACCACCAGCACAGCTACGGACCCCTTAGGAAAGCAGAGAGCAGTACACCAGTCAAGTTTCTCAGAGATTCAAGAGGAAAACCACCCACCACCCCCTCCGCCAGCCACCCCCACACCATGCCTTTCTACAAAGCTGGACACCCTGGGCCCCACCTCCCAAAGCTGGGTGTGTAGCAGCCTTCACTGTAACCACCAAAGTGGTTCAGCATTGCTCCCATGACCCACCTTCACTTAGTTCATCCCAGCTTCCCTAAAGCGGGAGTCTGTCTGGGTCAGTTTGCTGTCTCTACTGAGCTCATGCCAAACCCCGTGGCTATCCCATATACACCTCTCCTTTCCCCACCTAGACCCCAGGGTGCGGGGAGTGGGCTTTCATTCTATCATCAGAACACAATACGTGGAACGTGACTTTAGCAACTAGGATGGAGAGTGGGAAACCCTCCGGAACCACGTTCCTCCAAAGCAGCTGTGTCCCCTGCAGGCACTCACTGAGGGCTGAAAAGACACTCCTGGATCTCACAGCACAGTCCTTGTGCAGCACTTTACGTTGGAAAACAGAACCAACAAACATTTTCTTGAAGTATTCCTCAAAACCCAAACCAGTCTTCTCTGGGGCTGAACCCAGAAACTCTTCAAGACTATTTACACAGGATTTATAATCTGGTGTCTACTCAGCGGTTTTATAAAAACATGGAGGGAAAAATGCCAACGCGCTGCCAGTTCACTGCGGTGGTTCACGTTTCTTGCCCGGTAGACCAGGCAATGTTCCCAATGCCCAGAGCCCTGGCACCAGGCAAGCCTCTCACGCCAGCGGAACTTGGGAGGCTGCAGAACTCACACTGACTCCATGGCGTCTCTCCCAGACTCACCTTCGCAGAAGGAAGCCCTTGCAGGCTCTCAAGACCCAGAACTAATAGAATCCAATCGTGGTTGCCTTGGGAAAAGTGAATCCAAGCTTCTAACAGGAGGTCCTCAAGCCACCCAGTACCCTGAAGTACTGCTAGCCAGACAGCAAATCTCTGTGCCACCCATAGGCTACCTCCATCCTCAGTACATGCAGGAAAGAGTCAGGGTCACGGCAGGGTGCCCCCGGAGTGTCAAAGGGCCTCAGACAGAGTCCTGGAATATATAGACCTCGTCAGGGTTTTCTTTTCTACACTAGAACTATATTGCAGCTACCTGGCACCTTGAGGGCCTGAAACATTCAGGATAGGTAAATGTCTTGAGCAGCTTCTTATTTTAACTGTTGATAAGAATCTTTTACAGAGGGCACAGTGGCTCATGCCTGTAATCCCAGCACTTTGGGAGGCTGAGGCAGGAGGATCACTTGAGATAGGAGTTCAAGATCAGCCTGGGCAATAGAGTAAGACTCTGACTCTATAAAAATAAAATACAAATAAAAATTAGCCAGACATGGTGGTGCACACCTGTAGTCCTAGCTACTCGGGAGGCTGAGACAGGACGATTTCTTGAGCCCAGGACTTTGAGCTTGCAGTGGGCTATGACCGCACCACTGCACTCCAGTGTAGGCAATAAGGCAAGACCCTGTCTCTTCAAAAA
Organism: Homo sapiens; assembly: GCF_000001405.40. Taxonomy (NCBI): domain Eukaryota; kingdom Metazoa; phylum Chordata; class Mammalia; order Primates; family Hominidae; genus Homo; species Homo sapiens. Next base: position 98,808,689 of record NC_000015.10, on the reverse strand, counting down.
GAAAAAAAAAAAAATCTTTCAAGAACATACCTGCCCTAGAGTCCCTGCGAGGACCTAGGTTCCACACGACTATAGGCACCTCAAGGGTGAGGGCCTTGTCATATTCATCACTATGGCTCCAGCACCGAAAATCCTAACAGTCTACAGTGTGTTCTCAATGAATGTATATATTAAACTTACTTGCTTTTAAGCCCCTATATGCCACTGGTGACACAGGTACACACAGTAATCTCAAGGGGCTGATGATCATTCTTATATCACAGTTCAATGCAAAATCACTACATAGCCAATATTAAAAAACAAAGTGAAACAATTATTCACAATTTATCCCAAAGCTGGAAACATTTTTGAAGAGGATAAAGATACTGACAAATAATACGGAACTCTTTCAACTTTAGGTTTCAAAATTAATAAAGAGCTATTTCACTGTAGTTATTTACTTCGGTGGCTAACATCTCCCAGTATCTTATTATTTTCAACTTATTTTTAAGATGAATATATCTTATACCACCAAATGCTTTACCTTTGGTTATTCTGAGCTCCTCAAGGAGAATACCCTAACATCATTCTTCCCCATGCCAGGCTATCCCACGTACCTTTCCCAAACAATTCCCAAACAACATGGATGTGGTATCTGTGTGTCCTCACAACTTCATTACTGCACAGAAATAGTACCTCACCACCAAAAAATCATGTTCATTGGAACTGTTCTCAGAAAAAACTCCAATCATAAGGCAATGTTTTATAATGAGAGTTTATGGATCAGATATTCTGACTAAATTCACCAAAATGATTTCAGAAGGAAAATTACTATTATCTTACAGCTGCTATTGTTTCCTCTAAACTTATACTATGTCAGACAGAAAATCCGACTGCTTGAAAGAAGGACCCATAAACGGCAAGGAGACAGGGTATACACTAATGACAACAAAGCTATGACAAAAGTGAAGTGGCTTCCACATACACAGTGTTTCACTATGGCCCAGGCCCTGCTGTAAACTCCTCACAGGGATTAGCTCATTTAAACCTCACAGCACAACAATCCCTCACTATTAATGCCATCTTACAGAGAGTGAAACAGAGGCATGAGTCTCAAAAATGGCAGCACAAGGATAAAATCCCATCTGGCTGCTGAGTGGATGTTTTGGTCCTTATCCTATCTCAGAGAATGCATTCAAACCTAAAACTATGCCAGGAGTCTAAATTTAACTCAAACAAGCTGAAGAAAACCAAAACGTCTCAGATATCACAAAGCAGTGCATTTATTGCATAATGTTGCACAACAAGGAAAGTTTCTAGAAAGCTGCCCGAACTTACATGGTTACTACCAACATCCAAGCAAAAGAAAGTCCCAAAGGACAAAGAACGTGTCCCACATGTACACGATCTGGTTCATCTATTCATATATCCAGGATGCAGCCTGTGCTCAGCGCCCTACTTACAGGAATCTGAGCTTTACGATTAGTATGATTTTAGCTGCTAAAAATGTGACACCTACCTCTAAGTCATTTGGATTTATAAAAATCCCACCATGCTACAATCAAGAAAGCATTTCACTGAGCAACTGTAAGCCAGGTACAGGGCGTGAGCTGAAGAATGTCCCAGGTGAGTGAGGCCGTTCTAATTTCAACACCTAAAGAACAGGTCACATCAGACGTTATAAATTCTCCAATTTTCTTTTCTTTTTTTTCTTTTGAGACGGGGTTTCACCATGTTGCCCAGGTTGGTCTTGAACTCCTGACCTCAAGTGATCTATCCACCTCGGCCTCCCAACGTGCTGGGATTACAGGTGTGAGCCACCGCGCCTGACCAATTCTCCAATTTTCATGACATTAATGATCACGTTAGGCTTAGGGTCAGCTGTGCCCTAAAGCTCTCACATCAATGTTTTATGGATGTATGGGCCTAACACTGGTATACAGATACCCTTGGCTATATCCCTCTTACTAATGCCAGAGAACGGGTGTTTCTTGCCACAGTGCCACTCCTGGCTGTCCAGCACATGTTCACAAGGACTAGGAAAAAGGGATCTCTCCCTGGCAGTCAGCTTCTCTTTTCACAGTGTTGAAAACTCTGTGAGATAATTTCCTTAGGCGTCCTGGTAACACCTATTAGAAAGTGTTTATTTAATATTTATTCCCACAAATACCAATGAGAGAGAGAGTCTCCTACTATTCAACAGTTTTTTGTTTTTTTTTTTTAATCAAGAAATAGTTGAAAAGGATGGGAGTGAAGGCACTTTAAGCCCACAGATGCCAGCAGAGGTGGGACATGACAAGGGAGGCTGGGGGGCTGGCCCCAAACTTGTCCCTCCCAAGTCAGCTTGGACACCACACAGCACTTCGTGCGCCCTCGGCTGGCTTAGCACATGGACAAGGCATTGCCGCTGGAGTCCCACCTTCTTAGAGACTCCTGAAAAGGAGCTCCACGCCACCCCCCACACCTCGCCCTGTGCCACTCTTCCACTTGTCCTGTCCACTCTGGACATAGAGCCTTCACGGTAAACCAGTAATAGGACGTCAACTACTTTCTGGAATTTTGTGAGCCCAGGTGAGTGAGGCCGTTCTAATTTCAACATCTACAGAAGTTATCAAGTTTCAGGTTTAATAACCTAGCAAGTTATCAGACCTGAAAGCAAGGGGCCTGGCAACAAACTCTCAACCTTTCAGGCAAGTCAGACAGAAGTGTGGGCACCCCATACCTGCTACTCGCATCTGCAGCAAGGGCAGACTCGTGGGACTGAACCCTCATCCCTGTGGAGTCTGTGCTAACTCCAGGTGGTGAGTGTCAGAACTGCACTGAATTGTAAGGCCCCCAGTTGGTGTCTGGAGAGTTAGACAACTGGTTGTTGGTATGGCAAAACCCCACACATTTGGCGTCAGAAATGTTATGAGTAGCAACAGTTCAGAGTCCTTTATGTGCGTTTACAAAAGCAATAATTTATGGCAAGGACTTATCAGAACTACTTTACGATTTTATTTTAGTTTCTTTTAAGGACCAAGATTAAAGATTTAATTAGTTAAACAAGACAACCAAAACAAATACTTCCTCCTGACCTTGAGTTATCACAGACTGCCACCCAAGGGGCAACTGAAACAGAAAGGGTGGCCTGCATTTCAGAAGGGCTGGAGGGGACAACGGGCAGTGTGCTCTCAGGTGCTCTGAATCACACACACACACACACACCATACACACACAGGCACCCTTTTGGAACAGACAATTATGAAAGCACATTAAAACGCAGCATGCCATTTGGAAGTCTGGTCTTGCTGCTCTGCCCAAACACAGGGTACACACTTCAGGGAAAACAATCCTAGAGAAACAGTAGCTCTGTGAAAAATGAGAAATGTAAAATGTTTCGGCCAAACACAAAGAAAAAAAAAATCAGCGTGTGGGATGGGGAGGAGAATAAGACCTATCAGAATTCTTTTTGCTTAGCTGGCCAACTCTGGCAGCATAAAGTTTAAATGGAAGTATCTTCAAATTAAATCGCACCTGCATGTATATAAGACTCCCCTGTAATGCTCCGATAACACCTCAAGATTGAGGTCATCTAAATTCAAACCTTAAATATAAAACCACTCCCAAAAGAGAATGCCTTTGAATATAATGGCAGTTTCAAACTTTGGCAAATAATTATCCTGTACTTCTTATCTGTGAGAATCTATCATTTATTTTAAAAATTCTCTGCAGCGGCCGGGAGTGGCGGCTCATGCCTGTAATCCCAGCACTTTGGGAGGCCAAGGCAGGAGGATCACCTGAGGTCAGGAGTTCAAGACCAGCCTGGCCAACATGGTGAAACCCTGTCTCTACTAAAAATTCAAAAAATTAGCCAGGCGTGGTGGTGCACGCCTGCAGTTCCAGCTACTCGGGAGGCTGAGGCAGAATTGCTTGAACTGGGGATGTGGAGGTTGCAGTGAGCCGAGATTGCACAATTGCACTCCAGCGAAACTCCATCTTAAAAAACAATAATTATCTGCAGCTCCCTGTATCTTCCAGTAAACGGATTAGCAGGTATTTTCTGAGTGTCCATGATGACGGTCTTAGCACTCTCCTTCCTGCCTAAGGAGTCACAATCGCATTCACAATCAAATGCAGGTGCTGTGTGTGCGCTGCTCTCTTCCTCCCATAGCCCCGTTTCACTTTCTCTGGAGTGCATCCCCATCCTCTCAAAGCAGAATCAACAAGCAAACCACTGTCCTTCTTTCAAAAAACAAAAACAAAAACAAAAACAAAAGTCATGTGTTTATTTCTTCCCCTCTACTTGTGCCTCCTAAATTCCTTGCCTTAGTCCCAAATCAGTCCTCCAAACGCGGGTTACTTGTAACGTTATTCAGAAGTGGAAGATTACCTTGCAAAATGGCAGATAATGCCCCAACTAGATATTTCATGGCATTCTAAAACTACATAAAAGCAAGATTTCTTAACATTCCTCTAAATAAATAATAGTGTAATAAATATATGAAACAGGCTATGCATTTCCTCAGTGTTCTTCCATTCCCTCCAGTGACCACACATGTGTACTGCATGGTGAGCCCATGACTGAGGAATAGAAATACAGTCATGAGGCAGCTAACAGCGTTTCAAAGATGAAGTGCATATACGATAGTGGTCCTGTAAGGATAGAATATAGCTAGAAAATTCCTATTGCCTAGTGACATTGCAACCGTGGTAAGATGTACATGTTCCTCATATGTTTGTGGGGATGCTGGTGCAAACAAACCCGTGCTGCCAGCTGTATAAAAGTACAGCACGTACAACAGTGCACAGTACATAATATGTGATAATGATAATAAGTGACTATGTTATTGGTTTATGTATTTACTATACTTTTTATAGTTATTTAAGAGTGTACACCTTCTACTTATTAAAAAAGTTAACTGTGGCCAGGCGCCGTGGCTCATGCCTGTAATCCCAGTGCTTTGGGAGGCCGAGGCGGGTGGATCACTTAAGGTCAGGAGTTTGAGATCAGCCTGGGCAACATGGTGAAACCTCATCCCTACTACAAACACAAAAATTAGTCAGCCATGGTGGTGTGTGCGTCTAGTCCCGGCTACTCAGGAGGCTGAGGTAAGAGGATCGCTTGAGCCTTGGCGGTCGAGGCTGCAGTGAGCTGTGATTGCACCACTGCACTCCAGCCTGGGGGACAGAGCAAGACCCTATCTCATAAATAAATAAATAAATAAATAAAATGTAATATTCACTAAGTGTAGCCTAAGTGTACAGTATTTATCCAGGCCTTCACAATTACTCACCACTGACTCACTGACTCACCCAGAGCAACTTCTGGTCCTGCAAGCCTGACTCCTAGTAAGTGCCCTATACAGGTGTACCATTTTTTTATCTTTTACACTATATTTTTTACTGCACCTTATCTATGCTTAGATTCAGAAATACTTACCACTGTGTTACCATTGCCTACAGCGTTCAGAACAGCAACATGCTCCACGGGTTTGCAGCCTACGAGCAACAGGCTATACCATGGACCCTAGGTGTGTAGTAGGCTGTATCAACTAAGTTTGTGAAAGTACGCTGTATGATGCTGGCATAATGATAAAATCCAATTACCTAACAATGCATTTCTCAGAACATATCCCTGTCATTAAGCAACATATGACTGTCTATTACTGAGATCTGTACATTTTTAATTACCTTCATGTTACTGAATCCAGCTTTAAAAAAACAGCAGGAAACCATTTTTTCACTGTGTTTCAAGTCAGCTACAATTTAAATATCATTAGTTCGGTGTCAACCTAAAATGGAAACAATTACCAGTAGAACATTACATATTACGTTTACTTTTCATTTTTGGTAGCACAATTCCTATCTAGGAAAACATAATAAGTTTCCTGTAGGAAAAGTAAGATAAAGGAATTAAGAATTCTTAGGGGTCTCACTCACTTAAGACCGCTAATATATGAGAAAAAATATCTTGTGCTTTGAGAAGTAAGCTTCAATTACCTGGGAAATCAACTCAAGCAAAAAACTCTTTCAATGATGCTAGACAAATAAAATGCACAGGTAGATGTTTGCACGTCCACAGAAATTGCAGCCACAATCAGATGCATTCTTCAGATGTGAATTCGTGCATACAAGCAACCCCTGTCTTTCGCAGAGTTAAGTTCAAATCCTGTACACACTTTGTTCCACAAAATTGCTGTTGGCTTGCATCTCTTTTGTCACCTTTCTCCATCCTTAAGTCCTCCAAGGTTCTCTCAGGGCCAAGACTGTAGGGTTCAATGACCTTCCCTGGTCAGCTGTAAAACTAGGGCTAGCACCTTCAGAATCCGCCAGCCACACCCTGCTCCAGCTCACCACCATGAGTTTTCTCTCATCAGCCTCCAAAGTCCAAGCCATCGCTACATCTCAGAGATGACGTACAACATGTGCCTTTATTTTATACTCTCAAGATGCTGGATATAGTAGTTATTATCCAGAAAGAATGACTTCACAATCAGGATCCGAGACTGGCTATAAACAGTGATCGAATCCTCAACTCATTCCCTCTCGCACCTACAGGAAGGTATTAACAACTGATCCTCCCTTTCATTTTTAGAGTAACAAACCCAGCTTGTACTACCCATGCCTACAACAGCCCAGATGTGGCACTCAAGGTTGAAAAGGGGCCACAACTTGGTAACGGGACACACATGACCCCATGCAGGAGAACAGCCAGGGCCATGAGGAAAGGGACTTTGGTGCACAATGGCAGGTACCTATGCCCTTGCTGGGACATGGGGCATCAGGGTCATTACCAGATGGGTTTACAAAACACCAAAACACGGACAGCAAAAGTAAGATGCTCAGTCCATTGGCTTGCAGTGTTTCAGAGTCCCTGCTTGCTGCTAGCCACGGGGATGGGGGCTGGGAGTCATCCTGTTTAAAAGCTGCAGTGAAAACCCAGTGTGGTCGTCTCTGTTCTCAATGTCTACCTTGGAAGAGGGAGTTCTTAACCTCTGTGGCAGAGCAACCTGAAAACAGAATTATACTCCATACACATAGCTACAATGCCTCATGCAGAATGCTCTTCCCAAAACCGTGCTCAAGGATACAAACCCAGGCTGTCCAATTTGGGGAAATCATTGTTTGAGGGTGGCACAGACAAGCAGTCGGCTTGGGGTTTGCTCCCTGTGCACAGCTCGATCATCAAGGAAAGGCCTCTTCCGGGCCTCAAAGCTCCCTTTGTGAGGAATGAGGCCCACTGTCGAGGCTCACACAGGCAGCTGTAACCAGGCTGCCCCTCTCTCTGGGTGTTTGTTTTGATAGAGGTTCATTTATGCCAGAGACAATGCCCGCTCTCTTTGTTCTGCCCCCAGCAGGAAGCAGTGCAGGGAGGGGGACCAGCATTGTCACACAGCTTCCAATTCAGGTTTTGGTGGCCACAACAATGGGGCCTCAAGGGCCACAAATAAAGAGCCGCTCACGGGGAGCAGGGCAGAGAGACTGGCACATGTGGACCCCAGCACACCCCAGGTAGAAGTCACCTCCTAACAAGTGCTCAGGCTCACTATCAAGGGCTTTGAGGGCTCTGAGGTTGGGGAGAGGGAGGCCACCTCCTCTTCTCTTAAGTGGTGCTGGGAGGGAGAAGTAAGCAAGGTCCCCGGGGATGACAAAGCCTTCCTACCTCTCCTACCATTTATCCCAACTAAAGGAGCAAACACTCAAAAAAGCAAGCAAAAAGAATGCACACACATGCTTCGTGTTCTAACTTACCAACAGTTGCACAAGGAAGAAAAAAAGTCTAATCTGAATTGCCAAAAATGAACAATATCCTTTAAAATGAAGCCTGGGCTAGATGGCTGCAAGTGAATGAAATGTATTACCCAACTGCTGCTGTAACACAAGCCCTCTCCTCCCCCTTCTGGGCCTCATTCATAAAAAGCCTGCTTCGCCCCAGCAGCTGCAGGAACTGGGACTGGATTTGTGTTTTGTGCCGGTGTTTTCCAAGACAGAGGGAAACAATTGAAACAGACAATCGCTCAGATACCAACACCAAGTTCGCCTCCCCTTGAGAAGTTTGCTGCAGTCTCCTGGTCTAATCCAAATAGGTGGAGGGAGGGCTGGGAGGGCATCCTGCAGAGCTGTTCAGTGGCGGTTCTAACGCTAACACCCAGCGTGTTATTAAAGGAATTCCCATCTGCTGAGTCACACTCCGTATCTTTCACTCCCTGACATTTTATTTTTTTTTAATCAAAGGTTGTTCTTTGTTGGTAAAACGGGGGTTGCCAAGTTAATTAAAGATTGCCAAATTGGGGTAGAGATAGCAACACAACTCCCAAAGAGGTAATTTTTTCATTGTCCACTTTTAAATGGATATTACCATCTACAGACTTTATGCAGCCTGCTAGAAATCTTATGAGATAAGGAACAACTTCAATTCTTAATATATTTTTCTAATTTATGAATAAACCAACAACCAACATGCTTCATCCAGGCAGGATGAAGCACTGTCTCCCTCGCCCACACCCTTTTCCACAGCTGCCCTCCCAGCCCAGCATCTTTTATCACCTAGAAGGGCCAAGGAGGCTGGTTTGTGCAACTCAACAAGCTCTGTAAAACACCAAGTCCCTAGAAATCTCAGAAATCACCATGAGAAACGAGAGGCTACCAAACTTTTTAGACTCAGCAGCCTTCTTCAAAGCAGGGCCCAAATACAAGAGCATGTTCTAATTTACCAGGAATGGTTTTAATACAAGAATTACATAAGAACAGAGTGCAGGAAAGGAAGGGAGAAATAAAACCATTCTTGTTGCCCTAATACCAGAGCAGTCTTCCGGTGAATTGATACATAAATTCTCTCCAGAGACAAGATAATCCAAGCTATTAACTGTTCCCCTCTCAACTCTTGCAAAACACAAGGCTTCGAAACCTTGAAGGGGGGCAGGTGGAGGGGAAAGCCTGCTATATATTTCTAGAAAATACCAAATTTAACACCACGATCCCAGCCTGCTCATCACTGCTGGGGATCAGCCATTCTGGGAAGGTAACAGCAGCCCTCAGCACTCCCCTCCGCTAAGTAAACACTCCTTTCTACCACACTCGGTCCCCCATGCCGGCCGCCTCCCACCTCTGCCTGTGGACTGACAGCCGAGGAAACAAGAAAACAAGCTGGAGATACCAAATGAATCTTGCGAAATACATGGTCTGTGATTAAATCACAATAACTCTAACCTCCTCAAAGGCAAACATATCAAGATAGCAAGCTGAGAGCAAAATAAGCAAGTCTTAACAGAAATTATGCCAAGCTTTATAAAGGGATTACCCACACCTCCTAGAGGCTGTGCAGCCTGGAATCCAGGGTGGTTTGGGTTTTTTTTTTTTTAAACTTACTGCAGCCCTTCTAGCTATCCAATGAAAGCTCTTACAAAGAAACCTTCAGGTCTGCAGTTCTCTGTGGGTTTTCTATGAATATGAACGTACTTTACGGGTGGAGAAAACATATCCATGATCATGTTTGAGGGGCTCACGAAAGGGGGAGGCACATGAATTATACCATGAATACAGATATAATGAATACAGATTTAGTGAGATTTTAATACCTCAATATTCTCTGGTCCCACTCTTAAACATCGCCCTTCAACCATCAAAACATCTTAAATCCTGGGGTAGGGGCATAGTTACCCAAAGTTGTGGTACCTTCCCTAAAGAAAACTGAAATACATACCAGGACACACATAATTCTGTCAAGTTTGTCCCTAACTGTGTGATCTTGGACAAGTTAGCTAACCTCTCTGTGCCTCAGTTTCTTCATTTATAACATGGCTCTAATAGCAGAACGAACCCTTGAGAGGCTGTTGCAACAGCTGGTACACAGTAAGTGCTCAATAAATATTCGTTGCTGTTATTAACATTGTCCCTATGCCATCTCACCCCCCATATAAGCTCTCTGCTAACTTTCCAACACAGAGAACAAAATCCAAATTCTTCACCATGGCTCCAGGGCCCATGTGATCTAATAGCCCTCTCTGCCTGTCACTCACCAGGCTCCAGCCACCCAACCTCATCTCATCCTCCTCACTGGACATCCCACGTGCATCCTGTGTGCACCAGACAGTCTTGCTGGTGCTTCCAGACTCTGACTACTTCTCTCCACTGACCATCTCCACCATCCTGGTCTAAGGTTCATCTTCTCTGCCCTACACTGGGGCAACAGCCTACTCCTACTGGTCTCTCTACTTCTGTCCTTGCCCTTACAGTCTCTCTTAACGCAGCTGCCAGCATGGTCCTGTTAACGTACACACCAGCTCCAAACTCTGCCATCTCCTTTCAGAGTCAAAGCCGAAGTCCTCACCGTGGCCTCCAGGGCCCTACATAACTGACTCAGTTTACCCCATCCCCCACCAAGATGCACCAAGCTCTCCAAGCTCCTCGCCTTTCCCTTCCCTTTCCTTTAGGTCTTCGTCCAAATGTCACCTCTCTAGAGACCTTCTCTGAATACCCTACGTAAAAAGGTACCCGGATACCTGCCTGGCACCACGTACCCTGTACCCCACACCTAACATGTGACCCAGCCCTCCCATCCCCTTCCCTACTTTAATAAAAGCTCCACAGAGGCAGAGGCCTCATTTTGTCCACTTCTATAACCCTGACACCAGGAACAGTGCCTGGCACACAGCAGGTGCTCAATAATATTTGTGGAGCGAATAATCGATGCCATCATGGAGATCTTTCCCTCGCTGGGGCCTACCACCTCATGTTCCTCTCCACGTCTTCTCATGGCTGATTCACAGTGGCAGGGCAAATGTCCCCTCTTCAGAAAGGCCTTCTATGAGAATCCAACTTAAAAGTCTCCATCACAATCAGTGAGTCTGTATTTTTTTCATAGCACTTACCACTGTCTGACATTATTTTCTGTCTACTTGTTTGTTGTCTGTTTCTACCACTAGAATGTTTCCATTTGTTTTCCATTTGGAGAATGGAGTTGGCTTTGTCTCTGTAACCCCAAGTAGCTACGTCAGCACAACAGAATGCTCAGTCCGTATTTGTTGAATAAATGGCAATGTATATACTGACATTCTTTAAAAACTAAAAGCACACATCCAGAAGAGGAACCGGGAGGGCTCTGTCTTACCCCAGATGACACATACCCTGCAGGTGCATGTGCATGGAATGCCTTGGGCACCTGAAAACACCACCCCGCTCCCCCAACCCCAAATGAAGAGCTCTCCATCTGACCTGGGAGAAGCACTCAGAACCTAGACATGGCTCCGACGCAAAGAAAAACAATTTGAAGTTACTAAATAACAGCCCAACATCTGTCACCACATATGAACAACTCTATGCACAGGTAACGGTCCACTCGCCATGCTCACTGTCCAAACACCCGGGCATCAGGTTTACCTTCCCCCTGAGTGGGCTTTCGAGCAGTCATCACAGCTGCCTGGGAGACACAGCTCTAAAACGGGGCTCGGGCTGCAGCCCAGGGGCCAACACTGAGCTCCCAAAGCTTTGGATGCATTTCCTACTCAGCATGGACATCAGGTGACTTCCTTAAGAGGAAAAATCACCCCGCAAGACTGCTGAGAAAGCAGGTGTGGCATTTATCAGTGCTGCTGTCATCCATAGAGAAGCCAGGAACAACGAAATGTAACTCTGTGTACACAGAACTCTGCCACCCCACACAGGGCAGATGGGGCAGCCATCAGAAATGCGGGGCATGGACCCAAACGCCAGCATAGCACCACACCCCCAAATGAGGGGGGAACAGGCTCAGCACCCCAAGACATCCAAGCACCATGGCTTTTACAGCTAGATGCACTCTCCACAAGCCAACAGGAGTCGCGAGTGAGAGCCTTCGAACACATCCAGTGTGAACATGCATTCAGCAAACATTTCCTGAGCCCTGCTTTGTGCCAGGCTGTTCTCAGTGCTCAGGATACACAAGGAAGAAATAAATAAAAGATAAGGTTTCTGTCCTTGTAAAGCTTATATTCGTGTCCGTGTGTGCATGCCTGTGTGTATGTATAAGAATACATTCAATAGACACAATTATTAAGTAAATTAAGTCATATGTTAGAAAATAAGTGCTGTGGCAAAATCCAGATTAAAATCACCAATCACTAGTCAGGAGACCCCATCAGCTACGCAAAGACCATACAGGTAGTGTGCAGAGACACCAGAGAGGTCACCCTGTTTGATCGACAAAAGTATGCTCATTAGAAGGTAAACCACAGGACTATGGGGTCTTTATCTCTTTTCTCCCTGCAGGATTCTCAGCTCAAGAAGAGCACCTGGCACAGGTCAGGGACTCAGAAGCATTTGTTGAAGAAATGGAAGTGCTCACCCACTGAGTTCTTGCTTCTGCAGCATTCCTGGCAGGTAACCCTCTCGAGTTGGCTGAAATCTTTCCAAGAATGAAAAGCTGGGCTTTTACAACAAACTAACAAGCAAACCCCAACCAACCACCCCCACACACCCCCAGGCGCCTTTACTGTATTACTTTCTGGACCCTCTGAGACACACACAGTCTACTACTAACGCCAGCACATGCTGTGATGGGATTCCCCCAGCACAGTGCCCACACGATGCTGGGCCCACACAGCCTGTGACACCTGCTGGCCACTTCGCTCCCACGGAGAAGCCTCTTTCACGTTCATATGTGCTGGGGATCTGTGTCTGCTGAGAGCTGAGCTGCCTGCCTGGGATCAGCCAGATGGAGCAGGCAGAGACGGCACGGACCACACTCCAGAGGAACACGCCATGGATGGCTGTATTGTTGATGTTTCAGATATCCAAAAAGTAAATTATAAATCTTAGCGGTGATTTAGCTATCCTATTTGCCAAAGGTAGTTTACACGGGTGTTTCAAATTACTTGGTAAGAAGGCACAGGTGACACGAAGGGACCACCCACAAATATCTGGCATGTTCCAGTCGCATGCATGGCATGTCGCATGTGGTGCGACAGTTCTCAGGAAACAGCATTTGTAAAAACATGCTTATTAAAAAATTAGAGAGATTTTCTATAAGAAACACATAATAGGCGCAGTGGCTCATGACTGTAATCCCAGCACGTTGGGAGGCCGAGACAGGTGGATCACGAGGTCAGGAGATCAAGACCATCCTGGCTAACACAGTGAAACCCTGTCTCTACTAAAAATACAAAAAAAATTAACCAGGGGTGGTTGCGGGTGCCTGCAGTCCCAGCTGCTCGGGAGGCTGAGGCAGGAGAATGGCATGAACCCAGGAGGCGGAGCTTGCAGTGAGCCGAGATCATGCCACTGCACTCCAGCCTGGGCAACAGAGTGAGACTCCATCTCAAAACAAAACAAAACAAAACAAAACAAAAAACAAGAAAGAAACACATAATAATGCTAATCTAATCATTTGTGTATTTTTAAGTTTTTAACTTACTGATACATGTCAATGTGTTAAGACCAAAAAAATACATGAATTTAATTTAAGTCTAGACGGCAAAGTCAAATTAATGTAGTATACAATTTTCTTAATAAACTTTTCCTTTCCTACCCTCTTTCGCCCCATTTTGAACTTTAAAGAAAAATTTGCCTTTTTGCTGCTTCCTAAACAATCTATGACTGCTACAATAGTCAATATTTTCCCACTTAGTTTGCTTATGGATGTGAGGGTTAAATGTTATGAACATAATTTAGTGCTTACAACATCAGCAAATCTGGCTTCTTCCTTGAGCTGATACACAGTGAGGTTAAGGTCAGGGAAACATCCGTGCCTTCTGGTCCAAGCTGAGAGCATTGCTAAGGTAAGCAATCAAAGCTGGGAAGGCTGGGGTTGGGGAGGTGTCAAGGATGACACAATACAAATGCTAAAGTCTACAAAACAAGGTTGAAGACTCAAGTCCACAGCAGCAGTGGTTAAGGGGCGGGGGATTCTTGCTTGAAGACGACACCAGGCACATTTTCCAGTTGGAGAGCTTGTAGTGAATTCAGATCACTTGGTATTTCAAGTGTTTCCCAAACTACTGTAGATGAAGGGCTCTGAAATTATTCCATTTTGAAACTCATTACTGATTTTGTTACAACCAAATAGCAGCAAACATTTGTACAGCAGTTTCCAGTAGTTGTACATAAAAATGCTTTGGAACACATTACTTGGGAAATGGAACTTTACACAGACAAATCAGAATGCCACTTACCTAATGGAGACAGTTTGCTTACTAATTAATTCTCAAGTCCATTTTGTAAATAAAAACAGAAATGGGGCCATCCTGGAGAATCATGATGCTGTTAACTGAGCTACATGGAAGGCGCAGTTTTCCTCCTCTTATCACTGGTCTTTTCCTTCTCACACTAAGCAATCTGAGCACCACGGGGGGCAACACCTGCTCTCTAATACAGAAGAGATGGGTGTATACCTCCATTCTAATACAGAATGTCTCCATATACCCAGCCATTTCTAGGGAAAATCATCTCTGACAGCTGGCATGAAATCAATGTCCACCTGAAAAGTACCTTTGAGGGCCATCTAATAAAGGCCAAAACTATGGCCACGAATCCAAAACTGCGGAAGTCTAGACTGGCGTTTCTAAATAAGCTAGAGAAAAATACTCAATGTGCGACATCTTGTAAACTCACAGCTGCTGAAGAACAGTGTCTTTCAGTCACATAGCTGAACTGAATGCAGAGGACACTGCCATTTGTGACCAACATTTCCTTTCTAGGGAGGAATACCCAGGACACTTGTTACGGCTGCTACCTAAGTGCTAAGATAGGGCGCTTCGCCACTGTGCCCCCTGCTTCATCTCAAAAACTAAAATTTTCCATCAAAAATTGCCCTCATTTTGTGCCTTTTTGCAAAAGTGAAGCTATCTAAATTCTAGCAAAGGAACGAACACAGGTATTTCAGAATACCCCACCTTTAAGGGTCTCAAAGATTCCAGGGTGTTCCCTCTTAGGATGGAGTTTTATCTTGGCTGAAATAAAAGGGTCTTAATAAAGTCTTTTTCCTGCAGACCTCTGGGTATAAATTATAGATTCATGTCAAAACAGTGAAAGGGATTTGAGGCAAAAGATATTTCTTTCATAAAATATTATGCATCAGAGTATACGTTCTATGCTATAAATATTTAGCAAGGGATAATGTGACATATTTACTAATATTTCTGTCAAAATAACAACATCTAAACTGTCACTTCAACAAGGAAGCTTCTCTTCCTGTTTTAGTATAGAGAAGCACTGGGATATCGTCTCTTTTCCTTTTAAAGAAAAATGTATTCTGACTGCTGGTAAAATCAGGAGTAACTTGAGTCTGTGACTTAAAGGGCAGAACTAAGCCCTATACTACAGTGATAACAGTAACAGGAACATCTGATTACATATAAGCTGGCTCCTCATAAACCCTGATACAACCTAAGGCCTCCATTTTCATTACACACCTTCAAAGATGCTTTTAAAATGGACTTGTTTATTGACAACACAAGATTTTTTTTAAGTACTTGTTTTCCTTTTCTAAAGGGGAGACTTCTTGCTATTTGCTAATTTTCACATCTGTCAATGCTGACAACAACTGGATCTGTTGAATAAACATTTATTCCTTTTGACAAAGAACCTTCACATAAAATTGAACTCAATGGAACTTTATGATCGGGGCAAGAGAATTTGGAGCAACTTCACAGATTAGTAATATCTAACAGTGGCCAGGCCCTGGAGGTTCTCTTGCAGTGACCCTGGGGAATGGACCAGTCTTTGTATCAGCAGAGGACAGACCAGAGCTTTTCAGGAGGAAGAAAAAAAACAACCCAACAAATCAATACAGCAATATACAATGGTAGACAAAGCTACACGCGTTTACAGAGTTTCAGCGCATAGAAACATCCAGTTCAGAAGCCTGTTAAACTTACATCTGTATTTGGAATCTCATGGGAGGCAACCCCTGGCAAAATATCAACTCTTATTGAACCAAAACAAAATCTGTGTAGGCACAGAGTATCAGTACAAAATATCCAAAAACAAAAGCTCACTTTTCCAAAAGAAAAACGCTAAGTTCAAGGAAGCAGCCAATAAGTAAGAGAAGTTTGGGCTTTTGACCTTCCCACCCTCCCATGCCACCTAGGAATATTCATTTTTAAAAGACTGAAGTTAAAATATATAATACATATATGAAAAGATCCCCTAATTTGGGCCAGCCATAATCATCTTAAAATGGTAACCTGGGTAACAACCACCTACCATAATTTATCCTTTGAAGATAACCACAGATTCATGGTTTTGATTTTAAAAGCTTCTTTCCAAACAAATAAATAGGTATCAAATCAAAAGGCACACTTTAAAAATAGGAAGATTTTGCTAATTTGTCTTCATTTGCAAAGATTAATCTTACTCTGAAACCTCATTTGAGAGTGCTCTAGTCTCTCAGGATGCATAGAAATGCCTTATAAATGCTAAGTTATATAATAATGGTTATGTATTTGGGTGTTAGTCATCTGCTCTTCTTGCTGAGATAAATAGCTACCATCTGAAGGTGAACACTTCACCTTCCCTACATTTACAATACTCTACCATCAAACTTTCATTTAGATTAGCAAATAAATGGGAGTTGATAAGAGAGCTGTCAGGCATACCTAACAAACCTGAAACCTAAGTGTTAGGAAAGTTATTCTGACTCAAGTATTCTACATACAATGAATTTGGGGACCTTATAGGGTAATAGGGAAGGAAAAAAGATTTTTCTCTTAACTAGCTGCTGGGCCCCACAAACAGGGAGAATTGTCTAAACCTGAGCCACCATTCTGATCCTCAAACCCTGCCAGGTGAGGACCTATAGCTAGATTGTGTACTGGAGGATATTAGAGCAGATTGCTCCTCTGCCAACTTCTCTCCTTCCTTCTTCTATTTCTTCCCTTTCAAACCAGACCACTGAAACTCTCAGTCTGTATTTATGTGAAATAACAGGAACGTTAAACATGCTACCTTCCATTTGTACAGAATTGCCATGCAACACAAAGAATGATTATGCATTAGCTACGTCACATTTACCTGTGAAATTTATCTCATTGTAGCACTATAACTCTATTTACTAAAATATGTTCATCCTTCGATCACATAGTATTTTCACCAACTTAAAATTTTAAACGGAATCAGAAAATATACAGCCTTTCCTAATGGCCTCCTTAGGTTTTCAAGCTTCTCCCCACCTTCTACTTTTTTTCAGATGGTATAAGGACTTTTCATCTGTGATACCAATGGGTACTTTTGGTTGGAAAATCTTCCTCTGACACAGTCCACAAGTCACACATTACACACCTAAGTGGTCACAAACAGGATTTTAATCTATGTGAACAGATCACCAATCTTGGTTTCATCCTTTTATGAGTAAAATGTCATATAAAAATAAACTCCTTAATACATGTAATAAGTTACAAGTGAAGTAAAAACTAAATATTAGAGGAAAAGATACAAATAAGTTAGTTGTTGCTTTTTTAAGTTTTTCAAGATACAGAATATCATTACAGCTGTTGCATTTGAAAGATGATGCAACAGACAAGGGCAACCACACCCCCAAGATCTTTGCAGCTCCACAAGAATAGGATTTAGACCCTTAAAGAATATGTCTTAACATTTATCAGTCAATAATGTATTAGGCATTTTTAAGTAATTTCTAACCAACAACCCATCATCATCACTGAATCATCTGAGCATGAACTAAGCTATGCAAACTTCTTTAAAGAAAGTCTGGGACAAGCTTCAATCTAATGAAGGCTTAGGAACAGCTTTACTTTGTGAACAACTACAGCTTGCTGGAGAAGAGGCATCTCACAATAGCACAAAAGAACACAAAAAAGAAAGTGATCTTTTTGATTAACCAACGTCACTTTCTGCTTTGTTTTAGGCATTATAAGGTAAATGAACTAAAGGTAATCAAATGATGAAGTTCTTCCTGCCCTAAATGAATGTGTGTTTAGTCCATTTACCTACTGAGTCAACATGGAAAGAAAAATAAGAAAGAAAACTAAATTTTGTAAGACAGTAGAAGTTTTAATACATACTCAGTTCTAATGCCGTTAATTTTGTTTTCCTTCCGATTTCCTTAAGGGAAGACTCTGGTTGAGTCTTTCTCTGCTTTCCACATAGCCCCTCGAGGCACAGAGACAGAAGGGTCTGCTGTGGGAAGAGACCATGGAGCAGGTGCAGTGGCCCCTCTGAGGATAAAAACAACACGCCCAGAGGCTACAAAGCCAGCTAGTGACCCAGCCTTCACCGCTCCCAGACTCCATCTCCCCTGCTCCCCCGCTATACCACAGGACCTTTGCAAGTGCAAACTGCATTTGAGATAAGCTTCCCCAGACATGCTTTCATGAGGAGCTTATGGCGTTTTCTGTGCTCACAAGCAGGGTCTGGCACTGCCCTACCAAGGGAATGATCACTTGTAAGAAGAGGGAGGACAAAACTATCCCTGATGGCTCTTTCACATGTTTCTTTTAAATAAAAAGAGTGATGATCTTTCTAGGCAAGGACACAAGTTGCCCAGGCCACCCCCTTTCCCTTCAAACACCCATACCCACCTCATATGGCACATATAGTACCCCAAAATGCCAGATAAGCTGGGCCACCTCACACACTGCAATGACCAAGCCCATCTCCTCCATTGTCCTCATCCTTCCTTCGAAATCACCTGTCCCGGCCTCTTTCCAAACCCAAGTGGAACAGAGCCACTTGAACAGAGCTTCCTTCACAGAAATCCTCCGGAGGCAAAATCCTAGAGCACAAACTACATAGAAACTGAACAGTTAATGTACATTTCCTTTGGCTAAGTCACAGACACTAAATGTTGGCAGACAGAGTACATCTGAAGCAAATCAGGGCCATTTTCAGGGCAGAGACTTGCTTTTATTCTCTGAGCTCCAGCAACCCGCCTCTCTGACTTCTTCCTCCCATGGTGCTTTTCCACCCAGATAACTCGCCCCCAAAGCTGAGGACCCTCCCAAGGCCATGAAAGGGCCCTGGGTTCACCTCCACTGTCACAGAGTTTAAGAACACATGCCCTGTATAGCCTATTTTGTTTGCTTGTTTCTTTATTAAACTATAAGAGCATCATCCAATTTGAAATGCCCCTCCTCCAAAGAAAAAGCTGCGTGGCCCAATGTTAAAGGTCTACATCAGAAGTCACTGTTGCACATCATTATAATTAAGAAATGGCATATCACCTTCTTTGTAAGGTATAACATTTTCAATGTTGCAATATAAGCTGACCACCTCCTCTAAGGCGAGGACTCGGCGTCAGGGGCAGGGAGGTGGTGAGCAAAGAAAGGGCAAAAACAAGACCTTGATCACAGAAGCAAGAATCTGACATTGGATTATTTTTGAAACATACTACATACATAAGGAAAATGATGATGCTATAAATTAAAGTTGTGGTTTTCTACATTTTAAAAAAAGGCTAGCCAGCCGACCTTATCATCCCTGTCATTCCAATGGGAAAAAGCGTCATCAGCACAATTGTAGAAGCCTAGAACAATGTGTCCCTGTCAACTCAGTGAGGGTTTTCTTCTTTCAAAGATAAATCAAGATGCCATAACCTAGGAATAATATAACTACTTACACACAGAGAACAAAGTTGGCAATCACGATCTGAGTTAAGTTTAAGGTATGTTTGTCTTTCCATTTTACAAGAAGGTAAATGAACAGGAAAGTGAGCTGGAACAAGTAAACTGAGCCATAAGCCTA